>NC_000008.11:96339222-96964222 GCF_000001405.40 Homo sapiens | reverse complement strand
AGGATGTGTGTGTGTGTGTGTGTGTGTGTGTGTGTGTGTGTGTGTGTGTATACTTTAACCAAAAAAGATGTACTGGAATGTTCATAACAGAGTATTCATAATAGGCCTAACCCTTCTAAAAAAAAAAAAAGAAAGAAAACTCATGAAATGTCTGCTGACAATAGAATGAATAAACTGTGTTGTATTTATCAATAGGACACTCCATAGCAATAATATAGAAATGGAAAATGAAAAAACACAATTCATGATAAAATTGTATGAGTCTCATAAACATAATGAAGAATGAAAGAAGCCAGATACAAAATAACACATGATGTATAAATCCATTTATATAAAGTATAAAAACACGCAAAACAGGAGAGTGATTACTCTTGGTGAGGAGGGTTTGTGACAAAAAGGGGGTAGAGGAAACCTTTTGGGGTGCTGGTCATGTTCTGTTTTCTGATCTGGGTAGCAGTTACACAGGTGTACTCAGTTTGTAAAAGTTCACCATATACACTTAGGATTCGTGCACTTTCTCTGAGAATATTATACTTCAATATAATTTTTTTAGAAGTTTTACAGATTGATATGTATGTGCAACATGTACTAAGTAAACCAAAGTTGAACCAATCTTCTTGATGATTAAAATAAAAATTACCCATGACTTTGGGAAAGCAGGACTTTGGGGTTAAAATATTAGGGTGACCCTTTGCACTGAATGATTCACTGAGCAGCTGCACGATCTCCCACTGACTTACATACGGACCCAGTCTAGTATGACTTCATTGTAGTTACAAACAAGCACAATCCCCCAAACTAACAAATGGCTATGTAATGAACCCAAATGGATTGTTTCTAAGAGGGAAAAATAAAAAATAAAGAATAATTCATGTTGCAATAGCAGGAACTTCTGATTCAGAAAGTAGTGGTGTAATCCCATGTGGGACAAACAGCCCAATTAGTCAACATTCTTATGACTCTCAGAACATTTTCTCAGTGACGTTCCAGTGGATTAAAAGTGTAAAAATGTGCTTCAATAAACTTTTTCTCAGATAATATATAGGAACAACTAAGTCAAGGAAGCTATTATTTTATCCTTCAGATTTCTTTCAGAAAAATTGAAGTTGTTTACGATCATACTTCTTTATGTTTTCTCCATTCTGTAATCTACTTACTGTTACTTAAACTGGTAGTTAAAAAATTGGAAAGATGGTTTTTGAATGATAGGAAACTAAGCGATATCCCATAGGATAAGGTCTTTGGTATAGTGCTATAGAAGAATGATTACATATTCTCTGGATTATGAGAGCTTGTTTTAGTATATTTTTTTAAATCAGAAAAAAAAACTGGGGCAACAATGAAATAGTAGTAGTAATTTTAATATCTATTGATTTAAAACTAGGTAATGACAAAAAGATACTTCTAATTCAGTAGCAATTTGAATGAACTTGAATTTTCCAAATATATGAGCTTCTGCATACACTTAGAAAATAGCAGTGCAGGAGGTTTCACTCAAAATGGAATGTGGCTAGCATTCCTTAATGTTACCTCACAAAAGATAACCCAGAAAAATATACCAATGCACAAGGCTACTGAAAATCTCCCTTATGTCAGGGTCAGGCATAAAAGAACATTAGTTATAATAAACTTGGATCTGAGTTAGACAAACAAACAAAAACAGACTACCCAGAAATGCAGTAAACTGCAGTTTCATGAAAAATATCACCTGATAAATGCTAGGAAAATGCACAGTCCCTTCACTGCCTCTGTTGCCAGATCTGGATTCCTTTGAGCAAAAGCATGGCCTAGAATCAACAGAGAAGTGGGCACCTGCCCATCTACCCCTTGTGTTCTGCATCCTGAGGCACTCAAGGCACTGACCAATTCCTTTCCCCCAACTTCCTTTTCACCATCATCTTTTCCAAATGCAGTATAGAGTAAAAAGTTACTCTGAAAACAACAACAGCAGTAGCAGCTGTAACAAAACAACTAGAAAGGCAGAATGGGAACTCTAGTTCTTTGAAATGTAGGGTTTGTTATTTGCGAGGCAGACTAAATTAGCCCTGACTACCTTGGGAATGAGGGCCTTGGGAATAGGGGAAGAATACACCGCAGTCGAACAGAAATGCACTGGATGAAAGCCTGCTAGGAGAAGGAACCAGAATGACAACGGCATACATCCACCTGCAGGCCAGCTGTAGGTCTGAGAGTGGAGATGGACGAAATCAAAGATGTGCAGACAGCAGCCTGAGGACAAGCCCCTCTGTTACTGGTGCATATGAAGACACTGAGTCCAAATGGATCCACCTGATTATGAGATGAAAATGAGACATATGAAAAATATGGCAGGACTAGGGAGAGGAAATAGCCTCAGAGGATGTGCATTCTTAGGAAAATGAGCTAATGCAAGATACTGAAGAACATTTCACCCTCTCTGGCATTCAGTCATGGTTTCCTTCAACAATTTTTATTGAGTTCCCACTATGTGCTAGAGATACCGAAATGAGTAAAACAAGCAAATATTCTAGCCTTAATTGAATTTAGATTCTGGTGGGAAGATGGAAAATAAATAAACACAATATAATGATAGTTTTAAGTGCAACAGAGAAAAATATCTTTATATCTTCAGTGTGGAGATTTTAAAAATAGAATAAAAATTCAAAGCATGAATAGTAGATGTATAAATTTAACTATCATAAAATGAAGGCTTTATGTTCATCAAGAGAAATCATAGAATGAGAGGAGTTGCTAGAAATTAGAAGAAGACATTTACAATATATATAACTCAAAATGATTTATATTCAAAATGGGTAAAGAATTCTTACAAATCAATAAAAAAGCCAAGCAACCCAAAAAGCAAATAGGCAAAACACATAAAGAGGCATTTCACAGAAAAGAAATTATGAATGACAGCAAGCATTTGAAAAGGTGACCAATTTCATTACCAATCAGGGAAATGTAAATGTAAATTAAATCCTTAATAAGATACCACTTTACAACTATCTGGCAAAAAATTTAAAATCACACAAATGAGATCTTGGCAAGGAGGCTGAGCAATAGGAATTCTTATCCACTCCTGGTAGAAGCAGAAAATTGTTAAAATAATTAAGGGAAAACAATTGGACATATCCTTATAAAGTTGAACATATGGGCATTCCACAATCCAACAATTCCACTCTTGGTGTAAACATTAGAGGAATTCTAATACCAGGAGACATGGACCAAAACGGTCATACAGACACATTCAGAAGTTCTCAAACTGAAAACACACAAATGTCCATCATCAGTAGAATCGATACATTGTGGAATAGTCATACAATGGACTATTACAAAGTAGTAAAGTGAACTGAAAATGACCTAGTGATGCATTATTAAATATAAATGAATCTCAAAACAAAAATAGGCAACAAAAAACAAAAACCCAAAAAAGACAAAAGAAGTAGAAGATTATGATTCTATAATATAAATTTCAACTAAACTAAATAATATAATCTTCAGTAATAATATATACAAAGATGGTATAACTATGAAGAAAAGCAAAGCAATGGTATACCAAAGTTAGCATTGTGTTTATGTCAAATGGGGGTTAGGGCAGAGAGGAGGAGGTGATCAGGTACGGGAACACAGTGACCTTCAAAGACACTGATAGTGTTCTGTTTCTGCAACTCAGTGGTGAGAACATGTGTAATCCTTCCATTACTATTCTCTAGATTGAACATAGATAAATAAAGTCTTCCATATGTGTGATATGTTAAACTATAGCAAGAATTATCAAAAACCTACCTTTGGAAGTCAAGGGGCTCAGACAGTTTTACAAGTGAGTTCAACCAAACATTAGATGTCAGATTGATCTTGTTCTATTTCAACTGTTCTAAAGCAAAGAAAAAGTATAGAAAATATCTACATTTACTTACAAAGCTATCACAATCTTGATATTAAAACCTGACAAAGATAGTGTCCTCCTTATAAACTAACTAGAGATCAAATATAATTGTAAAAATCTGCAATAATTGAATCCAGAAGCATATTAAAAAGTATTAAAATAATGGCCCAGTCATCTTCAAAGGCCCTTGGTAACTAGAAGCCATAATACATCCAATATACTAAGAAAGGGCCACTTTTGAGTCATACTTATTTTCTTGGCATGCTTAGCTTTTAACTCCCTTCATTAAAAATTATGTGAGTTGTATAGATATTCATCTAAACCTGACCACATTCATGTTGGTCAATTGTCAGTAAACAACAGGCCCATCTGACAATAAAGTATGCTTCATTTTACAAATATCTTGCTCAATCAAAAACCAGAAAGACAGCTACTCGGTGTTTTTGGTTTTTTTTTTTTTTTTTTTGCTTTTGTGATTTTTTAAAAATTGCAGCAGCTGTCTTCTCCTAGTCTTAATTTTACTTGGTGTCTTTTAAAAGGTAGCAGGAAAAGTCTTAGGGGTACAAAGTTTGAGGCCTAATGCATTTCCAGACACAGGAAATCCCCAAATTTTCAACAACAAAAATCATTAAATGGTTGAAAAAATATGATGTACCAAAAAAGGAGAAAAAAAAATAACTCATTATTTAGCCTTAGAGAAGAGGCCAAGGAGTGACCTAATAATGGGCTTCAGCTAAGACAGGTCCCACTGTGAAGAATATGAACAGCAAAAGAAAGTGCAAAGGAAGCCAGGCTTGGACTGCAGCAGTGAGCGTTAGGGTCATATAAGCGAGCAAGAAGCTTCTGATGCAGGCTTTTGTTGAAGTTAAAAAAAATGACTAACAGGGGAAAGGTTATGAAAAATTTCCTGCCTTGGAGATTTTCTAAAATAGACTACATTCTGAGGCCTTAGACAGAAAGCTAAAAGAGAAGGGATAAATAAAACCTTCCAAGGTTCCATCTAATACGATATTCCATGCCAGTTTTCAAGAATTCCTCTTCTATTCTAATCATTTTAAAGGAGGTAATGGTCTTTCAAAAAGTCTCTATAATCTCAACAGACTTTTCCCTGAGCACCTCTTTTCTGGCTGTCAAGCATCTTCCTAAAATTTAAAATCTAAACACAGGTGGGCAGGCACTTCTCAAGAAATCCATGTTTTCATAATCCCCACTGGAGACAAAGCCTTGGCTTTCAGAGGGTGGTTGCTGAATGTATTGTGCTATTGCCCAGCACAGACAAAAGGGACTATGTTTGAACAAATATTTTCCTCCCCAATGATTCTGACTAGGTGGTCTACAGAATAAAGCTAAGCTCTTGACATACAGGGTGTGTTCAGAGGCAACACAGCAAACATGTGGGTTCCTCTTGAATTGATTTCTTATCTTCAAGCTTTTTTTTTTTTTTTCAGTGAAGCTGTTGGGTGTTAGCTTGTAGGATACAGAATCCTTTCCCACAAAAATGGGCCATCTGTTCAAATGCTCATGGATCACCCAGCTGGTCCTGAAAAGAGCTGTTTCCACTCTCAGACTATCCCCTCTTACTTGTAAAGGACACTCAGATTAGACTCACAAAAAGGAGATCATGCCTATTCCTGGTTGCATGCTGTGAGCATGTTACTAGACTGATAGCTCAGGATAAAACAAGAAGGACCTAATTTATCTGCGGCGCATGAAAACCAAGCACTAGGTAGATTTATAAAATGTGATTGCAGTGGATTTGCAAGAAATGGCTGGAATTGATTAAACATTGATTTGACAATGATAGGGGAACAGCAGAGAATGTCTATGGAAGGAAACCATTCTCATGAAATGGAGGCAACTGGGTTGCATCCAGAAGTCATGATTTGATGCAACTGGAGATGATCTTAAGTAGAAGAACCATGTATTTGAATTCCTCCTCTATTTAGCCTCAGCAACCACAGTATAAGTTGTCTCATTTGAGAGGACAGGAAGAGTAGAAGAGCTGAATTACAACATTGTATTTGAACTTCCTGAGGTAAGGGAAAAGACACAGAGAGTTTAGGTAACTTCTATGTTAATATTGATCATCTTTCCCATAATCAAATCCAAGCATGGTACAGTGCACAGCTAAAACTTCTCATTCCTTACAACTATTCACTTACCATTATGTCCCAGGCCTTTGTCATGCTAAGTGGGTGGGATTTTAGAAAAGAAGAAGGCCGAGCATGGTGGCTCACACATGTAATCTGAGCACTTTGGGAAGTCAAGGAGGGAGGATCAATTGAGGCCAGGAGTTCAAGACCAGCCTGTACAATGTAGTGAGAACTCATCTCTATTGAAAAAAAAAAATAGCCGGGTGTAGTGGTGCACGTCTATAGTCCCAGCTACTGGAGAGGGGAAGGTGGACTGAGGTAGGAGGATACTTGAGTCCAGAAGACTGTGGCTACAGTGAGCCATGAACACACCACTACACTCCAGTATGTACCACAGAGCCAGATCCTGTCTCCAAAAAAAAAAAAGCATTTGGTACCCTACAGACTTTTTTTTTTTTGTTTTTTTGAGACACAGTTTCACTCAGTCACCCAGGCCGGAGTGCAGAGGTGTGATCTTGGCTCACAGCAACCTCTGTCTCCCAGGTTCAAGTGATTCTCATGCCTCATCCTCCTGAGTAGCTGGGATTACAGGCACGTGCCACCAGGCCTGGCTAATTTTTGTACTCTCAGTAGATACCGGTTTTCACCATGTTGGCCTGGTCTGGAACTCCTGACTTCAAGTGATCTGCCTGCCTCAGCCTCCCAAAGTGCTGAGATTAAAGGCATGAGCCACTGTACCTGGCCTCCTACAGACTCTTTTATGGCTCAGTTTAAACAGGCTAATAGAGATATCATCAATCTTTCATTATAAAAAATGGGAGTCAAGGTGCTTCCTACCAAAAGAAACAGGCTTTAACTTAAATTTTGAACATTTAGATCTATAAGCTGACAGATTCTTCTTGGCCCCTAATGGTTTCTAAAATTCCAGAACCCTATGTAGCTTTGAAAAATACCCAGCCATGATAGTCTGTGCAGTTTAAATGAAAGTTACTCAAAGCATTTCTACCTTAAGCAGTTGGCTCCTGCCTGCCATGTCCCTGGACCACACTGACAATGGGGAGTCAGAAGTCAATCACCTCAAGTTCCAGGACTTTTTAGTGAACTTTAGGGTAGCTGAATGGCTTCCTATGATGATGACACCTGAGAACAACTTTTATTTGGATGCTTAAATTCTAGCTTAAACATAAGACAGTCAAAGAATGTTACAGACATCCCTAAAAGAAGACTTCTCAATGACCTGATTTTCAATGATCTTAAAAATCAGCGCAAGCTGCAGGACAGAGTGTCAAGGAGCCAACTTTACTTTGAAAGGCTCCATGCCTGCACAAGCATCCAGCTTGCTATCCAAGCACAGTACCTCTAGCTTTTAATCCTTTTATCATACTCCACCTCACATAGTATTAGCCCGGTCATCGCAGTTAATAACTCCTGTGTTGAGACTCTAGGAAACAAGCCAAATTTCCATCAGTATATTTTGTTTTAGAAAGGAGATGTTGCAAAAATTAAACATTTCATTTTCTTGCATCCTTGTTTAAAAGAATACTATTATCCCCATTCCCCAATCTTGTCTTATTTTTTATTAGAATTTATATATCTTGGAGGAAAAATGCCAGACTAGACATGTTAACTAGTTTTGTATCTAATATAAACATGATGAGAGCCAAGGAAAAGAATATATGTATTATGTATATATACCTAAAATGAAAAACTCTTCTTTTCCATTTACAATACAATGAATTGAAGTTTAACTTCAATATTCATAGTCAAATGTCACATCTGCAGGAAAAAGAGAATTATCTTAGTTTCCTAAGAATCAAGGGCCACTAATAAGCCAAAATGCTGATTAACCTTATAATGTTTGTGTATCACAACTCAAAAAAAATGGTCCGAAAATGATTTCTTCTAATTCCAAAGCTAACATGAAGCATAATCATGCTTTCCAAAGCACAGAAAACTCATCTTTTGTCCCCATAAAAGTGAACTCCAAGGATAAGGAGTAGGGGGAGCTTGAATGTTATAAAGATAGACCTGCTGGAGAGAACAAATAAAAATTAGCTTAGACTGAAAGTCCATAAGGAATAATTATTTTAAAAACATAACAGAATTCATTGTAGATTCTGGATATTAGCCCTTTGTCAGATAAGTAGATTGCAAAAATTTTCTCCCATTCTGTAGGTTGCCTGTTCACTCTGATGGTAGTTTCTTTTGCTGTGCAGAAGCTCTTTAGTTTAATTAGATCCCATTTGTCGATTTTGGCTTTTGTTGCCATTGCTTTTGGTGTTTTAGACATGAAGTCCTTGCCCATGCCTATGTCCTGAACAGTATTGCCTAGGTTTTCTCCTAGGGTTTTTATGGTTTTGGGTCTAACATTTAAGTCTTTCATCCATCTTGAATTAATTTTTGTATAAGGTGTAAGGAAGGGATCCAGTTTCAGCTTTCTGCACATGGCTAGCCAGTTTTCCCAGCACCATTCATTAAATAGGGAATCCTTTCCCCATGTCTTGTTTTTGTCAGGTTTGTCAAAGACCAGATAGCTGTAGATATGTGGCATTGTTTCTGAGGGCTCTGTTCTGTTCCATTGGTCTATTTCTCTGTTTTGGTACCAGTACCATGCTGTTTTGGTTACTGTAGCCTTGTAGTATAGTTTGAAGTCAGGTAGCGTGATGCCTCCAGCTTTGTTCTTTTGGCTTAGGATTGACTTGGCAATGCAGGCTCTTTTTTGGTTCTATATGAACTTTAAAGTAGTTTTTTCCAATTCTGTGAAGAAAGTCATTGGTAGCTTGATGGGGATGGCATTGAATCTGTAAATTACCTTGGGCAGTATGGCCATACAAGTGGTAGAAGGATATGAACAGACACTTCTCAAAGGAAGACATTTATGCAGCCAAAAGACAGATGAAAAAATGCTCATCATCACTGGCCATCAGAGAAATGCAAATCAAAACCACAATGAGATACCATCTCACACCAGTTAGAATGGTGATCATTAAAAAGTCAGGAAACAACAGGTTCTGGAGAGGATGTGGAGAAAGAGGAACACTTTTACACTGTTGGTGGGACTGTAAACTAGTTCAACCATTGTGGAAGACAGTGTGGCGATTCCTCAGGGATCTAGAACCAGAAATACCATTTGACCCAGCCATCCCATTACTGAGTATATACCCAAAAGATTATAAATCATGCTGCTATAAAGACACATGTAGATGTATGTTTATTGTGGCACTATTCACAATATCAAAGACTTGGAACCAACCCAAATGTCCAACAATGATAGACTGGATTAAGAAAATGTGGCACATATACATCATGGAATACTATGCAGCCATAAAAAATGATGAGTTCATGTCCTTTGTAGGGACATGGATGAAGCTGGAAACCATCATTCTCAGCAAACTATCACAAGGACAAAAAAACCAAACACCGCATGTTCTCACTCATAGGTGGGAATTGAACAATGAGAACACTTGGACACAGGAAGGGGAACATCACACACCGGGGCCTGTTGTGGGGTTGGGGGAGTGGGGAGGGATAGCATTAGGAGATATACCTAATGTTAAATGACGAGTTAATGGGTGCAGCACACCAACATGGCACAGGTATACATATGTGACAAACCTGCATGTTGTGCACATGTACCCTAAAACTTAAAGTATAATAAATAAATAAAAAAAATAACAGAAAGACAAGGTAATTTTTAAAACTTAATAGATACCACAAAGGAGAATGAATAGTTTAGTTGTCCTCTCTCTAAATGCAATCAACTAAAATAAAAGAACATCATTAAAAAAAGACTGTTCACTTTCTTCATCAATGGACACTGTGACATTATTGTCATGTTGTGGATTTAGATTTTTAAAGTCAACACTCATGAGGTTGTCCCTGTCCCCCTAATTATTTTGACTTGTCATTAGATTATATTATCATACATTAAATCAGTTAAATCTCATTAGTCGATTGTAGCCATGTGTTGAATAATCACAACCTGTGGAAAACCTTAAAAAAAAAGAAAGAAAAGTGGACTTTTTTTCTCAATTGTGCATTTTTTGAAAAAACAATACAAACAAAAACATGTATTTTAAAATTTAATTTGTATTTATTAGCATAAACAGTATATTTTAATAGGCTATAAATTAGAGCAAGATTAAAGGAAATACAAGCATCAAAGTACCATTCTTACTAAATTATATTTCTCATTAAGTTTTGAATGTTAGCATTGCTTAACTTAACTCGGCCCTTGATACAATCTTGTTTAACATTTCCATCAATACCTTGGAGATATTCTTATGAATTTTAAGATGATAAAAATATAAGATGAATCATTAATATGTTGGACCAAATAATCAAGATTGTAAAATATCCTGAAGCACAAATAATAGCTTAAAACTGACAAGATAATTCAGTGGGGATAAATCTGAAGCACACACTGCACTTTGAGAGGGTGAGTTGATAGCGGTCTGTCTGGCAACAATCAGGAAACTCAGGTGGTGGCCACAAGCATATTGAGCTAACAGTATCTCAGTCATGGGAAAATGTTTTTAAAGATTTTAAGGTTCATTGATAAAAATAAAATAATGCTGTTGATTATGTGAAGTAATACTCCCTTTTTATTCTAAATAAATCCAACACTTTTTTACTCCCTTTTGTTTCCGTCCAGGACACCTGAGGAAAGAGTTTGGAAAAGAGACAGTGGTCAGAAAAGAACTGACAGGATTTTCCAGTGTCTAGAAATGCACTGCTTGAAGAGCAGCAGAATATATTACACTGGAGAAGAGAAGACTGTAAGGGGCTAGATGCTTCATCTGCAAGAAGAGTAGACTTGCCCTGAAGGAATAATCAGGCCAGTGAGAAAGAGCATATGCACATAGATTTGAGCTCAGTAAAGAATAAACCTGAGCAGTCCCACAAGGGAACAGTACTCCCCAGAGGATAAGCTGCCAAATATGGGCAGTGTTCAAGCAGAGGTGCAAGGAACACCTGCCAGGTAAACAATGGACACCTGCCCTGAGGAGGCCGTGAGATAGATCATCTCCAAAGACACCATCAACCTCTATGAAAAGGAAGGATGGGCTTATTATGACCACTATTCAGAGAGAAGAAACTCTTAATGTTTTCCTGTGATATTAGTATTGTTTTCTAGTGCAAATTCCTATCATCATGCTGCTCTTCAACTGGAACCAAAACAAAAATTTAACATTATATTATACTACTAATAAAATTAATGATTAAGGAAATCTGCCATCCTAAACAGAACCTTTTATGACTTAAAATTTGCCTTCCTGAATTGGAGCTATGCTGTATTGACAACTTCCATTGGAACCCTGGCACATACAGTAGGAAGGCATAATAACTAAGATCCCTATCAATACCAGCTTTTAGGGGAGAACTCCATACTTTATAGTGTCCTTTGATAATCCATGATGGACTGTTATTTCTACATTTGCCTGTTTTCACATTTATTTTTTATGTTTTGATTCTACAGATGGAAAGTTCCACAAAATTATCATCCACTGTGTAAAACAGTACTTCATTTTATCTCAACTAAAATTACTTTCTTAAGTATGAAATACATAACAATCATAATTTTGTAGACATTTCTAAATAAGACTTTTTTCTCTATTTGCAGGCTAAAGATTGCTATACCCCTTATAATAGTCTCATCATGCCATTTTGGTGGTTCCTTCTGAAACTTTCTTGAATTCCACTAGATTTTGGAGATGTAGCAAGCAAAACTATGATATATCCTATACATTTTTTTGTATGTTATATATAAACTGTAAGAACCTTCTTGACAGCTCCCAAGATTTACTCAATCTTTTTAATTGCATAGAGCTACAGACATTAGGAAACCTACAATGATTCTAGATTCCTTTGCAGGCTCCTACAATCACACCCTATCAAAGCTAGAATGACTTTAGGAGATTGTGGCCAACATTCTACTTTTCCACAGAGAAGGAATGTTTGCCCAAGTGGCAGGGCCTGAAAATAGAAGCCAGAGAGTTTGACCCAGAGCTGAGGACTATTTCAATCATATCCCTCTGTATGCTTCACTAAAGATGGGGCAGAAGCTACTTTTGACTGCTTTTTTTCTAATGCATGACCTTTTATTTGAGTATGCTAAAAATTAATCTGCCAGTTTTTGCTTACTCACATGGCATAATGGGTGCTTTCAATAATTTCTCACTACCACCTTGACATGAGCAAGTTACTTAATCTCTCTAACCTTTGTTTCTCTCTCTGTAAAGTGGGAATGATAATACGAACCTACCCTTAAAAAGTGTGTTGTAAGAAATAAATGAGATGACTTGTTTATCATGATCATATTCCGGGCACATAGTGTAAACTCTTTAAATTGTTTCCATTACTGATTATGCATAATTATTGTAAGATGACCTCAAACATTCAAAAAAAAAACAATTCTCTCTAGGAAAGATTCACTTGGGAAGCTGAAAAGCATAAGCATGTTTTATACAGACTGCTTATGCGGGCACTGGTTTAGGGTACTATGCACTGCCAGTTTGAATTAGAGGGAGTATCAATCAAAAGCACATTATTTAGAAAGGTGAAAATATTCTAAAAATGTTGTTTGGTGAACCTAAGTTAAAACAGCATGAACTTATTCCACTTAAAAACATCCATACACCGTGAAATAGGTAAGTTACGTTTTTATTTCAATAATAGCTTACAAAAAGGGAAAAAGCTATAGCTCAAGCAATCATATACAAAACCTCTCTAAAAAACTCTGGAGTTACAAGGTAACCAGGTAGCATTGGTGAAAATGAATTCAGGTGTTTGAACTGAAGCTTCCCAAAATGCACCAGGGGCTAGTTTTGACCTGGTGATAGCGAATTTTAAGAATGTAAATTGCATTTACAGAGTTGGCAAGACTGGCCATAGACTGGCTCTCTCCCTAAAAGGGCCTTGAACACAGGGAGAATATCCAGAACGGGACCTTAGAGAAAGCATCAAAAGTCTGCCATATTTCACATAGAAATGAGAAGCTTAAGCTGGGGACTAAAAGTATTTCCTGATATCACATTTGAGCATAATCTCTGTAACGATTGACAAGCATGGGGAATGGAGAAGAAAAGGCAAATATCAGGGTTTTTTTTATGCCATTACAGACAAATTTTAGTGCAGCGTTGTTTAAAGATGAAAGAAAAAACTAAATGGTCTGTCAAAGAAGCATTATTTCATCTGTTTTAACTCTATAACAATTTATGAATTTTAATCTCCATAAATTCCTTCAGTAAACCACAATACAGTAGGACATATTTTAACCTTGTCTTTCTCCCTCTTATTACAACACAGTAATTAAGATCTGGGTTTCAGAGGCAAGCAGGCCGGGATTTGAAGTCCACCTCTGCCACTTACTAGGAACCTCAGCAAGCTGCTTGAGCTCTCTGCGCTCCCTCTTTTGTGTATCTAAAAATGGATGTTAACATCTGTCCACAGAGTTGATGTAACAGCAATTGTAAGGAAGGTCCTAATGCATTGCCTAGTATCCAGTGTATGCTCAATCCATCTAGCATCCTAATTCATTTTAGAATTTAATTACATATTTTATTGTTTTCATAATGTCCAATTGCTATGGTGTATGTTCTTGGTAAAAGTGGCTCTGATAGTAGTTCTGAAGCAGTTGAGGGGCAACAGACACACTCCCCTGGTGGTAGGGGGCTGGGAAATGGAGATAGGGTGCATAGTTTGAAAATTAAAAAGCCTCCTATTTCAGATTCTCACAGATTTCTACTGGGGAGAGGGGAGGAGGAGACCCTCCAACCTCAGCCTTCAGCTGAGAAACACCAGCCTTTCTAATGACAGAGACCTTTTTATTTCCTTCCCATGTATTCCTCACAAGGCCTGGCATACAGCAGGGTCAATAAATCAATCTGAGTTTATTTGTTTCTGTTTAGTAATAAAATATGATTCAGAATCCAGCAAGTTCAGTTCCTTAAAGAAAACAATATTATGTTTTGTGATCAATGCATAATTAAAACAAATTTCCCATTAATTCCCCTGACCTTTACAATTTTAGTCACATAAACCCATTAAAGAAGTTTATTCTCGACTACTGTGTAATGTAACTTATTTTCTCTCAGTGATGAGTATAAACAATAAGTACATTAAAAAATGATGAACCTTTATTATAGTCTTCAAAGGTCAGAATCATACAGAGCTATGGACAAGAAATTAGGACAGAAATATGCTTTAAAATGCTTCAGAAGTAATGGTGAGACTTCTGGTCAACATGATTCAGCAAATTCACACCATTATAAAACTCCTCCTATTCCAAACGTGATAATTAAAGATGAAACATAAAAAGTAAACATAAAAATGTTTATAGTTTGTTTCCAAGAACCAGATAAACATCTCTGTGGACTAGAAACGCATTAGAATCACAAGCAGTGAGTAAGTCTGAAGTCAGGGAACCTGCAAGGCTCCAGATTTAGAAGCCAGCACTGACTGCTGGGCATTCTGCTCCTACAGGATAAGAGAATCTAAAATTGGCTCACTGGAGATAAGGAGACCTAAGCCAGGTTAACTGTAAAGCCAAACAAGGAGGTTGGGCTAATAAGAAGAAGCTAAAAACAAAACTACAACTACAACAACAAAAAACACGACACACTAAGAGAAGCAGTTTTATAAAAATTTAAGCCTGTGAGGGAAAAGTTGACAAAGATGTGATTCAGACCCAGGCACAGAATCAAACCACCTGCTCGCTTGATAACAGAGTATGTGATATCCCCAATATCACCATTGGCAAGGGTGGCTGATAGAACATAATAAAACCTGGGTCTGGACTGGAAGTCTTTCAGACCAGATAAAAGTGATCACAAAACCTCAAGGAAAACAAGAGTAAGCCCAGAGAAAGGGAAAAAATGTAATAAAAAGTGAATGTAAAAACATCCCACTCAAAATGAGTCAGCAAACGAAAATTCCAAAACCCATGAAAAGGTATAATACTAAAAATGTCAACAAGAATTAAAGCATATGAATACAAAAAAAAAAAATCAAGAAAACATAAACGAGGACAGTAAGAAAGGAAAAGACTGACAAAAGGACTATAGGACTAAAAGAAAACAACTAATGAAACCGCAATATTAAATCCTCCCCTTCCCAATTATTACACTGAATTTTAATGAATTAATTCCCAATCCAAAGACATAGAGTAGCTGAATGGAAAACAAACAAAATACCCAACTACATGCACTCCACAGGAAACTCACTTTAGACTTAGTGAGACATACAGGGTGAAAGTGAAGGGCTAGAAAAAGGTATTCTAAGCAAATGGTAACCAAAAGAATGCATGGGTGGCTATCCTTAGACAAAACATACTCTAAGTCAAAAACTATCACAAGAGACAAAGAAGGACATATACAATGATTAAAAAGGTCAATCCATCAGGAAGATATAAGAATTATAAATATATATGCATCCAACATCAGAGCACCTAGATATGTAAAGCAAACATTAACAGAACTGAAGGAAGAAATAGATAGCAATACAGTAATAGTAGGAAACTTCGATACCACACTTTCAATAATGAAGAGGACATCAATACGGAAGATAAGTAAGGAAACAGAGGACATGAATAATATTATAGATCAAACAGACCTAACAGATACATACGGAGCATTTCACCCAGCAGTGGCAGAATACACATTTTTCTTAAGTGCCCCCAAATTTTTCTCCAAGGTAGGTAACATGCTAGGTTACAAAAAAAGTCCTAACCAACTTAAGAAGGTAGAAATCATACCAAGTATTTTTTCTGACCACAATGGAATGACACAGAAATCAATAGCAAAAGAAAAACTGAAAAATCTATAGATACATGGAAATTAAAGAACACACTTTTAAACAACCATTGTGTCAAAATGAAATCAAAAAGGAAATTAGAAATACCTCAATATAAACAAATGAAAACACAATATATCAAAACTTACAGGCTGCAGTTCACAAATTGGAAAAATTAATACTGTTAAAATGTTCATACTATCCAAAGCAACCTAAAGATTCAATGTCATCTTGTAACTGAACACAGGTCTGGCCACTCACTGCTTACAGAGTCCAATTAACAAGAGAGAGATCTGGTAGAAAGAAAGTGACTTTATTAACCAAAACTAGTAATGGGGAAGTGGCCAGATTCCCTATCCAAAGTAACCACTTTGAATTTCTAGGAAGAAGCTAAGTATTTAAAAAGGGGAGACTTGATATGGAAGGCAAGCAGGAGTCGCGCTAAGTACTAGATCTGCGTGTCTTGTTTTGGTTGCTATATTGGGTCTTGGTCCACCTGGAGCATGGGCTGGCATCATCTCAACAATGGCCAAGTTGTTGACTAGCTACCTTGAGGTTATCTGAAATTTTGAAGCAGGGTTTCCGGGTTTGGTCTGCCTGTCTCAAGATTAAGTCCCAGAACTTTAAGTAAGCACATAATTAGATACTAGCATACAGTTAGATAATGATGGGAAAGAGAGGGACATGAAGTCTTATTTTAAGGTTAAGGGGAAATGCTTCTGCAGTTAGCTTCAAGGTTACATCTTGAGATTAAGGAGAAAAGAGAAAGGAGAAAAAAAGTTTTAAAATGCATTTTTGAAGCCAAGCTGCTTGGCTACAATCCCTATCAAAATCCCAATAGCAGTTTTTTGTTTGTTTGTTTGTTTGTTTGTTTTTTTACAGGCATAGAAAACACAATTCTAAAATTTATATGGAACCACAAAAGGCCACAAATAGCCAAATCAATTATAAGAAAAAACAACAAAGCTGGAAACATCACACTTCCTGATTTCAACATGTATTACAAAGCTACAGTAATCAAAACAATATGGTACTGACATAATGACAGTCATACAGACCAATAGTAGGAGACAATGGGGATACATTTGAAAAATGTGTCATTTAGGCAATTTCTTTGTTGTGCAAGCACCATAGGGTGTACATAACAAACCTAGATGATATAGCCTACTCCATTATAATTTTGTGAGACCACTTTCATACATGTGGCCAGTCATTGATCAAAACTGCATTATGTGGCACATGGCATATATACATGTTCTTAGTCAAATATATTTGGAAAATGCTGTACCAATATATCTCACTCTAGAGAAACCCATTGAATGATATTTTATGCAGCATTTCTCAAATGTTATATCCATGCATTCACCAAGAATTTATCAAACCACTGTGTGCTGGCCACCATACTATGTACTGGGGATACAGCAATGAACTTGACAGACAATGGCTCTGTTCTTCTCAACTTACATTCTAATTGGAGGACAGTAGATGTACAAGTTAACAAAAATAATTCCAGGGACTGACACATGATGTGAAAAAATAAAATCAAATTCTATGACAGATAGTGGCAGAGACCTCAGCGGCCAGAAAACGGTCTTTCCAAGAAAGTAAGGTTTGAGTTGAGACTTGAGTGATAAGAGCTGGCCACATGAAGCTCTGAGAAAGAGAACTACAGCCAAAGGGAGCAGCTGAAGCAAAGTCCACAGGGTCAGAATGAGTTTGAGTGCTGAAGTCTTTCTTCACAAGTTAGATTAAGTGGCGTACTGACCCAGGAAGCTCCATTTAGGGAATCTTGAGGTACCAGAAATACTAGTTTAATTTGGATTTCAGAATTATGGAGGGGCATGTTAATTTAGAAAATTATGGGGACTGTTGTGGGGTGGGGGGAGGGGGAGGGATAGCATTGGGAGATATAACTAGAGTTAGTGGGTGCAGCGCACCAGCATGGCACATGTATACATATGTAACTAACCTGCACAATGTGCACATGTACCCTAAAACTTAAAGTATAATAAAAAAATAGAAAATTAAAGAAATAAGTAAACACTCCCAAACAGATTTATCTTGCTGATAATAATTTTCTTTCAATTAGTGAAATGTGATACATTAAATCTAGAAGTCCCAAAAAATATTCAATATAGCAAACTAACATGACAATTATTTTCTAGAATTATTTTTGTAATTATCAAATAATTTTGTTTTGGAAATGAAAGCAATGCAAGTATCTGTTTTAGAAGTCCTATGGAATGGAACTAAAAGGGAAGAGTCGTTTTTGAAAAAAAATCTATCTTTCTACTATGGAAAACTGGCAAACAGACGAGTGCTGAAGATGAAATCAAATGCAAGAGGAGCTGGATAACCAGGAAGACATAAGCAGGGATATACCTTTTCACAAAGTTAATTGGAAAACCAGCATCATAGAAAGCAGGCCTGATATGTGCAGTCTGTGATGCTGGTATCATCAACAGGTCAGCATGACCCAGGGATTCTGCAGTGCATGAAATGAGCAGCCACTGCTGAAGGCAAGTCACCTGGAAGTCACTTGAGCTGACTACAATTCACAGCATCACCAGTTTTGAACAGAGAGCAAACACAGGGGAACCTGAAAGCAAACTAATAGTGTGGAGAACTTGCTTAAGAAAGAGGATACAGTTTAGGAGCAGGAAGAAACCAGTTAATGGAGACTTCTCCCTAGGCATATATGATAAAATGGGGACAAGCGAACAAGTTAATGGGAAGGGTTTTGTTTTAGTAAGAAATGAAACATCATATCATTAAACAGATTATTTTATAGAAATATGTTGTAATTCTTCCAACTTCAAACCTAACTTGAAAGAGGTGCTAAATTGGATATAGGGGCAAAAATAACCACGCTCCTAGGCACTCTTTCATCTTGGGAAAAAAGAAAAAACAGCTCAATCAAATCTTGTATGGCATGGAGTGCTTTGTTTAAATCAATTTCCTGATTAGATAGATTAGATTTTTAAAATATAGTTGTCAATCCTTCTTAAAGATATCAGCTAAGATCAATGGAACACAACAGACAGCCCTGAAGCACATCTGTGTATGTGTATACAAAATAATTAAGTTTGTTGTAAAAGATGCACCAAAATACCAATATACTATCTGCATTATGAAACATCTGCAACAATGGAAATTCAAAATGAGAAAACCCTCAGTTTTATATTTGCTTCCAACATCCTCATGGATCTCCCCACACCCACTTTTGAGACGACTGTGCTCTCTGCCCCACTGACCCTGGCTGAACAGCAACCATGATCTCCAGGAGAGCAGGGCCCATGGCCGTCCTGCTCATCATCCAATCCCTGGTTCCTTAGAGCACTCAACAAGCATTAGTTCCCCCAGAGCTCTTTTCTTCCTAGGGGGCTGACACTGGACATAGGAGATATAAGCTTTTCCACGAGCTTTAAGCAATCTAATTCTACAGCTTCTGGGGACACTGAAGAGAACTTCACCCGGAGACATGATGATGAGCGCTGGGGTGTAAAGTGAGTCCTGTAGCTTCAGCTACTGCTAAAAGTGAAAGGGAGTTTTTTTTAATACCCTCTAGGAAGTACAATCCATAAAAAAAGGAATTCGAGGTATTTCCCTACTACCCAGGCCACTGGAAGAATTTTTTAAATTGAAAGGAATAAATATGCAAACACTGTAACCTTTTAGAAGTACAACTGTTTAAAAAGAGTATACTAGCAAGCTGCTCAAATATTCTAAAACAATGAGCAGCTTGACATTTTTCAAACCAATATTTTAAAACTCAGATCCACATGTGCACTGGAAATTAATGCCGTTTGTTCAACAATGATAGACTTGATTCATATCCACTCTCGTACAGTGGATTATATTTGCTGATTTCATTAAACCTTCAAAAGGTTAAAGCTGGTTGACATATGAAAAACTCCACACCTCCAGAACAGGAAATTTTGTACCAGTCCTTTTTTTATTATTGTTTTTAATAACAAAGCTACACTTCAGAAAGAAATGGTACAGCATAGGACTCTGTTCCTTACTAGCATTGATTATATTTTCAAACTTTTATTATATCAGGATATACTAACGAGACGACAGAAGCAGGGGGTCATGAACAAATGGACTGAACAGACTAGAAACACCTCAGAACTCCCAGAACTGCCTGGAGGGGACTTTGGAGGGAGGCTGCAGCTCTCAACCCAAGGCTGTAGGATGGAAAACTGGGTATGAACCATAATGAGACCACTTTTGGAATCTTGGCTGGTGGGCCAGAGGATATTTTGATCATAGACAGAACTCCGGGATTCAGTACTAAGCAATATCAATCGTCTTACTGTGTTTTTGATAACACTAAAAAAAAGAAAAAATTCTCAAGAGGGATTGTACCAGGACTAACAGAAGGGCTGTATAACTCCAGAGAGATTGAAGCCAGCCTTTAAATATGCTTTATAAAGTACTTGAATCAGGAAAAAAGAACTTCTTGACCATGCCAGAGACATATTATGATCAATGTGGGTTAAACTAGGGCTTCCAAAATCATGACAGTAATTTCTGCAGTAAGATCTTTAACATCTATTAATGTACAAAACCTTCCAGCCTAAAAGGTTTAGTAATACAAATAACTATTACTTTGTCAAACCCTGAGTGACGATAAGAGTCCTGGAATTAACCCCAATATGCATTAGAAGCTTCAACTACTGTACCTAGACACATTTTTGAAAAATTTCACAAACATACAAAAAGCTACAACACTTCTCACAGTTGTTATGTTATGACCCCACGATGCCCTTCAGGTATCTATTTTTCTACTCTTTTGAAAATGGAGGTTTCTTCAGATTCCTAATTTCCTCCATTATTTCATTTTAACTTAAATAAACCAAGAGGACCAGCCTGCTACTTTCTTGCTGTGCAACATTATGCAAGTTACTTAGCTTCCCTGTGCCTTGGTTTCTTAACTATAAAAGGAGAAGAGTAATAATACTTAAAGTGCTGCTTATTATGAGTATTAGCAGAATATATAGAAATCGTGCAGAACAAGGCCTGACCCATGGTAGTCAGTTATCAATGATTTGTATTATTTGTATTATTTCAATTGTATCTATGGATTGTATGAAAATAGGTCCCACCATTACATACAGAGAAAATAGTATATAGGATCTTTATAACAAACTTAATTATTGTGTACACGCATCTACAGATGCACCTCAGGGCTGTCTGTTCTGTTCCATTGATCTTAGCTGATATTGAAATTCTTAATAATTTACTTACAGGTCATTCAGCTTTTCTAATTAAAATTCTGGCCTGGGATTATCTGTTATTTTACAGTGAAGTGCTAGAGGCTTTCCAAAGAAAGAGGATTTGTATGGGTCTGGAAGGCCAGCTGCTGACTCCAGCTTTCTATCGTTCAAGCCACTGGACATTACCTGGATCCAGTGGGAGCCTTCTAGAAAGCCAGATCTCTAGTAAGTAATATATCTAGAATCCTCTCAAATGGAGCTCAACTAGATTAGCTATAAGTACATCATAGGAATGTCTGGCTGCAGCTCCTAGAGGTGACATTGAAAGTCATATTCATAGTTATTTCCTGAAATAAAGGCAAGGAGCCAAAGGGAAGAATGACAAAGAGGCACTAAACTGAATTTTTCCAAGTGTGGCTCTTAGAGCACCAGCATCAGAATTGTCTGTGACATCTGCATCAGTGCAGACTCCTGGGTCCCGCCCCAGATCTAGTGAATCAGAATCTGAGCATGGGTCCCAGGAATCTACATGTTTTTGTTTTTGTTGTTTGTGTTTAAAGGAATATACATTTTAATCAAGCACTCAGATGATTATAATGGATGGTATATTTCCAGAACTGCTCCGGATATTCCACCCAGGTCATGGGACTGAGCCATAAACCTATGTTGTTGGTGATGGATCTTCTGTATCAGCTAGAGGAGCCATAGGTTGTTTGACCTATGTCTCACCTCTTTTATACCCCAAGGGTCTGTTTTTCATTTGCTTGGTCCCTGCACCCAACCCAGCCTCAAACAGAGAAACCAAAACTACAAATCTCGCTGGGACCAAAGAAGGCAACTGGGCAGAGCTGGCCACCCTGAAAACTTCGCTCCAAGTAACCTGCCTCTATAGGATTCCTTCCTTAACATGCATCTGGCATTACATACAAACAATTGTAAGGGCTTAGGCTAAGGAGTAAGGTTTGCAAATCCAAACTCAGCCCCCTGCATTATGGGGATGAAAGAAGGGAATGGGATATGGTAAAATATCAAATAATTGCATTTTGTGGTTTACTTGTGAAATCAAGTTAAACAGTCTTTGGAAGGGCAATGCTATTTCAGGTTCTGCCAACAAAAGTAGCCAAATTGTTTCTCTAAGTTATGAATGAGGAATATACCATTCTCAGTTATTTAGATATTGCCAAATAAATTAATCTTCTCTAGAGGAAAGGATAAGGATAAACATTCCAGCTCATATATTACCATTAAAGAGATTCACTATTTCAGCAGTAGCTTGAATGGCTAAACACCTTCCTCTTTCACTTATCTGCCTTATTATCACTCTATCAGTTCAGTTTTCTTGCATTGCTATATTTAAAAATATAAAAATGACTACATTTAATTCATGGTTATGACAATAGGACTTAACAACGCAGTATGTATGTAAAGATATGAAAACAGTGCTTATCTCATCAAATAAAATCACAAAGTTTCATTCTAATTGTTTTAGAATCATGGTTCTCAGTTATATTCATGACATACCTAGCAGGAAAGAAAAACATCACCTCTGGCAGGATGGAATAGGAGACCTGGAGGAGCTTGGCAAATTTTCCAGGGTTCCACAGCATGTTAGCTGGGAAACCCTCAGTTCTAAGCTGCCTTGGTTGCTCCATCTACTCAACCTCATACTGACACTCAATAACAACTCATTACTACTAATAGTAACCATATTGTACAGTTTTAAGACATACTGCCATGCTTTGGACAGGAGCCTACAAAGAAAGAACTCTTTATAGAGTGCAAACTAGGGCAATATATGGGCAGCTGAAAGTCTGAAGCTGATTTACATGCAAGCCAGTCAGGACAAAAGATTAAAGAAACTAGGAACCCAGGCAAATTCAGCTGAGCTCTGGCATGCAAATAAAGTTTACAAATGAGAAAGACATCAAGTTTATAATAGTAAGAGTGCAAGGCCAGCACAAGTTCAGCCAATCCCAGCAGCTTGTTAAAAGCAGTTCTCCCCTACCCCACTGAATCTGCTTTCTGATTTCAAAGTTATATAAGCCTAGCAGCAGCAGCAGCAGCAGCAGCACCAGGGCACTCCATGTAGTACCCACATTCCATCCAGCCAGTTACCAAGTGCCAGATATGCTTCTAAGGGAGAGGGCCGAAAGCAATTTTGTAAGCCCCTGTGTTTTCATTTATGTGAATTTCTCAGCTTTTCTAGGTCAGAGAAACACTGGGTGATTACAAGCTCTTACTTATATGGGAGGGTGAAAAAGCATGCTGGCTCATTTTAAGGAGCTGACACCAGTTCCCAAGATTTGGGGAAAGAAGATGAAGTGCTTGAATGAATCCAAAAGGTATTCTTTTTAAGTATAATTAATTGATAGAACGTTTAATGTCTCCTGAAGGCATCGATAAAGAGATCATATGAGGTACTCTGAGTATTAAATTACCAAAGAAGACTAACTCCAGTAATAAAAGATGGGCTAGTTGATAGAAATTCAACTCCATGTAGCTCTTCCTACACTACAATGAGTAAAAAGCTGAAAACATTTTAGAGTATTGATTTGTTCATTCATTTAGCAAATACTCAGTAGAACCTACTTTATCTTAAGAACTGAAGTGAACTCAAGAAATACAGAAGTCAAGTTTCCTTCTCTCACTCCAAAAGACATCTGTCCATTCCTCATCATCCCATTTGCAGGCTACACAGTAATAATTCATTTGTCTTCTCCACTGGGTTTTAGTGAATCAGTGAATGAATACATAAAAGAAGCAAAGAAAGAAAGAACAAAACTAAGGAAGGATGAAGAAAGAGAGGGAGAGCAAGATGGAGCACTATTCCTTTCAAGAGTACACACAATCCAGTTTGCTGTTAAAGTCAAATTTGGTAAAAAGAAATATTTGGAGAACTGATGGTTTTCTCTTTTTGTATGTGAGCTAACTTCTCCATATGGTAGCAATGTTAACCTTCAGTTTTATGAACCATGATTTGTATATGGATTTCTACTAGAATTACATTTATTTTAGAGTTGGAAAGAATTGAAAGGCCCATTTGGCAGATTTGTTTTAATGTATTAATTATTTTTAAATATAATTTATTAGTAGATGACATAAACTTAGGGAACAATGAGGCAAAAAAAATAGGGCAAGAAAGAGAAAATCATTTTTACAGAGAAAAGTAGAAAAATATTTATTATGATAACAGAGTCAGACTCTCATTAAGTTTTTGCTTGGTATCCCTGAAAAGAGTATTGATGGTAAAAAGTTAAGCCTTCTGCAAATACCATGCACTAAGGAGGAAAAGGAACAACCAGAATTCTTACATACTTCTAATGGGAATGTAAATTGGCATAATCCCATTGAAAACAATTTGGCATTACCTAGCAAAGCCAAGTATGTGTAAACCTCGTGACCCAGAAATTCCACTCCTAGGTATATACCCTAGAGCAACTCTTGTATGTATGTGCCAGGAGACACGGACAAAAATGTTCATAAGCAGCACTGTTTGAAACAGCAAAAACTGGAAATGACCCAAAAGTCCATCAACAGTAGAATGGAGAGGTGAATTGCGGCATATTCACACAATGGAGTGTTATAAGCTATGAAAATAAATGAAGCACAGCTGCACACTGCAATATGAATGCTATGTTAAAAAAGCAAATTGTAAAAGACTATGTACAACTAAAACGGCAATTTTATAAAGCTTTTTAAAAAGTAACTATATAATATATTGTTTCAACATACTCATAATATGGAAAAACTATTTTTAAAAAGTATAAGAGAATTAACACAAAAAACTTCAGACTAGCATTGGCGGGGTGAGGGGACACAGGAAGACTGTATAGCAGGGGTCCCCAACCCCCAGCTAGCATACTGGTACCAGTCTGTGGCCTGTTAGGAATATGGCCGCACAACAGGAAGTGAGCATTACTGCCTGAGCTCTGCCTCCTGTCAGTTAGATTAGTGGCAGCATTAGATTCTCATAGAAACCCAAACCCTATTGTGAACTGCACATGCATGCTCCTTAGGTAATTCTAACTAATGCCTGATTGCCTGATGATCTGAGGTCAAGTAGTTTGATTGACTAAGGTCGATGGTATTAGTGATCTTAGGTTGAGAGATAAATTTACAGATGACTGTTTTATTGCTAGGCTTCATAACTCACATAGGTGGTACATATTCTGTTGTATATACCAACTATTACATATACATAATTTTAAAAAGTTCAGATACCTTGTATGACGAAATACTAAGCAGCCAATGAATAAAATAATTAAATTAGATCCATACATACTGATGCAAAAAGGCTTCAAGACAAATTGTGTTAACAAAAAGTCCCAGAATCGTACTACAGCACAATCTCATTTCTGTAACAAGGAAGCACAGAAAGTAAAAGCTCCTAAAACTATATGCTATGTATGTATTTGTACTGGAGACCTTCTGTTTGCCCCTCTGATCCACTCTCCACCTTTCTCCACTCAGCTCTCTGGCTAAGGGGGCTGACCTATATGGACTACATCAATAGGTTTTCTTGTTCCCTTGGCTTCCCATAGGGTTCAGTCAATGGGGGCGCTTAGAAGCAGAGAGGAAGGAGTGCATTTATTCCCAGCCCCTTTCCTGTGGTTGCTAAGAACTGGCTGCATCCCTCCATCACAGGTCTCAGTGCCCATTAGAGGGTCCTTTCTGCAGCACCCTTTCTGTGTCCAGGTTTCCATGACCACTTCCTCTCTGTGCCCCTTCAGATTTAGGGTTGATAATCATGATCCCCTGTGCTTTCCCTATACCCTCTCTACATCATATAAATAGTCCCTTTATTAAACTAAACCTCAATTATCCTAATTTGGTTTTGTTGCTGTTGTTGTTTAGAGACCAGGGTCCTGCTCTGTCACCTAGACTGGAGTGTAATGGCACCATGCTAGTTCATTGCAGCCTCAAACTCCTAGCCTCAAGCGATTCTTCCACCTTGGCCTTCCAAAGTGCTGGAATTACAGGTATAAGCCACCACACCCGGTCTAAATTATTCTAATTTGAATGTACCATCTGTTTCCTACTGGAATCTCAACTGATACAATTATATATGGATATGCAAGCATAGAAAATGGACTAAAAAGATACACAAGAGAAGGTTATCAGTTGTTAACGCTGGTGAAAGAAGCTAGAATTTAAAGAAGGAAAATATTAATGTTTTGGCCTTTACATTTCTGTATTATATAACTAACTTATTTCTAAGAGGAAAGTGTCATGTAATTTTTTGGGCAAAACAAAATTTTAAGAGTTCCAAAAAAATAATAATTTTTAACAATGCACAATCTGGGTAGTTTAAACAACAAACCAACTTCCTTTTATCTCAACATTCCCTGTGCCTAGCACAGTGCCCGACTAGCACAGCATGATAGGAGCGTCTAAGGAATGCAGACACTGTAATCCTGTGAATATTAAACCTAAAAGATATCTTAGAAGCAAGCTTAGCTTCTGTAAGGTTTAGTAATAAGAGGGAAGGGAGAAACACCTCTAGAGTCGCTCGACAGAGGCTTCCTAAAAAACATGGCAATTGACTGCGGGTATAGGCAACAACTGGACTGTCGGCTGGATCCTGGACTGCACTGTGCATACAAAGCTCACGTCCCAAGCCCTGTGCAGGCTGAGCTGTGTCATGGTCTCCAGACACTAGAATTTCACTTGACCATGTTCATACAAGTGTCTCTCCTAAGGTCTAAGGTCTGGCAGACTTCCAGTACTACTATCTCCTCTCTTGCTCCCCAGGGCCTGGAGGCGTTTCTTGATTATGAACTCAAGGCAAAATCCTTTGGCTACCATGCTATGACTACTGGACTGGACTCTATCTGAGCACCTGAAGCTGGGGGTGGCCACCGACACCTGCCTTACCCCAGCAGGGAGATTAAATTCAGGTCCAGGCTCCTCCCATCTGGCCCACTCAGCCATAGAAAACTAGCTCTGGCTAACTCAACTTGTCCTTCAAAACTCAGATTAGATGGCACTTCCCCTGACAAGGCTTTCCTGATTCCCTGAGTTTAAGTGCTCTCCTTAAATGACCCAAAGGCACTGTGTACTTCCTCTATCATAATATTTATTATACTATATTGAAATTGCCCATTTACTTGTGTGTAACCTCTCAAAAAACTGTAAGCTTTTTGAGGGCAAGACTAAGCCTTATGCATCTCTCAGTCATAAGAGACAATGACATAGAGTAGGAGTCATTAAATACTGGAAAGAAAAAGGGAGGAAGGAAAGGAGGGAATACCCAGAGAGGGAGGAGAGAGGGAGGAAGGAAGGAAGGAAGGAAAGATATCACATGCTGCTAAATCCATACATATGACAATACAAAATAAATGACCCTGTTTTATCTCCTCTAATGACTTTTAAAGCTATGGGAATGGAGAAATCAAGGTAAAGATAAAGTAATAGATACGTCATATGCTTACTGAGAACCTTCTCTCCACCAATAACTGCCAGGGTGATAAAATTGTGAGAAGAAAACAGACCATACTCCCTTCCCCAGTCTCATTCATATATGTGGAAAACTTTGTTTTTCAAACTTCTGATGTTTCTAAATGTTTTCATATACTTTCCAAATATCTCCCCAATATCTTTGGGATATTTAGATATTTCTGTATGTTTCCACTAATTGTTGACAGGCAAGAGATTTTGTGAGGTTGAGTTAATCAGCACTTGGTACAGCTATCAGAGACCTGTACTGGTTCCTCTGTGCTGAATTATCTCAAGAATTCTTTGCCAAAGTAATAAAAATTAATGTTTAATGTTGGCCTCTCTGTCTCTTTGATGGCCTTACTGAATTCTGTGGTATTTAAAGCATCACGGAAAGTAAATAATGAAGGTTTGATGTTGCTTTTTTAAACACAAATGAAACCATTAAGCAAATGAGTCAGAAATTATATAAAAGAACATTAGGAATTGAAACAGACCTGAAAACAATTTCTAAAAGATGTTAGGCAAAACTTCCATTCCATTCAGTCCAGAAATACTGCATTAGACCCACAGTAAACAATGCTACCTTTTAACTACCTGCCACCAATCTTACCTCCTTCCAATGTGGTCCCACTGTACCCCATTGCTGCACTGCATCTGGGTGAGGGAATGCAAGCACTTCATTCTTAACACACAAACCCTGAGTTTTCTCCAGGCACAAGAGAACTACACAAAAAGGCCACAAAAATGAGGGAAAGAATATACACAAAATTATAATTTCCTATCTGATGTTCACTACTTGACTTGGGCTCATAAGACATTGGTTATGTTCATGAGAAAGATAAGCAATACATGGTTAAGAAAAAAAAAAGAGGTAGACAAATTTGGAAAGCCCAGGTGTGAGGATAATGAATTAGCATTAACTTACAATTGTCTACATGTGGTTCACTAATGGAAACCTTTTCATCTCAGGCTGAGTTCCTGGCTATCATCAGGACAGAATTTATAAGTAAAGTATTTTATGCTATGCCACAAAGTAGATATTTTGTGCTATAATTTGAGGGAGCCTAAAAAACCCTGAAATACAAAATCTCCACCTTCTCTAACCCCCTCACTGGCCTTTCCATGGTACCCCAAATTTCCATGTTATACTCAACTAAAACACGTACAGTCCTTCACAAAAGGCTAATGCTATCAGGAATACAATACCTTAAACTGTTATCAGCTTGTGGTGGGTTGTGTGAGGGTGATGTGTGGGTGAGTGAACACATACTAGCTTAACATCTATTTCCCTCTCTTTTGGAAACAGAAACCTGGTAACCTCTTGGGAACCTCCTCTTCCCCACAGTCATCCATGGTTTGGGTGAGACTGACCTTGAGTCTTGGTTTCAGTGGTGGGTACCTGACCTAGTTTAAGACTATCACAGTTCTATAACCCCATCACAATGAAAGTAGGCACATGTCTCAAGCCAAATTAATGAAAACCCTATCTAGGACCTATGCCAGAGACATTTCTCTATGTTTCTTGGGATGCCAAGATGGTAGGATATACGCCTGTTGCCATTAAGGCCTTTTGGACACTATTTGTAGGATATAAGCCTGTTGCCATTAAGGCCTTTTGGACACTATTTGTAGGCAGCTTGCCTGAGAATGAAGCCACACTGAGAAAAGTTAAGCCTTGTGAAGGAGAGGCAAACACCTGACATCTTCTGGAAACCTGGATTCAGCCCTACCAAAACTCTTCAGTTACACAAGCCAATAACTTCCCTGCTTATCAAACAAGTTTCTCTAGGTGTTTGACGTTTAAAATCCCAAGAGTCCTGATTAATACATAGGTATTGATGTCCTAGGTTAAGTAATCAAAATGTATGGTAGAGAGAAATGTAGGCTGCATAGTGGAAGAAAGAACACAACTGGGAGACCGTGATGATCTGTCTCTGTTCCTTTTCTGCCCGTAAGTGCTTATCTTTGGGTATGGCCCTTCATAATAAAATAAGGGGGCTTAAAATAATGAACTCCGAGCTCCCTCTAAGCTTTGACATACTGTGCTTCTGGGTATGCTTTGGAGGGTGGAAATAAGAATCAAAAAGGAGCTGCTCTACAGGGCATATTTTGTAGGCTTGCAAAGTGGGGTGGGAGTGGGGGGCTTGTTTAGCCCAGGTGGCAGCAATGTGCAGGCAAAAAACGTGGGTTGCTCACATTAAGATGAATGGTCGCACAGACTAACTTCAATGACTTGACAATTTTCCCAGAACCAGTCCTGACTATCAAAGAAACAAACTTCTGAGCTGAAGTCAAGACCTTCCTATTATCCATTCTTCTCCACGAGTAAGGCTGCCCCAGAGGTGAGGAGATGAGGGAAGCGGCTGACATACTTAATGCGTGACTTGGCCCCTTTTGCTCAATCATGCCCCTGCCTGGAATGCCCTCTTCACTTAGCTCCCCCAGTCTAACACCTACTTGGCCTTCAGCATCCAGCCCGAGGGCTTTCTCCTCCACAAAGTCTTCCCATGCCATAGCAACACACAGTAATCTCTCTACCATCCTTAATCCTAGGCTTGTTGTGTGTTTCTCTCACTTAAAAATTACCTGATTCATGGATGGGCCTCTCTGCACTGATGGGAGACTCCAGAGAATGCCAGACATGACATGCCCAAGGGCACCCAGCTTCTCAGTGATAGTCAGATGAGAATCTAGGTCCCTAGACTCCACATGCAGAGCTCTTCCCTCCATATCCACTGATGGCTCCTACTGCTACCTTCTCTTCAAGCTCCTGTTGCATTTTCACCTCTTACTGAATGCCTTCCAGGTGCTAGGCACTGTTAGGTTCCTTGTGAACATTTTCTGCAATCATTACAGTTGTGGTAGCGGTACGTAGCACTATTCGCATTTTATAGATGAGGCACAGAGAAGCCAAGTGATTTGCTCAAGGCCACAGAGCTAAGGACAAGAAGAGCTAGGATTTGAAACCGGACTATCTGGTTGTGAAGCCATTTTTTTTTCTTCTCTATCACTGTCATCACCATCAATACCACATGGTCATCACTGCTATTACTAAGCAAGCAGCAGGAAACTTAAAGACATTACCTTACATTGGCTCCATCTTGCAACATGGGTATTAATCCCATTTCATTTTACAGATAAGGTCACTTCCCCCAGGAAGCTTTTGCTGACCACCACACCATAGAATAGTATGGTGCTCCTCCTAAGTGTTCCTCTGCCCTGTGTGCTTCCTCTCCCTGTTTTAGCATTTATTTAGTGCCTTGGAAACACCAGCGTTCAGTCTCCTCCTCTGAATTAAACACAACTTGTCGGTGTTAGAATGTCTTGTCAATTACTTGTTCAGTAAACAATTGTTGAATGAATGAGGGTGACAAAGTCCACAAGAAGCTACTGCTGATGATACAGGACCACTTTCCATTTCATTCTGGACCCTCTAACCATTTACTACAGGAGGGAGCATCCAGTTCCACACAGAGGAAGAACAAATGGGCCTGGGCTGCTGAGAAGAGCAGCATAAGGGAAAAGCTGTCTCCCTTTGACTGAAGCTACACACTTGGCGTTTTCTCACCAAATCTGATATTCATGACCTTGCTGGGGCCTACTGAAAGCCAAATTGAAGCTACTTCCAAGAGACAGATGGCAAAAGAGTGTAACATCTGCCAGGCCTTTCAAATCACCAATTCCCCATGGTGAGGGCTTGTGGTAGTTCTTTGCAAACATTCAGTGGTCCTCTCTGAGGCAAGCAAGGATTCTACCATCTGAAAGAGTTGACAAACATCATCTCTTTAATCTATTGTGGCAATTCTTAGAGAATAAATCAACTAGCAAGAAGCCAATGGTTGCTAGAGTGTGATGTGAGTATTTTAGGAAAGAACTTAATTCCTTATTATATGCATTGGAATCACAGCATTAAACCCAATTCCACAGCCGTCTACTCACTCATGCAGACATTTGTCCAACAAATATCTATTGCACACCTATTAAGAATCAAGCACTCTCCTAGATGCTGGAAAGATAATGGTGAACAAACAAAATCTCATATCTCAAATGAACTCTCTTACCTGAAAGAGGCTGCTCACAAAGCTGTTTGTACTCACTGGGGTCAAAGCACAGACAATTAATTCATCACATAATGTAGCACATCTTTTGAAAGACAGGAGGACCAAGGGGAAAGGGTCCAAGAACATGTAATTCACGATGACTGGAAAGGCAGTTTGGGGCTGGGTTGTTATGAGTAGGCAAGAAACATAATCAGCTTTGTATAGTAAAGTGGCATTTAGAGCAACTATACCATTTAACGAACTCTAGTTCGTATAATTAAAATGGATGAACTAGAGCTAGATATATCAATGTGGATGAGTCTTTAAAAATGTAATAATAATGTTGAATAAAAATCAAGTTGAAAAAGGATACATACTTTATGATGCTGCTTGTTTAAAGTTATAATATTAAAAATCAATAACTATGTGGTTTATGAGAACATGTATATGTAATAAAAATAATCAAAATGCACATAGGAATAATATATACAAACTTTTAAGTAAATTATATAGGGAAGAAAGGGAAGAGAGCAGGAAATACTGAGTAAAACTTCAACTATATTTGCACTATTTCCTTCCTTCCTTCCTTCCTTCCTTTCTTCCCAAGTTATCTGATGAAAACATAGCAAAGTGTTAACAACCGTTCAATCTGGGTAGTGAATATATACATGCTGCCCTTTCTCTGATTTTCTGCATTTTTAAAAAATATGTTTGAAAAAATTTTAAATTGAAAACTAAAAATAATTTTAAAAAGAAAGGAACATTGGAACAAGTTAGGGATCCAGAAATCTAGAATAAAAGATCTCAAGTTTCTCCCTGGGGAAGTTGCTGATTGGCTAAAGGGAAATAGTCCAGAGGGATCTGTAATGATGATTCAAGGCAACTAAACTAGCACCAGATAGATCTTTGTCTGTTCAAATCTTTCACCATATCAAGATGCTATCTGATGCCTCTTTTCCCAGCCCTACCAAATGAAGTACCTTCTCTTTGGGCAATTATTCTCATAGAACTCTTTTTGGAGATTGGAACAGAGGAGAAAGCAATAGTCTCGAAGTCTGAGACACTCAGACCACTGTCGTGTTAGTCCCTGGGCTCCACTATGCAAAGCCACAGGATGGCTGCAGGTGTTTAGGGAAGGGACTCCAGCTGAAGAAAGGGAAGTCATACTAAAGGAAGCTAAGACCATAGTGGTCATCCTTCCTGCTCTGTCTACTCCTCTGAAGGCCAAGCTTCACCCAGCCTAGGTGATCCTAGGAGTGTATCAGGCCCAGGAGCGTGAGCATTCCAAGTTAGTAAATGAAACAGGAGCAAAAGAAAGTGTGGGACTATATAAAAAAACAAAAACAAAAAACAAGCAATGGTGTTGTGGAAATAGTAAGGCAATTTTTTCTGGGGCCACTATGAACTATAGGACCAAAACTTCATTTTTTGCCAAAACTTCTTTTTATAAGGAAAACACATACTTGTCCTTTGTGGCATAATAGAAAAGTTAAAGGGAAGTAAATGGAAAGAAAGTTGAAAACAAAACGATTTTACCTATCTCATGTTTGAAGCTAGCATGGCTATAAGGCAAAAAGGTTTTCATCCCTAGGATACTCTGTAAGTGGAGGCTTGTTACCTAATACCTAATAGCATGATCTTTGCTTCAACCTGTCCCTTACGGGGAAGAAGGAAGGGTGGCTTGAAGCCTGCATGTATGTTTGATGGAAGGTCAATGTGGCCTTCAGTGTGTCGTAGTCATTGACAGAAGACAGGGGAAGAACACTCTTGAGTTTCCTCCCAACCCTCTGTTTTGGAGGTTCAGCACATTCCTGAAGACCATCTGTCAAGGTGGATGATGCAAAGGAATTTTATAAGATTTAGCACACTGATGTCTGTCTTTGCCCCATAAATGTCTCTCTGTGGGAAAAACATCTTCCTTCTCATGGCAGTGTTGACAGACCCAAGTTCAAGGAGATATAAATCTGCTGACATTCCAATTGCCCATCAAAAGTTTTTCCTTATCTTGGAGTCCAACCAGATACATCTCCATTCCTATCCTTTTCCCAGGCATTCAAATGACAGGTGTCTGTATGATCCTGTGAAGGGAGTTGTCATTGTCCTCTGAATTCTTCAGTGACTGAAAAGTCATTGCTGGGAGAACCAGAAGAGGAACGAAGTCTTTCCATGTAACCACTGGGAAATGGGTGCATTATACTTCCAGTAAAATACGTGGTTTAAAACTAAAAATCTCCAAAAAAAATCATCCTCACTGCCAGATATGTATTTATTTATTACTTTTGGTAATCATGTTTGTGAAGGACTCACTTACACTTTGGAAACAGCTAACCAAAGAATGAAACTTCTGAGACAGCAATTCTGTGGACTTCAATTCCACTGGGGGAGCTACCAAGTGAGATAAATGCTCTATCTCAACCAACTCTTTGGATTAACTTTTCAATCTTTCCCAAAAATCACCTGGAAAAAAGGAAATTCAACAGTTCTCTCAATTCCTCAACAAGTGAAGGTCTTCTAAGCAGTTCTTGTTGCTAGCCATCTGCTGGACGAAAAGAAACATGGCTCCCTCTTTGCTCTGTGACTTTCTCTGTATTTGACTCCTTGATCTTGGGCTCATGTGAAACTGAGGGATCTTAACAAGAGAAGATGAGACTGTATTTTCATTTTTCATTTCTGTTGCCATAGAAACCCCTATAGTTTCTGAATATGTCTCAGGGAACCTATATCTCCCTCTTAATCTTCTAACCGAGAAGTTCAGAGAGGACAAAATTCTCGCCTCTTGGTTTTTTCACTGCTCCAGCTGGGGTTCTTTCTTATTATACCTCACCCAAGCTTTGACCTGAACACAGCTCTCCCTTGAGTTCTTAGTACACAGAAAATGCTGTTTCCAAAGCATAGCAATTACTGTAAGGAAACTTTTGCCTACTGAGATGCTCTAACAGTCAGAGCTACTGAATTCTCTATCTATATTTTTTCAGTGGATGCTTTCAGTTGGAAGCATACATGGGTAATTGTATCTCAGAGTAGAATTCATTTGGGTGCTTACGTACACATTCCTGAAAATAAGAGACTACAGTAAAAGTATATTTTCAACCTAAACTCTACAGTGTAAAGATAGACATAGAAAAAATTAATCATGTTTCAGAGAGACAGTCAGAATTGGTGAGAAGCCATGTTTTGAGCAATGCTGAACAAAACCGTGAGAGTATCTAAATGGATTTCTGAAATTCAGCCAAATAGGAGTAACAGGAGGGGGTATCACACTCTAACACACAGCATTGGAGCTGAGAGACTTGCATTGAGGGAGCATATTAGAAAGCCTAGAAAGATGAGCATCTTTGTTTAATCTGATAAAGCAAGTCAAAAGATAATGGGCATAACTTCTTTACAATAGGACACTGCTAAAAATACACATTCAAACAGAGCAGAACATCTTATCTTCCAACATTCCTCCTCACCAATACAATTGGTCACATCTGTTCAGAGAGTCTTAAATAAGACCTTCCTCATGCTGACAAAATGGAATGTTATACATTCTATTCCTTTGCCTTTGAAAGGGTCTTTGTAGGCAGTTTTAGTCCTTCCCCTGTCCCACCCCAATAAACAGAAATAAAGCACCTGGAATTTTAAACTATCACTCATGTAAATCAGAATTATCTTCCATCATTCAAAAGCCCGAGCAAGCTCTTAATATAAATGCTTGTTAACAGTTCATTAGAAAGTCATGTGCAAAATAGACGTTGGCTGGGGAGAGGATCCTCTCATTGGGAATAAATTATAATTTTTTAAATATATAGGTTTTAAATAGTTTACAATTCCTTAAAAGCAACCTGAGTTGAGAAGTTTGGGGTTTGTGTTCAGACTCAGCAGAAAGCTTTCAGGCCCCAGACTCCTGAAATTAAAATCAGACCCGAATCCAAACAAATTATTTCTTCTGATTTGCCACCCTCAGACTCGGAGTATCATTTTCCTTCATCAGGGTCTGAACTTCGGAAGCCAATCCTGCAAGCAACTTTCAGTCTGTGAACACAATGAAGAGGAAGCCTTTGCTTTTCACTGGGAGAATCAGTGATGTGGAGAAATCTGGCAGCTCTACAGAGCACAGCCCGGTGGCTGCAGCCTAAACACACAAGGCTGTTTACTTTCAGTTCTGGAACTGTTGAGTACAGAGGTAAACTGCTTAACTGTGTTTGCCTGCTTAGCATGCCATGGGAAGAAGAACCTGATTAAGAGGCAAAGAGACAAGCATCTGATAAACATGTTTCGCCCACAAATCACAAGTCTGCCTATCTGCTGCTAAACACAAGGTCTCTCTCTCCCTGTCTGTCTCTCTCTCATGCAGTCCCCTCATTTATATCAGGACCAAATTTTTGGCTTATTTTTACCTCAGAGAAGGCAGATACTAGATAGCTCATAAGAAAGGAACGATAACCCCTTAATAATGAATTTCCTGACGTTTGATTTATGCTACCATGCCAATGTTAACTCCATTTAATTTAATTGCTTTGGTTTACATTCTTTGGAAAAGCACAAAGGAGGAAGGTTATTAGTGCATAAATGCCCCAGGGTTTGGAACTGAAAGAGCACTTTTCCCTCGCTTTCTGTCTTACGATAGAAAATGCTTCATGAGAGTAAAAGATGGGCACAGTCAACCCATAAAATGAATTGAGTAATTGGTTGGTTGTAAAACACCATGATGAACTTCAGCTGTACGGGACCTGCTGGTCTGGCCCTGCATATTTTCAGTGCTTGTGTCTGCTTTAACGCTGATGCATCCAGGGAAGTCACAACTGCATTGTGGCATCACATATGCCACAGGATAAAGCAGGGCAAGGTGGAGGAATAAACCAGAATTAAATTCCAGAGAGAAAATTTCACACTCTGAGATTAGAAGGAACCCATGTCATCTCAGGGCTTGGTGTATTAGAAAGAAAGAAGGATCTGAAATCTAAGCAGGCAAAAAAAGGTGGTGGAAACATCTTAGTTAGCTTGGTTCCTGGAGTATAAAATTCCTCTCTGATGTGTTTCTAGGTTGGAGTAAGTGGAACCATGTTCTAATTCCTAGGAGAGAGTCTCTGAGACCCCTTACCTTCCCTCCAATGAGACAGCATAGGGTTTTCAGCACTTCTGCAGCACCAGTTGTTTGACAAGGTGCCTATCTCCACTGTGCTATATGCCCAGGACTACCTCATTAAATGACTGTGGGAGGTATCATTTCCAGTGACACTGATGAAGTCTAGGAGCGCAACCCCTCAGGAGCACAATAATGTGAATGGAGCCCCTGGGGCTTGGCCTTTCCTTGCCTTGGAAAGGTATGAAGTCCAGAGTGACCTAGATCCACCCTTAATGTGCTTTGTTTCCCAGCAAAGCCATCAGCATCAGGGAACTGGCACAGTCAAGCATTGCTGGACCAAGATTTTCCTTGGAGACCTCATCTGGATGCATGCACGATGGGGAACACCAGCCAGCAGGGGAAGCAACCTTGTTTATCTTTCCCCTAAAAACATCATCAGGAAGTATCTTAATCATTCATTCTTGCTTCCTCAGGGCTACCTCATCTAGAGACTTAGAGTCACTCAGAAGGAACCCTCAGAAGGAACACAGGGCATTGCCCTCTGCCCTCAAGGCAGTATATAAATAGAATCACATGAAAGTATGTCATATTTAAAGCTTCAAGGAAAGATTTCACAACGTTAAACAGAAAACTTCTCAAAGTTTAATAGTCATCGCTCTGCTACCTAAATTTCTCATGTTGCAGCTTACGCCCATTTTCTCTTTCACTATTGCAGCCAAAGATATTCTTTTATGTCAGAAATGTGGCAGCTTAATAACAAAATAACAACAAACAGAATGCAAGTTCTCACTCATGAGTGGGAGTTGAACAATGAGAACACATGGACACAGGGAGGGGAACATCACACACTGGGGCCTCTCCGGGGCTTGGGGGCTAGAGGAGGGATAGCATTAGGAGAAATACCTAATGTAGATGACAGGTTGATGGGTGCAGCAAACCACCATGGCACGTGTATACCTATGTAATAAACCTGGACGTTCTGCACATGTACCCCAGAACTTAAAGTACAATAAAAAGAGAAGAAGAAGAAGAAGAATAGGGAGAAGGAGAAGGAGAAGAAGAAGAAGGAGAAGGAGGAGAAGAAGAAGAAGAAGAAGAAGAAGAAGAAGAAGAAGAAGAAGAAGAGGAAGAGGAAGAGGAAGAGGAAGAGGAAGAGGAAGAAGAAGAAAAAGAAGAAAGGAGGACTGGCTTGCAAATCCTCCTAGGAATTTGTACATCGCTTTTCAATGAGGTAGCCCAGTGTCCAATACATAGGAGGCATTCCATAAACGTTTATTGAATAAATAGATTATTCAGACATTTAAAACACTTGTTAGAAAGATTCCCTCACTCCCAGCCCCACCCCAAAGTGATAGAGACAGGAAGAATAGCTTGAAGCTACAAAGAGACAGACTTATATCTGGACTGGTCAGAGCTGCCCAAAGATGGGCAAGGCTGCACTGGGAATAAGTTCCATGTCAGTATTAAGGATTTGAACTGGACAACCAGAAGGCTGTCAGAGGTATCTTGGAATTGGAAGGGTGGTTAGGCTAGTTGATCTTCAGAGTAACTTAAGCCAGAATACTAGGCCAATTACAACTGTCCTTAAGAGGTGGCTTTTAATATCGAGGTTTCCTAGGTTTTCAGAGAAGAGAGCAATCACATCCAGGTACAGTGGTGTTCTCAACCTTGGCTGCACATTGTAATAACTTGAGCTTTTAAAAATGCAGATGCCAGCCGGGCGCGGTGGCTCATGCCTGTAATATCAGCACTTTGGGAGGCCAAGGCGGGCAGATCACGAGGTCAGGAGATTGAGACCATCCTGGCTAACATGTTGAAACCCCATCTCTACTAAAATACAAAAAATTAGCTGGGCGTTGTGGTGCACACCTGTAGTCCCAGCTACTCAGGAGGCTGAAGCAGGGGAATCACTTGAACCCAAGAAGCAGAGGTTGCAGTGAGCTGAGATCGCGCCACTGCACTCCAGCCTGGCGACAGAGCAAGACTCCGTCTCAAAAAAAAAAAAAAGTGCAGAGGCCTTGCCAGGCACGGTGGCTCATGCCTGTAATCCCAGCACTTTGGGAGGCCAAGGCGGGCAGATCACTTGAGGTCAGGAGGTCGAGACCAGCCTGGCTAACCTGGCAAAACCCTGTTTCTACTAAAAATACAAATATTAGCTGGGTGTGGTGACAGGCACCTATAATCCCAACTACTCAGGAGGCTGAGACACGAGAATCGCTTGAGCCTAGGAGACGGGGTTGCAGTGAGCCAAGATCACACCAATGCACTCCAGCCTGGGGGATGGAGTGAGACTCTGTCTCAAAAAAAAAAAAAAAGCAGAGGCCTGAATTCCACACCCAAAGGCTCTGGTTTAAATCATCTAGGGTTCTAGGGTGTAGCCTAGTCAACAGGATTTTTTACAGCTCCCCAACTGCAGCCAAGTATATGAAGCACTGAATTGGAAGAAATTGAAGCAGCTTCATTAAAGAAGGAGAAATTATGCCAGGGCCTTAAATGATAGATTTGGATAAATGGAGAGAAAAGAGAGGCATTCTTGCATTCTTTTCATAACCTGATAGGTGTTTGATAAACACATATAGAGCATCTATATATGAACCTCAAAAGAAGGAGAATTTACAGTTAATGAGCATTTGTTCTTGGGTATAAATCCCAAGTGGATTTCTTTCACTCATTCAATAAATATTTCCCAGATATTAGTCACTCAGTTACTTTTGGCCCCAGCCCAGTGATATGTGGAGCAGAAGGGGTTACATAAAAGGGTAGATCGCTGTGTTAAAACAAAACAGAACAAAAAAGTTAAAAAGTCAATTAAATTATAAAGGGTTAGTGAAAATATTTTGAACGGATCCAAAGTAGATGGCATTTAAACTTTGACTCTTGAAAGTATTAATATCCACAGAAGTTTATATTTCAATTAATTCAATGGTAGCTGGTAAATTAAGCCCCCCAAGCCAAATACTCAATAATCAGTTACAGTATCTAGCCTGGTTTAAATCCATCTCCTCTTCTCTGAAAGATGGGTGAATCAAATATTTCTCTCCCAACTTTCCAGGTATAGTGTCTGCTTTCGAAAACACCATAATTAGGGAGTGAATGGGTGATAAAAGCAAACTGCATTAGCCTTTAGAAGAGTTATGCTGCATGGATGTAATCATTCTTGGTAAAAAAAAATCAATGCACAAGAGTTGCAAAATATTCTTTTCAAATGATAGATAATAAATCAAATGGGCATGATTAATGTCAGCACAGGGAAATTTGCAGTGGCGCTTTGGGTTACAATATTTTTCTTGTCTGCATAAATCTGCTGAAAAGAGGTTGTAGAGAAAGGGAAGCTATACATATACTCAGGAAATGAGTAAGTCCAATTCTAAACACAGTGCTGTGTTTCTGCACATTACATAGAGTAAATGCCCACCCTGGTACTCTTTACCAGAAAATGAAAAACTCTGATATGCTTCCATTTAAGGCAGTTGGGGGTGGTAACACAGAGGTTGAAGCAGATGCTATGGAATCACCACCATCACCCCTACCCCCACCCCAACCAAAACCTCTGCATCCACTTTTGAGTTCACCTGCAGCCTAGGTGAACAGAAACTATGCATGCCCTTGTCTTCTGCTTTTCTGCCTGAAGGCTCTCTCCAGTACTAAGGCTTGCAAAGCCTACTGGGAGGGCATCCTGAAAATGCCAGGGATTTAATGCCCCCAAGATAACTCTTAGCCAGTGAGGACTGAAGTAAATGGATAAACATCTCAGCTTTCTCATCCTTCAGGGGCACAATTCTGAGGCACGTTCTACAAAGTTTCTCAAAAAATTCCCAGCAGGACTAAACCCAGTTGCCTATAAGCAGTTTCTCACATCTTAATGCACCTTTATTATTTTGTTGTTTTTTTTCCCCCTTTCCTCTCCTTCTTTACCTCACTGTTGCTTCCTGGAATTACCTAACAAATAAACTACTTGCTCCCAATTCCTTATTATAGGGTCTGCTTTGAATAACCAAACTGAAACAGAGCATCTTATCTCTCATTATCATCCTAGCTTGGCCAGGGAAATGGTGCTTTGAGAATATGCTTCACATGCATGTAATTGGGGCTCAATAATAGTTGATTGGATGAATAGATAGGTGGATTGATGTATGACTAGATGGACAAAGAAGAGTGTGTTACTGGGGACAATGGATAAAATAAGAGGAGAATTGAGACTGGAGCCATGTGAAAAAAAATGACATTTGAGAGGGGAAAAAGAGAAAAATAAGTTGAAGAAGGTGACTAAATTATTCCCAATGGACAGGTTCTAGAATCTGGTTAAATGCTTCTGGTGAAAGATATGCCAGTGTAGGAACGGAAAGGAGGCATTTCATGGGCTAATGGGGGTTGAGCACATTTTTAAAAGGCACTCCCTTTGAATACCCAGACTATATGTCTAACTATCTAGCCACTGACAATTCAATTTCATATTTTATACTGCTTCTTTATACTCCTTTTCTATATTCAGTGGCAAGAGATCATAGAGGTATAGTCAAATGGTTTGTAGCCTACTATCTTCTACTGACTCCTGGCTCAAGGAAAGATGGGGCTTCTCTGGCAGAGGCAACTCTTACGACTCCTCTATGCCTGCAGGAAATTAATTCCCAATGGAACATATGGAACTGGACTGAGGGGATGGGTCAATGTTGAGGAGTTGTCTCCATTGCATAGTCCTCCTATTACTTTGATTTTAAAAGTCAGCTAATCTTATGGGCTATGCCACCCAATCAAGCACCAGAGGACTGACTATTCTGACACTGGTATGGACACAGTAAGCCCACTGCACACCACAATGGTCAAATCAAAACCAGTCATGTATGTACTCATCCTAAAGAAACTGGCTCATCAAGTATATTATAACCTGTGTATGTATTCACTTGAGAGGAGTTTCTGCATTGGAAATGGAGGTAACTAGAAGGAATTTGGTTAAAATTGCTACAGATATGTAGCATCTTTCCATTCTATTGGAAAAGGGTACAATATTGAAATGCTTTTAGGTTGTCGGAGACATTGGTTTGAAAACTGTAACATACATTTACTCCTTTCAAACAAAACAAAACTTATTATATGGGGTAGTGAAGAGCAGGAAAATGATGAATGGTCCCTGCCTCATGTTTTGGCCACCAGTCAGTCAAATAGTTTTCAATCATGTTTGGCAGCTCAGGCTGAGTACACGGAATTCACAGCAGTCTGTTCTCTTCCAAAAGAGAGAAACAAATTAGGGGGTTAATCCTTGCTGTCTGATGAACTCCCACTGTCCGATTCACATGCTGCTGAACAAACAGCTTTATAGGCTCTGTTTGCAAAAAGCGTTTATCATCCAAAGATTTTTTTTTCTTTTTTCCAAACCCTCTACTTATGTCATCTTGTAAAACAGACAGTTGGGAAAGTATGAGGGGTTGAGCATGGTTGGGAGGAATGAGTTGTCATAGTTACTGTTTATAAATATGGGTCTGAACAAATTCCAATGCTGGTCATACTTTGGAAACATCTTTTTAATTAGACGGCCAGTAACTTAAAGTTGCATACTCTGTGTTGTCACACAAGAACAACACAGGTCTCTGGAATTAAGTAATTTAATCTAATTTTAAAAGACAATTTTAAAAATTATTGCTACTCTTACGGGGAAAAATGGAGCATTCTCCATATCTTAAAGTAAAATTTTTGGTGAAATAATATAATACACATGAACTTATTTAAATTATAATCTAAAAATAGTAGAGAAGACATCCAAAATCAAAGTTATTACTCAAATGTCCCCCCACCTCATCTATTCACTTTCTCCTCCAAGATACTTCCACATAGTCACCGTTGTAACTTTAATTATGAATAAGATAGTGCACTAAGATTATATAAAACCAGTAATATCAGGTTGCTTACTATATTATTTTGAGGCACACTTCTTAGAATTTCTATAAAAGTTTTTCAGAGAATGAAGAACACTGAAAGCTTAATTTGGGAGTTGGGGAAAGGTGTACTGTATTTTCATTACAGCAAAGAAGCTGCAATATAGTATCATGGGAAGACCTCCCTGGCTCAAGAAGCAGCAGTTTTCTGTGCAGACCCAGCTCTTCATGCTGAGCACATTAACTCCTGCCTCAAAAACATGACATCCAAACTCGGGGCTCAAAACAGGTGCTCAGTATATATTTGTGGAATGAATGAACACCTAAAAGGTGGTCTAACCACATGGAGTGGCATAAAAGCAGAAAAAACAAGAGGTATATCAACATTACATTCTTCACTTTCAGTGGAACAATGACAGAAAATTGAAAGGCATTAGGTTCTGGAAGCTGAGCAATAAATAAAAATGCTCTCTTTTGAGATTGGCAAATTTGTTGTTTTCTTCAGCCCAGCATTAGGCAGCAATCCACAGTCACCAGTGGTAACCTGTCAGTTGCACAAATGAATGAACTGCAATAGAAAAGAACAGGTGCATGCTCTACATTCACAGTAAAGGGGGAGAGAAATGAGAAACATAAAAAGAAAGGGGGATTGAAATCAAATAGCCCAGGTTCAATTTCCACCTGCCCCCTGAGCAGCTATGTGTTTGTGTAGACTCTCAGAGCCTCAATGGCTTCATCTGTAAAACGGGAGTTAATAATAACACTTACTTTATAGGATTGGGTGAAGTTCAAATGGCGTGTGTGATAAGTGCTTTATAAGCTATACAGAATAAAATAAATCAGAAATTCCAGTCTAAATTTTGCTCCTCAATGCCAACCACATTAGTTTGCTTAGCTGCTGTAACAAAATCCCACAGACAGGGTGGCTTAAACAACAGAAATGTATTTCTCACAGTTTGGAGGCTTCAAGTTGAAGATCAAACTGTTGGCAGGGCTGATTTCTTCTGAGGTCTCTTTCTGTGGCTTGCAGATGGCCGCCTGTTCTCTGTCTCTTCACAAGGTGGTCCCCCTCTGCATGCCCCTAGTGTCCCTTTGTGTGTCCAAATTTCTTCTTCTGATAAGTCACATTGAAGCAGACCCCACCCTAATAGCTTAATGGCCTAATTTTAATCTTTTCAAGATGAAATATCTCTAAATACGATCACCTTCTGAGGTACTAGGGGTTAGGGTATGTGTGAATTTGGGGAGGAACAGAATTCAACCCACAACACCAATTAAATGAGCTTTAATATAAAAATGTGGTGGGTGGGATATTGAAACAATGCTGAAGGCTGATCGGCTGACTAATTAGCACAATGGCAGAATTAAATTACAGCATTTGGAAAGAATATATTATAATTGTTAAGAAAACAAGTCCATTACCAAATAACATATTTATTTCCGCCAATGGCCTCGCAACATTAACAGCTAAATGGAGTAGCTAATGGACTTTAGATCATAAGAAATGATTCATATAGCTACTCTTCCCTGGTGCTAGAACACAATCTTTCAATTTAATAGGGCTCAGTGAAGAAAGTGCCACTGCTTCCTTAGATGGCTGAATTGTCTGTGCCCAGTTCCCAACCCCTCCATCCCCCAATTTTTTCACTAAACTTTTTCAAGTTATTTCAGACAATCATCAAATATTCGCTCAGCATTGTATTAACTGTCATGATATATATAACAAATGAAGGTAACACTTATTGAAAGCTTACCACATACCAGGCATTATGCTGTTTTACATATTTTATATTGTTTAATCTTCATACAGACCAATAATGTTTGTATTGCTATTATCCCAATTTTAACATAGATGAATTGAGGCTGAAAGAAGTTGATGACTTATTTATTTGGTAAGTGAAGGAGCTAAAGTTCAAACTCAGATCTGTATAACTCCAGAGTACATATTCTCATTTGTTACCTCATGTGGCCTTTTTATCTTAACCCTAACTGGACTTCTAAGTTAAATTTCACTGATAAAGTGATTACTGCTAAAGATTAGGCCACACCAAAGTCACAGCAAATCTGCACAGAAATAAAATTTTAAATATGAAAGATATCTCTATCTAATTAGAAAAATCAAGTTATTTGGGGAACCTCCCTAATTGAAGTATCCTCAATTTCTTCCAATCTTTTCTAGGTCACACAAGAATACCTTCCAGGGGCCGCATAGTTGTGGGACATAAAACCAGTTTAAGGCTTTAAAACGTGAAATTCTAGTTTCAGCCCAACATTGACACATAACTTCTCAGATGGTACCTGAGCAACATAATATATCTCAGAGGTTTTAGTTTACAATTAATGTAGCAAATTCTTAGATTTAAGTAAGTACACATTGAGGATATCTAGTAGAGTCAGCAGCACAGAGTTCACAGTACACATACGTTAGTTAGTTAGATATGATTCCTGCCCTAGATGTGTTTATTGTCTAGTGGGGAAAATGACAAGAGTATGGCATGTGCCACAGACAGAATGACGTGGAAGCCAAAGACAAAGAAACTTACTTTGGAAGATTCAGGAGTACCTTCTCCAAAGAGGTCGCATGAGCTGAGTTTAGTGTGGTCATACAAAATGTAGACCAGGTATGGGACTTCAGGTTTAACTTGGCACACCCTTTTCTTTCCACAATCACCTCTCACAACAACCAACAGCACAAAAAAAAAGGCGAAAGACATCTGTAACACTGAACCACACAAAATGAAGATGTCAAGCAGATACAGGAATTCTTACTGACTCAGCACAGTAAAGCTAGAGTAACTTATGTACCCATGGGGCAATCTTAGGGTATACCTGAGAGAAACAAATGCATTACTGCGAAGAACCTTAGGAAGGTGCAGGAATTAGAGGTACCACATACCACTAAAGCAGGGTAAGTCATAGGGTTGAAAGCAGAAAGTTTTTTAGAAAGCAGTATGAAAAGCATATACACCCTTAGGTCCCTAAGCCCTTCATGCCCAATGAGGCAACTGAAACCCACATCCTTCCAATGCCAGGAGATAGTAGTATCAGTCTCACTGTAAGTGACTCAGAAAGGCTTGTGACTTAGTGACCTGGGCACAGTGGAAGGTGAGGTGAGGTGAGACATCAATCTAAGAACAAGGAGGTGAAATGAAAGCCTACATAGAAGACAATGAGAACCCCCCACCCACCTAGTCTCCTTCCCCATTCAGTTCCCAGACACCAGCAGCCCTATTCCTAGCTATGCATAAATACACTCAATGAAGCAGCCTGAGTAAACAGAGGGTCCTGGGAAGTAAGAACTAGGAGTAAGAAGAAACTGGATACTGTCTGGTAAGTTTGATCATGTGGGAAAAGTCTTATAGGGTGAGAAATGGGTACAAAGAAAGAGTCAATTATTGGTCCCAGGATTTAAAAAAACAAACAGGAAAGCAATGTAAACACTAAATGTTGATTTAATAAAAAATGTGAAATAACTATGTTGTAAAGAAATAGGTCAGGGAAAGGAGGTACAATAAAGCTAAATCCTTACCTACAATAATAGGAAATCAATGTATAATGTTTAAAATTGATATCTCAAGCTGTAAAGTACATTATTTAGATTTTAGACAAATTGATGTGAACAGCTAAAAGAGTTGAAAGTGTTGTTCTTGGGGAACAGGTAAAGGTGCACAAGGAGTGAGAGAAAGGGGCTGCTAGTTTTTATTATAAGCCTATCAGCACGAATTGTCATCTTTAGCTATGCATTATCCCCTGGATAAATTTAAAACATAATTTTAAAGAGAACAGTATGAAACAACGTCACTGCAGGGGGTTGGAATAAGGTACACTAAGAGTACACTCTATACGGCTAAAGGTAACAGTAACTGCACTATAAGCACTGTACTCTAGTTGATACAGCTGTTCTCCACAGGAGTATGAGTTAACAATTCTGAAACAATACATCTATGCTGGAACTGGACAATGAATGGTGGGTGAAGGGAACCAGATTTTCACTATTGGGATCTTACAGAAAAGCAAGAGGACAAAGTTAGAATGTGGTGAAAGATTAGAGTTGGAGATATCAGTATGTGTTCATGTTTATCTTAATAGATACAAATGATTACACAGAGAAATACTTATAGATATGTGTATACAGATGGGTTAGTATACACACATACATCTTCTTGTTCTTTCAGCTGAGAAGACCTAGAAGCAATGACACTCTAGGTGTAATGAGCATAACTAACACCAGATACATATTTTTAATGCCATTCTCCACTAAAAAGAACCAGGGTTCCTTGGAGAAATGGCTGATTCTAGGACTGGAGCAGGAAGTATGAGAGATAAGCCAAGAGCATTTTGTGTTGCCAGAAAGTAAGGAAGGGCTAAAAAAGACCAAAAACCAAAAAACCCCACAACAATGGGAGTATGCCAAAGGGACACAAGAGCCACTGAAAGAGTTCCCAATGGCCATGGCCAAGGCTGTAACAATTTGAGCAACATAATAAATAAACTAGTACTAGATTATAACCAGTACTTATAGAATAAGTATTCATGTATCTACATTAATATAAATAAGCTATAAAATAAAAAAGGAAAATAGATAAATCTCCTGTGTGGAAGAATTATGGATAATATATATATACAAACTACACCCTTAAAGAGGTGGAGTATAATGCCATCTTGTTTTTTTAAATCCTGGAATTAATAACTGCCTCTTTCTTTGTACCTGTCTGTCTCTCACCTTACAACTCTTTAGTGTGGGCTACACACAGTGTAGTGATTTCCTTCCAAAGAGTGCAATGTGTAAAAGGAGGAAAAAAAAGAAAGAGAACCCTGATGAACACTACCTCAGCCAGGTGATCAAAGTTACCATCAACAGCAATAAGCATTTTGATAGTTTGCACCCTTGATGTGATGATGAGAATGGCAATTTACCTCTGTGGTCTTCCTCCCTAAAACACATTACCCCAGTCTAAACTTTTGAAAAACATATGACAAATCTCAATCGGAAGCATGGTACAAAATATCTGACCATGCTCTTCCAAACTGTAAAGGCCATCAAAAACAAGAAAATTCTAAGAAACTATCACACCAAAAGGAGCCTAAAGGATGTGACTTCAAATGTAGTGTGGTACCCTGTATAAGATCCTGGAACAGGAAAAGGATATTAAGGAAAAACAGAGGAATCTAAATAAGCTATGGACTTCAGTTAAAAATATTCAATATTTGTTCATTAATTGTGACAAATCTACCATACTGATGTAAAATGTTAATAGTGGGAGAACTGGGTGTGGGCTATATGGAAACTCTGTACTATTTTACAAAAATTCAGTAAATTTAAAACTATTCTAAAATTTTTAAAAAATCATTTTTAAAGATAATGGTCATGAATTTCCAGTTATTTCCTGCTCGAACTCTCCATTTTAAACTCACACATTTCTAAAACTCTGGGAAGAAATAAAGTTGTATAATAAAGAATATTTTTTGGTTTAATTCATATCTATGATCCCATTGAATACTGGAACTTTCTGAATCTTATGCAATAACCTTCACTATTCTTTTGAAATGCTTCAGATCATCATGACACATAAATAGGAACTGGAAGATGGAGGCTGTATTAGGATACTTTGTCAACAAAAACCAACCAATTTGGGCCAACTGGGACAAAATTAAAAGATGTATTGGCAAGATATGCGTCAACTCGCATACTCTAAAGTGAAGCTACTCAACCGGGGCTTATAAAGGAAGGGAAGTAGGCAAGTCAAGGCAAGCAGCAGGATATCCTGCCTTCTCTTCAGAAAACTCTCCTAAGAGGAATCAGATCTCTCTCTTTTCCATTCTTACAGGGATTCTACTCAAAGCTCAAATTCTCAGGGCAGAGATAATCTGGATAGCCTCAACTGAATCATGTGATCACCTCCAGGCAGAAACGAGAAGAAAATCTTAATTGGGATGCCACTTGGCCTGTATGCAAAGTGGGAGAGGAGGTTCTCTTGAGTAATTAAGGTACTATTTCCAGAAAAAGAGGAGGCAGATTCTGGGGAGGCTGAAACATCGGCTGCCTAAGTTCCTTTAAGGAACTTACAATCCAAAGGGAAGGTTGAGGCAAGCAGTGTATTTAGAGCCGAGCATCCTGAAATAGAGGACAGAGGAGGTGAATTACAAAGCAGGGATACGTGACCCTCAAGAGAGGAATCCTAAGATCTGTCCTGAATACTGGGAGGACTGTGATGGAGGACACAGTCAGACAACTGTGAGGTCTTCTGGAAAAGGAGCATTCAATGAGAAATAAGTATGGAAAAACCCAAATGACTTAAAATTCATCAATAAAGAGATGTAGCTCATTTGCTCTACATGGGTGGGTAGTATGTTTTCTCTTATTTCCTTTTATGCAAATATTATTTTCAGAGTGAACTTTTTTTTAGAATATGTACAAATCCATGAATGAAAATGAAAAATTATGTTCAGCCTTAGGCATGTTTCCAGTGATCAACTGTAGTTATTTTGGTGTTCAGCATTACAGCTGTAGGCTTCTAGTTACAGAATGTGTACACTCCTGGAATAGGAAGTTACAGATGCTTCAGGAGCTTTGGACACAGGAGAGGCACGGAAAAAAAATCTTCCCAAGGCTGCAGCTCTTAAAAACATAGGCCCCTGAAGTAGCAGGACAGGAAGGCTAGTTGTAGGAATCAGTTATCATTGGGCAAGTCAGTGTCAAGGAGTGCTCAACAGTTCTCTGGCTCTTTGATTCTTTCCTTAAACAAAAAGCTTTCCAGTCATGTGAGGCAGGTAAAACGGATAACCCTGGAAACTGACATCCTGTGTCACAATCCATCTTTTATGATAACTTAGAAGATTTCCCTCTGATTATTCCATCAGTGATTTCAATGCCAAAAAGCCAGCTGCAGTAAGTAATTTTTCCCATTTTTGACTGTACAATGGACCATAATTGGCAGAAATGTATCCCACAAGTCAGTATCTAACCTACAATTTCAGCTTACATCAACAAATTTTTCCAAACTGCCAAGTGTTATTCCATCTGAGCAATCGCCTTGTTCCTGGCATCTGAGTATGCCACTTCCTGTTCGGTGTGCTGGAGGTGGGGAACATTATGGCGAGTTGGAGTCAGCAAACTGGGTTTGAAATTAGCCTAGTGGAATTCCGAACAAAGTCCCTTACTGTAATTTTAAAATAAATCATCCCAAAATGACAAAGTAGGACCAAGGATGTATTCCCCTCACTGAAAACTGAGACGTTTAATGGAAAAAAGAATGCCAAAGCTGCAGGGAAAATTACTATTACACACAAAAAAATTGTATTTCAGATTTGTGGACACAAGTCAATTATATTTCCTAAACCTGTTCAAGGGATAGATAAAATGCCAGCCAACCTCACAGTGTTTATTATATCTATTAATTTTCTACCACCAATACTTGCTGAAAGTACCACAAAAGGATTCCTGGAGCTCTGTAAAGGGCCCTGTTCTTTTCCTTTCACAATCTTACTTCCATTGCTAAAAACTGCTCTGTGATGGAGGCATTCAAGGAATGAATCAAAACTGTTTTTTTCTCATATTTAGCTTGTAGTAACCACCCTTGCCTTTTTATAGCTATAAAGTCCTTGGGTTGCTGTCTCCTTTTACAAAACTAATCGAAGCAAAACACAAACAAAAACTTCATACGCAAAGACAGGTGAAGTTGTCTGATGACATATTGAAAGTACTCAATAAATGTTTTTCAGATTAATTTTAAAATGACAGTATCTCCACACTATTATAATTTTGTCTACTGAAAAAAATGACAAAATCTGTTTTGTCTACATATCTCAACTTACCACCACAATCCTCCAACACACACAGCACAATTAAGTAGAGAAGCTTGAATACAATGAAATGAACAAGAATTACTTTCTTTAAAAGCCATTTATAATCACTTTGTAAACCCAAAGTGTGTTTAGGAAATATTATTTTGCAATTTTTTTCCTGTGGTGTTCAAGGTAATTATGTGGGTGTGTAAACAACAAAGCAATGGCTAAGAAATAAATAACCACAATATCTTGTTTTGCATAAAGTTTTCAGCAATAGGCAAGACTTTAGACTGAATAATGATAACATAAGTAGCTAGACAACCAAAATAGCTTCCCATAAACTGACTCTTCGAAAACTTTAGCTGATAAGCAATTTTTCTGAGAGATGGGAAACACAAAGAATTTACTCTCCATCCTGAAATCATACCTTGGAGCCTTGGCTAGAAGGGGAATTAGAAACTATCATCCAATAAAGCTTGAAAGCTTTTAATGGGTGGAGGGCCAAAACACTGAAAAGATAGAGGAGAGTCCAATCCATTTAATTTCCTCTTCCTACACCTAACATGCTTCTTCTCTTTGCAAAGCTCCCTGCCTCTCACTTTCATTTAAGAATTAATTTACCCACAACCTTGAGCTAGGGAAGCACACCGCATTTGTAACTTGAGAGCAGATAGGTATTTACTGTGCTGGAAGTACCACAGCGATGATGTGTTTGGATTAGCAAGACTTCAGATGCCAGAGCAAAAAGCAAAGGACCATATGTGTTGTAACCAGTTTTTAAAATGCTGCCAGCCCCACCAGCAGTGTGGACAATTGTCCATATGTATGGGACATCTGGAGCTATATACATGGTTGCCTAATTGCTTGCTCAATGCTTTTGCATGTTTAGTAGAATTAAAGGATTCCTCTTCTTATCAGAGAGTCATGGGACCTTTCCCCCTAGAATATTATTTGAAGCCCCTCCTTTCTAAGAGAAGAAGGGGTATGAGGATGTTGGTTGACAGGTGCTTGTGCATGTGTGAGGTGGGAGGAGAGGAGCAGGAGAAAGAGGATAACACAGTTGGTCCTGGCCTCTACAGAGTGAGAATGTCATTATCAGATGAGATGTCTGCATGTGGCATGGCTTGCAGATTCTGCTCAGCAGAACATTTTTCTTCCACTGCGCCTCCTCATGAGGGGCTCAAAATGGCCCCATTTAGAGATAGAGAGGAAGTTTCAGAAGAAAGCGTATGGAATCATTCTATGTAGCCGAGGGAGATTTGATCTCTGAGACTATTTAAAGACTCTAAGCCTCCAGCAATATAACCAGGTTGTTTCTCTTAATACTCCTTCGAGGTAGGTCAGACTCTACCATTTCCTTCAAAGAACTGGCAAAGGAATTCACATTCCTTTATTTTAGCATTATTTCTGTAAAACTCTGAAGAAAACCTATATAAGGTCAGACATTTGGCTAGCACATGTCTGATTTAATACATCTATGAAAAAATAATAACCTGTTTATATGCCCCTGAGTCCTCAAAATAGCCTTATCTTTTAATGTGCTCTTTAATAAGCATTTTAATCATTATTATTATACTAGAACTTTGAGACTTTTTTTCTGACATTAAAAGGCTACATTAAAACAAACAATATGCTCACGAAGTTGTATTTGGCACATAGAGGATATATTCACATTCGCATACAAGACAATAGAAAGAATGGCTTTCTTACCACCTTGCTCACAGTGAAAAGACAGAACATGAAAGTAACCTGAAGTGAAAACCTACTAATGTTATAAGACTTGACTTCTAAAGTAAGGTATAAAACTTTCAAAATAACATTTCTAATCTCTTTCAATAAAACAAATGCATTTCATATGTTAAAATAATCCTGAATGACCTTTGTCCAGCTAAAGCTTCCTAATAAGAGAAAAACATCACAAATGAATCATTCATCTGGTTCTGGGGGGTCAGAAAGGCAAAACATTGTCCTGTAATTAAGCACTTTGCATGCGGTAGCTCATCCGATCCTCACAGCACCAGCTAATGGGTGGGCACCGTTATCATCACTTTACAGATGGGGAAAGGGAGGCTCTGAGAACTTACTTGACATCACACAGTCAAGCTGCACAGCCAGAACTCGACCAAAGGTCTGGCCGATACTACAGCCTGTGCCCTTACCTTATGAACGATGCTGCTTCTGGGCTGCTTTATAAAACCTGGCTTCAGTAAAATGCCCACAGAAATGGCAGAAATAATAGGGAAATCAGACTAAATCAGGTTACATGGGAAAACCTGAGAATGTCAATATTTACATTCTTTAAATTTGCATGGTTTTCTATACATGGTCAGTAGTAGGGTTTCTGAGATTAAAAGATTTAGTTTTGTTGCCAGGAAGGCCTGATTTTCAGGAAGCTTTATAGAGTGGGCCCTGATGGCTCAGGACCGCATGACAAGAGGAGCATGGGCATTATACAAGAGAAACAGGATGTAAGTAAAACTCAGTGTGATGTCATTATCACCAGGAATCATTGAATCACCCTCTAAGAAACAGACATAACATATGGCCTAGAAGCTGGGAAAGTGCAAAGGGGACTTCTTATTTGGATGAGGGCATTGGCATGAAAAGGCAAGTGCAAGGCCCAAAGACTCTTTTCACACCTGCCACTGTGCTCTCAGACCCCTGGGTGAGAATATGCACCAGCCTGACCCTTCCTGGACTAAACATAAACTTGGCAGGAACAAATGATCAAATGATCCCTTCATTGATGAGGTGCATTTTTGAAGTAGCAAATAAGTCATTTGCATTTTGGAGCAAGGGCTTCTTGTGGTTGATGTCTTATATGTTTTGTTTTGTTTTGTAACTACTTTCGGTGCAAACCTGCTCTCTCCTGCTCCACCTCTTTACTTACCCAGGGGAACCTTCTGGTGGGTAAAAAGCACGTGGATCGCTAAAATATTAATATAATTCAAGAAAATGGTTTTGGTCTTATAGTATTCACATCATAAAAAGTCCTAACTACAACTATTAAATTATAGATAATAATATCGATTTCTTTTTACTGCATCTTTCAGTCCTCTCCTACATGTACTGGTGTAACAGTAAGAGTCCATCTAGTATAGAGTGAAGCCCATATATGGAAAGTCTTAAAAACCTGGTTCAAGTCCTGACTCAGCCTTCTGTGTGACTTCAACAAGATACTTGACCTTTCAGAATTTCCAACTTAAAATAAGAGGAAGGATAAGATTATAACACTACTTCAGCCGGGCGCGGTGGCTCACGCCTGTAATCCCAGCACTTTGGGAGGCCAAGGCAGGCAGATCATGAGGTCAGGAGATCAAGACCATCCTGGCTAACACGGTGAAACCCCGTCTCTACTAAATATACAAAAAATTAGCCAGGCGTGGTGGCAGGCCCCTGTAGTCCCAGCTACTCAGGAGGCTGAGGCAGGAGAATGGCATGAACCCAGGAGGCGGAGCTTGCAGTGAGCTGACATCACACCACTGTACTCCAGCCTGGGCGACAGAGTGAGACTCCGTCTCAAAGAGAGAGAGAAAAAAAAGATTATAACACTATTTCACCTACTTCATGTTAAATGGGAATATACATTTTAAAAGGTACTTTACAGATTTAAAAAGTATCATACACATGATAACCATTGTGGTTATTCATTGTGCAAAAGTACATATCCTTGTACAATGGTGACAAGGATGGAGAAAGGTAGCAAAGGGTCTAGATATGACATAGTAAGCAAAAGCCTTGAAATAGAGTTTTAAAACTACTTCTACTTCAGGTCCACCCTGAACTAGATGTATCATATTGGGCAAGGCATTTAACCTCTCTGGACCAATATCTCTTCATCTATCATAAATGTGAATGGAAAGAAGGGGAAAAAAACCCCACAGACCGGCCACACAATGGCTAGGATTTACTTGTTCCCTCTCATTTAATCCAAACATAGGCTTCATAAGAAGCATCATGTCTCCTGTCATGGATAAAGAGAACTGACACTAAAAACTCAGTGAAGAGGACTCAAAGTCCATGGTGGTGGCTTCAGAATCAAACCTGTTCTGCTGACTCCAAATCCCGTGCTCAACCTGGTCGAGCACTACACAAAGGAAAGGGCAGTCACTACAGCTTTGATCAAGGTGATTTATAAGGGTTTCTTTTAGCACTAAAATTTCATGAGTCTGAAATTTGATTAGTTTTTCCACTTAATGAAAAATAAAAGCCTAAGTAATCTGGGTTAAACATGTCTTCAGCTTTTATATCACCTCCCTGTATAAATGTTCCCATATATTCACAGACAGGCAGGCTGGCTACCAGAGTTTCTTAGATGTCCACTCCCAGCTCTCCTCTGGGGGATGACATGACTCATGTCATTGGGCTATTATAACTCATCTGTTTTCACAAAAACAGAGGCCAATAACAGCAGGACAGTCACACCACTGGTTTCCAATACTGTGAGAAAGAGCTGCCCACACATCCCCAGCTCCATGGACAGAAAATAAACACAGCTCTCCCTCTCATTAAAAGGAAATTGCTGAATTTATAGCATGACATTCTCATGGTAAGTATACTGAAGAGAGGGAAAAGAAAACCACTGAAAAAGTCTCCTCTCTGACCAATGCCTGTAACAGAAGAAAAATATTAGAGGAAGGCTGCCTTGTGTTAAGTAGAAAGCCTCTAACTCCATTTTATTTCCACCGTTACTGATGTAATTGTGAATTCCTGCTGCATTTATAATTAAGAAAGAAACAGATGGTAACGCTTAGCATGAAGCAATAAGGAGTGGCCATTAAAACAATCTAGAATGCCAGCGGTTGCATATGATATCAGAGGTTTAGTTTACCATAACAAAGTTTTATATCCATGGGAAAAGAGAAGAGAAATTAAGGTCCTTTCTCTCCCCCAAGATCCATTCACATCACAGCTGCCCCTTCATTGAAGGCACATTGCACATCACAGGCAGATTCCAACTTGTTTCATTGCTGGATACAAAACAGGTCATATCTTGGTTTTATTATAAATTGCCATCACAAGTGGCAAAACAAGAAATCCAAGATGGAACACTGACCAAGCTTTAGAAATACAGTTGGTGAGACACTAGAGAAACACAAGAATCACAAAAATCACACTTGGGTGATGGGGCAGGCTGAGGGTAGAGGGAAAAATTCCAGAATCCTATGGGAATGTGGCTGAAAGCCCAGATCTCTTAGAGAATATAAGGGTCTATGAAATCATGATACAAAAGGAAAATAAAACACCTCTTCCCCAGAATATATGGTGTGTGTGTGTGTGTGTGTGTGTGTGTGTGCGCATGTGTATAAAACTGAAAAGAGAAATAGCTGCATAATTTTTCCAGTAAGGCAAACTTCAATGACAATGCCAACTAGCTATTTAAAGAGTAACCTATCTCCCATTCTCCCACTATACACATGAATGTTTTTGTCTTTGGTAATCAGCTTCCTAAGCAATGTCCCAACCCTCAAATGTGCCTTCAGATTTTTCTCTGAGGTAATTTCATCTCATTGTAGTTCATGCCACAGTTTCATAGGGATCCAGTTCCCATGGCGGGGAGGTCGCTCTCTAAATCCATGAACCTGTCCAAGCAGCAGCTTTCACTGTTATCAATCTGCTTTTGTCCTTAACAGTCTCTGTCACATGCCAACCTCCAGTCTACATCACTAATCTCTCTTGCAAGATGCATTGCAGGAGAGTGGCTTCACCTTTAGAACATCCCAAGGCAGCTAATTATCAGACCTTTCTGTTATGAATAGTACTGCACATCACAGAATAATGAGGAGCAAACCTTAAGAATTCTGAAATATATTGTCAATCTTTTCTCTTTCTGTCTCTCTCTTCTCTCTCTCTTCTCCCTCTCTCCTCTCTCTCTCGTCTCTCTCTCCTCACACACACAGACACACACACACACACACACACACACACACACACACGTTGCAGTGGGGGAGAAATCCAATAAAGAGGCAGTATAGAATAGAATGAAGGGACAGGTGGAGCCTTGGGAACCATCAGTAAAAATGTTAAAAACCTGTGAACTCATTTTCTGCCTGGATGATCCTTAAGAAAATGTTCTTAATGTTCAGAGCCTCCAATTATATGACAAAAGTCACATTTGAGATTCATTATGTCACAACCATCAGAAAAGCAACTAGAAGACTATTCATATTGGCACTTCTGCCAACATTTTCCTATCAACAGCACATTTATTAACAGTAGGATAGGACTCAACAAGTCTTTTCTCATGACCTGTACAGGATACAGGAGGAGAACCCTAAAATTGAGAAAATGGAATACCAGCATCCACATTGCCCAGGATAACTCTCAGGTTTACCTGGGATGCTAGATATAAGCCCATAGAGAGGCTAGGAACAACACATCAAAGGAAACACTGATACTCCACAGCACAGTAGTAGCTCTGGCCAATTAGTGAAGCCATAAAAAGTAGTAATTGGCTCCATTTTCAAAGTTCTGTATACCTTCCCATGGCAGAGACTGCTAGTTAGTCACCAACCCCATTCTCCCGTTCTTCAACAGCAGTAACAATAGAGTTATGGTTGGGTATGGCTATTTTGATAGGCTACATTCCCCAGCCTCCCCTTCACTTAGGCATCCTGGTGTTTTTAAGCTCACTAGTGGTTTGTGAATGGAAGTTCTATGTGCCATTTCCAGGTCTGAGCTTTATGATGATCCATGTTCTCTGTCCCTTTTCCAGGTGACAAGCCAGCTTCTGCAAAGTAAATGATGGCAGTGTCCTACGTGACAGCAGGGCAACAAGATAGAAGGAACCTCTCACCGAATGACCATGCAGAGCAAAGTTACTCATCAGGCAATGACTACTCATACCAGGATTGCTACATGAGCAGTAAATAAACTTCTTTGTTATTTGAGCCACTAGATTGTTGGTTCTCTGTTACAGCAGCTATACTTTACCCTAATTAGTACATTCTCTAAATAAGAACAAAATATATTACAAATACAAAATATATTATGAATATAATTCACTGGTCAACATTTGTTTGCCTTATCTACTGAGCTGTCTCTATCAATCTGCCTTGATAAATGCTCCTCCTACATTACTTTGGCAGATTCTATTTTCTAATAAGCACTAACTAATAGCTTATTAGAAAATAGACTTCTTAAAAATCTATTGTTTGACTTTCTAGAAATCTTTCCAAGGTTCTCCTATGGTCTGAGCATTTGTGTCCTCCCAAAATTCATATGTGATGTGACAGGAAGCAGGGTGTTTGGAAGGTGATTAGGTCATGAGGGCAGAGTCCTCATGAATGGAATTAGTGTCCTTATAAAAGAGGCCCCAGAGAGCTGCCTTGCCCCTTCCACCACAGGAGGACACATAGCAAAAAAGCCCCATCTATGAGAAAGTGAGCCTTCATCAGACACTGAGTCAGCTAGCTCCTTGGTCTTGGGCCTCCCAGCCACCAAAACTGTGAGAAATAAGTTTCTGTTGTATATAAGCTATGTAGTTGGTGGTATTTTATTATAATTTTGTTATAGCAGCACAAATGGACTAAGACAGGCTCCTACACAATCTCAATCATATTTATACACATATATGCATACATACTTCCTTCTATTTCCATATTCTTGTGCTGTATGCTGGGGTTGAGAGGTGAGTTTACAGAAGCCCAAGACATAGACTTTTATTCACATAAATTCCTATTCTAAGTAACTAGCATTACCTCTTTTATCCAGTTTATTTTTTAAAATACTTTTCTAAGACCTCTGATTTTGGAAAGGGTAAGTATCCTTATCCACATTACATGAGGGAAAACTAAGGCTGAGAGGAGTTAATATAATTTCCAAGGAACACAGGATGTATTCTGGAACAAAGTTCCCTGTCTTTCCATCAGTTGTCTAGGGCAGCATTCTCAAAGCATGATTTTTGGATGCTCATGTAAAATGCACAGCCCAGATGCCCCCTCCATACCCGGTGACTCAGAATTGCCTGGGGCTGTGGCAGGAATCTGCATTTTTGACAAATGCCTCAACTGATTCTCATGCAAATTAAGCAGAGTATTATTCTAGACAATGGAATACCTCAAGTCAGCTCAGCAGCATCTCAATAGCTTCTGATAAAAATTCATTTATAACATTTAATGTAATCACAACTGCATGCTAACAGTCTTTCCCCAGATTTTCAACTTTCTGTCTGCCCAAGTACCCAAACTTATCCAATTTTTTACTAACAAAACCTGGCTTCTAGGAACTCAAGTAATATCTCCATACAGGTTTACCAGTCTTTTTTTTTTTTTTTTTTTTTTTGGTTAAGACAGGGCTGAATTTATTTTCAAAAGGAATTTCACCATGTGTAAAGGGAAAACAAAGTCAAAGAAACCCCAAAGCACAGAAATTAGTAGGCAACTAAAAGCTTTTCTTAGCTGGGAGAAAGCCTTGTTTCTTTTCCTCAATTCAACCCTATTGGGGAAACCATGACCCGAGGTCCTGCTGTTTGGCTCACGCTGCTCTCAACATCCTGCTTTCTTCACACACCTCTCCCTCTTGTCAGATGGGCACCAGCTGTAATGCTATAATGTGGGAGACAATCTGAGAGTCAGCTTTGTATGGGGCAGTGTTCATCAGCTGTTCTTAAGCCATCCACTTTCCTATCCTATTGGTCACAGCTACTGTGCCTTCATCTGTAACCACATGCTTATGGGTCTGATATGGTGTGGCTCTGTGTCCCCATTCAAATCTCATCTCAAACTGTAATCCCCACATGTTAGAGGAAGGGCCTGGTGGGAGGTGATTGGATCATGGGGGTGGATTTCTCCCTTGTTATTCTCATGATAGTGAGTGAGGTCTCACAAGATCTGATGGTTTTAAAGTGTGGCACTTCCCCCCTCACTCTCTCTCTCTCTTTCTCCTGTCACCATGTAAGATGTGCCTTGCTTCCCCTTGGCCTTGTGCCATGATTGTATGTTTCCTGAGGCCTCCCTAGCCATGCAGAACTAAGAGTCCATTAAACTTCTTTTCTCTATAAATTACCCAGTCTCAGGTAGTTCTTTATAGCAGAGTGAAAATGAACTAATACAGGGCTACTGTCTACTGAGGACCTCAAAGCACTCTACTGTCATCCAATCAAAGAATATCCATGCTTACAAATGACCCTATACAGTAATCAGCTCATACAGGGCTGCTGTATTACACAATACCAAGAGGGGCTGTTCAGATTCTATTTCATGTGAACTGTGCCCATGGAGTCTGTAGAATGCAAGTGGCACCCCTTGGAGTTGTGCAACTGGCAGTATTGCATAAAGTTGTCCTAAACTGTGCATCAGAATGACCCAGGCAGCTTGTTGCAATTATGGATTCTGGACCTTTGCTCCTCTCCCCAATCTCCTTTCTCCTCCCTTCACCTGAAGTGTGATTCAGGACTCTGAGATGGGCCCTTTTTAAAAAGCATCTGTGGTGATTCTGATGATCAGCATGGTTTAAGAATAAATAATCTCTCCCAACTCTCCCATTTTGCAGGTGAATGAACTGAGTCGTCAGAGGACCAGGTGACAGATCAAAGTCACATCCAGATGATAAGTCAGAGCTGCAATCAGATCCCAGATCTCATGACTCTTAACAAGGGTCTTTTGCCATTATCATTTAAATAACAAAAAACAAAAACAAAACAACAATGTAAACATTACTGGGAGGATAAAAAGTAGTATAAGGCATCCCAAAGGCAAATGTCAAATGCTATTTGTATTCTCTATCTGTGGATCACCTGCACTGTGACATCATTCAGCGGCAAACGTGGCCCTATTTATGTCATGAACACATAACTCGGGTTAAACTGAGGAGAGGAAATGTTGGGAGAGGAGAGCTTTAGAGTCAAAGGAAAGATGTTAAAGAAAAGTTGGCTCCCCTAAAGACATCTATCAAAGAAAGTATCAAGTAGGAAGCCTGCTGGCTGCCTTGAGCTAGGTGACCCTGTGAGGTCACCATATTCAGAGTTTGGTTCTGCTAGGCAGACTTAGGGAATTGATTTATGCCAATTCAACACATTAAAGCTTTATCAAGGAGCTGGAGGCCTGTGGTATTTTGGTCTTGAGAAGTATCAACAGTGTGGCACCTAGGAAAGAGTATTTCCTCCTAGAAGGCAAAGACACTCCAAACACCAGCAGCTGGCTCCACCAGAAGTTGCTTTCGGAGCAAATAAGAACAAAATGAATAAGATGCTCTCATGCCATATTTTTTTCTCCATATGGCTTTCCTCTGCTCTAGATAACTTCCTTTGATAAGGAACTTTGCAGAAGACAGCAGAACAAATCCATTTTTAGTATGGGCTTCAGAGTTAGTCAGCCCTGGGTTTGAAATCTGGTGCTAGCACTCATTAGCTGCTTGACAGCTACTTCTCTTCTCTGAGTCTCAATTTTCTACCTCAAAGGAATAAATGAGAAAATATACATAAAGCACTTAGCATGGTCTCAGACATATATTTAAGTGTTCAGAAAATAGCGGCTATTTTTGCTATTAGCAACATGAAGAGGAAGAGGAGACAGGCATAACAGGCAGTAAATAGATCTGACTTAAAATCAGCCTGATCAGGGAGTTCTTCCCTTCTCCCCCTTCTTCATAAATACTCACCTTACAACAACTTCTTGTTAAGTACTGGAACTTACACATTAGTCATAATATCAACATCTAACTTGTTCTACACTTATTTTTCAAAGAATCTATGTCCTTTCTTGTCTCTGAACAGTGAAGTGCTGTTAAGAACTATGCCTACTACTCTATTTGTTTCCACTTTTTAGTCCAGACCCATTTTCTTAGCTTGGCCTTTAATGCTTTCTTTGAAAGGGGTAAACCCAGGGTACAAGGATTAGAAAGAAGGAAAGTGAGGCAAGAAAAGATGCCAAGCAACGCCAACTGAAGTATCACTATGCTGCCTATCACTTCACACTAAGCCACAAAGGGACGCAACAGGTCCTTTGCTGGTGCATCCACTTGACAAGGGAAAGAATGAGCTAGAAGGAAATTGAGGCAAGAAAAGATGCCAAGCAATGCCAACTGAAGGATCACTATCCTGCCTATCACTTCACACTAAGCCACAAAGAGACGCAACAGGTCCTTTGCTGGTGTGTCCACTTGACAAGGGAAAGAATGAGCTAGAAGAAAAACTCATGCCTCAGAGAAGTCGATTGGACAGTGCAAGATGAGGGAATTTAGCCACTTCCCTCCTGTCCATTGCCCTCCTCTGGTCAAATTTCACCCTACAAGGAGTTAACTCTCCTTCATGTCCAGGGTGTATCATCTGGCTTCTTCCAACACATGTGGGGCCACATTGCGTGCCCCATGGCTTAGTATCTCATCCAAGTCCTGAAGTGGCAAGAAGAGCCAGAAACTCCAAGTTGGAACTTGCTGACCGAGATACATAGTAGCAGACAAGGGCAAGGGGGAAGTTCCCTGAGTGGTGCAGTGCAAGATGCAGTGGGCCCAGATGGATGGGATGGAAGGAGGTCTATAAAATGTGTATCTGTTACACCCCTCTTCTCCAACACACACATTCTGAACCAGTCCTGGTCTTTCATCAAGGAAATTTATAATACATGAGAACCTCTGCCTCAGAAACAGGTACATGAGAAATAAGTAATATTCAGAAGAGCATGAACTTTGGGAAAAGTCTATCGAGGTTTGAAGTCAGGCTCAGCCACTTACTACCTATGCAACATCGGACAATTTATTTGGCCTCTTTGTGCCTCAGTTACTTCATCTGCTAAATAGTTTTGATAATAATATTGGCACATTCTTCACAATATTTCTGTGAGAATTAAATTACGACTTACATATATAAAATCATGTATAATTTTATACATAGGGCTCTCTGGCTTGGGGCCCCTTCACTTCCTTTCTTTTCAGTCTCCTAATTAGATTCCTGGTTCTGGGAGGAGCCTCCTGAACTGATCCCAGTCTATCCCTCATTGCCTTGACTGACCCTCCTTCCATGCTTTGGATATCTCATTTTATTGATGTGTGGCTCTCAGTAGCTCCTTCCTTTGCCACCAACCTCTCAGTCCTGGTCTGTGTAGTCTTATTAAGCTGAATTCCTGGAACGACAAATATGAAATTTTTGACATGTTTTGTTAGACAGTTGGAAATACTACCAGAAAAATCTCATGCAGGTCTCAGGACTCAAAGCTTTCCCAAAGTAAATAAAAATGTTAATTGGCTGTCTGACTACATTGCTCAGATCTCTTGAAGAAAGCACACAGCAATGTCACTTGGCATCCCAAAGATGAGCTCATTAGGAAAGTGTTGATGAAAAACTATGGCTATGAAATGACAGAGATTATTGTGAACAATCATTTCCAGTCTCCCACTTCTGTTCCTTGGGATAATTTCCTCAAATAAACTACTCACATGTAAGTCCTTGTTTCACACTCTGCTTTTGAGGGGGAACCTAAGCTAAGACATCCACACTGAAAACTTTCTACTGCATGAGCTTTACACATTAGATTTGTGGAATCTTACTTAATTTAAAATATTCTTCAAAGCAAAATGTATTCTGATTACACAGGAGATTACACCTAGAGGTATCTATCCACTCCAGAAGTCTAAGTCCATAAACAAATTGGAATGGTTTCATAAGAAGACTTGAAGTCATACATTGCAGGCTTGGTTCCCCAGGAGGCAGACTCTGCATCAGAGTTGGCAGGCAGAATGTTTATGCCCTGGGAATGAACACCTGAGAAAGGGAGGGGAAGGACTCAAGAAGGAACAGAAAACAAATCAAGTTGCAATGCAGCCCAACAATAGACTCAGCTGACCCCATGAGCAGCTCTGAGACTAAAATGGCTTGTCAGAGTTGTCACATATTGGACTGAAATAACTGAGCTTTTATACCCCATCTGAATTGATCATTAGATGGGGACTACACCGGAAAAGGCTATGGCCATGGATGAGTGGCTCTCTGCCAGTGAGACAATGCCTGCAGGGGATGACACTGGAGCCTTCTGTGAGGTGCATTCCCAGAACCTGGGCTAAAGAGTCCTGCGCTCAAGGAATATATCTCTCCAAGGAGCCACTGAAAAGATGGAGAAGAAGCTCAGCCCAGGAAAGAGAAAATTGGCAGAGACATGGGGCCTATTTCTAAATGTGCAATGAGTTCTCATGAAGACAAGATATTTGGATTTGTCCTTCATGGGTAAAACAGGAATAATTTGCCTAAAGGAAAGAAAATGTTATCTGAAAACCAAGACTTTTCAGATAGGGAGCACTATCTAAATGAGTAGTATGTGTCAGTCAGGACCTCATGGAGGTGTAAAGCAGTCTGAATATAGAACAAATCCAACTATTAAGTTCCCGTCCAACCTTGAGATTCTATGATTCCAAGAGTCAGAGTAATGCTCACAGTATAAAATTGTCACTTATGCATCATTTATAAGCAGCACTATGTACCCTTAAGCATAAAAAATAAATATAAAAGTTCCATTTGTTATGGCTACATGAGGAAATAGAGTTGCTAAGCAATAGAAATACTGACTAGTGACTGCAGACATTGCTCAACTTTCAAACAACCAATGTACAAACAACTATCTATCGATCTCTGCCTATATATCCCATCTATCTATCCTCCACTAATTCTACAGCAAATGGAACACTCTAAGTTTACCCATGTCTAACACAGGGCAACAAACCACGATTTCTCTTGCAACCACAAAACAGAAAATGGCTTTCCAAGGTAGCTCAAAATCAACATACCTAAAACCAAGCTCATCTTTTCTTTGCCCAAACCCCATCTCAACCCATTCCTTCTGTATTGCTTCATGTTGTTAGTGGGGGCATTGTTAACTTACACATTCCAAGGCAAAAATGTTGGACTTGGTGAGCTTTAGAGCCAGACATACTTGATTATGAAACTGGCTTTTCCTATTTATTATACTGGCATGAGCAAGTTAACAAAACCTTTCTGAGCCCCCTTTTCTCAACTGTAACATTGGGATAATACCTATTTCACTGGGCTGTTTTACAACAAGAGAGTTCTGTTAGTCAGAAAGAAAAGGTACCAGGAATTTGAAGAAGAGGATCAAAACAACAACAAAAGGACCATCAAAGACAACATCATCTATTTTTTTTCCCAAGAATTGGCTCAAAGTCCCTAGACGATAGAAGAAACTGTCTTCCTCCATTATCTTGTGCCCTTCATATCGACTTTCTCTTACCCAGATACCTTGTTCTGGTATACCTAATGCTAGAATATGAATTAAATAATAATTTGCAGCTTCATGTCTAATATAGTTTCGATATTTATCCCCAGTCAAATCTCCTTTTGAATTGTAATCCCTAGTGCTGGAGGTGGGGCCTGGTGGGAGGTGTTTGGATCATGGGGGAAGATTCCTCATGGCTTGGTGCTGCCTTTGCAATAGTGAGTGAGTTTTCATGAGATCTGGTTGTTTAAAAGTGTGTGGCACCTCTCCTCCCACTCTCTCTCTCTTGCTCCCACTCCCGCCACGTGAGTTGCCTGCTTCTCCTTCACCTTCACCATGATTGTAAGCTTCCTAAGTCCTCCCCAGAAGCCGAGCAGATGTCAGCACCATGCTTCCTATAAAGCCTCCAGAGTCATGAGCCAATTAAACCTCTTCTTTATAAATTACACAGTCTGATGTATTTCTTAATAGCAATGCAAGAATGGTCTAATACAATGTATATGTGAAAATGCATCCCAAATTCACAATGGCTTACTTTTTGTACAACTGCTAGTAAGTTGGTAATTGCTCAAACGTGAAATAATATACAAAAAGTCACATTTTAACAATGTATGTGGCTGTACCTATGGCTTCTAATACTCTCTACGCATCCCCATATTAAATACCAAAGATACAGGCTTGATCAAAACTCTCCCATCACTTCATATCAGTGTTCCTCCTGCCAACAGGAGCCTTTCTTTTTCCATCTCAGCACCCTAATTTTATCCACAACTTTTTATCAACTAGAATATAAATTCTTGATCTTAGGTGTCCTTAACTTAGATGCCTCCTGGACATCTCATTTATAATTCTCTGTATTTTTATTACAAAATCCAATATGCTCTGTTTCACATTTGACGTTCTCACCACCCATAGGGGGACATTTATTAATATGCTGGAGCCTCTCCATAACTCTATTAATTAAAAGAGGGACTTGGTTTCTGGGTGGCTGGATGGCTAGTTCCTTTATAGACTACCACCCTTTTTACTCCCTTTACATTTCGCCACTCCCCGACCCAACAAGAAGCCTGAGTTTCTGCAGTACTATTGACTTTTTTTTTTTTTTTTTATTATACCCTAAGTTTTAGGGTACATGTGCACATTGTGCAGGTTAGTTACATATATATACATGTGCCATGCTGGTGTGCTGCACCCACTAATGTGTCATCTAGCATTAGGTATATCTCCCAATGCTATCCCTCCCCCCTCCCCCGACCCCACCACAGTCCCCAGAGTGTGATATTCCCCTTCCTGTGTCCATGTGATCTCTAACGTGGGTTTTAACAGCAGTATTACAACAAAGCAGCAGCAACCCACAGTTCACAATCACCTGATTATCTTTTGCTAATTCATAATTTGAATAGTTGGATATTCTTCGCAAGCACTTTCAGTGATTCTGCATTTGCTACCTCCTCAGTAGAAAGTTTCCTTTCCCTTTCCTTCTTTAGGGGGAGAAAAGAATTGTCCCCAGGACTACTAACCTCAAAGAGTGGTAGCTAATATTCACTTGAATAACAACTCTGTGCCAAAGCTTGCAGAGACATCATCTCACTGAATCCTCAAATAACTCAGTGAGACATAGAATCCCATTTTGGGGGGAAGAAAAACTGAGGCTCAGAGATTCTGAACTGCCCAGGATACCATCATGGATGACTCAGCCCCAATCTCATCTATCGCTCTGTGTCTTCCTCAAGATTCCAGTTCTTAGGAGTGCAAGTTACCAGTCCACTAGGAGCACAAATGTTGGGAGAGGTGCTGTTTCCAAAGGAAGGGTCTTGGGCAGACAAAAACAACGTTCTCAAGCCCTGATACCTTAATTAACGGTTCCCTATGTTTTTCCCCTACTCTGCCCTAGAAGTCTATTTTTAAAAAACACAATTCACCATAATTCTTTTTGAAAGAATGATCATCTCCAGAAGGAGAATCACACCTCCTCTTCTTCGGCATGGTATGCAAATTAAAAGGGAAGCTCTAACTGCTGAATGCGCCCCTTCTAAGACTTCAACAATTTACTGCAAAAACCAACCAACCAAACAAACAAACAAAAATTCACCTCCAGAGTCTCACATGTTGAGTATTCCTTGTCTGAAATGCTTGGGACCAGAAATGTTTGGATTTTGGAATTTTCAGATTTTGGAATATTTGCATATACATAATGAGATATCATGAGGATGGGACCAAGTGTAAACACAAAATTAATTTATGTTTCTTATACACCTTATACACATAGTCTGAAGATAATTTCATACAAATTTTTAATTATTTTGTACATGAAACAATTGTTTTACTACCTTTTGACTGTGACCCAACATGTGAGGTCAGGATTTTCCACTTGTGGAGTCATGTTGGTACTCAAAAAGTTTCAAATTTTGGAGCATTCCAGAGTTTGTATTTTTAGATTGGAGGGGCTCAACACGTGTTCTTCTTTCATACAGTTAGTAAGGAAACAATGAGGCAAGTAAAAACCATTTAGGTGTCACTGTCAAAGTCCACACATACTCTAATATCATGACTAGATAAAAAAGAGCATAGAGGTTGAGTTTGTGGTCTACTTTTCTTAGGAACTAATGAAGGTCCCTAGCCCCTACTCAAGTTCAAAATAAATTATCTTTCAAAATTAGTTAATCTGCTACGTTTTTCTCACCACTCAGGTTTATACATTTGCCCCTTTGAATGCTAAAATAGGTTACAGCACTCTGAAAAAACAATCTTCCTATTCAATACTGTCCTTAAAACACTATGTCTAATAATGAAAAGCAATAACAAAGTATGATAATACTGCCTCAATTTTAATAGAGTAGCATGTGATAACATGGTGCAGAAAGAGTAATGGTGTGGGAATCAGAAGATGGGGATTCCATATCTTTCTCTGTTGGGATAATCCAATATGGAAACCACATTGAGGGTGTTTCCTAGACTAGAAACCCATAACAATCTTAAATTTCTAGTCCAGTTTAACCATTTTATTTTAGTCATTAGCTTCTGCTGGTGCAGAAGGCATAACTTTTCTTTCATTCATTAGCTCATTCATGTTCATTCATTCATTTATGTTCTTTAAAGCAATTTTGAGTTCCCATTAGATGCTCCTATATGCACATAAATAAGGTATGGGATTTGTGACAAATTTTATGGAAAGCATAAAAAAGAGACCTATGGAAGTTCTGAAGAGAGAAACATTGTATATGGGTGTGTAATTAAGAGAGGCTTCTCAGGGAAGGTGCCATTTCAGTAGGCTCTTGAATGTTGTCTGATGAGCAATCAGTGCTCAGTAAATACTTATTAAGTAAATTAATTTTATTGAAACAATCAACAAATAAATGAAAAAAGACTGAGTAGGTAAGATTTCAACAGTCAGGTTAGAAAAGGGGGTCAGTATGAGGAAGGCACAGAGACAGGAAAGTGACACCAAATACATGGAACAGAGTCTTCTGGGAAAAGACTCTAGAAAATAGGCAGGAAAAGGTATGACCAGTATATCATCTTGTAGATTTAAAGCTTTGAATGCCAGATTCAAGGACTACTGGCTATTATCTTACAGGAAGTGTGAAGCCATGCCTTTTTAAAATAGAGTGTTGATAGGGGCATAGTAATATAGAGCCATACTTAAGGAGTATTGGTTAGGGTGGTATGCAAGACAGGTGGAGAGGGAAAAACTCAAACAGAGATGTTAAGATAGCATCTCTATTGTCTGTACAATATCCCCTGAAGGATGGAGAAAGCACTGGGTCCAGTGCTTTGATTCCAGTGCCCTCATTTGCTTTGATTCCAGTGCCCTCATAACCAGTCAAGGTTCTTAGAGTCTTATTATGAAAATACACAAATGGAGATTTACAGTATAAACTCAAAACCCTTCTGATATAAACATTGAGGGAAAAGAGAAGAGAGAGCTACTTCCAAATCTGGTCAGAAGAAATTTGGAATGAAATATTGTAATTTTGCAAAGAGATGAGGCATAACTAAGGAAGAACATGCATTAACTGTCCATAATTGCTGCTAAAAATTCACATGACATTAAATTAGTTTAACCTTAAATTAAGAATCAAGAATGTGCAGAGAATAATAATGTTCTCCATCCAATCATTCATGCTTAATTTAACTGACAGTATAACTGTGACAGCACACTTGGGCACATGGCCACAGTGGTCATCTCAGAATCTTACAAAGGCAGTTCTCTTGGAAGGGAGAGAAACCATGTTAACCTCTTCCTAAGCTTCCTACTGATTATCATTTAAAATTACCCAATTATCACAAAGCCCATAAACAGTTCAAAAGACACATTCAAAATTCACTAGCTACATATTTATTTAACTATGACATCATTTTTCCTGAAAGATTCATGTATAATCAAAACATCTAATACCAGGTTAAGTAAATTGCAGGATATCCATTTGTTAGAATAACTTAAATACATTAAAAATTCTGTTTCAAGGGATATTTTGCCTGATGTTAAACAACAACTAGATTTGACAGTATCTATAAAATATTATAACTTTATAAAGATACTCATAGAAGAAAATAGAGTGAAAGAAGTGCAGCAAGATGCTAACAGCAACTGTCTTTCAATTAATGTATTTCCAAGTAAAACTTCTTTTCACTTTTCTCTTTATTTCAAATGAGTAGGTATTAATTTTAATTAAAAACCCAAGTTAAACATGCTTAGAAAAAAACTAAGCATAGTTTTTTTCACCAGGAACTTCTATTAACTCTAGAAAACAGTAGAGCTGCAACTGGGATGCAAAGTGATTTTTGCAACCATAAAGGGTTGTTTTATGGGCCTATCACAGTGGGTAACACACGGACGGCACTCAATAAATAGTCAGTCAATGAGTGAGGTATGGTGGAGAATAATGAGTCAATTTGGCCAATTCTCTTTTGTAAAAATTCAGTTGGTTAGCATGATGCCAAGTAAAACATATAATTGGTTATAAAATGTTAATTTCTACCTGATTGTTGTAACAGAATTGGTGCAGTGAAATCCTGCAGAAAATCCAGGTGTTCTTCATTAGTTAATTCTTGGCTCTACATTTAAACTAAAGTTTTCAAAACATGGAACCAGACAGTTCTAGTGAAGTAAGAAAACAGGGAAGTGGCTTTTCTGGATAGCTTAGACTCTAACTAAAAATTTATACAGTACTTTAAAAAAATTTTGAAGTAAATATTTCAAACAATGTTTTAATTGCTTTCCTATCTTTTAAAATAGTCCATATAGAACTAAATTTCTTGCAGACTCAAAGTCACTCTTAAGAACATTTGTTGTTATATTATGATATATTACATTTCTTGGTGTGATTTTTATCTTGTGCTGTACTGTGCAGTTTCATAAATGTACCTTGCTGTGGCACACTTCCACACTTTTTTGCATACACTTGCCTCTTTGCCCAGAACACCTCCCAATAAATTCCTTGTCCACCTATAAGTTCCTACTCATATTTGTCACATTTTAGTACCCATCTTTTGTGACAGCTTAGACACAGTTATTCCTTTCTGTGTATCTTGTGCCCTTTAATTGCTGTATTAGTTTACCCCAAAACTTAGTGGCTTAAAACAATAAACAGTTATTATCTCACACTGTTCTTGTGAGTCAAGAATCTGGGAGTGGCATAGCTGGGTGGTTCTGGCTTAGGGTCTCTGATAAGGTTGTGGTCAAAATATTGGCCAGGGTTGAAGTCATCTGAAGCCTAGACTGGACCTGTTGGATTTACTTGTTAGCTAGTTTGTACTGGTTAATAGCAGAAGAAGTCAGTGTCTTACCACCTGGACCTCTCCAAGTGCTCCTCCCAGCGTGGCAGCTGGCTTCTCCCAGAGCAAGTGATGCAAGAGAAAGAGCAAGGAGGAAGCTACACTGCATTTTATGTTCTAATCTTGGCTGCCATAACCCAGCACTTCTGCAATATTCTGTTCACTAGAAGTCAGACACTAAGTACAGTACACATGCAGGGGAAGAGAATTCGGCTCCACCTTTTAAACAGAAATTTTAAAAAAAAATGTGGACATATTTTAAAACTACTAAAATTGCTCTCATTACTTCACTATATTGTAATTATTATTATTTAAAGGCTTTCATTTTTTAAGGTTGTGTTTCAGGTAATCCTTAAAGCATTTATTTTATGCTATATAAAATTGCAGGGCTCTAGGTAATGACTACAGCAAGTTATAGAGAACCACATTTTGAATCGTATTTTCCACTTATTTTGGTGTGTGCCTGACCTTAGTCCAATTATTTTGTCCCTCTGAATCTCAGCTTCCTCATCTTTAAAGTGGGAATCATTATTATCAGTCCTATTGTTGGGATTATGTGGGACAATATCAGTGAGGGCACATTACAAATTGTAAAGTACTATATGCAGACATTAGTACTGGGCCAGCAAGGACACAGTGCTGCAGGCCCTGCACTAGTGCTGCACAGTGTGAGCTCTAGAACTTACTGCCTATTTTCCTCACCAGCCACGGGCAAGGACCCTTTTATCTTCTTTATTCTCATCCCAGAATATTTCCCAAGCTTATAACATAGCGTCCTGCACATAGTAGTTGTTCAACAAGCATTAGTTGCTGTTGATGCTGATGGTTGTCCTGGTTTTCTTTTTCATTTAGAGTAAAATGGGAAACTCTTTAGGTAGCAGCACTTCACAAACTAGAATAAAAAGGCACTAAGAAGTACAGGATAATGAATTGTTCTTGGATAGGACAGATGAATTTAAATCCCAGCTCAGCCACTCAGAAGCTTTGCAAATTCTGTGACCTCTCTAAGCCTTCGTTTCTTCATCTGTTATATGGATATAACAGCATTGCTTGTTTGACAAGGTTGTGGTGAACATTAAAGGAGATAATGTATGAGAAACACGTAGACTACTATGTGTCATATACACTTGCCATGTACTAAGTATTCTATAAATGTATATTATTCCTCATCTTCTGATTATGATTATTATTAAATGGCTCCATCATTGAAAAAGGCAAGGTGTTCAGACCTATGAAAGATCACATCCTCCTGCTTGAAAATCCCATTTTGGCAAATTAATATGACTTGATTGGAGGAAAGAGTAACCTACAAGGTTTTCCTTGCCTACCTGGGTGGCTATCTATCTAAAACAGTCTGTCTGGCTTCAGCTATTTCCATTTGCTGTCTTTATGAGCCCAGAGGCATGCACAGCTATGAGCACATTTCAGAAATTTGAAAAATAAACAATGAAATGTCTCATGCTTGCCACACATGTATTTTTCCTTCCATGATTTAGGTTGGCTGGTTCTAAGCCATAAAAAGTTTATAATAAGAAAGAAAAAAAGAATGAATTTGCCAGCTTAAAACTCTTTAACCCCACCCCCCTGAAACTTTCCAACTCAAGGTTAAAATGTGAACAAACGTTCCAACCAATATGTTCATGAAACATTTAATAATTACTTTGCTTATGAAAGTTTAAACAGCTGCTTAAGCTAGTAAAAAGGCTCCCACCCAGGCAGAATAACCTGCTGTTCCCACTAAGAAGGTTTTTACAAATCATCAGACTACATATTAAGATGAAAGGCAAAACTGCATTTCTGTACAGTCTCTAACTATTCAGTTATGTATGGAATGAGTTTATCCACCAGGCCAATCAGGTTTGGTTTATTCTTTTGACAAGGGTCTTGACAGCATCAATGCTAAAGCTGTTCTCCAAAGGGATTACTGAGCTTTTCAATGATTTATTTCTAAAAACACATATACATTAAAAAAGCCATGTCTTTGTCTTTGGGTTATTTTACAGGATAACTCCATAAAAACAGGATTCATTAGCAAATGAATTCAGAAGTTAAAGGAAGTCACATCACGTTTCTTAAAAAAAAGAGTAACACTACTCTTCAGGCTTTCACATGTACTTCCTCAGCTTGTAATATACCTCATCCCAACCCCATCCTTATAATCTCTAGCATGCAGTTAATCTTCTTTTTAGTAGGAATAAACTGAATCTCTCCAGAAAGCCATCCTTGGCTTCCTAGACCAGGACGGTTGCCCTCAAATGAGCCCCTATAGAAGCATGTAGCTGCCATACTGTGGCACTTACCACCTTCTATCACTGTTGCTTGTTTAATTGCCCATCTTACCATGCAGCTATGGTGCTATGAGGGCAATTTGACAATATTTGATAATGGGATAATATGTATATACAAAATTTTAAGGATGGACCTCTGAGTGGTCAAAAACTGTGAAAATATTTGTATCCAATGTGAGTGCTCACCAAAGGGTGACCTCAGCAGAGGGGGATTTTAATAATCAAGTGGACAGGATAACTCATTCTATGGACACCACTCAGCCTCTTTCCCCAGCCACCCCTGTCATTGCTCAATGGGCCCATGAACAAAGTGGCCATGGTGGCAGAGATGGAGGTTACACATGGGCTCAGCAACATGGGCTTCCACTCACCAAGCTGACCCGGCTACAGCCACTGCTGAGTGCCTAATTTGCCAGCAGCCGGGACCAACACTGAGCCCTCGATATGGCACCATTCCTCAGGGAGATCAGCCAGCTACTTGGTGGCAGGTCGATTATATTGGACCTTTTCCATCATGGAAAGGGCAGCAGTTTGTCTGCACCGGAATAGACATATGGGTTTGCCCATTCTGCACGCAATGCTTCTGCCAAGACTACCATCCATGGATTCATGGAATGTCTTATCCACCGTCATGGTATTCCACACAGCATTGCCTCTGACCAAGACACTCACTCTATGGCTAAAAAAGTGTGGCAATGTGTGCATGCTCATGGAATTCACTGGTCTTACTATGTTACCCATCATCCTGAAGCAGCTGGATTGATAGAATGGTGGAATGACTTTTGAAGTCACAATTACAATGCCAACTAGGCGACAATACTTTGCAGGGCTTTGCAGGGCTCGAGTGAAGTTCTCCAGAAGGCTGTGTATGATCTGAATCAGCATCCAATACATGGTACTGTTTCTCCCATAGCCAGGATTCACAGGTCCAAAAAACAAGGGGTGGAAATGGAAGTGGCATCACTCACCATCACCCCTAGTGACCCACTAGCAAAATTCTTGTTTTCTGTTCCTGCTACATTATATTCTGCTGGCTTAGAAGTCTTAGTTCCAGAGGGAGGAATGTTGCCAGGAGGCACAACAATGATTCTATTAAATTGGAAGTTAAGGTTGCCATCTGGACACTTTGGGCTCTGCCTACCTCTAAGTCAACAGGCTAAGAAGGGAGTTACAGTGTTGGCCGGGGCAACTGATCCGGATTATCAAGATAAAATTAGTCTATTATCCCATAATGGAGGTAAGGAAGAGTATGCATGGAATACAGGAGATCCTTACGGCATCTCTTAGTATTACCATGCCTTGTGATTATGGTCAATGGGAAACTACAACAACCCAATCCAGGCATGACTACAAATGGCCCAGACCCTTCAGGAGTGAAGGTTTGGGTCACTACACCAAGTAAAAAACTACGACCCACTGAGGTGCTTGCTGAAGGCAAAGGGAATACAGAATAGGTAGTAGAAAAAGGTAGTCATCAATACCAGCTACAACCACGTGACCAGCTACAGAAAGAGGACTGTAATTGTTGTGAATATTTCCTCCTAATTTTGTTAAGAATATGTAGATGTATACACTTGCACTAAGAAAATATCTTCATTTTCTTTTTCCTTTGTCATGTGACGTAAGAGTTATTGACTTCATATCAGTATTTAAGTATTGTTAACTTTATGTAATAGCATTTAGGTTAACAATTAGTGTGCTCCGGGTTGCACAAGAGATAGCTGTATTATATTAGGCATAATTATTGTCTTTATTTGGAGATTATATACGATTTCAGGAGATGTGTATGGGTTCAAGTTGACAAGGGGTGAACTTGTCATGGTTAATATTAAGTGTCAACTTGATTGGATTGAAGGATGCAAAGTATTATTCTTGGATGTGTCTTTGAGGGTGTTGCCAAAGGAGATTAACATTTGAGTCAGTGGACGGGAAGAGGCAGACCCACCCTCAATCTGGGTGGGCACCATCTAAGCAATGGCCAGTGAGGCTAGGATAAAGCAGACTTGCTAAGTCTTCTGACCTCCACCTTTCTTCTGTACTGGATGCTTCCTGCCCTCGAATATCAGACTCCATGTTCTTCAGCTTTTGGACCCTTGGACTCAGAGTAGTGGTTTGCCAAGGGCTCTCGGGCCTTTGGCCACAGACTGAAGGCTGCACTGTCAGCTTCCCTACTTTTGAGGTTTTGGGACTCGGGATGATCCACTGCTGGCTTCCTTGTTCCTCAACTTGCAGATTGCCTATCATGGGACTTTACCTTGTGATCGTGTGAGTCAATTCTCCTTAATAAACTCTTGTTCATATACACATATATCCTATTAGTTCTGTCCCTCTAGAGAACCCTAATACACCCAGCAAAGTAGGAGCTCAATAAATTCCTGTAGAATTAATGGATGAATTCTCCTACTCACCCAAACTGCACTTCTACCTCTTTTTCTCTCATATACCCAAACTTCAACAACTCCTGCCAACTTTATTTCCAAACATTTTCTGAATCCTTCTCCTCTTTTCCAACACTATTTCAACTGTCTTGGTTTAAACTCTATTATCTTCTGGCTGAATTTCAGTCTTTGCCTACTCAAAAGTATGCAGTGGCCAGAGTAAGCTAAAATGAAAATCCACTGCTAAAACGCAAATCCACTGCTAAAACTCTACAGTGCCTTCGCGCTGCCTACAGGACAAAGCCCTGGCCCTTCACATGGCATGTCAGACCCACCGTGGGCTGTCCCTCCTAATGGGCCTCTCCTATTTCTCAACTTCTGCATAAGTTCTCCCATCTTCAGGAAAGGCTGATGTTTACATCCAGAAAGGCAAAATAGTCTACCAACAAAATATAAGAGACAGGATGCAAATTTTACAGGTTATGCTCAGAGCATACTGCCCACCCCATGCTATTGCTATAACCTTAGTGCCTCACACATACCAATACCCAATAAGTAAATAGATGCTGAATTAATGTAAGAGCAATTTAAAAAGAATATAATAAAAAACACTAAAACATAATCTACCCAGCAAAACTCATGCCTCATCCTACTGTTTCACAAAATGTTTTATGTTAAGATACTCTGTGAAAACAGTGTTCCATGATCAAAAATTTGCAGAATACTGCAAAGCTACCTCTTAAAGATTCCCAGTGCACATCAGCACATTAAAGGCTTAAGAAGTACCACAGAAAAAGGGAGCCTGTTTAACTTTTTGAATAGGAAAGTTCCCAACTGTATTCGAACACAGAATTTAAAAACAAAACAAAACAGCAACACCCTTACTCTGTAAATAATGCTTTTCTCCAGCACCAGCTTTAGAAAGGGCTTCCATGACGTCTTGTTGCTATTTAACAGTACACAGAATTTACCATTAGTGTGATGATAAATTTCATCTTTAAGTATTTTTTTTCATCTTTCAGTATTTTTTTAATAAAGGAATTTTAGGGCTGGCAATGACCTTCAAGCTTTTTCAGACAAAGTTCCTCCTTCTATAGATGAAGGATTAAGCCACTCAGCTTATTTGTGCCAGAAATAAAACCAGAACCAAAGCCTCACAACACCCATCTAGTCTTCCTTCCATTACTCCACATCAGTGACTCTCAACTTGGGGTGGCTTTTGTCCCCCAAGGGACATTTGGCAATGTCTGGAGACATTTCTGATGCTCGAGACTGCAGGAGGTGTGGTGTGGGGTAGGAAGTGACATTAGTGGTTAGTGGCCAAGAATGTTGCTAAACACCCCACAATGCACGGGACAGCCCCCTACAACAAAGAATTATCTGATCCAAAGAGCCAACAGAGATGATGTTGAGAAATCCTGCCCCACACTGAAAAAAGAAAGTGAAGTGTTCAGTTAACAAACTAGAGTTTTCATTTCAATGTTCCCCACTAGCCTTCACAGTACTGTACTATATTTAAAATAATACTGGCATATAAAACTGAATTTGTTCTTTGAATGCATGAAAATAACTGCTGTAAGAAAAAGGCATGTTAAAAAAAAAATTCACTGCATCAAGGCCTTATCAAAATGGGTTTGAATACCATCAACCGCCAACCACTCCAAAATCCCAAACACTTTCCTTTCCATACAATAACTTCAGAATAATTCATGAATATATTAACATTTTAAAAATATTGCCTTTACTAAGCAAACCTCAAAATAAGACCTAGGAAATTGCTGGGGATCAAAAGAAATGGGCCAGCCCCAAGAGTCAACATTAGAGAATCCATTACTGGTGAGAGAGAGTCCAGTTTAGGATCAGTTTGTCCTCTGGTCAGGTCAATTCAAGCACAACCTTCCTTCTGTGTTTATTTGTTCATCTGTTTGTGGAAAATCATGAAAGCATCATAAATTAAAACTGGAAAAAGACTAAGGGGGCTAAAGTCAGAGCAGGTCCACCCTGCACTGGGTGCTACACAGAGATGCCCACAAGACAGCCCTCGCTTTCCAAGAAAGCAGCTCGCTCTCAGGAGTCTCCTCTCACCAGTGTCCTCAACAGGTTAATGTACTATGGTTACGTAAGATGTTATCACTGATCATGTTAGCCTGGTCAAAGCATACATTTGAACTTTCCGCACTATTTTTACAATAGCTGTGAGTCTAAAATTATTTCTAAAAAATTTATTTTACAATATAATATGATTAGTAGTGCATCTATTTTGGCTTTTTCTGTTGCCCTCTGATAAAGATGGACCTGAGTAGCTGATTGGTGAAGGGGTGTGAAAAGAGGCACAGGGGAACAAGGCGTCATAAAGAGTCATTAACACCCCAGAAGTGATGCATTCATCAGATCCTCTTCCAAAGTGACAAGGAGCTAAAAAGAAATGACCCAAGGAGGACTTAGAGGGAGGATACATAAAATCAATGGATCAAGCACAGGCGACTTTCCCAGGTGAAACTCCTTCAGGGGTGCTCTAAGGAAACTCTGAGACGACAAAGGACGGTAGATATGAGAACTCTTTGTGCTTAGGGAAAAGATGTCAGGAGAAAAAGCATGAGAGAAAGGTACAATTTCTCCTATAAAAATGACTTGGTAAGGATGGAACTGCCTATATCCTGAATCAATGTATAGCCCTCAAATTTATACACCATTCAACTAAGGCATGCCCAGGCATAATGGAATCTCTTAGAGGTTAAAAGAAATGGGAGTCCAGAAATCTAGAGTTATGTTCCAGATGTGTTTGTACCACATATTTGCTGTGTCCCCTTGGACAAGTTCTCCTTGGTCAATTTTCCTAATCTGAAAGTCATAGAGTTTGTACTAAATCTCTAGGATCCCTACTCTCTGTCTCTGCCTCTAAGACTATTTTAATTGTTAGGATAACCTCTATAGAGTTAACAAAAAATAAAACCTATTCACAGATGGTAAGAAGTTTCCTCTGAATTTTCAAATGCAAAGTAGTTCCTTGATAAGTGGGGGTAGAAATAATATTGCTATTTTAGTACCATGAAGTATCAGCTCAGAAATCAAAAAGCGCTCATTTTCACCTACTCGGATTTATTCTCAACCATAGATGGGTCTTAAATATACCATGATTTCCCAGGGATAAAGCTGTCTTGAGAGAATGCAGTTCTGAGGCTAATGTCAGAGCTTCCAGAGGACTGCTTTAGCCCCAGTGAAGTGCACTCATGCACACTGTCCAAGATCTTCTGGGTCCTGCAAAACATGCCCAAATCACAGAAGAGTACAGTTTCTGAGGAAGTCAGAGTGGAGAGAGAATTCTGGGCTTAGAGGAGCCAGAATGTGCCACCATCGGTTTTTTGGAAAGAGGGTAGATTTTAGGTATATATTACCCCTATTCTGCTATTTTCACAAAGTGAAACCCAATAAAGTATTTTCATTATTGGCTTTTTTTTTTCTGTTGAGATGGAGTCCCACTGTGTTGCCCAGGCTGGAGTGCAGTGGTGCGATCTCCGCCTCCCAGGTTCATGCCATTCTTCTGCCTCAGCCTCTCCAGTAGCTGGGGCTACAGGCGCCCGCCACCACACCCGGCTAACTTTTTTTTGTATTTTTTAGTAGAGATGGGGTTTCACTGTGTTAGCCAGGATGGTCTCCATCTCCTGACCTAGTTATCTGCCCGCCTCGGCCTCCCTGAGATTACAGGCGTGAGCCACCACGCCTGGCCTATTGGCATCTTTTTAAAGCCTGTGGTTAATTCGGTCCAGGCTTATGGATGAATTATGCAACAGGGTTTTGAAATGTACTAATACTTTATCAATCACATATACACTTTTCTAAAGCTGATATTTACCACATTTTGCCCATGGGTTTTGGGCCAAAATGGAAGGATTATTTACATGCTAACTGCTTTACTTTTATTAAGGTTCTCTGCATGGTTGATGAGATGTAAGGAACTATACTGGGTGTTATTACTGAACAATATCTATTAGCCACTGCCTAGTGTTAGTCCATGCAATGTTTTGCATATGTCACCCGAAAGTTCATGTGTTGAGAACTTAATCCCCAATGCAACATTGCTGGAAGGTGGGGCCTAATATGAGGTAATTAAATCATGAGGGTTCTGCCATCAGGAATGGATTAATATGATTATCAAAGGAATGGGTTAATTATCTCAAAAATGAGTTTGTTATAAAAAGGAGTTTGGTCCCCTCCTGCTCTCTTGCTCTCACCATCTCTTGCCCTTCCACCTTCTGCCATGGGATGATGCAGCATGAAGTTCCTTAGTTCCTTGCAAATTGCTGGTGCCATGCTCTTGAACTTCCCTGTCTCCAGAACTCTGATCTAATTTCTGTTCATTATAAATTACCCATTCTATGATATTCTTCAATAGCAGCATAAAACAGACTAAGATACCCACTTTCCTCCCCTCTGCCTACTTTCAAGTCTCCAAAGATATTTGCATTATTCTGCAGGCAGAATAATGATAGTTTCAACAGACCTTCTCCTTTTATAGAGATAATTTCCACTGCAGCTAATTTTATAAGTTATTTAGCACCACTATTCTTTAGTATGCTATGGAGCAAAGTAGCAAGGTTGTGTCAGGCAGAAGTTAGTCAACCTAAATTATAAAAACCAACTTTTAAGTTACTGTTAGCATTACTGATAACTTAAAAATGAATGATTTTAGGAAAGTCTGCTAGACTTTGGAACTGAACTCCTTCCCTGGCCTATGAAAGATCAGTTCTCAGTTGACCTTGAATCTCCACCAGACATTGCCTTTCACCATCATACATTTCCTTTTCCCCTTTCTTCATTCTCATTTTCTGTTCATTTATGAATGGTACCATATAATTTCTTCTTACTATAACTGCCTCTTATCTAACCCTGACTCCCCTCTCTCTTTGTCTTTTTTTCTCTGTCTTCTGCTCACCTCTGATTACTCACCTCAGCATTTATCTTCATCACAACCTTTATCTTATAAGAAACAGGAGAGAGGGACCTGAAAGCAGGGAATCACCATGTTGAGATCAAATGTTTTAAAATAACTTTGAGCCTCATTGCAAAGAAGTATGGAAAAGACCAGAAGAAAAAAAATCGGGGGGAAATAGTGAGGGCCTGAATTAAGGCAGTAGTAGCAGTAAAGGCAAGGTAGGAACAGAATTTTTTTTTAATATGCTGAAAATAGACTGAATAGGATGTGATACCTGACTGTAGGACAGTGATAAAGGAGAGGGAATGAAAATTAACTTGAAGTTTTATAACTTTGCTGTTAGATAAATATGGTTCATTTAATAGAAACAAGAAACAAAGACAAAAAATCAGGTATGAGGGAGCCAATGTGTTCATATTTGGACATGTTGCACTACATTCAGGGATGAGGTTCAATGTGCCAATGAACAATTGGTATTCTAAAAGGGCAGTAAAACTTCCAGATTTAAAGAGGATCAAGATTAGTAACATCCTCCAACCATTTTTTTCTTACTTACTCCTTCATTTTACCAAAATAAAACATGTGTTGAGAAGCCACTGCATGCCAAGTTCCTGAAATAGCCATTAGGGCGGGAAAAAGGAAAAGAAAGGAAATAGAGTGAACAGAGTGCCTGCTCTCAGGGCATTTGCAAGTTCTGCTAGGAGATGACACCATAACAGTGGCATGAAGTGTTGGGATGAGGGGAATGTTATCAAAGCAGTCTTCATGGAAGAAGCGACATTTATTGGGGATAAGGCCATTCTTTTTCAGGCTCATTAGTCAACTTAACACCTGCAGAGGGACTTCATGCTTCTTGCTTGCCTTCATAGTCTGTATGTCCCCTGCGGTTCCAGGCCAGCTAGAATGCAGATTCCCTCCACAAAACGCAACCACAGACTTGACTTTACTGTCCTCATTTTCATTTTTTTCTGTGAAAGTAATGCTGTTACTTCTTTGTGGAAGAAGTTTTGTTAAACTTCTACCTTTTACATCTTGGTAACAAAGTATTTATGATCAACTCTTGGAATTCTAGGCAACATCCTAAATCTCATGATTGCTCTGAAATTGTCCATCTACCTTCTGGGAGAAGGTGCTACCCCGACAAAATACAGAGTGAAGCATCTTGACAGAGAGAAGGGTACTTAAATTTAGGCCAGTCCAGCAATTCCACTCCAAGATATTTACTCAGAAGAAAGGAAAACATTAAGTCCACAGAAAGACTAGTACAAGAATGTTCACAAAAGCTTTATACACAATAATCAAAAACTAGAAACCACCCACATATCCATCAATTGCTGAATGGATAAACGAATTGTCATATATCTGTACAATGAAATATTACTCGGGGATATAAAGGAAGAAACAACTGAATCAACAACATGGATACATCTCAAAAGCATTATGCTGAGTGAAATAAGCCTCACAGAAAATGACTACAAATTATATTATTTCACTTATATATGAAATAATAATTTAAAAAACAACTATAGCTCTAGAAAGGAGATCACTGGCTGCCAGGGCAGGGTGGTAGAGTCGGAGATGGACTACAAAGGAACTCAAGGGAAACTTTGGGTGGTGGAAATATTATATATTATAATTGTAGTAGTGGTTACATTATACATTTTCCAAACTCATCAAATTGTACATTAGATTGGTTGATTTATTTTATATAAGTTATACCTCAATTCAGCTGATTTTAAAAAATAAAAGAATGAGTCAGGCTGAGCTGACAAATAGGCCCAAGCCCTCCTAGCCAGAAGATGTTAATGTCCCTCATGAAGCTGTCAGAGCCAGCACTATCTCAGCCCTCTGGCTCTCAAGAACTCCTCTGCCTAAATACTTCAGCCTCAGATTCTGAGACTCCATAGCTGCTACAGACTAAGGATCCCAATAACTCACTCTCACCCTGCCACCCACCTGCCCACAACCTTAGGCCAGCTCACCCAGCCTGCTCGACCAAACAGCGATAGTATTATAATCCTAAACCCTTCAAGCCCTGGGCTAGCTACCTGATGATGACATAACTTTACCCTGGAACTACTGACTGGGGAAAATACCTGGGAAGGATTACACTTTAAGGCATCTGACTATTTAGCATCTGAAATATAGACTCTTGGCTCTTCTGTTGTTATCAGTTTCTTAAAGGGACAAGGGGCTGGGCTTGTCTATTTGAAACCACCGTTTCTCTACAGCTGTCTGACTCCCTGTGATTCTACTGAGTTCTTGTTTTCCATCATCCCTGTGGCAAAAGCCATGGTTGATGCCCAGGTCCTTGAAGCAGATGATTTTAGAAGAGGGAAAAGAGTCCTGAGCTTAAAATGAATCTTTACTGCAGTACAGCCCTCAAGTCTGGGAGAAGTCCTGAGTCCTGAGTCTCCCAGTCCTTAGTCTGGGAGAAGTCATGTGCATAAGACTTGTTTCTCCATCACCAAATGCCATCACTCTTCACCCTTTCCTTCATCCCACTGATGCTGTCAAATAAAATACAAGTCTGAAATTTCTAAATAACATTTTTAAGTTCCATTTCTAGAATTTCAATAACAAATGCATGAGATTTGCACCAGAAACCTTATAAAAAGTGTTTATTGCACACTTGATGCCATACAAAGGAAACTTACATTCAGTGAGCTGTGATGTGCCAAACACTCAACAAAGCTATTTGATGTGCCTTACCTAATCTAGTCCTCACAATAATTCTGTTAATTACTTGCATACCATCCCTTTATTTGCAGATAAATTCATGAACTCTGGAAACTGCACATAAACTGTGGTTTAAAGCTTGGTTTAATATTCACAAGATCCTGGGTCTGAATTCCTTCTTAGCTGCCTACTTAGCTGTGTGGACCTTGGGTAATTGAGTTTCCTTCTAGGTTTGTTTTCTCACCTATAAAATGAAGAAACTTCATATGATTTAGATCTGTGTCCCTGCCCAAATCTCATGTGGAATTGTAATTCGAATGTCGGAGGTGAGGCCTGGTGAGAGGTGATTGGATTATACAGGCTGTTTCTCATGAATGATTTAGCACCATCCCCCTGGTGCTGTTCTTGTGTTAGCGAGTTCTCATGAGATCTGGTTGTTTAAAAGTGTGTGGCATCTCCCCTCCCCTTTGCTCCTGCTCCTGCCATCTAAGACACCTCACTCCCCCTTTGCCTTCTGCCATGATTGAATGCTCTGTGAAGCCTTCCCAGAAGCAGATGCCGCCATGCTTCCTGTACAGCCTGCAGAACTGTGAACCAATTAAACCTCTTTTCTTATAAATTACCCAGTCTTAGGTATTTCTTTATAGCAATGTGAGAATGGACTAATACAGAAAATATATGCAAATTCACTAAGCTTTGAAAGGATTAAATAAGATAATTAACACAATAAGTATTAACTATTGGTTTTATCTCAAATGCCAGGCTAGCTTCAAATGGAATAAATACAACACGTGGACAAATACCACTCTCAATTGTTCCGAGGTTGAATTTCCACATCACGAATACCATTCTGTCCTTCAATTACTCCTGCCCTTCTTCAGTCAATGTGCTAAAATTTTTATTTTTTTATTTTTTAAACTTTAGATTCAGGGGGTATATGGACATATTGTGTGAGGCTAAAGTTTTGGCTTCAGTTGAACCCGTCACCCAAAGAGTAATGTAGTACCCAACAGGTAGTTTTTTTAAACCTTGCTTCCCTCTCTCCCTCCCCGATTTTGGAGCCCCCATTGCCTATTCTTCCAGTATTTATGTACACATGTACCCAATGATTAGCTCCCACTTGTAAGTGAGAACATGCTTTTTGTTTTTCTTTCTGTATTAATTCACTTAGGATAATGGCCTTCAGTTGTGCCCATCTTGCTGCAAAGGACATGATTTCATTCTTTTCTATGGCTGGGTAGTATTCCATGGTATATATATATATATATATATATATATATATATATATATATATATATATATATATATATGACCATATATTTGTTTTTTAGCCAGCCCACCATTGATGGGCACCTAGGTTGATTCCATGTCTTTGCTATTGTGAATAGTGCTGCAATAAACATGTGAGTGCAGGTATCATTTTAGTAGAACAATTTACTTTCCTTTGGTTACAATACACAGTAGTGAGATGGCTGGGTCAAACGCTAATTCTGTTTTCAGTTATTTGAGAAATCTCCAAACTGCTTTTCACAGGGGTTGAAGTAATTTACAGTCCCTCCAACAACATATAAGTGTTCCTTTTTCTCCACAACCTCACCAACATCTATTATTCTTTGACTTTTTAGTAATACCCATTCTGACTGGTGTGAGATGGTAAACATGGTAAAATTTTGATGAGAAAAAATATATATAAAGCTTCTGCCTTCAACGAATCTATGAGGACCATCTAGGTGGTTTCACGTTCTCTCTTTCCCAAACTATCTCTAATAACTCAAACTAGACCAGGAAACTGTATTCTTAGGCCAGCCTTCTCCTTCACTCACCTGTTCTGGATATTTGCTCCCAGTGATCTCTGCTACAGTGTTGAAGGAATCAGTATCTGGGTAGGTCTTTGCCCCCATCTTTAGCTGAATGACAATTTTGATCCCATGAGAAGCCATTCTTGACATCATTTCTGCATCTTCCACCGTAATACAGGCTGTTGGAATCTTGGGCACGCCATCCTGGTATTCCTGAATACCTGTGTGAGGACTTGAGAGAAGAAGCCACCAGGTTACCTTGAAAGTGGAAATAGACCAAAAGACTTTTTTGAAAGCACCTGTATATTGATATTTAACTTCCACTTATCTTTGTTTGCATCTGGGAAACAGGAAATGTGGGAAGTATTGATTTACTTGCTTTTGATGTGAATGTAATTTTTATTTTTTGTTAAGAATAAATTAGAAACTTCAATTTAATAATCATCATATGTAAATTATTTGATAATTTGGATATCCTTCAAAGTTGCAAATTGACACAAACTCTGAAGGACATTAATAGTGCCTTCATGATCAAAAGGTACACACATCTGTACAAGGAGACAAGGGAACTCTGAAGTTTGTCAAGGCTGCAGACCAGAAGATCCACATGTCTGGAATAAAACTGGCCCAGATACATGTAGTTCTGTGGTTACTGCCTGCCAGTGGGCCTACTCTCTTCCCACCCAAACACAGAGGTCTAAATCTATAACTCCACATTGGTGGTAGAACACCACGCAGGAAAAGTGTAGAACAATGTCTGGGAATATATTCCTATTCTCATAAAGAAAAGTTGCTGAATAAATCCAGGCCTTTAATTTTACTGCCACAAGAGAAAAAAAAACTATTATACTTTTGGCACTAAAGGAGAAATACCATCCCAACTGGTCAGATATTTTCCTGTTAATTTCTAGATGCTTCTTATATTCATAGAAACACTTATAATTGAAGCCTATATTAATCTGTTGATTCAACCTCTGTATCTACTAATGGAGCTTATCAAAGTCATTTTCTAAAATTGCCCTTTCAAACTGTTCCTTTTCACCCCTGAGGTGTGGCTCCTAACCCTCCCACACCACAGTGCTCTCAGGACCAAACTGTCACAGCTTCCAAGTGCGTGCCACAGTCTATTCCTATCTTCTGTTAAAGCATAGGCTAAAAACTTCACTTTTGAAAATCAGATTTTCTTTTCATATTTCTATATTTGTTTCAGCTTGTCTCATATTTACAGAACAGCCCTCCTCCTCCTTTCACCCACAACACATTTCTCTCCAACAGATGATAGCTTGGTGCTTATCTCCTATAGAAGCAGCTCCAGTCTCCACATGCACAAACACAATGATGCATTCTTATCTCTAACTACATTCTTGGTGTGACTGTATTGTTGTAGCCATATTTCAGGTGACTATTTACTTAGAGAAACTGCAATGTAGAATTGTTAAAAACAGAAGGTCTGGAACAAGACTGCTTGGGTTCAAATCTGGGCTTATTGCTAACTGGCCCAGGGCAAGTTACCCACATCTTTGTTTCAGGGGTGTCTTCTACAAATGGAAGTGATAATAATACCATTTCATAGAGTTATTTTGCAGAAATAATTAATTATACAACTAAATCACTTACCCTCAAACACATTAATCACTCAATGCATTTTAAATATTTATTTTATTAACTTGCTTATTCAATTATCCCTGCAGAGACTGTCTAATCTCAAGTGATTAGTACCATCTGAGTATACCCTCTATGAACATTTCTAAAAAGTAGACTGCAAGCCGGGCATGGTGGCTCATGCCTGTAGTCCCAGCACATTGGGAGGCTGAGGCAGGTGGATCATGAGGTCAAGATATCAAGACCATCCTGGCCAACATGGGGAAACCCCATCTCTACTAAAAATACAGAAAAATTAGCCAGGTGTGGTGGCACATGCCTGTAATCCCCAGAGATTACAGGTATAGCGAGGAAGGAGAATCACTTGAACCCAGGAGGTGGAGCTTGCAGTGAGCCGAGATCATGCCACTGCACTCCAGCCTGGGCGACAGAGCGAGACTCCGTCTCAGAAAAAAAAAAAGAAAAGAAAAGGTGGACTGCAAATTTTATTATTCATCAAAAGGAGTACAAAGACTTATCTTCCAAACCCAGAACTTGGAATACAGAGACCCTGAGTCTAAATCCCTGGGATGCATATAATCTATTCCAAATTCTGGTTCAGGTTCTGGGGTCACTTAACCTAGGTCGGATCCCAGCTCCAGCATTCTTTGCAACTAAGATTACCTCTTTGTTTCTAAATTTCCGCATTTGTAAAGTGGAGAATAATGTTAGCATTGACCTCATAATATTGCTATGAAAAATAAAAGAGATAGTATACATAAAGGATTTAAGACAGTGTTTGGCACATAGTAATTACTTAGTAAAAATTAGTTGTTATTACTTCTTTGGTGTTAATTTTTCCCACTGAGCTAGTGGAGTGATTAATGACCAAAAATTACCTTGCAACATGTAGGAAGACAATCTAAATATTTATTATTCATATTACCTTACGTGATGTCTGGGATTCAACAAACTCTCCTTGTTCTTAGGCTCTTACCCAAGAGAAGGTCAGTATAACACTTCTTAACAGGCTCTTTTAAGTAGTGTTTCTAGACAGATTTGTACTTATAGGTTACTGGTAAGACTTCTTAAAGTGGGGACAGTGAGCCGGGCATGCACCCATGGCTCAGCTGAGGAGACGGCACTGAAAGGCATCTTCTAATTTTAATTTAAGATATAAAAACCTTTGAATTTGTTTCTGCAACTAAGCATGTCTTCCAATGGTGGAGCATCTATCATTGTTTTATAGAAGGAGGCAAAATGAAGACTCAGTTTTATTTAAAATCCTCTACTTTCACTGTAGTAAAATTATTGTAAAGGGACCAATCAGCACAAACACCACCGTCCTGTCCCCATTTACAAGCCCCTTCTGCAATTTATAAAAGCAAAGGGTAAACTACCAAGGAAGCCATAACTAATCTAAATAAGATTTAAAGATTAATAACAATCCTCTATAAATTCTTACAAAAAATAGAAGAGGAGGGAACCCTTCTCAACTCATTCTACAAGGCCACCATTACTGTCATCAAAACCAGACAAAGGCATCACAACACAAGAAAAGAAAACTACAGACCAAAAATCCCTTATAAATATAAATGCAAAACATCCTTAACAAAATACCAGCAAAGAGAACCGGCAACATATAAAAAGGATTATATACCACAAACAAATGGGATTTATCCCAGGAACACAAAGTTGATTTAACATCCAAAAATCAATTGATGTAATATACTATTTTAATATAATAAAGGACAATACCACATGATTATCCCAGCAGATGCTGAAAAAGTATTTCACAAAATCTAGCACTTTTTTATGATAAAATCACTAATCAAACTAATGAAAGAGAACTTCCTCAATCTGATAAAAAGCATCTACAAATATCCCACAGCTAACATCATATGTAATGGGAAAAGAATGAATGCTTTTCCCCTGAGATCAGAAATAAGCCAAGGATGTTTGTCTCCCCACTCCTATTAAACATTTTACTGGAGATTCTAACCAGAGGAATCAAATAATAAAAAAATTTTTTAAATTCCATATTGGAAAAGAAGAAGTAAAAGTATCTCTTTTCACAGATGACATGATCTTTTTTTTTGAGTAAGTTAATATTTTTAACAAAATCTTATTCTAACTAATTCTTTAGTTTTATATTAATGTATTTTTAATATCAAAGCCAAATTTCTAGAAAGAGTGACATGATCTTACATATAGAAAATCCTAAGGAACACACATACACACACAAAACGATTAGAACTAATTAAGAAGTTCATCAAGGTTAGCAGATAAAAGATCAGCATACAAAAATCAATTGTGCAGCAGCAATGAACGATGCAAAAGCAAAACAATAGCAAAGAGTAATCTGAAAATTAAATTAACTAAGCAATCCATGTAATTCATAATAAAAACAATAAAATAGAACAAATAAATTTAACCAACATGTGAAACCTGTACACTGAAAACTATAACATATTGTTAAAATAAATTAAAGATCTAAATAAATGGAAAGATGTTCATGTCTATAAAGTAGAATACTTAATATTGTTAACATGGCAATGCCCCTCAAGTTGATTTATGGATTTAACGCAATCCATATCAAAATTCCAGCTGCTTTTTTTAAAAAAAGAAATTGACAAGCTGATTATAAAATTCATATGGAAATCATTCAAAATAAACAAAACAAGTTAGAATTTTAAAAAAAGAACAAAGTTGGAGAACTCATACTTCCATATTTAAAAACTTACCATAAAACTATAGTAACCAAGATAGCATGGTACTGGTATAAGGATAGATACATAAACCAATAGAGTAGAATTGAGAGTCCAGAAATAAACCCTTCTAGGAATGGCCAATTCATTTTCAACAAAGATACCCAGACAGTTCAACAAGAATAGAACAGTTTTTTCAACAAATGGTTCTAGGCAAACCAGATATCCACATGCAAAAGAATAAAGTTACATTCTTAAATCATGCCATAGACAAAACAATTTCAAAATGAATCATAGCCTTACATGTAATAGCTAAAACTACAAAACTTCATGACTTTGGGAAAGGAAATTGTTTCTTAGAGACAACACCAAAATCACAAGCAACAAAATAAAAAATAGATAAATGGAACCATCAAAATGTTAAACTTTTGTGCTTTAGAGGACACCATCAAAAAGTAAAAAGGCAACCCATAGAATGGGAGAAAACTTTTACAAAGCATATATCTGATAAGGCACTTGTATCTAAAATATATAAAGATATTTAACAATTCAATAATTTTAAAATCCAATTATGAAAACGGGAAAATAATTTGAATAGACATTTCTCCAAAGAAGATACATAAATGGACTATAATTACATGAAAAGATGCTGAACATGATTAGCTATAAAGGAAATGCAAATCAAAACCTCAATGAGATGTCACTTTCCATCTAATAGGATGGCTATTACCAAAAAGAGATAAAAACAAGCATTGGGGAGGATGTGGAGAAATTTGAATCCTTGTACATTGCATGTGAAATGGCATAGTTACTCTGGAAAACAATTTGACAGTTCTTCAAAAAGTTAAACATGTACTTATCACATGGCCCAGCAATTCTACCCCTTGGTATATATTATAACGAAATGAAAATATATGCCCACATGAAGAAATATTACACACAAATATTCATAGCAGCATTATTTTTAATAGTCAAAAGGTAGAAACAACCTTAATACCTATCAAATGATAAATGTGTAAACAAAATGCAGTATAGCCATATGATGAAATTACTCAGCAATACAAAATGACATTTGGTACATGCTACAACATGGATGAACCTTGAAAACATTATTCTAAGTGAAAGAAGCTAGTCAAAAAAGACCATATATTGCAAGATTCCATTTGTATGAAATGTCCAGAACAGGCAGATCTAGATAGAATGTAAATTCAATAAAGGAAATTTTAGGTTTTAGATAGAAAGTAAATTTTAGGTTGCCCAGGACTGGCAGGGGAGAGTGGAATATTAATAGGTATGAGGTTTCTTTTTGGGATGATGAAATGTCCTAAAATTAGTTGTGGTGGTTGCACAACTCTGTGAATATACTAAATCCATAGAGTTGTGCAAGTTAAAGGAGTGTATTTTATTGTGTCTGAATTATATCCCAAATAGAACTTCTATTATAAAAGTCAAAATAAGAATCCTAAGTTTCCAATTTTCCTTTAAGGAGAGAATCCTAGTATCTATCTCATTAAAAATTTATACTTCCATGGACTTGGCTTATGAGATGTGTAAAAGCAAAGCCTGCTGGTGTTTGTGCTTGCAAGATAGTACACCCAAAATATAAAATGAACATGAACAAATATAAGTCTTAATCAGTTTTTCAAATTTCATCAAATTTCTTGTGTATCTTATGAAAAGTGACATCATTTGAAGCCAGCTGAATATTTTCCTTTGATCTACATAAAATAAATGCAGTGCTTAAATAAATAAGTTTGAAATTTCCCACCTGATTATCACACATCAATCAAACTCCCTTCATGTCAGGCAGTTCTGACTAGCTTCTTATAAAAGATACCAAGCACTTTATGTTTCTGAGCATTTCAAAATTTGCAAAGCTCAAATCAATCCTTGAAAGTGAGTGTCAGCTTATAGGTTAAATATCCAACAAGAGGACAATTATATATCTCAATGAAGAATATATAAGTCTGTGCAGGGGCATATAACACATTGACTAAGATAAAAATTATTCACAAATAGTTTAAAGCCTTGGAATGTTTCCTAAAAAAAGGTCTGGAAGTGGGAATTGTAAAGATTGTGAGCTTTTGAAGGTATAGTCTTTTGTTTCCATAGAGTTTTTTTTAAAGCTTCTAATTAAAAGAGCACTTATTTTGCTTAATAGAAAAGCTTATTTGATTTAAAAATCAACTTTAAAATAACTCTTGGAAAATTTTCAATTGACTTTATTAATTTTTTTTAATTTAGCACCTTAAGAGTAAATTTACCTAAGACTTTTATACTGTCATTAACAACAATAAGAGAAAATCCATCTCAGACTTTTAAACTGTCATTAATAACACAAAAGCAAAAAGTTTCATTTACACCATAATTCACAAAGGGGGAGCACTAAAATATTCCCAACTCCCACAGGTTTAAAAAAAAAAGAGAAGGAAAAGAAATCTGCTCAAGAGAGAGGAGATGGGACTAAATTTCCTTCCTAATTTTTATGATTCATTTGAAATGGCAGAAGAGAGGCAAGAAAAAGTCAAATTATTGAATTCTATTCCATATTGATGACAGACTCCACATGAACAAAACTCAACCGATATGTTTAATATCTTATGTTCATCCGCAAATCTCAGAAGAACACCATTACAGGGTCAGAAAAACGTAGCTTCTTCCAAAGTAAAGGAAAGCAGCCAACTCCACAAGAGTGCAAGGAAGAAGGAAGATGGTCAAAATGTTAAGGGGAATAAAACTGTTTGGTATTTAACATCCACACCATACAGGAAGGACTTTTGGCTTTTTTCTCTTAAACATAAAAATATAAAGAAGATTCAAAGATACAGGAGGTAAGTGCCTGTGAAATAAAGATAAAAGAAAAGTTAAAATAGCTAAAATTTTACACTTAATGTTTTGTGAGCTAGAAAGTATTGAATAAATATTAGCTTTTGTGTTTACTGTACATTCTGTAACCCATAGTAAACATCACAAAATATATGAGTTTCCTTGTTTCCTTTCCAATTTAATTCTACCGTATGTTAAAATTTCTGCTTACTTGCACATCCTATTGGTTTTGTTTCTCTGGATAGTCCTGACTAATACAACCACCATTAGTCGAGTTTTCTTTTATTTGCAGACAAATATATCCCAATGTTTGCCATGACCAAAATGATAAATCAGTGCATTATATATTTTCAAATTATAAATATTAAGAATTTTCTCTCACAGATATATAACTTCCTACCAACTAAGTAAATCTAAATTAAAATTACTGTAAGAAGTTATTACACACCTAAATTATAATAAAAATCTGGTACCGTATAAGCTATGGGAAAATTACACATACAGTTTAAGCATCCCTAATCCAAAAATCCAAAATCCCAAATGCTCTGAAACTTTTTGAGCACCAACACGATGCCACAAATGGAAAATTCCACATGACTTCTGTGGCCAGTGGCAGTCAAAAATGCAGTTAAAATTTTGTTTCATGCACAGAATTATCAGAAATATTTCATAAAATTACCTTTAGGTTATGTATATAAGGTGTATCTCAAACACAAGTGAACTGTATGTTTAAGACTTGGGTCCCATCCCTGTGATATCTCATTATGTACATGTAAGTATTCCAAAATCTGAAAAAATTCAAAATCCAAAACATTTCTGATCCCAAGTATTTTGGATAAGGGATGATCAATCTGTATAACCAATGCTGGTGGCACTTAAATTAGTTTGATCTTTCTAGAGTGTGATCTCCCAAAATGCAGCAAACCTATAAAAATTCTGATTTTGTTTTGGTTATTTTGCTTTGGAGAACAAACTCATCGCCAATATCGTAAAAAAAGAAAAAATAATTTGTACTAAGATGTTCTCTGCATCTCTATATATACGTTGAACTCTAGAAGAAACCCAGGACAGAAACTTCAGGAGAGGAAGTGGCAAAAGAGAAGACATCTATGACACGTAAATGGGTCGAAAGCAGTACATAGAAATGTAGATGAAATAATGTTAAGTTCAAAGAAAATAACTGAACACAGTACACACAGGATAGAGATTGAACATGAGTTTTCAATGATGTAAACTGAGTTCATATTCATTGGGTTCTTTGAGAAACTACAGTCACCCTCTTAAACTGTAATCAAGCAAACTGCAGCATCACCAATAAACAGACTTAAATTCTTAAAAACATGTGCCACAGCCTGCTTAAAAAAAAAAAAAAAAAAAAAAAAACCTGGAAGCAAAGCCTGAAGCTATCACAGTAGCAATTTGAATCCTTGAAATTCTAGCTCCCAGGCATTTGAGCACCTGTGGCAAATTATTAGAAAGATATCTACTGAAATGTTTTTGCGTTACACCATCAGTTACATGAAATACTTGCAGCTGAATCTTTCTGTAGTGCCAGCCCATCAGTGTTCGATCTAGGCAGAATTACAAAGCTAATGTTTTCTTGATATCAATCACATGTGTATTCAAGGACTCTTCCAATACATCTGTTAATGTTTTAACTGTTTATTCACATTTGTGTACCTCTTCTCTGCCTTTGAGGCAATAGACACATATTTTAGTCTTCTAATCTTTAGAAAAGTTGTATATGAGATATTTGTCTCACACAATGATACAGAAGGGGACAGAACTAATTCTGAAGATCGCTGGCACCAATAAGAAATCAGTACTTAGTGAATTCAAAGGAGGAAAGTAATGTATACAAACAGCATCTGTGCATCATTATCAGTATATTTGCTTAAATAACGTATTTCCATGAAATAAGAATGGATGACTTTTGATTTAAAATTTTCTTCCCCTTGGCCTTTTTTAAACCTTAGTTTGGTATCAGTGGTTTTCTTCTTCCTGTTAGACATCAGAGAAAGGCCTTTATTCAAATATGTAGTGATCCCTCAACGCCACAGATTTAAGGAAGGGTGATATTTTTGTTCCATAGATGCCTAAAGCATACACCATTCTGTCAAAAATCACAAAATACCACAAAGAGATGTTAGGCTTTTTGACAGAACACTCCAAGCTAGCACTTACTGAGCATTTGCCCTGTGCCTGCCAGTGTGCTGTGTGCTTTTCACACATTAATTCATTTACCAGTTATTACAACCCTGTGAAGGACTCTTACTGTCCCCATTGTACAGATGACAAAATTGAAACAGAGAGGCTAAGCCCATAGTCTCACAGCTAGAAGCTGACAAAGACAGAACTGAACCCTGGCAATCTGAATCTGGCTGGAGTCATGCTTTTAACCTCTATAGAATCTATCTTATATTGCCGCTCACCCCTCTAATGATGATGATGATTACTATTAGTAGCAATAAAAATGATTACTATCTAATGAATATTGATGATACATAGTGGGCTAAATAATTTCATCCATGACCGTATTTAATCTGTATATCAATTCTGAGATAGGTGCCAATATAATCATTTCTGAAGAGAAATGACAAACACAGGATCCCTGAATGGGTCAAGTGCTCTGGGCAAGAAATGAACTTTGTGACCAGGATTTTATTCTTTCCAGGTTTAAGGGAACCTATTTAAGTAATGCAGCACCTTTTAATCTTTATATTCCTTCTGATAATCATACCAAAAAAATATATATATAAAGCACTGTACTGTGCCTGACAGACAACATGTGGTTTATAAATGGTAGTTATGATCATCACCACCCATATTTTGTATATTCTTCTATATCGAAGTATCACTCAGCATTGTATTTATTTTATACCCATTTACGCACATTTATGTCTTCTGTATAGACACTATCTATTTTGCTTTTGCATACCTAGTATCTACAAGCTCAATTTCTGGACCACAGTAGGTGCTCTGAAGATGTTTATTGAATTTTGCTAGTCTGTGGCTTCTAACACCAACTTTCTTTCATTATAGAATCACCTCTTTGACCTTTATTTTCAGTTTTTCTTCAGGCTAACTTTACCATTTAGTTATTATGTGTCAGAATAACATGGAAGTCTTGCTAAAACAGATTGCTGGCCCAATCTCTAGAATTTCTGATTTAGTAGGTCCAGGGTGAGGCCAGAGAACTTTCATTTCTAACAAATTCCCACATAATGCTAATGCTGTAAGTCTAGAGTGCTGGAGACTTCAAGACTTCACCAGCAGAAAGGATTTATTCAAAGATAGGTCCTTGCCAATGGAAAAAGTGTGATCTCAACAGGGATCACTTTCACAGACTCGATCACAAATATACCTAAGTAGTTACCATGTGCAAGGCACTAATGTAGATGTCATGAAAGAATCAGTCCCTGCTATCAAGCAACTGGCATTTATTTTGAACAATATTACATCCATGCCCAGTGTGACTATAGAGTTGTGGATTTAATGATTACAGTAACAAATCCACTCAAACTCACATTTAAAAAGGAGTGTTTTTTTCTCTAAAACCATCACTATGGTAGGCTGCTCAGTTATCGCAGCAATTGCCCAGTGCTGTTAACAGTTTTGGAACTTTTCCTCTGAAATTGCCTTTAGAGCATTTGGCAGCCTTCCAAATGGTCTAAATGAAGGCAAAATTTGGTGCTTTAAAATTAGAATTAACTTTTGAAAACAGCCAAAATATGATTAACAAAATGAATGAATGATTTGGGGTCCAAATCAAGATATATTATAAAATAATGAGACTAATTTTTAATTTGTAGCTCATCAATTGGCCATAAAGACCATTTTAAAAGAGATTAGAAATGTTTATATCAATGGCACCTGCATTAGAATATGTGTTTAGACTTAGAAGTTATTTATATGATAATACTGATTAGATGTATACATTCTAGTATATTTGTTTTAAAATGCTCTAAAAATTATTTATTCCAACAGAATTTCAAAAAAATTGCAGCAAACTAAAAAACCAGTAATAAGGAAATTGTAGTATAAATTACGGTGTTCAATTTCAGTGGAATATTTTGCAGCCATTAAAATGTTAATTATGAAGTGTAGGAAAAACATGAAAATTTTTATATATATAGAAAATGTCAAGTTGTATGTAAACTATGATAAGCAATATAAAGTTTTATACACAGGGAATAGAGGAAATATGGGATAATAAAAATAGGTTTGAATGGCAGGGGAAATGACAGGATTTTTTCCTTATGAATTTTCTCATTTTCATATAACTACTAAGTTTATACTTTAAAAAAAATCAGTCTTTACTTTAAAATTTCTATTGACATTTTCCTAGGCAACAGAAAAGTATGAACAAGGCTAATCATAAACATTGTGAGAATGAAGGTATGAGTGTTTATGTATGTATATGATATGAGTTATTGAATACGCCTGAAGTCAACTAAAGAAACACCCTGAAAACAGATGCATAGGGGCAAAGATTCCCCAATTGTTTGAGAAAGTGTATATGATGACCTGCCACATAATTTACAGATGTGAAGGTGAACATGAGTCTATAAGATGACCACAAGGTCTAAATCAGATTCCCAATCTAGATACAAATGATTGGTGTTATCAGTTAAGACAGGCAAACTTATTCACTGATAACAAACAGCCCCTAAGATTTCACTCACTAAAACAAAGTTTCATTTTCTTCTCACATTACCTATCCATCCCAGGCCAATTAGGTGTTTATGTTGGCCTCAACCTCACTCTGGGATCCACGCTAATGGAGCAGCCACTCTCTGGAAAGCTGCCAGTCACTGTGGCAAAGAGGACAGCACTCTGAAAGGTCTCTCTCATCAGTAATTAAATGCTCTACTCACATCTCATTGGTTAGAAAAAGTCACATGTCCTCACCCAAACTCCAAGGGACTGAGATGTACAGCCCTGTTTTATGTGCAGGTGAAGAGCCAGAAATATCTAGAAACCAGTGCTAATGATTACCATAGTGAGCCAAGAGTGACTCAGTGAAGACAAAGGGTGAAAGGAGATCAACATGAATACTGAAACTGGACACCATAAAAACACACTAAAGACCAACTAAAGGATGAGAAAGTCATAACATAACTCTGCAGCCACTAAAAACATATTTTGAAGAATATTTAATGCCACAAGAAAGTGATTAAAACATGTTTCAAAATTGTGCATATACCGTTACCTCAATTTTGTATTTATGCAAATTGATTAATTACATAGCAAAAAATGACTTAAAAAATAGGGGAAAGGTAAAAGTGGTTTTGTCTGGGTGGTGGGATCATGGATGAATGTTATGTTTTTCTTGACTTTTCTACATTTTCCAAGTTGGCAAAAGGAGTAAATATTATATTTATAATAATAAAAATAACATCAACCTATATAACATTCTTAATTTTTTAAAAAGCTGTTAAGTTTGATTGCTTTTTTACTCTACCAACCGGACTATAAAGTGTCAGCTTAATATTGCCTTATTCACCCATTTTTATTCATTTCTTTCTCTCAGTACCTTTTCTAAATAGTCTTAAACTGATTAATAGTGATGAGTTAAGCAGACAGATCTTCAAAGGATTTGATTCTGTTGCTGAGCTTTGAAGAATTAGTGGGTGTTCCTTCCTTCATTTTGCAGTTTTAATTAATAATCTGGTTTAAGAAATTGAGAAATTAAATTTTTCTTTCAAAAAGAGAATACTTTTTAGGGAAAATAGAAGAGCTAGGGAAGGTATAAGAAACATTGCCAAGATCTTAGCATTCACACAAAATGCCACAATACAGGCTTTATTCTTCTCACATGTCTTGGAGAAAACAGGTGATGATAGGAAATAAATGCCTTTAAGGCAGAAGGAGTCAGTGTTAGGGACTGTTGGGCAGCTCAAATGCAGTATTTAGTTGATGTAAAATACTTTCATCTGGTACTTTGAAGTAGGCAAATGTATTTTTTTTGAACCACAAAGTCAAAGTATAAACAGGACATTGGTAAAATGGCATTTTATAAACATCTGGATAGTGTGTTCCTAAGGCCTAGGCCTAAGAATTCAGGAATCAGCTGCAATAATTCCAAATCCATCACTGATTAAAACACTTTTCAGACATAAAACCTCAAGTAGTTGCTGTAGTTTCAGATTGCACTGGAACATTCTGTAAGATTTAATTCACTTCATAAACACTATGGTGATGTATAGCCTTAAATTTAGAGTCTGAATTTTAAAAAGGAAGGGTAAGTCAAATCATCCAAAAATAGATGAACGTTAACACCAAAAAAACTGTAATCAAAGGGAAACTATTAATTCTACACTTAGAGCTATAACTTAAATTTTGTGAGAAATTAACACCTATAAATATGTTAAATCATACAAAAATGCTATCAAATATTTAATCAATTCTCCGTAATAAGATAATTTCTGCTTTTAAATATAGCAAAATAGACATAATTTTAAAAACTATTTTTCCTAGTTGCCTTGCAAGAATATTACATAATCTAAAGGGTCTCATGTGCTGAGAAATTTCCCTAAACTACCCGGTATAATGTCTTAAAACTGCCAACAGATTTGCTGAGCTTGTCATGAACCTCCTGCTTTTATGAAAAATAAATCATTCAACAAACCTGTGACGAGGCATATTTACCAATTACCAGAATTTAAATGTTTGGTTACCAGGTTGACTGGCCACAAAAAGTTTCTAGCTCTGTAAAAGGAGTGAAAAGGACTCATGGGTTAAATTAACTGATTCTGGCCACTTAATCATGCAATTAGAAATATTAAGCCAATTCAAAAAACATCTATTGGGTACTTAGCTGAGCCAGGTTCTGTGGCAGGCAATGGAGGTAGGCTACATCTGTGACCAAAACCAATGCAATTTCTGCCTCTAAGTACAACCATTTCATCTTTCCAAAAGCTTGTTGAGATTATATGCCAGACTAACCTACATGCCACCCTCAGGCTTTCCACCTTACTCCCTAAGACAGGCATGGTTTATCTATTTATCTATATATGTCTAGCATTTAGTATACACTCTAGTACATAGGCACTTAATAAATATTTCATGAATAAATGAGTGAATGGAGTGAAAAAGTTATACATTATTATTTTCATTATTATGCCTGTTAATGGGGGATAATGAATTTAGTACTGACAACTTGAGTTTAGAAAAAATTTAACCTCTCCTTCTCATCTGTGCTCTCTCTAACTGTTCTCAAACCCCACGGGTCTATTTTAAATCAGTATCATCTGAATTTCTAACTAAGTCTGTCAAAGAAACAGTCACATAGCAATTCCAAAGAAAGCTCAGCATAAGAGGCAAGGCCGTGTTGCAACCCCTCCAAAGTCAGATAAACTGAAGTTGAGTGGAATAGGAATTCAATAAATAGCCACCCTCCACAGGGTAGCATATCGACCATACACACCAGGAAGGGTCCCGCTGGGCATAAGGCATGAGATACCTGGGTACACGTCTATGTGCTGCTCAGCTCTAAGTCAGACTGGTGTGCAGAAACTCCTTCTCTGTTATTCTTCCCTAAGACAGAGACAGCCCACTGTGGTGGTTTAATCTCAACACCCGCCTCTCTACTCCAGACAGACTCACAGGTTCTCACTGAGTAAAAGAACTAGTTCAAGTGTTCAAACTGGATAGAGCTCTGCTGTTGTTTGGGGAGCTGTTGATTCTAAGTTAAATCCTGGATAGGCAGAGTTACCATATGAGCCAGAGAAACTGACATTCAAATCCAACTTTCACACCAATGCTATGACCCCTCACCACTCCCTGGCCATGTTCCAATCTTTATTATTTTATTATTATTATTATTGTTATAAATGTCAGTAATAACACCTAACATTTTGTCACTTAGAATTTATTAAGCATGTTCTCATAAATTTTACCTACTTTACACAATAATCTTATAAAGTAGATATTGTTACTTAGTTTAACAGTGGAGACACTCTGGCTCAAATTTAAGTAACTTGTCCAGTATCACACAGCTAGGAATGAAAGGAACTGGAATTTGAATCAATACCTACAATAAATGTTTTCTGGGAGAGACATACTCTCACTCCTCTCCTCATGCTGTGCCCCATCCCCCATCCTATTCCTCCAATTAGCTATTGGTGCTTATTTCCCTATGTTTGAAAATACAGACAACAAGTAGATTTAGGATACATTTTTAAATATTACTGAAATAAAGATATTTATTTAAAACTCAACAAACATTGATTGAGGCACTCTTTTAGGTTTGGAAAATATGGCAGTGAATGGGATATTTTCTTATCCTGGTTTGTGACCCTTTTGGGTTTCCTATAATCTTGCACTCTGCACTGTTTGATCTTTGAAAATATAGAATATGTAGCCATTCTACATACTGCTTCTTGGGCCAATTGGCTCTCTGAGGTTCCCGTACCCTTTAAGAACACAGACATGCCCCTTTAGACTTCTGATGAGTCCACATAAATCATCATCTCTGAAGTTTCTGTGGTCTGCAGCCTCCTTCTCTCCTGTTGGGGTGAAGGAAAAGCTTTGGGTGGGGCCATGCATAAAGTCTCCAAGAACTTACAGGAAATCAGAGAACTCCAGATGGCAATATCTTCCATCATTTCCAACTGGGAGAATGTGGCCAAATCTGGAGAGTGGGGACTGGAACAGCTAAACATACTAGGTGCCTAGGTCAGCTTGACAGGGTGAGGCACTGCAGGCCTCCAACTCCAGAATAAGCCAGTTAGGAAGTGAGAGAGGAATAGTGTCCACCTCTTCCAAACCTTCCTTTTGGCACAAACCACCCTCTCCCTCAATTCTCAATATCATTCTTCTTCCAGCTATTTCCGTAAATGTCTGGTGTGTGTCCAGACAAAAGTAATACTGGCTATTACCAGTGATAGCAGTTACTATGTAGCCTATAATCACAAAGACCAATAATAATTATACATACCATTAAAATATGTCAGATCTAATTTGTTAGTAATTTTATCTGATGCCAACATCAAAACCATTCATGAGGTCTCAGACTTCACAGTCTGTCACTTATACAGTATGATCATCTGCTCACAACTTTAAAAGCCATTAAGTGACTTTCCAGTCAAGACCATCCATTCTCCATAAAACTCCTTAGCAATGCTGTCACTGAGACACTTTGGCGTGCAGCTACTCACCTGAGAAGAGCCTAGCAAAGCTGTTTCCAAGCATTAAAAGCGGAAAACAATGCTGGAATCAAAGCATTTCCTGAAACACTAAACAAAATAGCACTGTATTCATTAATGAAGCAAATGCATATAATCAGTACATTCTTGACTATGAGAAACCTAGGAATCCTTTTCCTCTCCTACATGCCATATGCAAAAGAAATAAGCTCATTAATTCAGCCTCAACTCTTCTTCCCTTTACCCTCACCTTCACCACACCTCTTCCTGCCCAATTTCACTATCTCTATTGCCTCCTCACCTGTATAAGCAGACACTTAGTCCAGGGTCAGCCTTCAGGTTTTTGCACTCTTTTTATACTTTTATCCCTTGAAAATGTCTTCCCCTATCATACATTCAACTATCAGAGCTATTTAAAGTCCTGCTTCCCACCCCAAGTCTAAACCTCCAACTCTGGCCTCTCTTCCAAGCTCCTGACATTTGTTTCCAATTACCTGACATCTCCACCTGGATTGAATCCCAAACCAAAACCATCATCCTCCCCCTGCTCCAAACATGTTTCCTTATATTCCTATAATGGCTACTGGCTTGAAATCCTAGAAACTAAGTTCTTATTCATTTATTTCCTCCATATCTGAATTGGTTAGAATCAGATTGTAAGATCAACTGCATGTAACAGAATCTCAAAATCTCAGAGGCTTCAACAAGGTAGTTCATTCTTTTCTCATGTAGAAGGCTAGTGAAATTTAGTCAAGGGATGGTATGGCAGAATTCTGTTCCATGAAGTTCTTTGGGACTCAGTCTCCTGCCAGTTCATCCCTCCAATATTGCTAGGGTCCAAATTAGCAGCTGGACCTAGACCAAGATGGCAGGTAATCTAAGAAGCAGGATGGAGGAAGTGATAAAGAAGAAGGTGGGCCAGCCATCTTTTAGGTATGCTACTGCATGATACTTCTGGCCAGAACATCGTCACATAGGCACACTTAGCCACAAGCAAAACAGGTAAATAGGGTCTTCATTTTAGACAGTCATGTTTCCAGCTAAAAATCAGGGTTTTTATAACTGCAAGAGAGTAAAGAACAGATATGTAGGTGTCTGACACCATGGTTCATATCTAATTGTCTAATCCTTTATGTCGTAGCTCTACAATATATCTAGAATCAGCACTGCAATTCTAAGCCCTAATCACATCATTCCCTGGTCAAAAGTCTTCAATGGCTTTCCAATGCCTATCAAAGTAACTCCATATTCCTAAACTAGCTCCTTAAGATCACCCAAAATTTGATCACAAATTATTTTTTTTATTTTATCTAACACATTGTCCAAAATTGAGATAGCCTAACTACTTGCCATAATAATTACTACCATTTATTGAGCACCAGAAGGTTTACATAGATTATAACCAGTCTTTCTCTCCTCTCTCTCTCCTTTCTCTCTCTCCCAGACACACACACACACACACACACACACACACACACACAAATGCAAAAATCAATATTATTGTCCCCATATTAAAGATGAGTAATCTGAGATTTAGAAAGGTTAAGCAACCTAGGCATGGTCCCGTATGCATAAGCGGAAGGGCTGGGATTTAAAGGCATAGTTGTGTGGTCTCAAAATACATTGTTTCTCTGCATCCTCCACCCCATCTCCTATAACACACACTGCTAGTCATCAAACAAGCTGTCCTCCTTCATGGCTTTGCTTATGCCACTACCTTACCTATGACACCTGTATCCTTTATCCCTGTTGAGATCCCATCACTTGTTGATATTCAAACAATTTTCCATGGCCAGTTAGCATACTATCTCCTTCAAGAAAGTTTCTCTGAGTTGTTTGTGCTTTCTCCCTCTACCTGTATCCACAACCACCAAAAGTGCTTTTCTTCCTGAGTGCCCACAATATTTGTTTGTATTTCCTTTAAAGTCCTAATTATATTCTATCTTATGTCAGGGTTGGCACTATCCCAGCCTGGCCTCTCTCTAGGCTTCTCATTCTCAGAGTGCTGGCCCTTTGTGTTTGTCATTTGTATGATCCCTGTGGGTACCAGATAATCGGAGTAATTATCTAATTTTTGTTTAATAAATAAATATGGATTTAAACATACCATGTTTGTTTAACAATAGGCACATCTGTTTTAGATGTATCTCCACAGACGGTTGACTATGTTCTCTGCAATAACTTCTGACGCCAGAATTAGCAAAGGGAAGTGAGAATGTGAAGAATTTGTCACACTCCAGTGACATCCTCGTCATGTACTTAAACGTCTTCAGGGTCAGAATGTACTAATTGGGAAATAGAAGATCTTGTAAGCTTAATGACCTAAACAACCTTCCTCAATCCTTATTGCTTTTCCCCCTTTCATTTAGATTTTGTCCTCTCAGCTCTGACCGCACTCCATTAACTTCTTGCCCTTTTCACTGTTCTTCCCAATTTTCTGCTTTGTCTTAGTCATAAAATTCTAAATTACTGGTAAAAAGCAAAGCCCTTTCTTAGACAACTGGGCATATAATTTTGCTCCGAACTAGAGTTTCTTGGTTTGGTTTCTATTTCTTATATTCTAAAATGCTCATGCTGGCTTAGAAGTACAATCTAGACAATTTATATGATGTAGTACCAAAAGATGTCACAGTCTTATTCATTTTTCTATCACTAGTGCAAAGCCCAATGTCAAATGCATAAGAGAGATTTAACAACTGTTTAAAGAAGAGTGAATAAATAAGTCCAGAAGAAAGAAAGATTGCTTTATTTCTGACCCTTCCTCCGTTATATTTCAAAGAGTTAAACTGTCAGTACAAAATCAAAATACATTTTTAAATTCAAAATAAACCAGCATTTATTACCAAGACACTCACATTGAAAATCCATGTACTAGTTTTGAAAATAGATACTACAGTTTCTTGCTTCAGTACAACAGGCAGGATATTAATGCTGTTTAAAGGTAAGCCATTGAAAAGGAAAAAAGGAATAAGGAATTTTTCTTTAGAATTTTAGGTTAAGTGTCCAGAGGCTAAGACTTATCCTGCTTCCTCCCTATTGAGCCAGGAGCTTAATTCCACCCTGAAGTGAAAGGAGAACCAAGGCAACTATTCCAGCAGATCCACCCTATGAACTGGAAGAGCTCCTGTTGGCTGAATACATTTGCACACCCCATGTTCACCAGCTCCAATCTTTCCCACTGCTCAATGCCAATCAATGCCTACTTAGAAAAAGCTACTTTCCCACTCCTCATGGTCTGCCAAGGAAAGAAACTGTTACTGGATCAAGGAGCTTCAGAGAATTGGAAAAGGTATTCAAATACACTGAGTGAACCATCCAAAGGACTGATTTTTATAAGCACATGGGAAAATTGCCAATATAAATAAAAAGCGAACCTCACAGCTTTGAAGCCATGGCCATAGCAATAATAGCTAAGCTTTTCAACTGAGAAATTGCCTGTATATTGAAAATATGCTATTATTAGTGATTTGGCTTTTTCTACTGAATATCTCCTCAGTATCTACATTACTCACTTGGTGTCTTAGAAAATGTGTTAAACTCTTGTAATCCATGGCATGATCACTGCACACGTTGTAAAGGTACTAAATGTACCCACAGGAGAGCACTGAGGTAAGAGTGGCAAGGACAACACAGCAGGTAAGCTTTCAGTGTGCTCAGAGTCTCTAAAAGAGTTCATAGAACTCTCAATGTTACTAGTAGAACTGTTTGGTACTAGGGCCAACCTATAAGATCAGAGATAGACCTGGTTTATTTAAAGGGAAGCCTCAGCCCCTGAGATTTAAATTTAAGTCTTTTTGGAGAACAATTTGGTAATCTCTATTAAAATTAAAAATCCATATTTTAAATCCAGAAATTCCAGATATTAGTAATTGCTATAAATAAGTACACAAAATGTATGTACTTCATTTTAAATTATAAGACTGTAACAGTGACAAATAAAAATCAGCATGTCTATCAACAGGGAAATGGCCAAATAAGCCACAGACATCATGCAATGAAAGAATCTGAAGGAGTTAAAAGCAATGAGGGAGAAGTTCTACTTCTAAGTATAATGAAGTTGTTCATGGCAGGCCAACATGCCCACTAAAAACAACTAGAAAAGTTAAATAAATTATAAAAATCACATATTTAAGGACATTAGAAAGTTAATGAAGCCAAAAGTTCTAACAACAGTAAAATTATAGAAAGGAAAGATTTCAGAGGTGATCTGAGGACATGCAGCCAACTTCAGGGACACTTGCCACCCTAAGCTGGCTCATTCTAGAGAATGGAATCTAGGGTAGGTTCAGGCAGAGGGAAGCTGCTGGGACAAAGAAACCAGCAGATCCTCTGGAAACCATGTACGGCTTCAGTGGTTAAATTGAAGATTTGAGGAGACTTGAACACAGAGTTGGTCTCCCTGTCAAGTTATTTGTCATGTTCAGAAGCTGCACAGTACAGAAGACTAAAGAGCTAAGCCCAAATCTCTCAAAAGCAGACAAGATATTCTGCAGTCTCTTAGTGCTGAGGAGACAAAGAATTACAATCAAAAGCCCTGGAGGGCCATGCTTCTGAAATAGGGAGAACAAAAAGTAATTTAACAAAATTGCAACCTGTTCTGATGCAACTTAGTCAGTTGTTGGATTAAGGCAATCAGTCTTTCAACCTGATCTGCCTAGTAGAGGAAAGGTAAACCTATGGAGCATCAATAGCTTTTTAAAACAATGCCTGGCATTCAAACAAAAAAATATTAGGCATACAAAGAGTTAGAAATACATGAATGACACTCAAGAGAATAAAAACAATGAAGTAGTGCTATATGCACTGATCATTTGGCAGCTGAGTTGTTAGAAAAAAGCACAAAACTACACAAACACACATACACACACACATATACATATGTCAGTGCATGGGAACAAAGTCTGGAAGAATATAGATCAAACTCACATTGTTCGTTATATCTAAGAATACTGACCTCAATAGGGTGGTGTGGGTAGTCAAGGAAAACATTTATCTATATTATTCAAATCTTTGTGTATTTTTTAAAGCAACGAATTATCAAAACTACTTAAACAGTTCAGTCACCTCAGGAGTGGGGAAATACACATAGCTTTCTGCATCACAGGAAAAGATTGCAATATGTGGGAAATTAGTGAGCCAGCAACCCGTCTGCCTTGAAAGGGCAGGAGAGAGACTGGTGGGCAGGAAGCAAATGGGAGACCTCTGCTCATTAACTACCCCAGCAGTGGTGATTCTGGTTATGCCCATTTTGCTAATATAATTTTGCATTAGTAATTTTCAGTTGGGTAGGGAAAACAAAGAACTAACATGCAGGATATCAGACGCTGCTGTGCAAGGAACCCAGAAGTTAAGCAAGGAATTAGAAATAGAAGGTAAACTCAAAGTAGGTAGAAGATTATCTGATAAAAGCAAACACAGATGCACATACCAGTCTTGATGAGGCCTGCCACAAGATAGAGAAAATGAATAATCCAAAAGAAACACTCAAAGTGAGGAGCTGGGGGACAGTGTGCAGAAGGATCTCTAGTAAGGCCTGGATTCCCCCCAGGAAGTATTAATATCTCCTTCTCCTGTGTACCTACCAGACTTCATATTTCCCTTAGTACATTCTCCCTTAAGACACAGTCTTCATATACACATCTTCTCCACACTCATTTAACACTGAGTCCCCAGAAGCCAGACACTACACTGGGAGTACCTCAATATCCTACCTCACTCTTAGGAGAGTGGCCATACATGGTAGGTGCTCCAAACATGTTTATGATTTAAGCCAAAGTGAAGAGACCTCTGATCATGGTGCTTATCAGCAAGAAAACAATCAGACATTGACTTTGCAGGGCCCCATTCACTGCGACACTCAGTTTTGAATTATGAATTGAATACTGCCTGCTTAGCATGATGCTAAACTCAGTTTTTGACAGCATAAGAATTATCATGACTTGTCTCTTCCCAGTCTGCTTTCTGATCAATCTTGCTTTCCCATACCTCCTAAATGGGTCAGCAGTTTTGAGTTATGAGGAACACAGGGACAAGAAAAGTAACAAGAAAACAAACCTTTAGGAACAGTTCCCAGTGGAGAACCAGTATACAGGAAGCAGGTAATAAATATTTATTGACTACCTGACAACTAAAATGTCTTTTCTGGCTGCAATGTGTACAGCAGTTGTAAAAGAATGACTAAAAGCTGCTGCACTATTCAAGCATTCCACACTTACTCCAGTTAAGAAAGATTTTTCATTTTTCATTTTGATAGCTGACCAACAACCCAGTGAAATTTTCCTCTGATCGTTTATCCTTATCTGAGGATAAGACTGCTTAAGGGCAAACAAAGCTCTTTTGAAAATCTTCTGTTCAAAGCAGAAGTCATGGGAGAAATGACTTCATAAGAGGAGATCTCACTGTGTTCCTTAAGTAGAGGAGGAGGCGGGGGTTTTTGTGTGTTTGTTTATTAATAAACATGCAGATGCCCCTCGGATCCCTCTGGGCACTACTTTCTGGCACTCTATGCTTATTGGCCTTAGTTTATTCACCTTACAGATTCATTTCTTCTCTAGTGACCTTGAGGCACTATCTGCTGCTAAATTTGCAGCAAGGCCGTGTGTGGCTGTGCAAATCCATAGGTGGCTACCCATGCCTATTAGCAATCAGAGCCAGGCAGGCAGTTAAATTACAGGCCTGTCCAGGCAGAGACTGATGGGTCTAGGCATTGTCAACCTACACAAGAAAGGAGAGACTCGGACAATTTCCCTAGCAGGTCACATCACATAGATAACAAAACAGGTACTGAGGATGCTCCAGGAACTGAGCATGGCTTCCAGGCTTGACAAGCCCACTTTTATTTCCTGGGCACATACTATCTTCTTAGCACTACACGAAGAATATAAGACCTAGTCCTTGCTTTCACAGATGTTAGAGTCTAGTGAATACATGTAGAATAACAGAACCACTAGAGAAGAGGTTTTTCCTTAACCACTCTCTTCATCCTTTTGTCAACACAGCATTTATGAAAACCTGAAACAACTCAGTTCATGTGTTTATTGTCTATCTCCTCTGCCAGAATGCAGCCTCCATGATCGTATGGGTCATCTCTGTCTTGTTCTCCTCTGTATCTCAGCCTTAGTACAGGCCTGGTCCATACTAAGTACTCAATCAATATTTATATACACATACATTCAAGGAACAGGTGCTCTTCTGGATACTGAGGCTGAGGCAGTGAACACGATAAGCAAGATTCCTTCTCTCACTGTACCTACAGCCTGATGAGGGAGATCAACAGTAAAGAAGTACACAAATAAACAAGATAATTTCAAATAAAAATATGTGCCATTAAGAAAATAAAACCTAGCAGTCACTCTTGAGTCCTTTATTTTTCTCACCCCTTATATCCAAACCATCAGCAATTCCTGAAGACTTTTTCACAGAACAGCCAAGCTTGCCCACTGCCCACTGTCTCCACAGCTACCACCCTAGCCCAGCTATCGTAATTTCTCACCTGGACTATTGGAATAGCCTCCTACATGTCTGTACTTCTTACAACATTCCTGCTCCACACAATCTGTGTCCCGCTGGGCAGTGATCTTCCCAAAGCACAGATTAGATCATATCACTCCTCTGCTTAAAACTTATTTCCAATCAGGATAAAATGCAAGCTCTGAATCAGGGCCTATATGACCTTCCATGAAGATCTTGCCCTGCCAACCTCTCTGCTCACCTCTCTGACCTTTCTCTCCCTTGCTCAGTGTATTCCAGTCACACTGGCTTTCTTTCAGTCCCAGAACTGGCCAAATGGTTCTGTCCGTTGATCTGTTGCACCAGCTGTTTTTTGCCTAAGAGGCTCTTCCCCAAGAGCTCTGAATGGAGCTTTTACTTTTCATCCTTCAATCCAAGCTGACTGCTCTTCTGGAGAAGTCTTCCCTAACGGGTGTATCTAGTGTAACTTCCCCCTGTCCTCAAATCAACACTCTAATGCATTACCCTATTTTATCTTTTATGGCATTTATCACTATCTGAAATTACCTTCTTTATTTGCTTACTTAGTTTCTGTCTGTCCCCACTAGTAAGTAAGATGCGTGAGGGAAGGGACCTTGCTTGTTATTCACAGTCACTATTGGATTCCCAGTGCCTTTCACAGGGTAGGCCTGATACATTTTCGTGAATGAATAAATGAGAGCGGCTGAAAGGACTTCTGTAGACAATGTATCAGAAAGGCCTCCCTGGGGAAGTGATATTTGAATTAAGACCTGAATTTTAAAATGAATGAATGAATGGATGAATGAATTCTTTCTATAGTTTGGAAGCTAATCCCCCTATTTCTAAAAACCAGGCATTCTCCTATCAGGGCTGGATCTACGTCTTTGTGCTGGACCCCTGGGTTCATGATCTGATACCAGATCATGAACTGCTGTTCCCAGCCCTCCTCAGCAGCTGCCTGTTGTCTAGATGCAGGAAGGTATCTTTCTGTGACTAACTGGAAGGATGGCTGTGATTGTTATGTATCAACTTGACTGGGCCACAGGGTGCTCATATATTTGGTCAAACTTTATTCTGGATGTTTCTGTGAGGGCATTTTTGGAAGAGATTATCATTTAAACTTGTAAACTGAGCAAAGCACATTGCCTTTCCCAATGTGAGTGGACCCTATTCAAGCAGCTGAAAGCCCAAATAGAACAAAAAGGCTGACCCTCCCCAAGGAAGAGAGAATTCCTCCTGCCCTGCTGCCCTCAAACTGGGATATCAAGCCTTGAATTTCAGAATGTTTTATATGGACCCCAAAAATTGCATTTTCCACTAAATACCTTCCCATGACATTTATGGCCATGGTTCCCTTTCTGGAAAGTGAGAGCCAGCAAAATCAGTCAGACTGTGTGGCAATTGAGGAAGAATGTTTCCTGCCTTTGCATTTGAAGTAAAACGTCAACTCTTCCTTGGTCTCCAGTCTGCTAGCTTTAGGATTGGAATTACACAATCAGTTCTCCTGTCTCAGGCTTCAAACTCAGACTGTAACTAAAGCATTAGCTCACTTGGGTCTCCAGCTTGCTGACTCACCCTGAAGATTTTGGGACTTGTCAGCCTCTGTAATCATATGAACCAATTCTTTATGATAAATTTCTTCATATTCACATACACAAACACACACCCTATTGGATGAATATAACATAGCCTTTCCTTTCATGTTACACTTTTACTGGGCTTTTAGTTCCACCACATTTTTTTTTTTTTTTTTTTTTTTTTTTTTGAGACGGAGTCTCGCTCTGTCGCCCAGGCTGGAGTGCAGTGGCGCAATCTCGGCTCACTGCAAGCTCCGCCTCCCGGGTTCACGCCATTCTCCTGCCTCAGCCTCCCAAGTAGCTGGGACTACAGGCGCCCGCCACTACGCCCTGCTAATTTTTTGTATTTTTAGTAGAGACGGGGTTTCACCGTTTTAGCCGGGATGGTCTCGATCTCCTGACCTCGTGATCCGCCCGCCTCGGCCTCCCAAAGTGCTGGGATTACAGGCGTGAGCCACCGCGCCCGGCCCACATTGTTTCTTAAAAGGAAGACACAATACAACTTTTCTGGGTGACTCAATGTTATCCTTATGAATTTACACCTCCATAGGATGTGGCAACCCAGCTTTGTGGTTACACTTCCGTTTTCTTGTCTCCTCTCTGTATGTCAAAATAACCTCTATCATTCCCACATCTGCTAATGTGATGTGTCCACAAAACCCAGAAATTTAAACATGTTAAAAATAATGTGCTAAAGGCCCAGAAGCTCTTGGTGAGAAGAGCAGCAATACAATATACTACCTTGCTGTGTGGGGTTAGAATAGCTATTAGGCTGGCTCAGAGGCCTTCTTCTCTGATTTCCACCTTAAATTGTTAATGAAACTTTAACCTCCAGATAAGTATGGCGTTACCATCATTGGTTTTGCCATGACTATGGGAATCCTAATACCAGGACATGCATAATTTAGTAGAAAATTAAAATGATAAAAGTATGTGGAGTGTACACTACACTACCAAATAATGTAGGCTACACACACTTTAGCCTATACTATTTATTTATTCACTCACAATAAGCCTTTTCCACGAGTAAGTTTCATCACTAAATTATCAACAACAACAAACCTTTCAAAACACGTAAATTCAGAGCCAAAGTATACAGGCTAGAAAAAGTTGATCTTCTCATGTGAACCAAATATTGACCAAAAAAAAAAAAAATCATGCCCAGTATTATAAACATCTGCTTTGTTTGTGTACCTAAAATATAAACTTATATTGCTCTTTCAGAAGGTCTGTTAAGTGACCAGTAACAGCACAGTGCAAGGTTGAGAGAAAGAATTTGACTGCAAACAAAAGCAAACAGCAAATGTCACATGAATTACCAGTCTTCACAGGAGAAATTCCATCTGTGTCTATAAAGGTTGAGCTTTCTCTTCCTGTTCTCAGAATATGTTAAGAATATAATGATTCATAGATTAGAGCCTGTCACAGCGCCCTGGCCTTGAATTTTAGAATGTTTCATATGCGCCCCCAAAAATCACACCTTCTACTAAATACCTTCCCATGACATTTATGTCCACGGTTCCCTTTCTGGAAAGTGAGGGCCAACAAAATCAGTCAAACTGTGTGGCAACTGAGGAAGAATGTTTAAGAACACTTCCATTCACATCCTGACAAGAACATCAAATATTTTGCAGCTTAGGTAACAGTCCTATTTTAGTAAACAACTGGAATTACACAATCAGTTTAGGGCTCACAATTAAGACTTCTTCAAATATGTGCCCACAGGGGTCTGGGAAGCATCAGTAGTAATAAGCATAAATAACAAGTACTGGCTATTCTTTTGGGGGCATGTAAGCATCTTATGCTGAGTCACTATCACCTTTTTTACTTGGAAACTTCCAAGAAGAAATACATTTGCATTTCAAGTTTCCATCTGGGTCAACCATGAACAAATAAGAATAGAGGAGAGAGACAGAGAGGCCGCCTGGAACGTGAGCTGGGAGCCCGATAAGAATTTCTCCAGCCGTGCCATCTGGTATGTCCTGGCACTTGTCATCCAAATTGCTATTCTCCTGAACAAATTTAGTTTCCCCCAGACAGTTCAGCTTAAATGAGCTCATACTGTCTATCTGACACCTGTCAAAAGAAGAGTGAAAAACTTCTCTAAGCTCTAAACTGAAGGAGGTAAGGAGGCAGAAAGAGAGAGAAATAAGCAGGAGCAAGGAAGAGGGCGAGATGGGATGTGTGCAGAGCAGAAAGAGCTCTTTCTTTGAGTGTCAGTGTATTTTTATGTTCACCTACAAACCTAATGCTGGAAGGTGGGGAAGGAAGGAAAAGCACCACTTCCAATCATATTTGCTGAGAGAAATACGATTGAACACACGAAAAATGAAAATAGTACAAACTACCTTCACTCTCACCTAGTGTCTTTTTTTTTGTGTGTGTGTCTATTTGTTGTCTATGGTGTTTTGTTTTGTTTTTAGTTAAGAAGGAAGGAAATAGCAGTGGAGAAATGTGATATGCTTTTGACAGCATGACCAATGCACTTTTTCCATCCCAGCTGGAACAGGATTCAGTAACAGGCAAGGGCAAGTGGAGGAGTGATTTCATTAACCAAGTCTTGATTTTGAGGTTTGCGTATCTGCAGATCTGCTTTTTCCTCCCAAAGTCTTGGGAAGCTGCCAATATGGGCAAAAAAATAAAAAGTGATGGTAACGGATTGAAGCTGCCATAGGGCAAATCTCTGGAAGGAGAAATATCATAAATAATTACCAGGAGGGTACTGCCTGTGCCTTTTGCCTTTCGAGTTGGAAGATAACAGAGAACCAAATTTAGTAACTGCTATTTGCCAGAGGAAGATACTGAATAAAGAGAAGGAAGAGGGGGACAAGAGAAAAGGGTAGGAAACAAATGGGCCTCACAGGAATACAATAAAAGATAACTTTCAAAATCCATCTTCCAAAACAAAGGGCCCAAGACTGTCGAGTCCCCTTCAAATCCATCTAATCTCATAGCACATTTGTTTGCAGTTTTCCCCCTTTCGTTTTCTTTATTCTATGGTTTGAAAGTGTCCCCTCCAAAATACAGGTGTTGACACTTATAATGGCCAATGTGATGATATTAAGTGGTGGGGCCTTTAAGAGGGCTCCTCCCCTCATAAATGGGATTAAGGCTTTTATAAAAGAGGTTTCACACAAAGATTTGGTTCACTTGTCCCTCTGTTCTTCCACATGTGAGGACACAGCGTTCCTCCCCTCTGGAGGATGAAGAAATAAGGTGCCATCTTGGAAGCAGAGAACAGCCCTTGCCAGACAACAGAAGCTGCCAGTGCCTTGTTTTTTGACCTCCCAGGATCCAGAACTGTGAGAAATAAAGATCTATTCTTTATAAATTACCCAGTCTATGGTATTCTGTTATAGCAGCACAAATGAACCAAATACTCTACCTGGACTTCTCAATTGGAATACATTGTTTGGTCTCTTTTGCAACCTTTACGAATATGACCTTACAAAGAGACTTACCTACGTATTTTTCATTTGTAGTTTAGTTATCTCACGACTCTCTCAAGTTGAAAAACAGATAATCAAAAACCTTTTTTTCAAAATGTCCTGATCAAGTTACTCAGGTGTAAAATGTGTCTAAAGCTCCCTGCCTCCCAAAGCTCTTGTAAGGGTCCAAATGAGGTGATATTTATGAAGCATCCAAAACATAAAAGCTATTGAGTGTATGCTAGCTCTTTTCTTTACCCCTCTCTGAATTAAAAGGTTCCTAGAACTTACAGCAGAAAAAGCTAGATCAGTAAAGGGCAATATTTGGATATGAATCCACAAACTTAAGTTTTCTAAAGGGAATAAATCCAATTAAAGATAAAAAGCGGCCAGGTGCAGTGGCTCATGCCTGTAATCCCAGCACTTTGGGAGGCTGAGTGGATGACCTGAGGTCAGGAGTTCCAGACCAGCCTGACCAACTTGGAGCAACCCTGTCTCTACTAAAAATATAAAATTAGCCAGGTGTGGTGGCACATGCCTGTAATCCCAGCTACTAGGGAGGTTGAGGCAGGAGAATCGCTTGAACCCTGGAGACAGAGGTTGTGGTGAGCCAAGATCTCACTGCTGCACTCTAGCCTGGGCAACAAGAGCAAAACTGCATCTCAATAAATAAATAAATAAATAAATAAATAAATAAATAAATAAAATAAAATAAAATAAAATAAAAATAAAAATCAGTGTAACACCTTAATGCCTTTTTGGAGTATTTACGAGCATCAGAATCTCTTTTCAAAAGGATTGCAATGAGCAGTATTTTAAATACACCATGATATTATGGATACAGCTGGAACTAAGCGACTTGAGGTGCATAAGCAATGGAGATCTATTTCACAGCTTCTTTCCTTAGTAGGCAAATAGATGACATTTTGTCAGCCTTGCCTCCCTGGAGATTAAAAACCAAGCCCCAGAGGAAGGCCAGGCAGCTAACACTAACACATATAGGCCCTTCCCCTGCTGAGGAAAGGAAAACTCAAAGCCCATGGAAAGCTTACCTTTTCACAAGGTGAGTTTCCACTTCCTGTGACAGTGTCCACGAAACAGTTCACTCTGCTAAAAGCCCTATCAAAATGAGCAAAAAACCACTATTACGTAGCATTTGGGGAGCACATTGAATATTCTAACTCCTAAAAATATCAATTTAGGGGGGACCTACGGAGATCAAATCAATGCATGCCTAATTAACTTACTTTAATCCTGGAAGGCTGGGTGTAGTCTGATGGAGACTTGAAAGAAAAGAAAGATGGCATAAAGAGCTAAAAAATAATGTGTCCTTGTTCTTCTACTTAGCTGAATGACCTTCAGCCCCAAGCTCCTCATTTATAAAATGAAAGAGTAGAGCAAATGTATAAGGGTTCATCCAGCTTGAACATTTAAAAAATCTGGGTTCTAAAAATGATAGTAAGTCAATATAGAAAGAAAGTGCTTGTAAAGAATTCCAAGTGCCAAGCCACCAAAAACTGGATCAGGCCAGTAAAACATAGAGAAGTGATGGTGGGGAGGATGAGGGTGAGGATGTTATCAGCTAACATCTGGGGATGTCTCACTAGAAGGGCTGCACCAATCCATGCACACCAAAGGTGTGGAATCTTTTAATCCACTCTGACTTCCTTTCTGTCATACTTCCCAACATATGGAGCAGCACTGGATTGACTATAGGCATTGAGGATCCAGCTAGGAGAAGCTGACCTGGAGATATATTGGCTTGGGTTTACAGGGATGTGCTTAGGTGATTCACAGTTGTTTCCATCTTGGTACAGGAATGTGTCCCGGGACTACTAGTGTCATAATACAAAGACACAGGGTCAGAGGTCATATTGTAACAAGAATGCATCCTGCAACATCTGGCAGTGAAAGCATGGAGACAGTGGTGGAGATCCAGAAGCCAGTCACTGGAAAATGCTTCCAGTTATCAGATATGCAGAACTGCAGTCGAGGTATCCAATCCTCATTAATTCCTACTTAAAATGGAAGTTCTCTCCTATCAAGAATAGGTTCAGTAATTCAGAGTATGCTATTGCGAACACAACCTCTAATTTTATATTTTTAAGGAAGTCATGCAAAATAGAATTTATCAGAATTCCTGTGATTGTAGAGCTCAAAGAGCAAATGCATCTATGTATGAAGTCACAGTTTTATTTGTGTTAACATATTGGATTACATGTTAAAATATACACCACATCTTATTCTGACAAAGTATGGCATTCCCAGACAAAAGCCATACAAAACTACAGTTTATTGACAGAAAGAGACATACTTTGGGTATTTGGGATGAGTAGTCTCACAGATCACTCAATAAGCCAAATAATGAAAAAGTACATCACCTTGAGAAAAGATTGAAATTTCTTGTTGGTTTGACACAAAATGCTGACAAATACAAACATAACAAAAATTCATAAAATGCCACTAAAAACGAGGATCTAGACAGCAAACTAAATGGAATGATGTTCATTCATTGTCACTATACAAAAACATAAAATGTCCTGAAATCTTACAGCCCATACATGAACAAAACTTGATAACATTTTCCCAAATTTGACAACAATCCTAAAATTGTATAATGATACTACCAATAAAAAAGCTATAAAGCTGAAATAAACTTTTCCAAACTATCAATAATAAAAGCTAAATTATGATCAACCATACTACAGGAAAGACTGAATTCCTTTTTTATTCTTGTTTTAGAAACTACAACACAAAAGCACTGTCATACAAAGAGCAATCAAAGAATGTGCAAATAAAAAATGCAGACAAAGTACAGCAGCTTGATAGGTAGTTATTTAATCAAAACAAGATATTTTTCTGAATTGTGTCACGTTTGTAGTATTTGGTGGCTCTCTTAAATTCATAAATTGTTATAATTTCTTCCCTATTGTAAATAAATGTTGATTTTATATCTAAATGTGTAGAAGTAACTTTGTATTGTTTTTCTTAAAGAGGCCCCCAAATTATGTAAGTTCCTACCCCTACAAAAATTGGGTCTTCTCCTGGCTTGAAATATAGAAGACACATAATAAATGTTTACTGAATAAAATTAAGTTGAGAAAGTTAAAAATTAAATTCTTGTCCTTGATGTCAAATATTTACTCTACGGAGCAGTAACCAGTGAGGCAACAGACATTCACTGAGCTATTAAACTATTACTGTTGACACCCAGGCAGAGGCTAGTTACCCCTTCACAACCACTGATGACATGGGGAGGTTGGAGTGGGTGGATAATTTATAGTTCTCTGTATTACACAGATATGAGGTAAACCCATCCTAAAGATACATCCCTGCTGGCCTCTGCAAACCTATATTGAGATCCTTATTTCTCTTGCAAAAAAAAAAAAAAAAAAAAGCTCTTTTCATACTCCTCAACATCAGAGCTGCATAGTTTAAAAAAAAAAAAAAAAAAGGAAAACAAATATCAGTCTGCAGAAACTCAGAAGCAATTGCTGGACCTGAGATTTTGCTCACTTATTTTAACAATTAACAGCAATTATGTATGGGATGAAGGATCTTTATTTGCATATTCTATACATTGGCAATTGTAAACTAAAAATAACTTCAGGATTATTACCCCAAAGCTCATGCTGTTAATAAAAAGTTCAGAGGAAATGATATTGATTACACACTCCTAATTAGTTGACTTATCTGTGGTAGTCTGGGTAACTTTGGATGAATAAAAAGAGTATTCCTTCCAGTGCTTCAAATATTCAAGCTTATCATGTAATGCTAACTTTTACATTAATTATTTTGAAATTTTTGATGCTTTATCAAAAAGAATGATGATAGTAATGAATTTTATCACATACATTTTTTAAAAACCCATGAAGTGATCATCAGAAACAAAAAGAAGGAAAAGGAGGCAGATGCTCTTTATTACAAAAGCACACAGCAAATAATTGTAATAGAAATAATTGAATTAGAAAAACATTTGCAACTTCCAGTACAATGATTGATTCAGGCAGGGGTCATCAACGGATGTTAAAATCTCACTGGGTGAAATTTTGTTAAAGAACTTAAGATTCACAAAGTCTCAAGAGCATCCCACAATAATTGCAATGTATTTCCTCTACAAAGGTGGAATGCTACCTTTCGATAAAGAAATCCAGAGATAATGCCTTAGACAAGTGATCAAATTTGGTCTCACCAATAAGGAAAAGTGACATTATTTGTTTCCTTATGTGATGCAATGAGGGGCATGACATTATCCATATAGAACCCTTGCCAAATATATTTAACGTGAATCTAATAATGAGGAACAACTCCAAACTGAGAGTCATTGTGCAAAATAACTCCCTTATATTCTTTGAAAATGTTAGTGTCATAAAATACTAAAAAGACTAGGGAGCAATTTTAGATATAAGGAGACTAAAGCTTTATGACAACTAAATGTAATGTATGTCCTTGATTGGATTATGGAATTCAGAAAGAAAAGATCAACAACATTACTGGGGGAAACAATTGGGAAAATCTGAATATGGATGAATTTTAAATTAAATAATATTTCTATAGCAATGCTAAATTTCTTAGGCATGACAAAGATATTACAGTTATGTTAGAGGTGGTCCTTGCTCTTATGAATACATGCTTATATATTTATGGGTGAAATGTTTTCAGTGTTATAACAACCTTACTTTCAAATGATCCAGAAACAGAGAGAGAGAGAGAGAAAGCAAATGTGGCAAAATATTGAGTAATGAATGTAGATGCATATAAAAGAAAGCAACTAAAAGTGGATAAATTAGACTTCAAAATTTAAAACTTCTACTCATCAAAAGGCACTATTAAGAAAAGACTCTATGACACAAAAGATGGGAAAGACATCAGCTGGGAGAAAATATTTGCAAAACATATATCTGACTACGGATCTGTATCTAAATTATATAAAGAACTCCTACCACTCAGTAATTTTTAAAAAAATTATAGATGGGCAAAAGCCTGGAGTAGACTTTTCACAAAGAGGGATTCAGAAATCAGGGAGATGTAAATCAAAACTTCAGTGATATACCAATACATATCTGCCAAAAAGGCTAAAATTAAATTTTGGCAAGAATGTGGAGCAGCCTGAAGTGTCACACATGACTGCCGAAAATATAAAATGGTACAACTTCCTTAAAAAAAGTTAGGAGGCTGGGCGCCGTGGCTCATGCCTGCAATCCCAGCATTTTGGGAAGCTGAGGTGGGTGGATCACTTGAGGTCAGGAGTTCGAGACCAGCCTGACCAACATGGAGAAACCCTATCTCTACTAAAAATACAAAATAGCCAGGTGTGGTGGTGCATGACTGTAATCCCAGCTACTCAGGAGGCTAAAGCAGGAGAATCGCTTGAATCCAGGAGGCGGAGGTTGCAGTGAGCCGAGATCGCGCCATTTACTCCTGCCTAGGCAACAAGAGTGAAACTCCGTCTCAAAAAATAAAAATAAAAATAAAAAGTTAGGCAATTTCTTATAAAGAGTATATGAGTCACATCTATGGCCATACCACACTGAGATCTTGTCTGATCTCAGAAGAGTAAATGAGTCATTTACTATTCTTTCAGCCTTACTATAGATTTATATTTTTCCACAAAAATCTCTACTAAAATTTTTTTTAAAAAATAGACAGGCATTGTGCCTTGTGTCTGTGGTCCCAGGGGGTGAAGGATGCAGTGAGCCATGATCATGCCACTGTACTCCAGCCTGGGCAACAGAGCAAGACCCTGTCTCAAAACAAAACAAAACAAAAAATTGAGAAAAAAATCTGTGGTGCTTTAGAATGTGGCTTCAGAAAAATAGCTATAATACAGTATGTATCTGTTTAATTGGTTCTCTATTGTCTTAGATGATTTTTAAAATAGTTATTTATTCAATCAATATCTCTTAAGTACCTGCCCTGTGCCAGCAATCTCCTAGGTACTGAGAATACAATGAGGTACACGAAAGACACAGTTCCAGTCCTCATGCAATTTATATTTTTATGCAGAAGTACATGCTGAAAACTAGATAGGTAGGTAGGTAGATAGACATAAATTACCAAATATAATTAGGATTCTGTGCATACAGAGGAGATTATGTGTGAGAGAGTTTGAGGGAGAGTGCTACTCTACTTAGTATAGTCAGGAAAGGCTTTTCACAAAAAGAACCTTTCAGTTAAAATGTAAAGATTGAAACAGAGCCAACCATACACAAAGCAGGGAAACAGCATTCCAGACAAAGGGGACAGTGAGTGCAAAGGCCCTGAGGTGGAAAATATCTTGGGTATTGTTTGAAATAGAATATTTGCTGCATTTTGGGTAAGCTGGCCACTGATACTGATTTGGGCCACCACAACTTTGGTACAGCTTGCAAGAACAATATCAAGCATTTAACATGAGGATAGAGAGAATGGAAAAGACAAGTGCATAGTTTTTAGTCAATGACTGAGGGAGACTAAGGAGAGTGGGCTCCCGAAATCGGGAGATAAACAGAACCCAAGTCTTTTGAGTCTTTGAACACTGAGGAGGGCTCTATCTAGAGCTGGTGCCTTTTAAGATAAGTCAGCTCATGTCAACCTACCTAGCTTAGTCCCATCACTATCTAATGATGACAGTGATAATAATGACCATGGCCAAGATAAGACGTCAGTTATATTTCATCAATCACTTCCCATGTTTCAGTCTGTGTCAAGGGCTTGATTTCATTTAATTCTCTCAACAACTCTATGAGGTAAACATTGTTCTCCACATGTTACAGATGAGAAAACAGGCTCACACTGGTTGTTTAATGTACATAAGGTCACACAGCATCTAAATGGGAGAGCCAACAATAGAACCCAGCCTGTCTGATTTTGAAACCCACTCTATGTATTGTTACCTTTGATAGACTCCAACAAATACCTTTGCTGGTACTTTCTCCAGGCACCTAAAGAGGCCAATGGGTCATTTGGATGGATGCAAGAGGACTTTAAGAGTCATCTTGAACTGATGACAGAGGTGGGGAGGAACACAGAGGGATAAAAAAGGCATAAGTAATAGAAAAAGACCGGCTGGAAAAAGTTTCTCAGGATTCTTTTGGTTCATATGCTACATTACACATTTTTCAAAGGGCACTGCATAAGCAAACAACATTGCCTTAATCCTGAAGCCTGAATTCAAAATGCATTCATTTCTTTTTGCCACTAGAGATTCAGAAAAACATGCCACAATGATGTGATTCTTGAGCTGTGCTTTTGATAAATAAAAAAGCTGAAAAACAGAAGGTTAACGTTTATATATATTTTACAATTATGAATGCAAAATAGCAGCCAAGAATAAATGTTTATATCAAGGTTATAAGCAGATGAAAAATGACAGCCTGTACTAGAAATGCAAACAGACCATTAATTATAGCAGCCCCACAAAGCACCATAGTAATATGGAGTTTGCAATACTTTGCCGAAATTTACATAACTATATAGTCTCCTCTCAGATTCCAGAGATTCCATTTTTGATGAGTAGCAATTCAAAAGGTTAGTCACCTCATCTACATTATTATTCAATGTCTATGAATGTGAAATGGTGACACCTTGAATTTACATGTTAGAGAAAGGGATGTGCTGCTTCCAGCTCTTTATTTATTCCAGCACTACTGTGTGCCAGGTATAGAGCACAGCCCTGGCGATACCCAGATGAGTAAGACACACAGTCTGTCTGCAGAATTGCCAATCCAAAAAGGGAGACAGACTAGTAAATACATAACCCCAGCAGAGTTTGGACAAACTGAACAGACAGAGATCTAAATGGCATAGGGTTTGTCTCCCAACCAGACAGCTTCAATTATAATCCACCAATTACAACAGTGACATTAACTAAATCAAGCTCTTCTTTCTTCTTCCTTCCTTCCTTCTTCTTTCTTTCCTTTCTTCTCTTTCTTCCTTCCCTCAATCCCTCCCTGATTACCTGCTTCCCTCCCTTCCTCCTTTTCATTCAATAACTATGTCCAGTCAATAGTTAATAAGACTGTATAATAGTAGCAACTTTACATGTACTTAAAACTTACTATAGGTCAGGCATTAATAACATTACTGCTTTTAAACCCCACAAAAGGCCAGGCTCAGTGGCTCACACCTGTAATCTCAGTACTTTGGGAGCCAAGGCGGGCAGATCACCTGAGGTCGAGAGTTCAAGACCAGCCTGGCCAACATGGTGACTCTCCATCTCTACCAAAAATACAAAAAATTAGCTGGACGTGGTGGCGGGTGCCTGTAATCCCAGCCACTCAGGAGGCTGAGACCGGAGAATCGCTTGAACCCGGGAGGCGGAGGTAGCAGTTAGCCGAACTCATGCCATTTGCACTGCAGCCTGGGCAACAAGAGCAAAACTCTGCCTCAGAAAAACAAAAACAAAATGAAACAAAAAAAGAAAACCCTCAAAACTCCAGGAAGAAAAACAAAGAAGATATTTCCCCCATTTTACAGATGAAACTGAGGCACCAATGAGGCACATCTGGCAAGTGGCTGAACAAAGACACAGGCATGGAGTCTCCAGAATGCGGGCTCCAAAATACATTGCCTGGCTCTATCCATTATGAGGAAGCATGCCTGTCACACTACCTGATACAATAATAAGAATCCAGTGATTAAAGAACATTTTGGAATTTCTAACAAAGGCTTTCCAAACAAAGAATGTACCTTCCAAAAATCAGAAAGGGGGAAAAGAAAGGATGATGAGAAGAAAAAACGCAGTGTTTGTTGTGGGTCTTCTCTGGTTCCCCCTTGGGAGCACAGTGGCCCCACCTGCATGAATGATGAGAATTGGCATTCTGCTTGATTACTGTGCATCTGTTATGAGCTTCAGAGTGAGTTAAGCAAAAACAAAATAAGCCTACTAATCGAGGTGAGTCACTTGTACAGTTTTTGAGTCCCAGTGGTATTTTCCTTATTTTTCACCAGCAGGCACATATGCTCCCCAAATTGCAATGATATTTCAAAACAATTTAAATGAAGCTTGATAGCTAATTATCTTAAGGTCATGCTTAAGAACCAAACCACCAGGACATCAAAAATCTGAGATTGTCTAAAGGTGAAGAATGCAACATTAATTTTTTTCCCATTAAAAAACAAAGGGAGTGGGGAAAGCAAGCTTTTTTATTCCCTGAGAATAACTGGTTTTCAAAAATCATCCAAAATAGACCTCTTAAGACATTTCACCTCTGCTCTGAGTGTTTTAAGCTGGCCCTCTGATTACAAAATGTTCATGTGAAATCTCATCAAGATGCTTTCTTAACATGAAGAATGTTTTATAAATTGTAATGGCTTTAATCAGCACCCTCTTTGAAGCTATTTAACTCTATGATGTAGCCCACCCATTGCTTCAATTATGTCATTTATCAACTCTGTATTAATTAAGTATCATTATAGAGATTGATTTATGTACTTTTTCATGTCTCTCTCACCAGATGGTATAGCATTCTCCCTCTCTGACACTCCATAAACATCACCTGGATTCACTCATCTCTCTCCCCAGCTGAATGTTTAATCAGCTCTTAGTCATCTTCAAACTAAATTGCTCCTCTTCCTCCTCCTCTTCACTATACTCTGTCAATACAGTACACAAAGGCCAAGTGATATAAAACATCAGCCAGTAGTATTTCCAAAGCCAAGCCCTATCAACAACTCATTCCCACCTCAATGAGTTCATACCCAGTGTGGTGATGCAATTTTCACAGTAAAGTGAAGAGAAAGTCTTTTGCTTCCTTAGCTGATTAAAAGTCGCAGTCCCTGTTCAACTATCTGGGGCAATGGAGAAAATAACTAGGAAAAAATGTATGTGTGGCAGTGGGAATACAACAAACAGTTTGGCCTCAGTAGAGTTACCTTTTGAATTATATTTTACATGGGCTAATATAAAAATTACTTTGCATTCTTGAGCTCGCATGCTAAGAAAGCAGGAGGCAGAAGTCCCAAGGTATTGCAAGAAAGCCAGCCTAGAATTTTAAACTGCCTTGGGTGATCTAAAAAGCGGACAACAGAGAAATGGAAATGCTGAACTGTTTTTCTTGCAAAATATAAAGACCAGATTAATGGGACTATCTTACAGTTGCCTCGGACTCAAAATGTCTAGAAACCAAACTGGCTGGTTTCCCTCCAAGCCAGCTCCCTCTCCCGACCCCTACATTTCTTATTCTCCTGTCCCCAAGCTGGGATCCTTAGAGCAGGGATCATCAGCTCAAATATCTACAGGACTCGAATAGGCAACATAAATGAATAAAGTATATAAAAAAAGAGGGGAAAACTTGGCAGATAAGAGGGGGGACATCCCATCAACAAGAAGAATTTGATGGCTAATCTGCTCAGCTGAAGTTTGCCCAATGGAACATACAAGATATATCACCAAATCTGGTTTTTCTCTAAAACCACAAATCCTTATTGTTATTTGAAACTTAAGATTTTTAAATTTTGGGCTGAACTAAATACAGATTCATCCCATAGATTTTAATCCTTGCCTATCAACTTGGACCCCTACTCCTTCCCCCTTTGAATACAATCAATCCCCAAGTTCTAATGTTCTCATACTATGCCTCCTGCTGATTTCTTTCCATTCCAATTGCCATCATCTATGCCCTCATTACTTCATATCTGCATTATTAGAGGAGTAACCTGTCCTTCCCTGTCTAATGCATGCTATGCACAATGGCCAAATTGATCTTTCTAAAACAGTAGTTCTTAAACTTTAATGTGTATCAGAATCACCTGGAGGGCTTGTTAAACCAGATTGCTGGACCCCACCCTTAGCTTTTCTGATACAACGGGTATTAGGTGGGGCCTAATAATTTGCACATCAATAAGCTCCTAGATAGGTTGATGTTGCTATTCCAGGGACCACACTTCAAGAACCACTGCTGTAAAATTCACCCCATATCTTTAACACATTCCATGGTTCTCCATTTCCTCCACATTAGACTTAAAACTGCCTAATCTGCTACCCTGAATTCTTCAAGCCTGGTCTCTTCCTCTCACCCCAGAATTGCATTTCTCTGACCCCCTAGGAGGCCTGGCTCCAGCTAAACTGATCTGCTTGTGTTTTACCCAAATATATCATGCAGTCCCACCTTGCTTTGATATTTACAGAGAGTCTTTCCACCTCCTTTCTCTTGGTCAATTCTGCCTTTTTATTGAACACACCCCAAATCCACATTGTCAGTGCAACCAACCCCAATCAGATTTCTGTTATCTCCTCTAGATTCCTATAGCATTAGCTCTCCAGGTTGCTTGGTACAATCTAACAGCATGGAAGTTAGAGCCAGAGACTGAGTTTGAATCCTAGTTCTTTCATTAGATGTGTAGCATGATAAGCCATTAATCATTCTGAACCTGTCTCTCCTTCAGTAAAAGAGATACCAATACAGTATCTACTTCTATTGGGTTACATAAAGAATTAATTGAGACAAACTCTTTAACCCTTTAGAATAGTACAAAGTTGGTGCTTAATAAATAGTAATTTCCTTTCTTTATCCCTTTCCCCCAATCATTCACTTAGCACTAAATATAAAATAAATAACACTAATCACTTACATGTTCTTACCCCCTTCTCTTTTGGCTACATAAAAATATTTCTTGAGGACAAAAAACACATGGAATTCACCTTAGTAATCCTAGTACTCGGAAATTTCTGAGCAACTAGGAAGCTCTCAAGAAATATGTACTAAACAATATGATAAATTAGAGAAATAATGCAAGACAAATTGTTCCATAGAGAAGCTTTCCTCTGTGGGACTTAAATCTCTAATTAATTGCATTTATTCTTAAAACATATTTCCCAGGACAAAAGCAAAGAAAGGTATTTTACCATCAGAAAAACTAAAAAAGCTCTAATGGGGGGGTCTCAGTTGATAATGGTGATGGAAAGAAGTGTCATTAGAAAAGCATTAATAAAGGGAATATCTCCTAGAAGTAAAGTTGAGCCCAAGAACACTAATAATGGCAACACAGAGAATAACAATAATGAACCTGGAGACGATGCTGACAACAAGCAATGGACATTTTTTCAGGACATCTGTCATGCAACTGTGTGACCACTGCAGACCCAAAATGGCTGATGATATTGATGATTACACCACAAAGTGTCCAATCAAACTGGTCAAATCAAACTACCCTCCAGGGGATTCTCAAATTTTGAATCCAACAGCAACAAATCATAATATATATATATATATATAATATAATGTTCTCTAGTGTTGCTGACCTCTATAATATTTTTAGATGAAATCCAGTATCACCCACTCCCATAGAGGTGAAATGCTTTTCAGAGAGAAGGGAGCTATTTTCCTTAATCAGCAACTCAAAACATCTTTGTTCATAAGTGTAGTGGCAGAAAAAATGTATAATCTGGCATATTGGGCATCTGAATATTTTCCTCCAAATGCAGAGCAAAGTACCCTAAAAGTTCAAGTTGTTTCAAACTTACTATACATGGGTTACATAGTTCGGACAAAGAGCACCAGGAACCGGGTCAGCTGGTTTGTTACGAGAGCCCTGCCATGATTTACTCTACATCCTCAGACAAATTCATTCCTTCCGTAGACATTTCCTAAGTTATTACCATGTTTCAAACATTATACTAGATGATAGGAATCCAGAGGTTAAAAAATACACGTAATCAATGTCTTTCTGGAACTTAGAGTCTAGTGTGGAGACAGGCAATTGGGGCAGACTGGGCAGTATTTCACCAAATTCACTTTCCTTTCACCCTGGACATAAAGATAGGCCAAATTTCCTAGCCTCCATGTAATAGCATTCTGCCCAATAGAATGTCAGCAGAAGTGAGGTGTGCCATATCCAGGCCTAGATATGGATAACCATGGAAAATCTCCCTCTAGGTTATCGACTTTCTCTCTCTATCCCCTTATGCGTCAGATGAATGCAGAAGACTCTGCAGAGAACTCAGATCTCAAAAATGATAGAGCCACAGATGGAAAGGAGCAGAAGGCCACATTCTGACCACCCCCTTGAAACCATTATGTGAACATGCAAAAGACTCCTATTGTGTGAAGTGACTGAGATTTGAAGCTGTTTGTTACAACAGTTAGTCTACTCTACCAAAGCACGAACCAAAACTATCAATACTTCCAAGACATTATGATACAGAGCATGCACAGAACGATGTATGTGGAAATACCAAAAAAGAGGTAACTCACCTGGGCTACAAGTGGATATCAGGGAGGGATCCCCAGAGGAAGAAACTCATAAGTGTGTGGCAGTGAGAAGGGAAATGGAGGGTTGCAGAGGAGAAAGCATATGCAAAGTCACAACACTTTGAGGAAACGTGGTGCGTGGGAAAAGTGTTAGTGATTGCTGACTGCTGGAATGTGGAGTCATGCTGGGAAATGGAGCTGTTCCGTGTGTAATTGTTGAAATGACTGATAAGGAGCAGAACCTAAGAGACTCAGTGTCTGTTAGAAATGATGGACACAGAAAGAGAAAAAAGCAATAAAGGACCATGTGACTTAGAAGATGAAGGATGAGGTCAATTTTGAAAAAAATTGAAACTGAAATAGCTATGGAACATCCCAGAGAAGAATCCACAGGCAGGTGAATATATAGGCCTAGAGCTGGCGGCAGTGGTATGGATGGGAGAGAGGGGTTTGGAAATGGCCACAATGTAGATTGTGGTTCAAGTCACATCTTCACAAGTATGAACCGCATTCATAGGAGCATGATGAGGATACACAGGTCAAACAGTCACAGTGAGAAGCCAGAGATATAGGGAAGGAATAGAGAAGAGAGTGAGAGTGACAGCAAGCAAGAAAGAGAGAGAAAACATGAGAAAGAAGTCATGGAAGCCAAAGAGAAGAAACACTGAAAATGCAGTTGATGGAGGCAAGTGCTTCATAAAAGTGAAGTAAGATGATGGCCTGAAAAATGTCCATTAAATTTGACACGTAGGCAGTTATTTGCGACCTTAACAAGTCCTGTTTCAGTATTGGCAAAAGCCAGGCTATAATAGTCTGAAGAGCAAATGAAAGGTGAGGAATTAGAGGTAGGAATATAGAATACTCATCAAAGAAATTTGGTTCTAAAAACAATAAGCTAGAAGTAGACAAACATAGTTTATCTCATTTTATTTTCGTTTTTATTTCTTAGGATGCAAAACTTAAACATGTTAATATGTCTAATTGTCTGAACTTTTATTTCCCTATCAATAAAATAGGGCTAATAATGACCCTTCTGCATGAGCCACTGAATTGTTGTCAGAGCAAATAAAGTAACATGGGAAAGATTCTAAAGTGCTATGTAAAGTCCAATGTTATTATGTATTTATAAATGTTGAAAGAATAGAATTATACAAGTTAAGAGTCCAGTGAAATATGGATTGGCTATAAAATCAGTGAAACATTATAATCAGTCTTAGAGGCTAGCAACAGATTCTGAAGTCCCTTGCTGGACAATTCTACTGGTACTCCTAAGTTGTAGCTTGGGTTTCCAGATGTCTTCATTATGCCAGAAAAAAAAAAAAAAATGCCAGTGAATCCTGACAAATTACTGTGCATTAAATCATTTGGGAATTTATTAGTCTTATGAGTAGTAGTTCTTAAATAAAGGTTTCTGGCAATCACCCAGTTTCACAAAGCAACAGACCAGCTCCATAATTTAAGTCTCATGACCGTGAAATCATGGTGAATGGCCACAGCTTGCTGAATATGTTATTCCAAGGGGTGATGGAGGTATTATGGGAAGTAAGCTAGCCATTTTAGGACTTCCCTCCTGGGAAGCTTAATCATCCAAAAGAATATGGTGCAATCATTATTTCACTAGTCTTGAAACCTCTAAAGACCCCGCAAAGAACATTATTTTTAGCACTATGACATCAATGTAACTAGTCGTATAACTTTCTAACATGTAGTTTTAACATGCCCCATCCTCCTCCCCTGGGAAGATATCTTATCCCTGTATAAGGAAAATGTCTCTTTCCTTTTCCCTGCACTTTTGTACAACTTTCCTCTGACTGGATTTCCTAGCTGCTGACATATGTTCCCCAGTTATTTTTATTTTCAGGGGTGTAGGGTGCTAATTAAGGTCAAGCAGCTGTGTCTCCAGTTCCAAATAGCAATTGTGCAGAATAAATAAACTTCCCTTTCCAATAGATATTAAAAATCCAATCCGGAGACCCAAATAAACCCTATCTGCTATTATTTTTGCATTTTAAAAAAATCTTAGGCCAGGCTATCACACTAAAGTTATGCTTCTTTTCCCCATGTTTCTCAAATATTTTATCCTTAACGTATGACACTGCCATAATAGCTATTAAACTAGGCTGAACATCTACATCTCAGTTTTTAGACTTTTTATCCACTGTAATACTGAATTTCATCCTAGGACTGAGGGCCAATAAAGTTATTTGGCATTACCTCAATCAAAACTACAAAGAAAAAGACAAGTCCTATGTTACTCTCAAACAATATTACCAAATATTTATATGGACCTTTGTAGATAATCATTTACAGATAATTAAGTATCTTTTTCAAGTTGACCTCATTTAATCTCAAAATTATTTTGTACATTTATTATTATTCTTTACCCCTGGTTAACAGAAGAAAATTATGAGGCCTAGAGAAGTTTAAGAAACATTCCTAAGACCACCTAGTTGTTTGGGAGCAGAGCCAAGTCTGTATCCAAGTTCCTCTAATTCCCTAACTCTTCACTATACCATAGATGGCCCCCATCATGTCACCCACTCTCTTTTTACTCCACTTCTCTAGCAACATGGAAAACAGGCTGGCTCCCTCTGAAGTCATTAGGAATCTTTGATGAAATGCAGACATGAACGCAGTTCTTCCTCCAATGAAAATACATAATATATTAGTTATATAAGGAATGTAATGGGATCACTGTGGATGTGAAAAGCCTTAAAGCTTTTTAAAGGAATGCACAAGTGATGCTTGGAATCCAGAAAAGCCAAAGAAGATATTACAAACAAATGACCAAATGTGGAATGGGTGTGTGTGTTTGGGGGGGAAACTCCATGAACAATAAGTATTTTCATTTGAATGGTTTGTTTTTACTTCATAAGGACTTTTCCTTCACGGAAAACCCTTGTTTTTGAAAGGAATTCAAATGAACATTGTGACAAACCTGTAGATGGAGAAGGAGGCCACGGATCGAATGAGAGATGCCAAAGCCCCCACCTTGGCAGCTTCCACCGCCCCCTGCGTTCGGTATTGCACCGTCCTTGAGTAGTTGATGTAAGGTTGGTTATAAACAACAATCTTCCCTCTTGCTTCTGAGGCCCTTCTCTGCAGTTCATCGAAAGAGGTCACCACCAGAACTTCTGCTGTAATGCCTAGAAATAAAAGTCATGCAAGATTAACTTACAGTTTCCCATCAGCTGGGTTGAATTGGCACAGGAAAGGTCACATACATGCTCTTTCTGCTACATCTGGCAAACTGGTATAAGAAGATCAAAGTTTTAGAGCCATTTACCATGGGAAAAGGACTGTGGGGTTAGCCAACTTCCCAAGAGAGTGAAAAGGCATTCAAAATAATATAACATAAAAATCATAAGGTTTTTCAACTCACTTGACCAGCTGGTATTAAATCACAAACTGCTTGAAAAGATAGCTTCTTTTTTAATTCTTTCCCACCCTCAGAAGTCACAAATTTCAAAGAATGATGCTAATCATTTATTTTTAAAAATGAATTTCAGAAAGCTCTCCTTAGGATTAATGAAACACATATTAATCTTTTTATATAACTATTTTGATATGTTGCTAAACAACCTACAACAACATCATACAAAGGATGCCAGTGTGTGAAGAATACTCTTAGAAGCCAATGTTGTTCATAAATGAAACTTTCAACAAATGGTTAATGTAATCTCTCTGAAGAACCACAAAAAGTAAGCTTTCCTTCCTCCTTTGCATAGAAACATTCTTAAAGAGTGGAAACTTCCCATGCTTCCCATTTACGGTACTTGTTCATCACCAAACACATCATTATTTTTCAAATAAAAACTTTGAAGATGTTGTGTAATGGCGCTATAATCCTGTTGTCTTTGTTAGAAGAGATGTCCCTTCTTTTCTCATACCATAAGACTTGCCCACATTTTCCTGATTAGGGAACAGGGTTTCACATCTTCCAAGAAATCATTCAAAATTTGCCTGACCATTAAAGATCCAAATTGATGGAGTAGTTAGAGTAAAAGGGAAAAAATATTTGGCAACAAAGGCCAGATGCAGTGGCTAAATATATCTAAAAGAAAGAAAGTGGTAAGTGCCTAGTGTTTTGTGGCTTTAGCCATGCAGTCATGAAGTATGTCAGTAAAAAACAAAGTATCAACATATATTTCCATATTTCCTTAATATTAAAAACTAGAGAAATAAGTTTTTCTGAAAGCTTAACAAATGTTAACTGTTACTTGGAAAATCCTTTTAAAATGCACTACAGGTATGCAAGAATTTTTGCTTTCAATATAGGCCTCATCATAATGGGCCCTTTGGGCTGGCTACCCCTGGTACCATGATCCAGACTGAATTTCTATTTTCACTTTAAAGTGATTGGCTAAGATCTATAGGTATGCCTTCACCAACACTGAGAACTCAATTTATAGTCTAAAAGAAGCAATGTATAATTATGGAAACTAAGGAAACCACCAGCTTTTTTCATATAATATGCATACATAAAAATACAAATAAGAGTTTGGCTAGACAGATTTTGAGATTCATACATTTCTGAAACCTGGAGTTACCTTGAAATTTGACTGGCGTTATTGTTGGCATAGTATGGGAACTTGGCTGATGGTTTGCAGCTGCTCCTAATGAATAACAGGTTCGATAGTCCACTCAAGGGATGTCGCAACAATAGGGCAATTTTGGCATCCGGATTGGAGCCACTAGAAATGAAGCCAAATTTCTATAAATTTTCATAGGCCACTGTGAAATTAAAGTCACACGAGGGTGGTACTTCATTATGGTCTATGCTTCCATTCAAGTTTTTTTTTGTTTTGTTTTGTTTTGTTTTTAACAAACAAGAGAGTGGAGTCCTAAAGTGCCAAAACCTAATCTAGACACCACAGTTGCCAATGCAAATCACTAGTAGCAGCTACAGGTCAAAACCTATCACTGTGAACTTGGAAGAAGAGTTTAAATTAATCTGTTTTTCTGAAAACTCACAGTCATCTCTGATTCCTCTGTCTCCTTTATCCCCCATATGTAATCAATCCCCCAATACTGATAATTTTACTCCTTAGAAATCAATACCAATTGAAATCATGAACTCTGTTCAACCCCCTTACACTCTCACAGCAGGCCCTCATTACCTCTCTTTTGAACTATTACAGGTCTCTACTCCCTGGCCCTCCCATACCACCGGTGTGCCAGCCTCCAGCCTGGCTCCTTTTTACCTTCACAGAGCTGCCAGAGTGAACAAGTCAAACTACTGAAGAGTCAGATCTGCCCCAGGCAGCATCCCCAACCCCTCTTCCCCATTTCCACTTCTGCCGAAAACCCATCATTTCAACATCCAAAGTCTGCCTACCTATACAGACACTTTTCCCTGTATAGACACCTACCTATACAGACACCTTTTCCCACCTTCATCATGTGACCAGTACCTATGCATCCCTCAAGATTCCACTCAAGAATCACTTCTTTAGGGAGCATTCCCTGGCCTCTTGTCTCCTGTAACATCAGGGAAGCCTGGATCAGGTACCGCCCTTCTCTGGACTTTCAGAGTACCTGGGACATATCTGGGAATTGACTTAATGAAACTCTCTCTACCCCTTAAACTGTAATTTCCTCCATTTGGGTCCATGTTCATTCTTGTTTGTGTGTCAAGGGACTAACCCAGTGCCTGGCGTACATGTAGCCAGTTGGTCATTAAGCACCCCTGGAGTTGTGCTGCTCCAAATAAGAGACTGCTGACTGGATCTAAAGCATTTCCATGAATGTTCAGTTTTACCTTTAAAGTTTGATAGCCCTTCTCCCATAGGAACTCAGCAGTCTGATTCCCTTACACCTACAGTACAGCTGCAGAACAATAACCAAGCAAAAGAGGCCTTGGGGCACTCAGAATAGAAATAAAAATTCCAAGTACAAAAACTTGAACACAAGAAAGCTCTTCTGATCTCTTAGAGCCTGGTTACCCTTACTTTACACAAAATTCTACATCTGGCATTTAAACCTATCAGCTATGAGAAACAACAAATCAAAAAGAGGAAATAAGGTCTGAAAACTGACAACAGTACCACAAAAAACAATGTTGGAGTCAGAAACATATAAAATAACTAACACTAAGAGAACTTTCTACAGTGACAGAAATGTTTGATATCTGTGCTAACACAGTAGCCATTAGCCACATGTGGCTATTGACCACTTGAAATGTGACTAGACTGACTAAGAATCTGAATTTTTAATGTCATTTAATTTCAATTAATTTATACGTACATTTAAATAGCCACATGTGGGTAGAACTCACAATGACTGCAGGCTCAGGCCATTGCATAGGACAAACAGATGACAGCATCTCTTCTGGCCCTGAGGGACTTGTTTCATGAAAGTCCAATAACAGATGTGAGCCATGGTGATGACCTCCTCCAGCAGTCACAGACAAGGTGGGCCACTGTATTCAGTAGCCATTGTTTGGGAAGGCAGGGTGTGTACAAAATACTTTAGGAAGATTTTTGCTCAAATGGAATAAAATAAAACTAGACCACCTAGAAAATTTTACCCTTCCATATTAGTTTGTGTTTTGACACCTTATACCAAAGGGAATATTCATGCCTGCCTACAAATCAGCAAGCTCTTACTCTTTACTCTCATCTCCCTTCTTCCCATCCTCCCATTCCAAAAGATAGTTCATGAAAACCTCTAAGAACACAAAACCTGTGTCATATTCACAGTAAGGCCTACCCTAATGTCCCTATTAATAATTGCAACTCTCTCCCAACCTCCTGTACCTCTTAGCTTGTTTAATTTTTTTTACAGCATTTATCAGTTTCCAGTTGTACCCCTACAATAATGTAAGTTCCAAGTGCCTGAAATAGTGCCTAGCACATAATGTGTGAAACACACACACACACACACACATACCCATAACCCACTGAATGAATGAAGAGAAACCGAAAAAATAAAAGTATAATACCCCATCCCTGATCACTCTCCAGAAATGTATACTTCCAAGGAACTTGCATATTTCTATAGGTAGAATAATTGATGATGATAATAACAGTAATAGCTATATTTGAATGTCCATTATTTACACTAATATTCACAGCAACTCTGCAAAGTAGTTATTATGAAGAGACTGAGGTGCAGAGAAGAAAGTTCACATAACTGCTAGGTGCTGAAGCTGAGATTTGTAACTATTGGATATCTGAATCCAGGGGTCATGCTCTTCCCATTAACTGCATTGTTATATTATTTCACAAATGTAACAAATATCAAAAGAAAAGCTTGGCATTTTCATTTTAAGAGGAATTAGGAAGGAAAACAAATAGGTATATAAAAGTCAGCCTAAGTTGTCAGCAATTCTTTTCCTTAATCTGTAAGAATCTTGCTCATCGATCAGGGTGCTGTTAATCACACTAGGTCCCAATCTCTTAATAAGGGAGTTGGGAGGGGTGTTTCATCCTAGGACAGGAGTCATCAGACTCGGTTAGAGTAATGAAAAGGATTATAATACTAATTTCTGAAGAGAATGTGGGACTGAAGCTAAAAATACTCACTATAAAGTAACTCTTTTGGCTATAGTCTATTATATCACAAAAATATTATAAAAATCCTCAGGTTCCTTTCTATCTTCCACACCTAATTTTCAAAACCGATCAATTTTTTTAAGCCACTTAACCTGTGTGTAATTACTACTGTGGTCTCCTAGCACAGACAACAGCTGCTGACTGCTGTGGTATTGGCACGGATCATGTAGTCTATAGAGAATTTGATAAAAAGACTCCAATCTCAGTCTCTCCTGATTTGATTCTTCCCCAAAACAGTTAACAATAAGAAGATAATGAAATAATCTTACAACATTTTCTACCATCAAAATAAAAAGACTTATAGACAGAAAAACGTGTCTATGGTCTTATTTTAATGTGGTATGTTTTAGAAAATTGATTCTGATTTCAGAAGTCTTCACCTCTGAACAGGAAATAGTCTAGCCCTACCCAAAGGAAACCTAGCTTTCTACTCTTATCACATAATCTTCTAATGTGTGCACTATGCAAGATAACTAGGTCCATGGAGAAGTGGTAAGGAAACTGCACATTCATGGAAGGCAGATAAAAGAACACAACAGTTCTTTCTGAGTGTCCATTTGTTTATGGAGAATATTGTGATTGTGCAATGTCCTTTTCGTGGAAGAATATGCCTTACAGATCAAAATTAATTCAACAAATGTATAGCCTTCCTACTGGGCCAAAATTTCACGCTGGGCAATGTGGACAATAGGAAGATGAGGAAATTCCAGTACTATCCTTAAGGATTGTATAATCTGGAGGAGAAAAAAATAAGTAAACAATAACTTTAAAAAGAACAGTCACAGCACTAAATGAAAGTACAAAGTACAATTTCATGAGAGAACATAAATCAGCATTAATTCTGACTAAAGGAAGAAATCTAGGAAGTTTCCTATAAAGAAGAAACTTTAAGAAGGCTTTAGAAGATTTCAGTAGCCTGAAAATGAGGGAAGGACATTTTCAGGTAGAGAACAAAGAAGAGAAGACAAAAATAGATGAAACACCTATTCATTTACAGTGATTAGGAGTATTCCTGCCAGGCCCCAAAACAGACAGTGGGACACTCTATGATCTTCCAACTTTTAACCAAGGTATTTATGGACCTCCATCTTCATTCTGTGAATTCCAGGAAGAAAAGGAAAACAGTCTCTCTGAATAAATTTTCAGGGAAAAAAATTAAAACTCAGCTACTAGTTGAGAGAAAGAGGAACAAGGGGCAAAGTGCAACTCCAAGTGATAACTGAAGGCACATGACCCATCCTCTCCGGACTGTGTCTCCTGAGATCTGGCTCAAATTAGACCTGCTCTGTTGGCCTTGTGAGAGAGCCCAGACCCCACTGCATCAAAATCCATGGGCACAATAAATTATAATTATCTCTAGAGAGCCAGCTGCCTGCCCTGTTTGGTGGTGTGCTGAGAGCCACTTGCTGTACTGATACCTGAGGACAAGCCACAAGCAAAGTATCCTGTCTACTTTGACTTCTAAAATATTGAGTTTATACAGAGACTTTTGTTATTTTGTGGAGAGGTGCCTATCACAGGCCCATTATGTTCAATTCAACATGAAATGTAGGACACTCCAGGTTTATAAGAACCCAACTAGCAATAAGCAGCCATAAGCATAGACTGCTTCTGGTCCTTAGAAATTGGATTGCCTTAAAATCCAAACTTTTCCCATTGTTTTTGCAGCAGCATGAACAGGCACTCAGACTGGAGTATCTTGATTTCTTATAGTAATTATCACAGGGAACATTTATACTCTAAAACATGAAATATACTCTTTTCCAAAAACAACTTGTTTTGAATATGGTTGCTTTGAAGCATGGCTGACATGGTGGTTGCTTTCTCTCTAATCACTGGGTGTTTCCTTGTAAAGGTGACTAATGTGCGTGAGTGAGGGACGGCTTTCATGAAAACCGCTGTCATCTAACCTGGTAAAGTGAGCAGCAGGAAGCATAATGCACCTCAGTCAGGTTCAAGCAGTATTTACAGAGGAAAATCCAGGTGTGGCAATGGGTGGGATATGGAGGTGAGTTGCCAGCTACAGTAGACTAAAATGGGCTAGTTATCATGGTCTGGGGGTCATGGCTAGCTTCCCTGGGAAGCTGGGATGGGAAAAATGAGTGCCAATTGACTAGGAGACACTGGCTGGAGGGTGGGTAGGAGAGAGGACTAAGATGAGAAAGTAAGCAGAAATTGAGGGAGAGAATGACGATAGAAGGCTGGCCACGTTTGCAGGGTGATATCACATGGGAGACTTGTATTAAGGACTTTGGGTAAGGATAGGGAAGTCAGACAAATTCACATTCACAGTTAAAAATATCACTAGGCTCAGCTTGAGGAAAAGCTTGGAGGAAGTCAGAAAAGGTATAGAGGACTGTTGAAAGGACTACTGCCACATTCTGGGTAAGAGGTGACAGTGGCTTAGATTGGGACAGGGCAGTGGAGATAAAGCATAGTAGGCCACTTTCAGTAACAGCATGATGACACACTGTTTACTGCAATGGGGTTTTATACTCCAGCAAGCATAGTGCCCAAACTGTGTAATGATTGTTTTATGAGGGAAAGTTTTATATAAACTGAAATTTAGTCATCAGATCATTCAAAACTAATAAGACATTTCTAAAAATTTTAAGTTGAATATTTTCAGTGAAACAAGCCAACATCTTACTCTGTAACTTTTTTTTGAAAAAACAGGGTATTTATTACATTATGCATTATTCGATATATGCTTAAAGCAGAGGATTTCTTTGTCAATAACAAGAAATGCCTATCACTATATACCCTGGCTTGAATGCTGGCTATAAAGCTCACCAGCCTTTTGATCCTGAATAAGCTACTTAACTTTTTTTTATCCTGTGAAATGGGAATCACAATAATATTGGCATCACCAGGCTTCTTGTGACCATCATATGAGATAATGGTGGTAAAATTGCTCTATGTTCCATAAAGCACTATAAGACAAAGGTAGTTATTTAAGGGCTGTGGACATATATTTAGTGGGCATAAGCAATAAGTATCTGGTTTATTTAAAATTTCACTTCAAGCCAAATTACCAGGAATAAAACAAAGTGGATATGACTTCAGTAAATACCAAGCCTACTTGGCTCAGAGTAGAGCTATTCCTTATAACATCAGACAGCTCCAGTTTTTACTAAAGCAATAATTTAGGTCCTATATCCTAAAGATTCTACATCAGGCTGGACAGAAAAGTGGAGTAGGCTCCATGGGTCTACTTGGCAGCCAAGAGTACAGAGGAAGTGATGGAGGGGTGGATGAGAGAACCAAGGAAGGGAGTTTTTGGAGAAAAAAACAGCAGAAGAATAGGACATAAGAGAAAAATACACCAGTAGCCCTGTCCAAAACAGACCTATGACATATGTTCCATTATTTCCTCTTAAAACTCATGCCCACCCATTGCCTTGTAAACTGCGATATCTCAGTCAAAGACACTGAGCTTGGACTTGGCCAAGAGACTTTCTCTGGCCAATGGAATATGAATACGCATGATATACAGTCATAATTGAGCAGGAGCTTTAAGGACCATTGCAAGATTTGGCATTGTCTCTAAGAAAATGTGGTACATATACACCGTGGAATACTATGCAGCCATAAAAAGGAACAAGATCATGTCCTTTGCAGGGTCATGGGTGGAGCTGGAAGCCATTATCCTCAGCAAACTAATGCAGAAACAGTAAATCAAATACTGCATGTTCTCGCTTATAAGTGGGAGCTGAACAATGAAAACACACGGACACAGGGAGGGGAACAACACACACTGAGGCCTGTTGAGGAGTGGAGTACGGGGAGGGAGAGCATTGGCAAAAACAGCTAATGCATGCTTGACTTAATACCTAGGTAATGGGCTGATGGGTGCAACAAACCACCATGGCACACGTTTACCTATGTTAACAAACCTGCACATCCTGCATATGTACCCCAGAACTTAAAAAGTAAAAGAAAAAAGAAAAAGAGAGATCATTGCCCTCAGCCAGGAGAATGGCATGTCCCAGATGGAAGCTGCTCCTTCTGTCTGCATTCTGGGGTAAAAAAAGATACCTGAGGCAGGAGCAAAGGCACTACTAATCGGCAGATATATGTATATATATATACAGAACAAGAATTAAAGCTTGGTTTTTGTGAACCACTGAGATTTTGGAGGTTGTTTGTTATCATAGCATTACTGAGTGAAAACTGACTAATTCAGGGGCTCTGAATTTAAAGTTTCTATCAAAGTTTTTCACAATCTATGGCTGACTGATAGAAGATATAGAATGAATATATGTGATACCTTAGGGAAGATTGTTCAGTGAAAATTAGATAACTACTTCCTCCTCCTATCACACATCAAAATGATCAACACCAAACGGCAGGAAACAAACAAATCTGAAGAATTCAGCAAGTGTTAAGTGATCTAACACCTGTAGACTAAATGACAAAGAATTGTAAATAGGAGATAAACTCAAGATCATTAAAATACAGTATTGGCAGCTTTGGTTAGCTAACCCACCCAATGTCATTTCTAAATAAAACAAGCAGCCATGTTATACTCTTTAATAATTCTACACACATTCAGCAGATTTCACTATTTCATCCCTAAATGTATTTGCTTTCTAAATTCCATCTTTATAAACCAAGGGCAAAAATGATAGAAACTAGTGTGCTTATGTTTGTAGCAAGTACAAAATGTTATTACAGTGCTATATTAGAGGGCTAAAATAACTCTATGAAAATGGTATAACAAACTGGGCTTTTTTATGTAGATATGCTTAAAATTTTAAGTGTGTCTTATGTTCTTCTTAGAGAAGTAAAACTTGAGTGAAACTACTGTAACAAAACAGAATTTCTACCCTAAATAATGATAAACTTGGCTCAGTTTCACATGATTCAATACAACATAATTTGTCACTAGAAGAAGATTCTAGAGACATGGGTTAAATATAAGAACTCTATGAATTACATGAAAATTTTCTGGATTTCATTTTATGAAAGTTCATTGGCTTGATGGGCACAAATCCAATTATTGATGTTAATTCTGTTACAATTAAAAGCCAGTACCAAATAGTTTTAAGGAGGAGAGAGTAAGGGCATTAGCCACATTTTATAGGTGACAAAATGGAGGCACAACGAAGCTCAAATACCTTACCAAACTAGAAAGTGACAGTGCTTGGATTTGAATCCAGGTCAGACCGACTCCAAACCCATGGTGTTAGCTTCATATTCAAAATCTGTGTGGTGTTCTCCCCCAAAACATCTGCAGGCTCTCCTATACCTTACATCCTAACTATAGGCCCAGGGAAAGAGAAAGTATCTTTTCCAGAAGTTCCCACTGCAAAGACAGAGGAGACTTCATTTTTTTTCAGAAGCCCCAGGCACAAGTCTTTTAAAGATTCATGAGTTATATGCCCACTCATAAATCTAATACCATGGCCATAGGAAAGGGTTATGCTGACTACCTTAAGCCAAGCAAGGCCATTCCACCCCCAGACCTGGGTAAGGGGCCAATCCTACCCAAACCACATAGCTTGGAGTGGGCCAAGGCTGTAGTTCCCAAATAGAATAAAAATGGATCCTGGGTACCAAATAACAGAAGGCCACCACAGGGGATGTCCCTTGATATTGTCACAATTTGTAGCACAATGCTTTTTGCATATTTTGAATTCAATATGTTTGCTGAATTGAATTGAATTAAATATCCCACATTGTTCATGATCCACTTTAGCAGGGCAAAGAGCCTCCTGGGCCATTTATCCCCAACCACTGAAATCAACAAAATGAATAGGAAGTTTTTAATAAGCTTTTGATGAGCTACCAATTAAGAAAACCAGGCATCCATTTAACAACAGTAATAATTTATTAATCCACACCAGAAACTTAGGCACATACGCTATGGTAATAGAAATATTATTGCTATAGGAGCTCGTAGCTTGATTCATTCCCAAGGATCCATGTGGACCATTTGTAATCCCCGAGCCATATTTAAAACCACTATTCTATCTATACAATTTTGTCATGGAGTCCAAAACTTTAAACATTTGCAGAATTTCCATTGGATTGTAGGGTAAGGATTTCAAATATTTAAATAAAAAAATGATGTGTGTATAGATTCAATATAAATTCAAGTGCTAAAAGGTGATAATTCTTCAATTTAAAAGACTTGAGTGAAAATAATGATATCAGAAATAGCTATTGTATGTGTACTCTGGCCAGGAACCATGCAAAGATCTTAACATGTATTATTTAATGTAATCCTTATGTCCCTATATGATAGGTATTACTGCCACCCATCGGTAAATATATTGACATGAAAGCTGAGACTTGACCTAGGTCACATAGTGTGGTTGGTAGTACATCTAAAATTCAAACACAGACCTATCTGATGGAGATCTATTTCTAACAGAAAGAGATGGAGAGAGAGCAACAGTACTTCTGGTCATTGAATCCTCATCTGATTATTCATCCATACATTTTATCTACAAGATGCCTAAATACTAAACATAAAAAATTTAGAGGCCATCTCCACTAAGAGTTTTAGCACATTATCTTACACAGCACAATGCATTTACTAGCTGCCATGTAGATTAGAATATGAAGACATAGAATGATTGTTGCTGAGTGGTCCTTAAATGTATATTTTAATCTTTCCCTCTTTGTTTAACCTAGAACAAAAGTTAAAGTAAAACTGTCTTATCAAGCAGATTTATCTGACAGTCACTTCAGGAAAGATTTAATTAAAATAATAATAATAACGAACTAGCATTTCTATAGGTCTTACAATATGCCAGGCACTGCTCTAAATGTTTTACTTACATTAACTCAGTGGATTCTCTCGACAGCCCTATAATGTAGGCACTTTTATCACCTTCATTAAATATAAAATACTTTATTTATTTATACTTGTGTTTTACTTATTTCCTGACTTATTACCAAAGGAATTTGAAGAGACTTGCAAAATTACATTGAAGAAAATAAAAAGAAAGGAAGAAGGTAAAGAAAGAAAGGAAGAAAGTATAGTAAAATAAAATAACGCTACAGATAATATTATCAGAAAAAATATCCATCATAGGATTTGTGTAGTTGCTGGAGAGGACCATAAATTTAGCTACAAACTTCCTGGCAAACAAATCAAAAAGCAAAACATAATCAGGCAGAAGATTCACAATGTCCATAATAGGAAAACAAGCCAGTTGCTTAAGAGTAGCACAAATTTCCCATAAGAAAGTTATTTGCCTACAAGAAAATTATATAATTAAAAATGCCATGTGATACAATAATGTACAAAAGTCCATTTCTACCATGAGTATAAAATGTGGAATGTAACTCCTCTTCATCCCTCCATTTCCATTTTCTCCCTCTCCCTTAGTAATAACAGTTTTAATTTTGCTGGGAAGATGACTGTCTAGAGTTTTAAAAAGACCCCATTTTCTAGCTTCCCTGTAGCTAGATGTGGCCATGTTACTTAAAGGGGGTGGCATGTCTTTATCCTGGTCACTCAAATGCAGATGGAAGAAGCCATCCTGGATGACGAGGTAGGCTTGGAAAGGAACATCTGGACAGTGGAATCTGGGTTGCTAACACTCTGGTGCATAGTTATCTATAATTTCATATGACAGAGAAAGAAACTTCTATGGTGTGTAAGCAACTATTGTTTTGGGTTTTCTATTATTTTTAGCTAACTGAAGAATGAGGGGGACAGAAAACTTCTTTGTATTAGGTGATCAGGGAAGACTTCTCTGAGGAGATATTTAAGCTGAAAAACTGAAGGATTTTATGCTAACGAACTATGGACAAGAAGAATGGAGACAAGAATACTCATTGCAGAGGTCACTGTACCTACAAAAGCCTCTAGGCAGGAAAACCTTCACAAGAAGCTGAAAGAGGATTTTTGTGGCTGGAGTGCAGTGAGAAAGGGCAAAGAGAAACATGAGACAAAATCTGACAAAAAGGCAGGAACCATATCATGCAGGACCTCCTGGGCCATGGTGAAGAGTTAGAATTTGTGTTGGCAGGGATAAGTAGAAAAGGGAATCCTTGTACACTGTTGAAGAGAATGTAAATTGAGAATGCCATTATGAAAAACAGTGTAGAGGCTCCTCAAAAAATTAAAAATAGAGCTAAAAAATTAAAAATAGGGCTACCATATGACCCAGCAATCCCACTACTGGGTACACATATCCAAAGAATATGAAATCAGTATGTCAAAGAGATACCTGCACTCCTATGTTCATTACAACATTATTGACAATACCCAAGATATGGAATCAACCTAAGTGTCCATCAGTGAATGAATGGATAAAGGAAATGTGGTATATAGGCACAATGGAATTACTATTCGGCCTTACCAAAAAAAGAAATATTGTCATTTGCAACAACTTGGATGAACTTGAAGGCCATTATGTTAAGTAAAATAGGCCAGGCACACAAAGAAAAATGCCATCTGAGCTTACTTATACGTGGAATCTAGAAAACTCAAATTCATAGAAACAGAGAGTAAAATAATGATTACCAGAGATGAGGGAATGTAGAGATTGGGAAGAAGTTGGTCAAAGGACACAAATTTTCAGTTAGAAAAAGTTCAAGAGATATGTTGTACATCATGCTGACTATAGTTAATAACAATAGATTGTATACTTGAAAATTGCTAAGAGGATAGATTCTAAGTGTTATCACCACAAAAAAATGTTAAGTATGTGAGGTAATGGATATGCCTGATTTGGCCATTACACAGTGTACATACATATCAAAACATCACACTTGTACAGTACAAATCATATAATTTTTACTTGTCTAATTAAAAATTAATTTTTAAAACTGTAAAACCCAAGAGCTGAAAAATGAAAAAAGAAAGGAGAGAGAATTTATTTATTAGTCAATGAAAGAACAGTGTCTGGCAAATAGGAGGGGTCTTCAAGAAGTTCATGAAAAATGTGTATTATAAAAAAATAGATTTCAACTTTTTTGCATCAAAATAAACTCATACTAATTTATTATAACATATCTGAACAGAATCTAGTTTGAGGCACTAAGAAGGATAAGACATCAGTTTTAAAAGAGCCCCTATCAAAAACTGGATAGCTATATGCAAAAGAATGAAATTGGACCTCTATTTCCCACTATACACAAAAATCAAATCAAAATGGATAAAATATTTCAATAGAAGTCCTAAAACAATGAAACCACTAGAATAAAACTTTGGAGAAATGTCCCAGAACATTGGTCTGGGCAAATATTTTTTGTTTAAGACCTGAAAAGCACAGGCAACCCAAGCAAAAATATATAATTGGGATTATATCAACCTAAAAAGCTTCTGCACAGCAAACAATCGACAAAGTGAAAAGACAACACACAGAATGAGAGAAAATATTTGCAAACTATCCATCTGACAAGGGATTAATAACCAGAACATATAAGGAGTTCAAACAACTCAATAGCAAAAAAAAAAAAAAAAAAAAAAAAATTCAGATTAAATATTGGGCAAAAGGTTTGAACAGACATTTCTCAAAAGACATACAAATGGCCAAGAAGTACATGAAAAAAATGCTCAATATCCCTAATCATCAGAGAAATGCAAATGAAAACCACAATGAGACAGCATCTCACCACACACAATAACAGATGCTGGTGAGGATGTGGAGAAAGGGGAACCTTCATACACTGTTGGTGGGAATGCAAATTAGTACAGCCTAATGTACAGTATGAAGGTTCCTCAAAAAACTAAAAGTAGAACCACCATATGATCCAGTAATTCTACTACTTGGTATATATCAAAAAGAAAGGAAATCAATACATCAAAGAGATATCTGCACTCCCGTGTTTATTTCAGCACTGCTAACAATAGTGAAAATACGGAATCAAGCTAAGTACCCATCAACAGATGAATGAAGAAAGAAAACGCCATATATATACACAATGAAATATCATTCAGCCATAAAAATGAATGAAATCCTGTCATTTGCAGCAACATAGATGGAATTGAAGACCATTATGTTAAGTGAAAAAGTCCAAGCACAGAAAGACAAATATCATATAGTCTCACTCACATGTGGGAGCTAAAAAAGTAGATCTCATAAAGATAGAGATTGGTAGTTATCAGAGGCCAGGAAGGGGAGAGGGGAGAAGAGTCAAAGAAACAAATAGAATATAAATGCATTTATTACCACTGAACTACACACTTAAAAAAGATAAAGATGGTAAATTATATATGTATATTTTAGTACAATAAAAAATATTTTTTTGAAAAAGAGCCCCCATCAGTGCAACATGAATTCTGCTAAAATTGAAACAAGAACAAACATCACATTTAAGGTGAAGCTTGGGAAGAAGAATGGTGAAATCACTGCTGCTTTATGAAAAGTTTACAGGGACAATGCCTCAAAGGAATCAGCAGCCTACAGATCGATAACTCATTTTAAGAAGGGACAAGACAATGTTGAAAATGAAGCTTGCAGTGGCAGACCATCCACATCAATCTGTGAGGAAAAAAATTCACTTTGTTCATGTCCTAATTGAAGAAGAGTGACAATTAACAGCAGAAACAATAACCAACACCATAGATATCTTGATTTGTCAGCTTATGCAATTCTGACTAAAATATCAAAGTTGGGCAAACTTTCCACTTGATGGGTGCCAAAACCATTGTGCCCAGATCAGCTGCAGAGAAGAGCAGAGGTTTCAATGAAAATTTTAAACAAGTGGAATCAAGATTCTATAGCATTTCTTTAAATAACTGTAACAGGAGATGAAACATGGCTTTCCGGTATGATCCTGAAGACAAAGCACAAGCAAAGCCATGGCTACCAAGAGGTGGAAGTGGTCCTGTGAAAGCAAAAGCTGACCAATGAAGAGCAAAGGTCATGGCAACAGTTTTTTGGGATGATCAAGGCATTTTGCTTATTGTCTTTCTGCAGGTGAAAGAACAATAATATCTGCTTATTATAACAGTGTTTTGAGAAACATAGCCAAATCTTTAGCAGAAAAATGCCCAGGAGAGCTTCACCAGAAAATCCTTCTCCACCACAATGATGCTCCTGCTCATTCTGCTCATCAAACAAGGGCAATTTTACAAAAGTTTCAAGGGAAAGTTATTAGGCATCCACCTGAAAGTCCTGATTTAACTCCTTTTGATTTTTTTTTGTTTCCTAATCTTAAAAATCTGTAAAGGGCACCCATTTTTCTTTAGTTAATAATGTAAAAAAGACTGCAATGATATGGTTATATACCTAGAGTGCCCAGTTATTTAGGGATAAACTAAATGGCTGATATCATCACTTACAAAAGTGTTTTGAACTTGATGGAGCTTATGTTGAGAAATAAAGGTTATATTTTTCATTTTTATTTTTAATTCACTTTTTCCACAAACTTTTTGAAGCTCCCTCATATTAGCCCCTCAAACATTTGCTGATTGGGTTTTTAAGATGTGTTTTAAAAGGTAATTGTGTGATGATAATTTTTCTAGGCAGGAGGACCTTCAGGGAGCTATGTGATGGAATTTCCATAGAAAAAAAATATAGTTTTTCAGTTACGGAGTAGAGGAGAGACAGACTTGAAAGTAATGTAACCAGCTGAAAAGAAAGACCTAAACAAAGATGATGGAGATGGCCAGGCCTGATTTCACAGAAGAGAAAAAGAAGTGGCTGAATTTGCAATATATTTTAGAAATAGAATTAACAGTTTACATTGAAGGATTTGATACGGGAGTATAAAAGGAGTGCAATTAGAAAAAGGAAAGAAGGATTTGATGAGGATTGAATAACAAAGAGTTAAAGGACAGCATCTCTGCCAAAAACTTGGAGCTAATGTGTGTTCCATGTTATCAGTTCAGGGCAGGGTAATACATATTGACACTACAGGTGATACTCTCTTACAAAATAATAACAACTAACAAGGACATATGTCTGTATCTGTGGCCACCCTACTTCTACTGATTGGTTGCCAATGAGCTCAGATTTTTCTCAGAATACAGTTGCCCAAAACAGGCAAATGGGTAGTCAGGTCCCCAAATATTCAAGCATACCTCATTTTATTTGCTTTGCCTTTTTGTGCTTCACAGATGAATGCGTTTTTTACAAATCGAGTTTGTTGCAACCCCACATCAAGCAAGTCTATCCATACCATTTTTCCAAGAGCAGTTGTTCACTTCATGTCTCTGTGTCACATTTAGGTAATTCTTGCAATATTTCAAGAATTTTCATTTTTACTATATCTGTTATGATGATCTATGATCAGTGAGCTCTGATATTGCTATTGTAATTGTTTTGGAGCACCACGAACTACACCCATGTAAGAAGAGAAACCTAATCAATAAATGTTGCTTGTGTTCTGACTTGTCCGGAAGGTTGATGGAGCAGTCAGAACACAAAGTTTATTGATTAGGTTTCTCTTCTTATATGGGTGCAGTACATGGTGCTCTCTCCCTCTCCTCAGGCTTCCCTATTCCCTAAGATACAACACCATTGAAATTAGGCCAATTAATAACCTACGATGGCCTCTTAGTGTTCATGTGAAAGGAGTCACACATTTCTCACTTTAAATCAAAAACAAGAAATGGTTAGGCTTAGTGAGGAAGGCATGTCAATAGCCAAGATAGGGCAAAAGCTAGGCCTCTTGTGCCAAACAGTTAGCTAAGTTGTGAATGCAAAGGAAAAGTTCTTGAAGGAAATTATGAGTGCTGGCTAGGTGTGGTGGCCCATTGCTGTAATCCCAGCAATTTGGGAAGCCAAGGTAGGAGAATTGCTTGAATCCAGTAGTTGGAGACCAGCTTGGGCAACATAGTGAGACCCTGTCTCCACAAAAAAATTTTAAAATTAACTGGGCATGGTGGCATGTACCTATAGTCCCAGCTACTCAGAAGGCTGAGGTGGGAGGATTGCTTGAGCCTGGGAGATCAAGGCTGCAGTGAGCCAGGATTGCACCAAAGCAGTGCAGCCTGTGTGACAGAGCAAGACTCTGTCTCAATAATAAAAAAAAAAAAAGTGCTAGTCCAGCGAACACGTGAGTGATAAGAAAGCAAAATAGTCTTATTGCTGATAGGGTGAAAGTTCTGGCTGTCTGGACAGAAGATCAAACCCCCTACAACATTCCCTTAAGCCAAAGCCTAATCCAGAGGAAAGCCCTAACTCTCTTCAATTCTATGATGGCTGAAAGAAGTAAGGAAGCTACAAAAGAAAAGTTATTGCAATATTTCAAGCTTTTTCATTTTTACTATATCTGTTATGATAACCTGTGAGCAGTGAGTTCTGATTTACTATCATAATTGTTTTGGAGCACCATGAACTGCACCCATATAAGCTAGCAGAGGTTGGTTCATTTAAGGAAAGAGGGCCCATAACATGAAAATGCAAGGTGAAGCAGCAAGTGCTAATGTAGAAGCTATAGCTAGTTATCCAGAAAACCCAGTTAAGACCATTGAGGTATGTCACTACGCTGAACAACAGATTTTCAATGTAGACAAAACAGCCTTCTATTAGAAGATCTAGAACTTTCATAGCTAGAGAGAAGTCAATGCCTGGATTCAAAGCTTCAAATGGACAGGCTGACCTTCTTGTTGGAAACTAATGTAGCTATGACTTTGTTGAAGCCAATATTCATTTACCTTTCCAAAAATCATAGGGCTTTTAAAAGTTATGCTAAATCTACTCTAACAGTGCTCTATAAATGAAACAACAAAGCCTGGATGACAGCGTATCTGTTTATAGAACAGATATGGTTTATTAAACAGTATGGTTTAGTAAATATTTTAAGCCCACTCTTGAGATGTACTGCTCAGAAAAAAAATCCTTTCAAAATATTACTGCTAATTGGCATGGCACCTGTTCACTCAGGAGTTCTGATGAAGATATACAAGAAAATTAATGTTGTTTTCTTGCCTGCTAATACAACATCCAATCTGAAGCCCATGGATCAAATAGCAATTTCAACCTTCAAGTCTTATTATTTAACAAATACATTTCATAAGGCTATGGCTGCCATAGATTGTGATTCCTCTGATGTATCTAAGCAAAGTAAATCAACAACCTTCTGGAAAAGATTCACCATTCTAGATTCCATTAAGAATATTCATGATTTATGGAAGGAGGTAAAAATATCAACATTAACAGGAGTTTGGAAGAAGTTGATTCCAACCCTCATGGATGACTTTGAGGGGTTCAAGACTTCAGAGGAGGAAGTACCTGCAGATGTAGGAGAAATAACAAAAGAACTAGAATTAGAAGTGGAGCCTGAAGATATGACTAAATTACTGCAATCTCACAATAAAGCTTTAACAGATGAGGAGTTGCTTTTTATGGATGAGCAAATAAACGAGTTTCCTGAGATGGAATCTACTCCTGGTGAAGGTGTGTGAACATTGTTGAAATGACAACAAAGGATTTAGAATGTTCCATAAACTTAGCTGATAAGGCAATGGCAGGATTTGAGAGAACTGGCTCCAATTTTGGAAGTCCTACTGTGGGAAAAATGCTACCAAACACCATCACATACTCCAGAAGAATCTTTCATGAAAGAAATATCATTCATTGCAGCAAACTTCATTGTTGTCTTATTTTAAGAAATTGCCACAGCCACCCTAGCCTTCAGCAACCACCACCCTCATCAGTCGGCAGCCGTCAACATCAAGGCAAGACCACCACCAGCAAAAAGATTACAACTTGCTGAAGGCACAGATGACAGTTAGCATTTTTAGCAATATATTAATAGTATTTATAAATTAAAGTATGTACATTCTTTTAGCCATAATGCTATTACACACTTAATAGACTACATAACTTTTATATGTACTGGGAAACCAAAAAATTTTATTGTGATATTTACTTTACTGTGGTGGTCCAGAATCAAAACCCACAATATCTCCGAGGGATGCCTGTACCTAGAAGAATCTAAATGATAGAGACATTGCCTAGTCCTCAAGGAATTTAAAATGTAAATACATAATTAGCTTAGTACATTAGCCTACAAAAGAATAAAAGTGAACAGTGCTAAAACTGTGATTTAGCCAATGAGAGCTTCTGGGATCAGAGAATTCAAAATCCCTGTATCTTCATCTTGTCTTTCTTTCTCTTTCTTTCTTTCTTTTTTTCCTCCAACCCCCTCAACTGTGATCTGCTTTCCTCAGGTCTGACCTTAATAGCCCATTCTGCTTGTTAAGTTGTATGTATTTTGGCAAATCGCTTAAGCTCTCCAAGCTTCCATTTCCTTATCTAAATAACAGCAAAATCACAGCAATGTTGTTTGGATGAAATGAGAATGTGTACTTAAAACTGTTGTGTACATTTGATAACCAATGTAGATTAAAACATCTTCTTTTAACACCTTCCCTTTTCTCTACTTCCCCTAATTCACAATTTTTTGAAAGATCTATCTCCTCCTACCATTTCTCTCTCTCTCTTTTTATAATACCTTTGTTCAGGTTAAATTCACATGTCATACAATTCACTCATTTGAAGCGTTCATTTAAAGGTTCTTAGTATTTCACAGAGTTATGCAGCCATCACCACAATCAATTTTGAAAGGTTTTAATCACCTCTACGACAAACACAGTACCATTAATAATCACTCCCCATCTGCACCCTCCGCTGGCAAAGTGGGGTTGCCAAACCCCTGGCAACTACCAATGTACTTTCTATTTCCATGTCTTTGCCTATTCTATACATTTTATATAAATGGAATCATATAAAATGTGGTCTTTTGTGATTGGCATTTTTCATTTATCCTAATGTTTCTGAGGTTTTTAGCATGCACCAGTACTTCATTCATTTTTATTGCCAAAGACTATTCTGTTGTATGGCTATACCACTTTTTAAAAATCTATGCATCAGTTGCTTGAGGACTTGTCCTTGTATTGCATGCAGTGCTTCACCTGATGCCAGTGAGGACTGTGAGCCCCTGATGTTAGCACCTGTGCCTTACTCATTTCTATATCAACACCACCTGCACACCAACTGGCATATAGAATGAATGAAAAAATTATGGCTCAAAACCATTTATTGAAAATGATATATATGTTGAGGGCAAGATTTAGAGAAATGCAAACATCCAGATACAGATTGTATATTTCATATATTAGCTCTTAGCACTAATAAATTTTTCCAAGGCAAATAGATTGCTTTCTTCAATGTAGCCTGAACATCTTAATTTGGAATGAAGCTCTTGTGGAGCCTCCATCCATCCAGAGTCCCTTCACAGTTTTGTGGCCAAAGCCTTTGGCTTTCCAGCTTCTGGTCTTTCTAGTGAAAAATATGTTCTTTCCAAAATAATTAGAAGAAGAAAGGCAGTTACTTGCCTTCACGGCATTCGTAATCTCCAATCTAAGTGATAAAGAGTTCCTGTGATTTTGTATTCCATTGACAGGAGGAAACAATAGAGCTTCAGGAAACCAATCAATTGGCTTTCTGTTCATTAAAAAAAAATTAAAATCTAATTTATTGAAATTGTATTTATTGTTTATATCATCCTTGATTTAGGTAAGTGGACAGAATAATGCCCCCCAAAATACGTTATTTGTTCAAAAAGTATTTAATACTTTGGTAAGACCTAAAGAAACTATATATATATATGTGCATATATATGTATGTGTGTATATATATGTGTGTATATATATGTATATATATGACAGTCCTTAGTCTAAAGTGGCATAAATTAATTGGACAAGATAATTTATCATATGTACCATAATGAGGCCTATTATAGTGCTGGAAGATAAGTGTCCGTCACTGAAAGAACTTGTCCTGCCCAGGTGTCAAAATTAAAAGCCTATAGGCTCTGCCCTACCCAGGGCCCTATTAGTAAGACAGATAATCTCTGGAATAGTATAATACTTGTTTTCTGGTATCTGATATACCAGGCGTTATGAGTCCTAGGCAGCAGAGTGAGCTGCCATTTTCCCACCCATTCCCACCTCCAGCCCTCTCTTTCAGAGGCCAGTTTGACTGCAAGACTCAGGCCCTGGTTTTCATCATAATTTCCTCAAGAAAGCAAGTCCAGCTCTGGCCACCAAACTGATAGTTGGGTATCCTGAGTTCCCCATTTAATTCCTACCTGTCTTTTGGGATTGGCTTCTCCTTCTAAAATCTAATATATCAGCTCACAGAATATGTTCTGATCTATAAGTAAAGTAACAGCAGGGTGTCAAGAATTGTCACATTATCCCTGAACCATCACAGTCACTAGGCAAGCACTGTCTTCTCTTCTTGGAAAGGTACCTTAGAAAGACTGTCAGTGTAGACAGTACCAGAGTTCTTTGCCTCACCCTCCAACCCCAAATTTAGTGATCTGGGTACTAATCTCTGTTAAAGTTCCCCAGGCCTCACCCCTCCCAGCCTTGGCTTATTCTCTACTTCCCACCAGAAGTGCCTAGAATATCTCTTGATTACATAGAAGAATGGTTGAGCTAGAGTTGAGGCTTGAGTTAGGAAGTGGTAAAAGTTATGCTAAGATTGGAACCAGGTTCTAGAAGGCCTCCACCTGCCATGCTGAAGCTTTTGGGCCTTTTCCTGTTGTCACTGCGGGAAAGGGGGAACACTGAAAGTTTCTGAGTAGGAGATAAACAAAATGAAATCACTTTATTTTATAACCACATCCTTCTGACCTAACTCCACAGGACCAATATCGTAGGAAGAAGTCTCACTGTATTTGAGTGAGGACCCATATCACTGTCAGGCTTGATGACAAACATTTTGGCTTTTTTTTTTTAAACAGGAATGTTGTTTCACTCTTATAAAGAGAAGAAACAACATGTGGTCAGAAAACCAGACACCAGCTCAGCTTGAGGGAAAAACCTTCGGAGAGACTCAGCATTTTCTGCACCCAGCCTCTTATTTGCTTGTCTCTTAGCTGATCTAGTGGCAACCCCTGGTTTCCTCCCACGTGAAGCCTGCCGCTCCAGGATTTTAAGAAAGATCGTGAAGGCCCTATCCCTGTTGCCAAAGATGTTCTTATCTAAAGATCTCTTCTAACCACTCTATCATTCCCTTACCTCACCTACTTTTGTCCAGTTTTATATTTGGAACTAAGTAACAAAACAATCTGCCTAAGAACAGAGATCCTACTTCCCAGTCATACTAATATTTTGATCCCTCAAGGAATATTTTACAGCAATTACTTTCAAAAAGAAAAGTTCTTTATTATGCATGGGGCAAGAGACATACAATAACAGCATTTTTTTCCATGAACAGCCCCTATAAATTAATACTTGCTGCTTAGAGAATACATGCTTCATTTTTGAAGGTGCTTTTAATCCTTTTAAAAATTAATGTAAACTTAAATGTATTTAAACATGAATGGCTGGGAAACATTTTTGGTATGGCATATAACCCAGTGCAGGTGCCAAAGAATCTTGAAAGCAGACAAAGCTCTGAGAAGTTATGATGCTGGTTTTATTTGAGGGGAGGTGGGCAGAACAATAACTTGTGCAAAAAAGCTATCCTGGAATAAAGTAGTTTTCTTAAATGCAAATTTGCTAGATTAGAATATTAAAAAGAACCTATCTGGTAAAAATGTAATAATTCTCTATGGGTACTCCAAAGAGAATTGCCTCATGAGAATGTACAATTTTGTGTGAAAATAATCCACAAAGAAAGGAAATTTTGGATTAATATCCCAATGTCAGAATCACTAATGTGGATTTCTAAATAAAGCCCATAAACAAACATTTGGTTTATATTTCAGTTCCTCTTTCTTTCCACTTCCTCCAATTTTTACGGTCACTCATGGGAAACTCCGATTTATGTACCATAAATAAGCATAAGTATTGGATTTATTCCCCAAATATTTTCATATCCTTATCAAAAACACATTTGGATAAATATCTATACATGTTGCAAGAAGTTATTGGCCCTTGGCATATTATTTGAAAGGTGAGATCAACAAGTCAGCAAATTATTTTAAATTGCTTACCAAGACTTGAATATAGGTATAAATTACCTGGAAATAAAAATTCATTTATTAAAAATGATTATAACATAGAGTTTTTTTGTTTTCTAGTTCTACCTCATAAATGCAAACATCTGCATAATATACTATACCAGCAAAATATTTCAGTATCTCTCACACTTTCTTCTGCATATTCATTTATTTTAGTCCTGTTTTGTTTATGAAAACAGTCACATTATCTATAATATCACTTTGATGAATTGTTAATGTACATCAAAATTTATACACCCAGTTAGGTTTTCTTCCATTTTGTTCCAAATAATACAATAAAGGTTAGTAGAAACTAAAAATAATGATGAACGGAGGCAGTAAGAGTGGGTCAAGGGCCTGGTGCTTGCTCTATCACCTACAAATAAGGTATAGACTCCATTCTTCTATAATCAAGATAAAATAATTATTTTTTTAAAAGAATACGTTTATGAAATGCTAGAAAGAATATCACATAGATAACGTGCTGTAGTTCAGATTTTAAGACTTGTGGAAAACGGATCTTAGATGCAGTGAAATTCTTGATTCTTATGAAGTTCCAAATGAAGACATTAGTAGATTTCCAAAGATCCAGGACATTAATATTTTATTAGCTTAAACTTGAAAGATTTCTGTGGTAACCCAAAATTACTTTATCAGATTCTAAAAATAAGATTTAATTACAACACTATTTTGATATTTAGCCTTCTCTGGAAAACTGGATAACATTTCTCTAGATGTCTATGTTAACCTCTACTTGGCTTGCCATTTTAACATTTCTAGATGCAATGAACTCTAGTAAGTGCTATAGAGGACCCAAAGCTAAATAAAACAAGATCCATGTTTTCAAAAATTATATACACTGGTTAGCAATTGCTTCAATGAGAAATAACAGAGTGAAAGGACTGACAAGACTATAGCTGTCTCTTATGAGCAGAGGAAGTTCTAACTAGATGCTATAAGGAGTCAGGTGAACATATCAATGCAATGCAGACACTACCCTTAAAGTTGAAGGTGAATATATTTTATCCGTTTGGTTTGGTTTACATTGCTATATCCAAGAGCTGAGAAACAACACTCTTCCAATGACATAATAATAACTTATGTGTGTGAACTGCTTTACTAGGTACAGAGTGCTTTCACATCATAGTTTTATGTAGATCTTATGGTAATCCTATCCAGTAGATGGGTCTAGATCTCCATCTTCTATCTGAGACACATTAACCAACTTGTCCAAAGTTACTCTAACCACTAAGTGAGAGACTGGGATTCAAATAATCTTCCTTCCCTTGCATTCTTTCCACAATCTCACATGTCCTCACCACTCCCTTTGGCACTCCCAATCACTAATTCTACAAACATCTATTGACCATCAGCAACATGCTGGGCACCAGGGTATAAAAGTGTGTAAGATATAGTCCTTAACCTCTTTTGGGGAAGACAAACCCATAAAGAGCTACTTATAGTGAAATCTGGTGAGTATACTGACAAAGCTAATGGCCAGGGATACCCAAATGAGCCCCAATGTGAAAGGGATGGGGAGAAACCAGGGGAAGGCTCTTGGAGAAGGTGAATTCCAAACTGAATCTTCAATGGTAAATAAGAGTTAACCAAATGAGTGAGGGAGGAAATGAGAGCCCCAGGGAAGGCTGGGGGAGGGAGCTACTCCAGGCAAGTGCTCAGCATAAGGAAATGATAACAAAGAGAGAAACAGTAAGGTGTGTATGGGGGACGACTTAGCAAGTTGGGTGTTCACTAGAGTGTAATGCTCAATGCAAGAGACGAAGCCATAAAATTCATTACTCGAAGCTGAAACTGAAATATATAGCCTATAAAGAAGAAACATTTTGTTTTGTAAAGAATGTTCCTCCTTTCTCTTTCAACATTGCATTTTCTATTTTTTTCATGAGGGAACTATTTTTACCCAGTTCCATTTTTTTGAAGTATAATTTATGTATAATGAAATTGATCAATTTTTCAGTATACAATTCCATAGATTTTGACAAATACATATAGAATCATGTAACCACCACCACAATCAAGAGATAGAATATTTCCATTACTTCAGAAAGTTTCCTCATACCTCTTACAGCCAATCTCTCCCCTGACCCCGGCCCCTGAAAACCACTATCTGATTTCTGTTGCTAAAGTTTTGCCTTTGATAGAATTTCATAGAAATAGAATCATATGGTGCGTAATGTTTTGTGTCTGTCTTCTTTCAGTTAGCATAATGCACTTGAGACTTGTCTACATTACTGTGTCCATCAGGCATGTGTTCCATTTTATTGCTGGGTAGTGTTCCATTGTATGGAGGCATCACAGCATGTTTACTCATTCAGCAGGTGATCAACATAAGAAATTGTTGCCAGTTTTTAGCTATGATGAATAAAACTACGGTGAATATTCACCTATAAGCCTTTGAGTAGAATTGTGTTTTCATTTTTCTTAGGTAAATACCTAAGCATTCAATTGCTGAGTTCAATATATGTGTAATATATGTATATTATATATATAGTTCAATATATGTATAATAAGCATATATTTAAATACATTGACATCACAGGGCAATAATTCCTTATTCTCATTAAAGAATCTTCTGGTCAAACAGCTCAAAGCACTTCTCAAACTTCCTGCCCATTGCATGTATTTTGCATTAATAGTACAAATTTATGTATCCCCTTGCAGTTTTCAAAGCACATTCATGTGCATGATCTTATCTTACCCTTATAGCAACCCTGTAAAACAGTCCTAGTTGACATTCACCAGGCACAACCTTACAGCACCAGGCACAACATTACGGGATGCATATGCCATCTGTCTGATAACAGCCAAGTCCCACTCCCATATCAGATATTTTGAATATCACTTCTGAAAGTAGATACTATTGACCTCATTTGAGGGTGAGGAAACAGAGGCTAAAAGAAGTTAACAATGTTGGTCACCATGAGACCCTTGAAAAACATAAGAACAAAGGACTCCTACCTAGAACTTCTGGAGCCCCTGCCTTTTCACATCTTACGGCCACCACGAAGGAGTAAACAGGTGGGTTTACAGCATATTTGAACTACAATTCGATTGATAAGAGGATACCTTTCCTCCTACATGCCTTAACATGAGGGGTTTTATCCCCTGGTGTTCCCAAATTCAACTCTAGAGAATTTTAGCAAAAATATTTTGGATTTCTCTCTATAAGGAGGGACAGGAAGAGAAAACAATATCAGAAAGACCAGAAGCCTCCATCTTTGAGAGGAGAGGTCTGTAAGCCAAACTCTGTGATGACAAGGACGAGGGGACTTTCCATGCTCTGTGTAGCCAGGCTCACTGTGATCCCATAATAATCTCTCCCAAGAGCCAGCCTAGACACCTGGCAGCTGCAGCTAAACTACCAAGCTTCACGTCACTATTTCATGAATTTTATTTTTCTTTCTTTAACTCAAAAAAAATTTAGGTATTTTAAAGGGAACTTTTCCTCCATTTTTCATAAAATATAGCTATATAGTCACAATCCTATCAAACTTCCTAAATATCACCAACTAATAAACATTTAGTTTGGTAAAAACTAAATAGAATATGAATGAGAACAAAATTAACATCATCTGTATTCAACAGCAACTCTAAGATGCAGTCATGATCTCAGTAGAGGGACTTGTGAAAATAACAACAGCACGGAATCCCAGCTTTGTCCAAGGCCACAAAAAGCGTGCTTTTCTTTGAGAAGTGTGAATCCCTCACATATGTTCACCCTGACATTGTCTCTAGTCTCAAGCTTAACATATTCAACTGTTTGACAAACTGAAGTGGGAAAAGAGCCTTTCAAATGTAAATACAGATATACAGTACTTTGTTTTCAAGGTTGGTTTGAGTCTGAGTGCAATCTGTCTTGACAACTTACTATGTAAAACTGACCCTATGTATTTTATATCACTGATTTCAAAACTGAGCTTTAGAGAAACTGTAGTTGTACTTACCTTCATGAAGCAAAAGTTTCTTTAGAAGAAAAGGTCAGATATTGCAGGATAAATGACCTCCAAGGTATACATAGTGTAGTGAAAGGAGCAAAGAGCATTTACCATGCAGGTGTAAAAGGAATGTGCATACAATATGCTTCTATATCACCGGCTGTCATGAGGATTCATGGGTAACTATTAAGAGTAGTTTTCAGCCGGGCGCGGTGGCTCAAGCCTGTAATCCCAGCACTTTGGGAGGTCCAGGCGGGTGGATCACGAGGTCAGGAGATCGAGACCATCCTGGCTAACACGGTGAAACCCCGTCTCTACTAAAAATACAAAAAATCAGCCGGGCATGGTGGTGGGTGCCTGTAGTCCCAGCTATTCAGGAGGCTGAGGCAGGAGAATGGCGTGAACCTGGGAGGCAGAGCTTGCAGTGAGGAGATTGCACCACTGCACTCCAGCCTGGGAGACAGAGCGAGACTCCGTCTCAAAAAATAAAAAATAAAAATTAAAAAAAAAACAGCAGTTTTCTCTGGCCACAGGAACAAGGGATCAGGGATCAGCAGTGTGATAAAGGCTTACTTTCCCTTGCACTGCTAGAATTTGTTGTGGTTATATGTTAATTTCCTCTGTCCTTATTTCCCCATTTAAGAAAATGGTGAAATACGTTAATCAGATAACAAATAGAGAATATAAAACATACTTCAGTCTCCTTAAAACTTAATATTTTGTCCTTTTAAATTTTTTACTTTTAATTTTTGTGGGTACATAATAGGTATATACATTTATAGGGTACATGAGATATTTGATATAGGCATGCAATGTATAATAATCACATCATGGAAAACGTGGTATCCACCCCCTCAAATATTTGTTTTTGCTGTCATTTTTTAACTTAAATACATATCCATAGAATACAAATCTCTGATGCTTTATCTCCCCCATCTCATTCTCTTCCTTCTCTAGACATAGCACTTGTTATCTAAATACAGTATTCAACATGTGAATGAATGCATTTATACTTTCACTATACATAAATGCATAAATACAGTATCATTTGCATGTTCTTTAATATCATTTAAATTGTATGATACTGTACCTGTAATTCTCAACACACCTATTAAATTCAACGTTGTTTAATTCAGGCTGACATATGTAACTACAGTTCATCCATTTTAACTGCTTTCTAGTATTTCCTTGTATAAATCTGACCTGGTTTACTACTCTTCCTTAATAATAATTTCATATTTTTACAAACAACACTGCTATAAATATGCTTGTACAAGTCTGTCTTAGTACTGTGGGAGAGATTTTTTAGGGTGTGAGCCTAGAATCAGGTCATGCTTATTTGCATTTAGTAGCTCTCTAAAGTGGCTGTAGGAGCAACTCATATCCTCATTAGTACTTAGAGTTTCTGCTTTGCCAAACATTTTTTAGAGCCGAACTTTTATGTTAAAGGTAAAAATTATCTCAATTTTATTATATTTTCCAATAAATAAATAAGTTGAGGAAGGGAGTAGTGTGAGGCTCTAAGATGTCACCAAGACACAAGAAGACAAACACACAGCCAAACCTATATTGCCCACCAAAACAGCAGCAAAATTCCCTAATGTTGTGCTAGCCTCATCCCCTTCTCCATCCCACCTCATGCTGGTGATAGCTGATTCCCCAACTCTTAATCCTAGGTTGGTTCCATCCCCAGACTTCAGTATTCTGCTTAAAAGGGCTCTAATGGCCACTCTTATGAAATCCTATGGCTGATCCATTGCCAGAAGTGACTCAGATCCAGACTCTAGAACCACCCAGAAGGTCATATGCAACCCCGTTACTGGCCCCGTCCAGCTAGTTCTCATCCCTACCAAGTTCTATGGTGGAGGGAATGTAAGAGGCTATCATCACTACAGAAATAAACCCCACGACAACCAAATGAGGTCATCTAGTGTGACCAAATCTGCATGAGGGAAACAACAGAGAGGTCCCAAGTTTCAGAAACTAATGGAAAAATTTCCACTAGGGACAAGTTACAGTGGGGTGAAAGTCTGACTCAGCGATTATTATTGTAATGGAATCAAACTCTGTGATTAACAACTGAATGGTAAGGAAACTGATGGCACTGACTGTGCATAGCTTAGCAAACATTACATACATGAAAAAAATGAAATAACTGCAATATCCAATAATAAAGAACTCCTGTAATGAGCCAGGCTCTGAGTGCGGTAAATGCATTATCTCATTTTGCCCTGACTCCAAACCTGTGAAGTAGACACTAGTATTATTCCCTTTTTGCAGAAAATAAAACAGAGCCTTTGAAAGGCGAAATAAGTTGATAAAGGTCACACTGTCATTATTAATTGGATGAGGAAAGCCAAGTCCTGAACAATCACACTATACTCTCATTTAAAAGAGGGGAAGCATTCACAAGATATTGTAAATGTACATAAATATTTAAATGCATAGGGAAAAAAACCAGAGCATGCAAACAGACCAAAATATTCACAGCTCTTATCTTCAGGCAGTAGAATTTCATGGAATTTTATTTTCCTAATTGTGCTTTTCTTTATTTTTCAAAGTTCTACATATATTACATTCTAAGCACATTGCTTTTATGATCAGTAAAATATTATTTTAAAAGGCTGCAGGAAACTTACACTTTCTGCTTGCACATCATTAGCTATATTTTTGTTCAGACCAGTTATATCACTGGCAATGCCCACAAACAGGTGCTTAATAAATGTTCTTCAGATGAAAGTAATACATAAATACAGTCTGAAGGCAAATGTTCAATTCCATGAACTAAGGGACAAAACCAAACCATATCAGAAAACAAAGCACTAAATGTTTTATGGTAATTTCTCCCAAATTAAGTATAGAAAATGTACTTAAAAGTAAGGTTGAGGAGAGTACAATACGGCAGTGTGAACTTAAAAAAAAAAAAGCTTTTTGTAAATACTTTTGTCACTAAACACCCCATTTGCTTTAATGTCCTTTGAATCATAGTAAGACTGACATAGTTTACAAAAAACCACAGTGTAAAAGACAAAGGGAACATTAGCAGGTAACAGGCTAATGATTCTCCATGACAGTCAGAATAGAAATTATTTCATTGATGCCTATGTGACCAAAAGAGTATGAACTGTTGTTTGGTTTATTAGATTTTTTAAAATTAAAAAAACTAGATATTTTCCTGAAAAAAAAAACTTTTAGGAATTCTTGTATCAAATAAAAATTATACTACTAATAATAGTATTTATAAATAACAGAAACTAACCCTAGATAGTTCAGAGAATTTTTATAACTTTGTCCTAATCACATTAGTTAGCAACAAAAATTAAAACTCAAAACTCTTCATTCCCAGTTCTCTGTGCTTCTACTAAAAGATACCAGATTAAATTACCATCTAACAACCTCCCTCCCCTTCTTTCCTCACTCTAAAAATAATTTCTGTCCTAAGAAGTGTGAGAGCACATAAGAGCCTTAGCAAGGTTTTCTATAGTCCACCTGCATACGTTTCCAGTTCTAGCACCATCCACTTATTTCTCCTCTCTGTGAACTTGCTCCTCCAGTCATTGAGCAAACACATCTTATACTCTCACACCTGCATGCCTTTGCTCTTCTAGTTTCCTGTCCTAAAAATATCTTTTTTCCCTCCTTAGCCCCAGTAAATCCTTTATCCTTCAATGTCACATCTCTTTGAAGGCTTGTTCAACCCCCAAACAGAATTATCACTCCTCCTCTTCTCCATGTTCCCACATTACACCAGTGCTATCTCCTCATTTGACTCATCTGTGTATCATCATCACCTTGACCTGGGCACACTGTGGATGCCAATGCAACAACCAATTACTGATCACCTACCAAGTGGCAGGTGCTATCTTCAGGACTTGGGAGACAGATTACAGGCAGCCCTTGCCATAATCAGGCTCACAGTATGTTGACCTGACAGATAACTAAGCAGAGATCACTGTTGTGGCAGTATTAGTAGGAGATACTGATGAGTTTGTAGAATTTAACTGAAGAAAATAAGAAATGCTACATGGGTGGGATCAGTGACTACACTGGTCCATTGTTATCACTCTGTGACACTTGGGAGCATTGCATATGAGGACATGACTACCTTTTATGGAATCAACCTCAAAAGGTTCAGTGTATTGAAAACCAAACTCATTACTGGCTTCAGCTAACTTACCTCCACAACCCTCTTCTTTTTCTCTCTAATACCATTATGGTTTTCTCACCAATCCAAACTTGAAAGCTTTATAATCTTTGATTCCTCCAATTCCTTCATCTCTCATATACAAAAGGTATTAATAGATCTTTAACATTTTTGCTTCTCCACTTCTGAAGCCATTAAATCAAACCATTCATCCCTCAAATCTGGACTCTGTCTTCAGTCTTTCTCTTATTCCATCCAGCATTTGAATTGGTGGACTGAATAAAGCAAATGGCCCTCCCCAATGTGGGTTAACATCATCCAACCATTAAGAGGCTGAATAGAGCAGAAAGGCAAAAGAAGGCTGGAATAACTCTGCCTGATCATTTGAACTGGGACATCAATCTTGTCCTGCCCTCAGCATTTTTTGGTTCTCAGGTCCTCACACCCAGACTGGAATGTATACTATTGGTTCTCCAGCTCTCAGTCCTTCAAACTACACCACTGGCTTTCCTGGGTCTCCATCTGGTAGATGGTAAATCATGAGACTTCTTGGCCTCCAAAGAGGCCATGTGTGTGTGTGTGTGTGTGTGTGTGTGTGTATGCTTCTGTTTCTTTTGAGAACCTTGATTAATACAAGGATGAAATAAAGAGATAATAATCACCAACAAAATGTACTGCTTAAGTCTTCGTAGGATAATTCTTATGAAGGGTAAGCTCAAAAAAATCTGATAGTTCTTGTGTTCAGTGCCAACTAACAAGGGTTAAAAATAATTGAACCAAGTTTTGACAATATTACCTTCTACTTTCTTCAAAAATACTGGGTTGATGTCATCTGGTCCCAGTGGTTTATTTATTACCCACTTAGTCAATCAAGCTTTGAACATCCAATGCATTTACCAATAGCAGACCTAAAACCTTTAAGCCATCTACTACTAAAGAAGAAAAATCTTAATGTTTTTCTAAGAAAAAAAGTTTCAGTTTGATGACATAAAGTTCTGAAACTTCCTGGAAATTGCCATGAAATTTTTCAAGGAAAAGAAAATCAGGACTGTAAAGAGTCTCACAAGGCCTTGGTCTATTCAGCTCTCCTGGAGAAATCAAAGTGCCTTCAGCTAAATGATATTACTGATGCATTTTCCCAAGTGCCATCAAAATGGCACTGACTCTTTTGGAGCCACTTTCAATGTGAAATGCATCACAAAATGTTTCTTTACTGTTATGAAGCTACAAAATATGTACTCACCAGCTTGATTCAAGTGACTATAATTCCAAGACTACAATGAGCCTGTCAAAGAAAGCTTTTACAGACTCAAAAAAAAGATAGAAGCTCTAATTAATTCTAGAGCACTAACCTGACATAGCTGCAAATGCATCAGCCTTGGACTACACTGTTGGTGAGGCCATGAACCAGAAACTAGGAGAGGGGAAAAAAAGAGATAAAAACAAAGAGACACAGTCAAAAATAAAGAAAGAGACAAAGAGAAAGAAAGGGAGAGGGAGATAAAGAGAAAGAAAGAGGTGATTAGTAGAGAGATATAGAAAAAGACACACAGAGAGAAGCTGAAAAAATAAACACAAAGACAAAGAGATGGAATCATAACTATCAAGAAGAAATATCTAAATTTACTACTTCTACTTGATTAAGCTCAATACTTATTATAACCTATTAATTATTGACCACGATTTTGCAATTCATTCACAATAACAATTATCAAGAATCTACAGTTATTAACCAATGATACTTTCTATCAGGAAAAAAGGCAGACAGATTTGCTAAAGAGAAGGCAGAGAGGAGGCAGAGAGGAGGTGTTAAGATGGAATGGGGTGTTTATTAAAAAGGATACCTGATGCTATCAGCCTACATTATTTAGTCATCTACTCTCCTAGGAACATTATCCACACTTTTAGAATTTAAAAAGGAAAACCTCCTCCTAGAAGATTTTTCATAAAATTGAACACTGGGATTATCACCATGCTAGGGACTATATAATAACAAGTGAAAAGAAATATCATCCCTGCCCTTAAAAGCTTAGAAATGAAGAAGAAAACAATGGCAAAGATGTATGACATAAAAACCAAAAACATATTTTTAAAAAGTGAATAATTTACATTGTATTTACATTATATAAAATCAAAAGCAAAAATCTAATTGAATGTCATAAAATAGTGAGTGAAAAGGGAACTGGATAAGCATTGAAAGAGTAAAAGAGAAGTGGCCTCCTTTATGCTTGAAGTAAGTAATAAATTATCCATATATCTATCTTAACCTCATGCCTCACAGGTGAGTGGATTTTTGTTTTTAAGATCAGATTCAGGCCAGCATGGTGGCTCACACATTTAATCCCAGCACTTTGGGAGGTCAAGGTGGGTGGATCACCTGATGTCGGGAGTTCGAGACCAGCCTGGCCAACATGGCAAAACCCCATCTCTACCAAAAAATACAAAAAATAGCTGGGCGTTGTGGTGTACGCCTGTAATCCCAGCTACTCGGGAGGCTGAGGCATGAGAATTGGTTTAACCCATGAGTCAGAGGTTGCAGTGAGCCAAGATCATGCCACTGCACTCCAGCCAGGGTGACAGAGTGAGACCCTGTCTCAAAAAAAAAAAAAAAAATCAAATTCAGAGTGTTCAGTTAATTATGTGCCTCAATTCATGGTACAAAATCATTAGCCTATTCATCGCAAGTCTCTTTGTCCTATTTGCTTTTAAAAAACTATTTGTTCTCTTTTATCCCCATTTCTCACTCCCTCCCACAATGTCCTAAGTAGAAAACTCTTCTAAGATGTTTTTTGATTGTATATCTTCTTGCAAAATATAAAATATTATTCTGTGTGCATGTAAAATTGTATGTATACATATGCAATTGTATTATATATCATTCTATTTTTTACTTTTTTAAAGCCCAGCTTTATGTTTATAAGAGCCATTCATGTTGCAATACATACATTAGTCTATTGCTTCCAACTGTTTTGTCATAGTCCCTGGGGCCATCCATCATATTTTATATGTCCACTCTCCCACATAGATCTTGCCCCCATAAATACTGCTATAATAATCATCCTTGAATATGTACCTTTAGGGGTCTGTACAATAATTTCTCTGGGAAATATACCAGAAAAGTGAATTACTGGGTCATAGAATATGAAAATATATTTAATTTGGCTAGAGATTGTTCTCCAGAATGGCAGCACCATGCTTCACACCCACCAATCAGTGCATGAGGGTGCCTACGTCTTCACAGCCCTGCCAACACATTTTATTAATACATCCCTGCTACAAAGTGATCTCATTGTTTTTAAAATTTGCATTGTACTTATTACTAATGAGTTGAACATTTCTTTACATACTTGCTAGCTTTTAGGCTTCCTCTTCTTTAAGTTGCCAATTCAGAACTTTTACCCATTTTTCTATTAGGACTACTGCCTTCTTCATGTTGATTTCCAGTATTCTCTAGGCCCACATATTTATTCCTTAACATTTTAGACAGTGCTAATATCTTCTCTCATTTTGCCTTCTAATGGCTTTGTTCATGGTATCCTTCACGGAACAGAAATTCTAAGTTCTGACGCAATCAAATTCAGCAATATTTTTGTCTTTTAATTTATGCTTCTTAGGTCATGTTTGTGTGCATAGGAGATAGGTGTGCTTATTCTTACAGAAACAGTCAAGAGGGAAGTGGAAATACTTAAAAGATATGGGCAAAAAGATCTACCATGAGGCAAGGTGAAGAGGGAAGGCTACTGGGAAGGCATGATGTTGGGGCAAGACCCTGCCATGTATTAGCTGTGTGACCTTGGACAAGATGATGAACCTCCCAGAGCTTATCATTTGTAAAGTGGGAACAACCCCTATAGTCACAGACAAAATACATAAAAGAATCTGCACAATGACTAGACTAGAATATGATAAACACTTGATCAATGTAAATTCCTTGGCCCCCTACTTCCTCATTTCCATCCCTAATTTGATACAGAGAGAAGGAATTTGCAACCTCTGACACTTTGTAGTCAGATCCGTCAACTGATCCCATACCGCCAATTTTAAAGTATCATCTGTGGATACAGGCTGTCTAGAGCACTTCTGCTCATTCTGCAATTAGATATCAGACAAAGATTAAGCCCTAAAAAAAAAATACTGAAAATGCTGTTTCCTTGATGAGATCAAAAGAGGAGATGAGGTCATGTGCAAATAATTACTTATCTGATGATGGGACTTTGCAGGTAAATTAGCATCTCACTAACAAATGGACTGAACTTATTGGCTATAGAAAGCCTTCTTTTGCTAGATGTGCTTGAAGTATGCAGGAAGGCTATTTTAGGTTCCTATGAGACAAGAGTTTGGAAATAAGTTTAGGCTGTAGCTTCCCAGACTTTATCTGTGCTGCTTAAGTTTCCAGAAAGAATAGGCCATGGTGAACAACCTAATCACCATTTGATTGATGTTTATTTATCCTTCTCTTTCTCATCTGCTTTCACTGAGATGCCAACCAAAATTTCTTGTTATTTGGATATGACATGGACACAAAAGACCTATGAGAATCACACAGTGCTAAAATGAAGCTTGTTTTAGTATGAATGAGTTTTCAAATATCCTTTTTAAATTTGTGACCTTTCACAATCCACTCATGATTTAACATGCAGATATCTAATATGTATCTATGACATACCAGGCCCTGGGCCTAGTGCTACAGGAGATGGAAAGATAAATAAGGTGTGGCTTTTACCATGGAGAAGGTCAGTTTTTCAGAGGAGATAACCATGTGAACACTCAACTACAATAAAATCTGACCATTGTATAAAACAGACAGTGCTACAAAAGTAGAGATGAAAGAACAATTAAATTTATTTAGGTTGGGGTTCCAGAAAGACTTCAAAGAAAAAAATGAGTCTTTAAAAACTAGTATAAATTCTCCAAGCAGAGAGGGGTTGAGTTGGGTTAAGGTCAGGGTTAGGGTTAGGTTAGACAGAGGTCCAAGAAGCAGCTTTTAAGGCAAGGGGTACTCACATGTTGAGGGAAAGGCAAATAGACCCCATGTGGCTGAAGCACAAGGTGGTACTTACGGCCATGGAACTGCATCATATCACTTAAGGAGAATGTTTATAAACAAAAGATAGAAACCTTTGAAATGCCAGTCTTTAAGATGAGGTCTAGGGGCTGGGCATGGTGGCTTATGCTTGTAATCCCAGCACTTTGAGAGGCCAAGTCAGGAAGATCACTTGAGCTGGGAGTTCGAGTTCAAGACCAGCCTGGGCAACATAGTAAGACCTCATCTTTATTAAAAAAAATCGAAAAATTAGCCAGGTGTGGTGGCATGCACCTGTGGGCCCAGGTACTTGAGAGATGGAGATGGGAGGACTGCTTGAGCCTGGGAGGCTCAGGCTGCAGTGAACCATGATTGTGCTGCTGCACTCCAGCCTGGGCAACAGAGTAAGACCAGAAATATATATATATATGGCCTAGGAAAGAGAAGCATACAAAACAGATAAAGGGAAAGGGTATAAAAAATGAAGGAGAACCTACTTTAACTTTTTTTTTTTTTGAGATGGAGTCTTGCTCTGCCGCCCAGGCTGGAGTGCAGTGGCACAATCTAGGCTCACTGCAAACTCCACCTCCCAGGTTCAAGCAATTCTCCTGCCTTAGCCTCCTGAGTAGCTGGGACTACAGGCACCTGCCACAACGCCTGGCTAATTTTTTGTATTTTTAGTAGAGACTGGGTTTCACCACACTAGCCAGGATGGTCTTGATCTCCTGACCTCGTGATCCACCTGCCTCGGCCTCCCAAAGTGCTGGGATTACAGGTGTGAGCCACCGCACCTGGCAATTTTTGTAGTTTTTAGTAGTGAGGGAGTTTCACTACGTTGCTCGGGCTGGTCTCAAACTCCTAACCTCAGGTGATCCATCTGCCTCGGCCTCCCAAAGCACTGAGATTAAAAGCGTGAGCCACCGCACCCAGCCAAACCTACTTTAACTTATATGGCAAATGTGACAAACAGCCTAAAGCAATTTCCCTTCAATCCATCAGAATGCCCTTGGAGATACCTCCTTTCATGATTATGCTCTATATTCCTTTTTGTCCTATTAAATTCATTCTAATCCTATAACCACAGAGGACCACAATGCTATTGGTAGTGTTACTTGTACTATATAACCAATGGCAATCTGTTCTTGTTTATTTATGCAAAAAAGTCCATATCATATTGTTGATTAAGGGACATAATGAAAGGAGTATTGTGTTAGATATGGAGAGTTGGCATTCAACATCCATTCAAGGTCCTTCAAATGTGCTTTTCTGAGTCACAAAGACTGAACACCTAAGAACTACATTCCTGGGATTTTCTACAGTTAGGGTTCTAGAAGTAATTTAAGTGTCACCAATTTTTTGCACTTGAACAAGATCTGGAAAGCAGGAATTAGACAGAGACTGTTTTCTGCTGTTTCAGAGACAAGCACCATTGTGAAAATCTCTAGATTTTCTGTGGCAGTTTTCTGACAAAGGCCATTGCTTAATCTAGGAAAGGCAACAGGAATCATGGTAGCCTGGTTCTACAGAATTATTCTCAAATTCATTCCTGAGAAGCTCAATTTAAAATCTGCATCATTAGCTTACCCAGTGATTCTGTAAACCATTTAAAATCCTGTAAGATATTCATAGCTGGTTAAACCAGTTAGAGGAGATGCTAATCTCCACAGCTCAACATTAACTATCCAGTCAACTCTGCACATTGAGCTCAATCTAGTGCTCTTTACCTGTCCTTCCTCTCACTCCTATATTATTCCCAAAAGGAAAAGTCATAAGGTACACACAGTTTGACATAAACCAGCAGAAGTACCAATCCATATACACAGCTCAAAAATCCAAGTCTAGCTACACTGAGACCTTAAGTTTGCTGGTACATATTCAAAAGCATGGCATTCACCAATCTTCGAATAATGACACTGATGTTCCAAAGTATGTGTAAGCTAACCTAAAGAACTGTTCCTTAGAGCACTTTGATAGGGGAGAGGGAGTGGAAATTAGTCAACTTTGCTATTTTGCAGTCTATTAACTACATTCTAAGTCATCCTCAAAATACAGAAAGAAATATGCTTTTAAGAAAAAATGAAAAAGAAGGTGATATATCAATGCAAACCATCTTAATATCTTTTAAAACACTCAATTTGAATAAAATAGGACAATCAATTACAATTGATTTATTAAAATAATTCATTAATAATGAATTATTATTCATCAATTAGAATATCATTAAAGCACCAGTAGAAAAATAGGCAAGAGATATGCTCAAATAATTTAAAGAAGAAAAATATGCTTCCAGTAAACATATGAAAATATTAACTTGAACAATAAGCAAAGGTATGCAAAGTAAAATAATAGGGAAATATCACTTTTGGTTCATCAAATTGGCAAAGATTAGGAAAAAATACCCATGCAGGTGAAGGTGCAGGGTTTTGAAGATACACTGCTAATAAGAGAATAGGTGTGTACAATCTGGAAAACAATTTAACAAAATATATCAAGAATATAAATGTATCAATATGTACATTAATAATTTAAAGTAATTAAAATATATATTTACGTTGTATCATTAAAATGTACATTATATATAATGTTTACATATCTATTGTGTTAACATTTTTAAACAACTAAAACCACTAAAAAATAAAACAGCTTCTAAGAACTTTATTGGCATTTTTTACATCTATACAAGCAGTTTCAAAACTAATTGTTTCTACTCTCCTACAACTTCCTAGAATATACCAATGATTCCTCCTTTATATGTCATTTATTAAAAACATAAAATTTCCTTTAAAAGTCTATACTTCTTTCTACATTAAAAGATTTTATACCCATGCTATTTAAAAGAAGAGAAAAAAATAAGAAAATAATCTAGTTTCCAATAACAAGGCATTATATTAATTATTGCATATTTAAATTTGGTAGCCATTAAAACTTATTTAAAAAGATATTTACTAGTATGTGGTAAATGTTCATGATATATAAGATAAAAGGACACAAACTATATGCAGTGTGAACACAAGTTTATAAAATAAAATACATATGCATATAGAAATATCAAAAGGAAAAATAGAAATGATAGCAATGACTCTCTAGAGGAAAATATCATAGGTGATTATATGGTTTGGCTGTGTCCCCACCCAAATTTCATCTTGAATTTCCATGTGTTGTGGGAGGGATCTGGTGAGAGGTAATTGAATCATGGGGGCAGGGCTTCCTGTGCTCTTCTGGTGGTAGTGAAAAAGTCTCACAAGATCTCATCGTTTTAAAAGGGGGAATTTCCTGCACAAGTTCTCTTCTCTTGTCTGCCACCGTGTGAGAAATGCCTTTCACCTTCCACCATGATTGTGAGACTTCCCCAGCCATGTGGAACTGTAAGTCTAGTAAATCTCTTTCTTTTGTAAATTGCCCAGTTTTGGGTATGTCTTCATCAGAAGCACAAAAATGGACTAATACAGTAAATTGGTACCAGTAGACTGGGGCGCTGCTGAAAAGATACCCAAAAATGTGGAAGCAACTTTGGAACTGGGTAACAGGCAGAGGTTGGAATAGTATGAAGGGCTCAGAAGAAGACAGGAAAATGTGGGAAAGTGTGGAACTCCCTGGAGACTTGTTGAAATGGCTTTGACCAAAATGCTCATAATAATATGGACAATGAAGTGCAGGCTGAGGTGTTCTCAGATGGAGATGAGGAACTTGTTGGGAAATGGAGCAAAGGTGATTCTTGCTGTGTTTTAGCAAAGAGAGTGGTGGCATTTTACCCCCACCCTAGCAATTTGTGGAACTTTGAACTTGAGAGAGATGATTTAGGGTATCTGGCAGAAGAAATTTCTAAGCAGCAAAGCATTCAAGATGTGACTTGGGTGCTGTTAAAGGCATTCAGTTTTATAAGGGAAGCAGAGCATAAAAGTTCGGAAAATTTGCAGCCTGACAATGTGATAGTAAAGAGAATCCCATTTTCTGAGGAGAAATCCAAGCTGGCTGAAGAAATTTGCATAAATAATGAGGAGCTGAATGTTAATCCCCAAGACAATGGGGAAAATGTCTCCAGGGCATGTCAGAGGTCTTCAGGCAGCTCCTCCCATTACAGGCCTGAAGGCCTAGGAGGAAAAAGTGGTTTCATGGGCTGGGCCCAGGATCCTCATACTGTGTGCCATCTAGGGAATTGGTGACCTGCGTTCCAGTCGCTCTAGTTGTGGCTGAAAGGGGCCAATGTAGAATCTGAACCACGGCTTCAGAGGGCACAAGCCTCACGCCTTGGCATCTTCCACATGATGTTGAGCCTGCCAGTGCACAGGAGTCAAGAATTGGGGTTTGGGAACCTCCACCTAGATTTCAGAGGATGTATGGAAACATCTGGATGTCCAGGTAGAAGTTTGCTGTAGGGGCATTGCTCTCATGGAGAACCTCCCCTAGGGCAGTGCAGAAGGGAAAAGTAGGATCAGAGCCCCCACACAGAGTCCCTACTGTGGCACCACGTAGTGGAGCTGTGAGAAGAGGGCCACTGTCCTCAAGACCCCAGAATGATAGATCCACCAACAGCTTGCACCGTGCACCTGGAAAAACTGCAGACACTCAAGACCAGCCCATGAAAGCAGCCTGGAAGGATGGAGCTGCCCAAGACCGTGGCAACCCACATTTTGCATTGGCATGACCTAGATGTGAGACATGGAGTTAAAGGAGATCATTTTGAAGCTTTAAGATTTGGCTGCCCTGCTGGATTTTGGACTTGCATGGGACCTGTAGCCCCTTTGTTTTGGCCAATTTCTCCCACAAGGAATGGCTGTATTTACCCAATGCCTGTACCCCCATTGTATCTAGGAAGTAACTAGCTTGCTTTTGATTTTGCAGGCTTATAAGTGGACAGGACTTGCCTTGTCTCGGATGAGACTTTGGACTGTGGACTTTTGAGTTAATGCTGAAATGAGTTAAGATTTTGGCAAACTGTTGGGAAAGCATGATTGGTTTTGAAATGTGAGGACATAGATTTTGGAGGGGCCAAGTCAGAATGATATAGTTTGACTATGTCCCAACCCAACTCTGATCTTGAATTTCCACATGTTGTGGGAAGGACCCAGTGGGAGGTAATTGAATCATGGGGGCAGGTCCTTCCCATGCTGTTCTCATGATAGTGAATAAGTCTCACAAGATCTCATGGTTTTAAAAAGGGGAGTTCCCTGCACAAGCTCTCTTCTCTTGTCTGCCACCATGTGAGATATGCCTTTCACTTTCTGCCACGATTGTGAGGCCTCTCAAGCCACGTGGAACTGTAAGTCTAATAAACCTCTTTCTTTTGTAAATTGCCCAGTCTTGGGTATGTCTTTATAAGCAGCGTGAAAATGGACCAATACAGGTGATTTTTATTATTTTTATATTTATGTACATGCTTTCTATAATAAGCAAGTATTAATTTTATAATCAGGGAAATTCTGAGTAAATGATGATGGCTCAACAGTATCATCATTCATTATGTATATGGCTTGGCTGTGTCCCACCCAAATCTTATTGAGGGACTCAGTGGGATGTAACTGAATCATGGGGGGCAGTAACCCCCATGCTGTTCTTGTGATAGTGAGTGAATTCTCACAAGATCTGATGGTTGTATAACCATCTTTCCCCTTCGCTTGCCACTCATTCTCTCCTTCCGCCCTGTGAAGGAGTGTCTTCCGCCATGATTGTAACTTTCCTGAGGCCTCCCCAGCCATGTGGAACTGTGATTCAATTAAACCTCTTTCGTCTATAAATTATCCTGTCTTAGTATTACTTCATAGCAGCATGAGAACAGACTAATACAATGTAGAAGAAGGCCTTATTTTAGTACAAGTGAATAATACCCCAAGGAAAGAACTACCTTAAAAATCCACTGTTTCTCAAATAAATGAGTAAACTAAATGAGTAACTATTTACTGAGTATGATGCTAGATGTTGAGAATATAGAAATGGATAAGACTCAGTCCAGGCCGCCAGGAGCCCCCTAACTAATATAAAACATACAATAAAACATAACATAATATGGCATACAAACATAATAAAACATACACCAAACATAATAAAAACATACAATCCTAAAATTTTAAGAAAGCCCTGTATTTCGGTAGAGATGTCAGTCTCCAATGAGGATTAATAAATACTCAATGACCTGCTGTGTTGGGCTCAGAGACCATAAACCATGAAGACCCAGAGTTATGTCTGCTGGGAAAGAACCGCATAGTCTGCCCAAGTTCCTCTTTCTTGAACATATGTCAGCCTGTCCCAGATGTGACTGTTGATTCTCATTCTTTTACTTGGTCCATTCAAATCTGATGTATGCTATGTTATCTCAGGACTGATTGGAGATTGTGCTTTCTCCTGTCTTGTAAGTTTGTCCTTCATCTCTTCGGACTTGGCCTGCTTGTATATCTGCCTTCTTCAAACTCTCCACAGATAACTTGCAGAGCTCTCAATCCTGCCATGTGAATAAACTAACATACCTACTGTAATACTGAAGTTGAGAAGAGTGCATAAACTAACATACATACTGTAATATTCAAGTCTAGAATTAAAAAGTTAAAAAATCTGGTTAAACAAAGAATCTACTCCATCACATATAGTTGGCAGAATCCAGCTCCTGTAAATTCTAGCTTCAGTGATCCCTTATGGAGTCTCATAAAAATTACCCTTTCCAATCTAGAGGAGACCTTACAGATTCAACATTCCAACCATCTCTCATTTCACAGGTCACGAAATCAAGGCCATGATGATTAAATGGCAACCAAGGTCACACAACTAGTTAGTGGTAAGCCAAAGTGAGAAGACAGGTTTCCTGAGAGAGAGGCTAGAAGATAAGCTCTGCACCACTCTGCCTGGATTAGAGATCCTGTTACGCCAACTTTACACTGTCTCCTGTGGGACTTTTCCACACCTGGTCCAGCCTAACTCTCCAGTCTCTTCAGAGCTTAAAATAGTCCAGTTGCCAGACAACTGTTTATCTACTTTGAGCCCCATGGAACGAGGAGTGGGGTGAAAGTGAGTCTTGGAAAACAGAATAGATTCCGGTGAGTAAAATTCATATCCTCTGGGTTTTGAAGGTCTCAGGAGCAATCAGTAACTTGGCTTAGTTTTCAATACCAGGCAGGTAGCCAGGAAAGAGGAGGCCCAGTTGTAGAATCAGAAATGACAATGAGAAAGAAATGGGAATAAGAAAACTTTCTTTAAAAAAACACACAAAAACCAATATATTCTGCTGTCACAGTACAGGTATCAACGGCTTTTGAAACAGATCTGCTTCAGCTAGATGGCTAAAAATAGTAATCTTATAAATGAAACAACATTAAAATATTTGTATGTGAGGCAATATAGTCTAATGACTAAAAGCACAAACTCTGGAGTTTGACAGTTGTTCATGCCCAAACAAGGCCTCTTACCAGTTGTGCAACCCTTGGTAAATTACATAACCTCTTGGAGTCTGGTTCTCTCATCTGGGAAAAAAAGTGCTAATCCTTTTCAGATAACTGGACAATTGAGAGAGCTTAAAAAGGAGGATTTAAGTTGGTGTCTAACATAGATTAGCATTTAACAGAAGGCAACTGAAGAAAACTGACTAACACTATAGAACCCAAGCTAAGGAGCTCCCTAATACCTTGGAGAATTCTACCACCTATTCATGCAGCCTTAGAGAGATCAAAACTGGCTATCCCAGTGATTCTTCCAGCATGGCAGCATGAGTAACTCAGCAGATCTTCACCCCACAAAATATTTAGTGGGAAAAATTATTTAAAAAATAATTTAATGTCTCTCAAAACTCCCCTAAGGGCATACAGCAAAGGACAACATTCATCCAAGAAAATTTACCAAGTCTTGATGAGAACAGTAAGAGTCTGTGGCATCTGGGTCATGATCTGCTTTCCTCTCCCACCCCCAGCCCCATGTTACAGAAACTCTACTACAGGTACCGTATTCTGACCAAGTGCAGACAAGAACGTAAGAGCTTTCTCTCCACCCAATTCTCAGTTTAGGGCTACAGTTTCACCTTTGGAAGGACAGACTACCAGTGTTTCTCATTCCCCAACCCCATTACCTTGTGGTAGAACCTCTGTTCTAGTCAAGCAATGCCAAGAGAACTGAGGTGCCATTCCTCTACCCAAGTCCTACTCATAGGGTGGAAACTCTACCCTAAGTAGCCATCAAGAATACTAAGACTCTGATCACCCCTTTCTCAGCTCACTCATAGGAGGTGGTCCCATACTGGAAGCTGCAAGCCAACAAGGCTGAGAACTACCTCCTCCCTTCTTATCATCCACTAGGGATATCATTCTGGGTGACACTGGGAGGTGCCACTATCACTGCATCTAGCTCCCTTGCAGTAGCACGAATGTTCTCCTGGGGGAAGAGAGAAGCCATAAGGATGAAGAGCTCCATAGTTCTTATTGATGTTAGTGACTTCATTTAGTGCAGAGAACGGAGAATTCCCTACTTAAGGGTGTTGCTGAAAATAATGGAGAGCTTGGTGAAGAACAATTAAGGGGGTGCTGGTAGCTTCACGATACTGCTAGCAACAAGCAAAATGGCAGAACAACCATAGCTTTAACAGAAAGAACCAAGGAAAGAAACAACCAAGAAGGGCCTTCCTGGGATCCCAGTAAACCCTGGGGGTTGAAAAGCTACACACATGTCCTAGGTCATACCTACTCAGGAACAATCAAAACAACACATGGGTCAGACTTGAAAACATTTCCCAAGCTGCACACAGATCCGTCAACAAAGGGCAGAAATCTCACTCACTCAAGGTGTTTAAGGACAACCTCTGAGCAAACACTGGCTAAAAAATAAGCTATTCTGACCCTGGAGAAAATACTATTAAGCCACGCTTAAAAATAAAATTATTTGCATTCTGGTAATCTGGAAGGCTGTGTGCATGCTCAAGGCCGCACCCTCTCAGAAGTGATTAGAAAAGGAACTTCCAAGGCATTTGGCCTTGGCCAAAGTTGGGGGAAAAAACAAACTTCTTAAGTTGTAATAACAGACTCCAAGCCATAAAAACATCAAATGGCAAAGAGTAAAAATATAACTGTCTAAAGGAACCTAAGCATAACCTTTGACCAATAAGTGGCTTATGCAGACCTACGGGTGACTCATAGGGAACCCAGCCAAAAGAAAAACAAAAAATAAAACAGAAAAACAATCTAAACAGGAACATCAGAAGCTGAACAGTGTAGGAGAAATAGACATCACAGAGTTAGTACAGTCAAGCGATTAAACAAATGAATGACCAGGTAAATGGATGGGGGAAAGGGAGGAAGACAAGTCAGCATCCAGAGTTGCCATAAAATATTATTTTAAATTATTATTTTAAATATTCAGGTTTTCTGTTTTTAAAACTATGGCATAAAAAGATACAATAAAGTACAACCCATACACATGAAAAAAAAGAAGTAGGCAGTAGAAACTGTCTTTTAGGGGGCCCAGATGTAGGATATAGCAAACACTTCAAAGAAGCTATTATTGAAATATTCAAGGAACTAAAAGAAACCATACTTAAAGAACTAAAGGCAGATATGATGACAACATCTCATCAAATAAAAAATATCAATAAAGACACAGAAATTATTTTTTAAAAAGACCAAAGAGAAGTTCTGGAGTTTAAATGTATAGTAACTAAAAAGACAAATTCAGTATAGAGGCTCAATAGTAGCTTTAAGCTAATAGAAGAAAGAATCAGTAAGCTTGATGACAGATTGATAGAGGTCATACAATCTGAAGAACAAAGAAAATAAAGAATAAAGAAAAATGAGCAGAGCATAAGAGAAATATGGGACATCATTAAATCACCAACACACTGTAAATGGAAGTACCAGAAGGAGAGGAAAAAGAAAAAAAGGAAGAAAAAGAATTTGTGAAAATGATAGCTGAAAACTTCTCAAATTTGATGAAAAACTTCAATCTACACATGCAAGAAAATCAACAACCTCCAAGTAAGATGAGAATAAAGATATATATACCTAGATACATTAGAGTCAAAATAATAAAAATCAAAAGAAAAAGAAAACCTTGAAAGCAATAAAGAAGACATGACTCAGCACATACAAGGAAACCTCCAAAACTGTAACAGCTGACATCTCATCAAAACAATGGAGTCCAGGCCGGGCATGGTGGCTCAAGCCTGTAATCCCATCACTTTGGGAAGCCTAGGCAGGTGGATCACCTGAATCCAGGAGTTTGAGACAAGCCTGTCCAAAATGGTGAAACTGCATCTCTACTAAAAATACAAAAAATTAGCTGGGCATGGTGGTGTGCACCTGTAATCCCAGCTACTTGGGAGGCTGAGGCAGGAGAATCACTTGAACTGGGGAAATGGAGGTTGCAGTGAGCTGAGATTGTGCCATTGCACTCCAGCCTAGGCAACAAGAGTGAAACTCCATCTCAAAAAAAAAAAAGGAAGAAAGAAAAAGAAACAATGGAGTCCAGAAGGCAATGGGATCGATAATGTATTCAAAGTGCTGAAAATAAAAAAAAAAGAAAGAAAGAAAAGAAAAAAAGAAAAGAAAAACAAACCCCTCAACTAAGAATCTCATGTCTAGTAAAACTATCTTTCAAAACTGAAGGTTAAGCAAAGAGATAAAGATGAATAAAGGCTCAGAGAATTTGTTGCTAGAAAAATCTAAACAGTTGTTCTGCCCAAAAGCAAGTGACAGCAGTGATTTAGACCCCATCCTTACAAACATAAAAAAATTATAATAAGATACTATAAATAACTGTATACCAACAAATTACATGACTTAGATAAAACAGATACATTTCTCAAAAGACACAAACTACTAAAACTGACTCAAGAAGAAACTGAAAATCTGATTAGACAAGTAAAGAAACTGAATTAATAATTAAAAATCTTCCCACAAAGAAAAGCGTGAATGAGATTGCTTCACTGGTGAATTCTACCAGAAATTTAAAGAATTAATAGCAGTCAGTTGTAATCTCTTCCAAAGAATGGAAGGTGAGGTGACACTTTGCCACTGATTTCATGAGGCCAGTCTTACTCTGATACAAAAAAAAAAAAAAAAAAAAAAAAAAAAAAGACATTATAAGAAAATGAAACTACAAGCCAATATCCCTATGGATGTAAATGCAAAATATTAAGCAAAATACCACCAAACTGAATTCAGCACCATATAAAAAAGATTATGTATTGTAATCAAGTGGGGTTTATCCCAGTAATGCAAGGTTTGTTTAACATTTGAAAATCAATTAATGTAATGCACCGAATTAAAGGAGAAAGAATAGTCTTTTCAACAAATGAAGCTGAGACAACTGAATGACCACATTCAAAAGAAGAAAGCTGAAGCCTTATCTTATACCATATACAAAAATTAACACAATTAATTCACAGATATAAATGTAAGAATGGCAGCCATAAAATTCTTAGAAGAAAATATGAGATGAGAGTAAAGATATACATACCTAGATACATTACAGTAGTAGTAGTAAATGTTTGTGACCATGGTGTAGGCAATGGTTTGATATGATACCAAAAGCACAGGCAACAAAAGAAATAAAATAAATTAGTTGGACTAATCAAAAATTAAATATTTCTGTAGCAAATATTGCCATCAAAAAAAAAGAAAAGACAGTCCTCAGAATGGGAGAGAACATTAGTAAATCAAATATATGAAAAGGGACTTGTATATACAATACATTAAAAAAGCTTTTAAAACTCTATAATAAAAATCTCATAGTCCGATTAAAAACTGGGCAATGAATTTGGATACACATTTCTCCAAAGAAGATAAACAAATGGCGAGTAAGAACATGGAAGGATGCTCAACATCACTTGTCATTAGGGAAATGCAAATCAAAACCACAATGAGATACCACTCCACACCCACTAGAATAGCTATAACCAAGAAGACAGATAATAACAAGTGTTGGCAAGCATATGGAAAAATTATAATACATTGTCAGTGGGTACATAAAACTGTGCAGCCACTTCAGAAAACAGTTTGGCAATACCTCATAAAGTTAAACATAGAGCTGGTATATGACCCAGCAATTCTACTTCTTGGTATATGCCCAAGAGAAATGAAAACAAATGTTCACATGAAAAACTTGTGCATGAATGTTCATAGCAGCACTATTCATAATATCTAAAAGGTGAAAACAATCTCAATGTCCATCAACTGATGCATGGATAAATAAAAATGTGGTACATCCATAAAATGGAATATTATTGAGCAATAAAAAGAATGAAATACTGAAACATGTGACAACATAGATGAACCTGGAAAACAGTATGCTACATGAAAAAAAGAATTCATGAAAGATCACATAATTTATTATTCCATTCATGTAAAATGCCCAGAATAAGCAAATCCATAAAGACAGAAAGCAGATTAGTGGTTTCCTAGGGCTGGGATATAGGTAGACTGGAGAATGACAGCTAATAGTCACAGAGTTTCTTTTTGTGGTGATGAAGATGTTCTATAATTAGATTGTGGTGGCTGCACAACTCTGTGAATATATTAAAAATCGCTTGTACATTCTAAATGCATGAACATCATAGTATGTGAATTATATCTCAATAAATAATGTTTTAAACTGACAATGTACTTCACTAGGCCTTTCTCTTGGCATTCAAAAAAGTCAAAAGAATAGAAACTCGTTCTTCTGCCACCGGAAATTAGCCCATGGATATATTCAAGGCTAACTGATAGCTCCCTGATGACTGGCTATACATCCCTGATCTGGGCATTTACTGTATATTATCTGATAAAGCTGATCCAGGGTGCTTATAAGTAAAGGTAGAACTCAACCTTGGATAATTCCTTGCAGGAGAAGCCTCAGTTCTATAAAAATAATTAAATCAATTCAGAGTGCAAAGTTCTATTCTCTATTTCATTAATTCTAAAAAATTATTCACACTGAGGCCACTTGGAAGAAGTCATCGTTTTTGTATCCTGTTTATGTATATTTCAATTATCTATAGAACCATGCTAATGTTTAACTAGATAGCAATTACAAAGTGATAGGGCTGGTAAGTATCATGGACCAGTAGCTACAGATTCTACATTTAAAAAGCGATCCAACATGATCAGTTCCCTTTCACAAAAGAAACAGAAGTAAAAAATGGGAGGACAAAAAAGGGTAGAGAACTCATTAAGCCAATGGAATAGGAAATTATCCAAATTATAATATGAATCATGCATATTGTACTCAATTACACCAAGGGACATTAGTTTTATAAAATACAAATCAAACTGAAAAGACAAACAATACCTTCTGGAGGAGTCCCAATGCTGCTGCCAAGACCCAGGATGGCTATCTTATGAATTCTTGGCTCCAGCATCACAGCTGATTCTTCTCCCCTCTCCCAGTGGGGTATTCTCACTGGCTCCAGGTGAACTTTCTCCAGCCCATCTTGCTGCAGGTTTTGGTACATAATTTGGATGGCTTTTTCTAGGTTCTTGGAGCCACTCAGTCTGGGTCCAACAGTATCAACCAGAAGTGCCAATCGCTCATAGGATCTGTTCTGGGCTTTACCATAAACAGCTAGGTTGATGATTGCTTTAGCAACATCTCCACAGCTGGCTATTTCTTCTTTTATTTCTTCAAAAGTCCTCTTAGAGATGCCATTCTTGCATATAGCTTTCCCAGAGCACAGGGATAAAAGGTGAACACCACCGAAAAATGCGAAGATAAGGAATTTCATTTTTTTTTCCAGTTGGTTTTCTTGTTAAGATAATCTACATAAATAAGAAACATTATGTTTTAGGGGAAAAGAATCTCACAGCTATCTGCCCATAACCCAGGGATTGCTTTTCAAGCAGCATTCCCCTTCCCTTCCCAACCACTGCCCAACATCCACCATCAAATTCAGGCACTGTTACTCTGAGGAATGAACAAGTAAAGAGGCAACGATTGACCTCCCTTAAAACTGTAGAATCACGTGTTACCTATTAATCCTGTTTAAAATATGCTAAAAGGATAAATCAAGAAAAGAGCTGGGAAGGAGAGAAAGAAGTGGTGGTAGCAGTGATAGGGCTAAGTCAGTGTTACCTGCTGTATAGTCTCCTAAATAGAGTATAATCCAAATGGGTGTCCTTGCTCCCTCCACCAGGTGTGTTCTCTCCTCTTTGCCTGTCAGACTCCTCCATTGAGGCCTTCTCAGCTGTCATCTGTTTTTGATAATTTTACCAACCCCCCCCCCACCTCAGAACAATAATTGCTTCTTCATCTGTGCTTGAAAAGTACTTTATGCTTATGTTCAAAAGGTATTTATTGGAAGCCACTAGATGCCACAAACTGTGGTATGTTTTTAAAAGGAAAAAGTCTAAGCTACTGCAAAAAGCAGAGAATTAATAAAAAGACTGGGCTTTGTTACCAATTAACTGTTTGATATCCACCACCTACATAATAAATAATAATAACAATAACAGGAAGCATTTATATAGTGCATGCTGTGTGTCAGACCTTGTACTAAGTATGCTACACTCATTAATGCATTTAATCCTCACAACAACTCTATAAGGTAGTTTATTATTACCTTTATTTTACAAATGAGGAAACTGAGGCACCAAGCGATTAAGCAGTTTGCCAAAGATACACAAAGGCTTTCTAGCTCTAGAGTCCATGCTTTAAACAGTGCTACTCAAAGCATGGGTTTGTGGGCCATACCAGTCCACAAACTGTTTTTTACTAATGCACAATAGGTAAATACAGAGATTATGAGTAAATGTATTCAATGCTGTCCAATATAGTAATCAATTGTCTCATATGGTCACTTCAATTTAAATTAACTAAAATTAAATTAAACTAAAGATTTATTTTCTCAGTCACACTAGCCACATTTCAAGTACTCAATAGATACGTGTGGCTAGTGGCTATTATATTAAGCAGCACAGACAGAACATTCCTATCATGACAGAAAGTTCTATTGGATAGCACTGGTTTAGACACTTTTTTATAAACTATATGTCTGCTATTGTTTGAATGTTTGTCCCCTTCAAAACTCATGTTGAAATGTAATTGCGCTTGTGACGGTATTATAAGGTTGGACTTTCAAAATGTATTCAGGACATGAGGGCTCCACCTTTATGAATAAACTAATGTTTATTGCAGGAAGGGGTTTGTGTCTCCTTTGATCTCTCTCATCCCCTCTTTGCCCTTCTTCTGTGCGATGCCTTCTGCCATGTTATGATGTGGCAAGAAGACCCTCACCAGATGTGGCCCCTCATTCTTGGACTGTTTAGCCTGCAGAACCACGAGCTAATAAATTTTCATTCTTTATAAATTACTCCGTCTGTGGTATTCTGTTAAAGCAGCACACACACACACACACACACACACTCACACAACTAAGACAAAAATTGGTACCAGAGAGGTGGGTTGTTATAACAAATACCCGAAAAATGTGAACGCAGCTTTGAAATTGGGTAACGGGGAGAGGCCGGAAGAATTTGGAAGAGCAGCCTAGGAAAAGCCTAGATTACAATGAATGCAGTATTAAGGGAAGTTCTGGAAAGGGCTCAGAAGAGCAGATGAGCCAGAGAGAAAGTCGGGAACTTCTTAGAGATTACTTGAGTGATTCTTCTTAGAGATTCATGACCAGAATGCTGACAGAAATATGGACAGTACAGGCAATTCTGATGAGGTCTCAGATGGAAATGAAGAACAACGTATTGGAAACTGTAGTAAAGGCTATCCTTGTTATTAAGTGGCAAAAAACTTGGCTAAAGTGTGTCCATGCCTGAGGGCTTTAACAGAAGGCAGAATTTAAGAGTGATAAACTAGAATATCTGATGGAAGAAATTTCTAAGCAAAATACTGAAGGAGCTGTGTGGCTTCTTTTAAATGTATATAATAGAATGTGAGGGGAAAGAAATAATTTAAAGACAGTATTCATAATTTAAGGGGAAATAGAACATAAAAATTATGAAAATTCACAGCCTGGCCATGTAAAGAATAAAAATGTGTGCTTAGGAGTGCAAACAAAAGATGTGGCCACACAACCATTTGCTAGAAAGGTTTGTATGGCTAGTAAAGAGCCAGGTGCTATTCATCAAGACAATAAGAAAATGACCGCAAAGGCACTTCAGGGATCTCTGAGGCAAGCTAGAATCTTGAGGGCAAAGTTTCCAAAGAGGCACCCAGGGGACCTCAGAATTAACTGCCCTGCACCTCACCTACCCAAATGTCTGTTCCCCACATTCTGGTGCAGTGCCCTTAAGCTGCTCCAGCCATAGCTTGAGCAGGCACATGTGCAGCTAAGGCCTCTGCTCCTGAGTGCACAAGCAGTAAGTCCTGGTGGTATCCACACGGTGCCAATTCTGCAGGCACACAGAGTTCACAAGCTGTGGAGGCATGGCTACCTTCACCTAGATTTTAAAGAATGTATCAGACAGCCTGGGGATCCAGGTAGAAATCTGCTGCAGGAGCAGAGCTGCCACAAACAGTCCCCACTAAAGCAATGTCTAGTGAAGCTGCAGGGGCAGAACCACACCTGAGACTCCTGAACTGTAGATACCAGCACACAAAGCCAGCCCAGGAGAGCTGTAAGCATAAGACTCCAACGTTCCAGCAAAGCCATAGGTGCAGGGCTCTCCAAGTCCTTGGGGGCTCAACCCCTTCCCCAGTGTGTCCAGGAAGCAGGGCAGCATGGAGTCAAAGAAAATTATTTCTGAGGCTTAAGATTTACTGTTGTTGTCCCCATTGGGTTTTGGACTTACTTGGAACCAGTTACCCCTTCCTTGCCTATTTATCCATTTTGGAATGGGAATGTCTATCCTATACCTGTCCCACCATTGTATTGTGGAAATAGATAACTTGTATAATTTCACAGGCTCACAGCTAGAGGGGAATTTGCCTCAGAATGAATTGTGTTATGTCTCACCCATATCTGATTTAGACAAGACTTCGGACTTTTGAGTTGGTGCTGGAAGGAATTAAGACTTTGGAGCTATTGGGATGAAATAAATGTGTTTTGTATGTAAGAAAAACATGACAGGAGGAATACTATGGGTTTAACTTTTGTCCCTCCAAATTCATGTTGAAATTTAATTGCCTTTGTAATGGTCTTGGAAGGTAGGACCTTTAAGAGATGTTTAGATCATGATGGATTTGCCCTCGTGAATGGACAAATGCCTTTATTGAGGGAATGGGTTATTTATCATGGGAGTGAGTTTACCCCCTCTTGCTTTTTCTCTCTCCCTCTCTTGCCCTTCCACTATGTGATGCCTTTTGCAAAGTTTTGATGCAGCTAAAAGGCCCTCACCAGATGTGGCCCCTCAATCTTGGACTTTCTAGGCTCTAGAATTGTAAACCAATTAATTTCTGTTAGTTATAAACTATCCAGTCCATGGTATTCCGTTATAGCAGCACAAAATAGACTAAGACAACATCTTGTCAACTTTAATGATTAAAAAATGGTGCTTCTCTTTGTATGTCTTTTTACTTTCACCTTTCTAATTTATTATTATTTTGCGAAAGCATTAGTCTATAACAAATGCAAAATTTTCAAAATTGTTCCTTCACCACAGATAATATGAGAAGCACAATCATAAACTACTAAATTATAAGAAAAAATTCTAAAATAAGCCAGCATGCAGAGCCTTTAAAAATATGACTCCAACAACTACTTCAACCTTATCTAACCTCCTCCCCCTCTAGAGCACACAGATTTTCATTCTCACTCTCTTTCTCTCTCCGACACACACATACATATACATGCATTGCTAAGCTTCTATATATTGAGCCCTTGAAATGTGTTGAGTCCAAACTGAGATGTCTTAGGCTGAGGGCAGTGGCTCATGCCTGTAATCCCAGCACTTTGGGAGACTGAGGCAGGAAGACCAGCCTGGGCAATATAGCAAGATCCAGTCCCTAAAAAAAAAAAAAAAAGTAAAGAAAAAGAAAGAAAGAAAAGAAAAGAAAGGAAGGAAGGAAGACAAATTGAAATGTTTTGTAAGTGTAAAATATTCACCTGATTTGATTTTAATGACTTAAGTTGAAAAATAAATAAATATTTCAGATAAATTGGGTTAAATAAAATGTGTTATTATTGATTTTACCTGTCTCTTTTTACTCTGTACTATGGCTATTAGAAAAATTTAAATTGCACATTTGTGTTCATATTTATATTGGACAATATTGCTCTAGCTGCATTGAACTTCACGCTGTTCTTCAAACGCACAGGCTCTTTCATAACTCTGGGTCTTTACATATGTTCATTCTCTTTTATTGAAAGACCCTTCTCCTCACCTCCTCCCCTTCATCTGGCAAATGCCTCCACTTACAGTTTAATGAAAATGCTTTAAAAACTACCTTTTCTGTAAAGGCTCACTAAACAACACCCCAGAGTTATTTGCACCATCTTCTGTGTTTCTACCATAATTAACTATGCTATCAGCTAATATGTTTGTTTATAAACCTGTCTCCCTTACTATCAAAGTCAAGTAGGGTAAATTATTCACCACTGCACCTTCAATTGTTATACTCAAATACAGGCACTCAATACATTTTTATTTAAGAAATAAATGAGCATTTAATCTCTCTAGGTCTTAGCTTCCCAGAGTATAAGAGTACTGGCCTTGCCTCCTTCACAACTAAGCTGTAAGAGTAAAAAGTTGCTATCATATTTAAACTATTTTGAAAAATTATGAAAACTATACACTGTTGCTGCTTCCCTTTTTATTACAACTATTTATATGCATAGGGTCCTGGTTTCTAAAGCCACTAAAGCCACTATACTGATACTTGTTTTTAAAAGCTAAATTTTGTTAACTAATAAAAAAATTTCACCAGATTGCAATTTATTCTTGAAAGTACATTTTTCCAATGTGTTGTTGGTGCAAAAAAAAGGTTCATAAGACATCTATTCATTAGCACTAACCACAAATATCTACTTCTCATTAAAAGTTCTCTAAGCATTCTGCAAACATTAATTAACTATTTCACAATACATTTCTAGTGATGGATTAGAATCATATAATGACACCATTGTAGAGATAAAAGAGAGCTTAGTGATCCCTAGTCCATATCCTTGCTTTATAGAAAGTTAATCAAGACCTGTGTTTTGATTCCCAGGCAGCAGATAAACCTGAAACTATAATCAACCAGGTAATTTGACTGACTGACTTACACAGACTTCCTGGAGGATTATAAATTGTGTTTTTTATAGGAAACTATATGCATTTACACGAAATAGAAACTCAAAGAGGAATACCCAAATGCAGTCTAAGAGGCAAATAACTGTAATAATATATATATACTCAAACATTCTCATGCATAGAGTACCATGAGAACAAAAAAAAGAATAAAAGGAATGCTGAAAAGCTCTAGAGAAGACATAACATCTGAAGACAGTCTTAGGAAATGGCTCAGCAGGCAGAGAAGAGGGAATGGTACCCTTTCTAGAGGGACCACCAGAACTTAGGTCACAGTCTATTTAAAAAATATGTCCAGAAAATAACATTGCCTAAGTCAGACATCCTTTTGCATGTATGTCACTCGTATTAATAAATAACATGCCTTTTTTTTTTTTTTTTTGGAGATGGAGTTTTACTCTTGTTCAGGCTGGAGTGCAATGGCACAATCTCAGCTCACTGCAATCTCCACCTTCTGGTTTCAAGCAATTCTCCTGCCTATGCCTCCCGAGAAGCTGAGATTACAGGTGCCTGTCACCATGCTCAGCTAATTTTTGTATTTTCAGTAGAGACAGCTTTTCACCATATTGGCCAGGCTGATCTCGATCTCCTGACCTTGTGATCCACCCCCATCAGCCTCCCAAAGTGCTGGGATTACAGGCGTGAGCCACCACACTTTGCCATAACATGCCATTTTTATAATAATACTTAATGTCTCCTTATATGGTCAATTAAATTAATTTTGATACTAAAATGATATAATCACTTTGAAACAGAAACTGAGTGTTATTCTAAATACCTTAACTAGACTGTATTTTCAAATTCCACAAACATAATAATGCTTATTTTTAAAAGTAGGTTAATTTAAAAGATATTCTTTTAACAAAGTTAGTTTTCCCTGAGTATATCGGTAGCACTTTAGAAGATTTACTAAGATTGAAGGCACAAAACAATGAGCTATATGAGAAATCACCTAGAACCTTCAACATAAGTGAACAATAAATAGGTGTTAGTTGACCCAAAACCTGGTTTTCCCTGGAATATAATCTAAAAATTACTGATGTAATTCCTGGCTGGAATGCATAATCATATATCTCTCTAACAGCACTACAGAATTTTATTATTATTGTTTTTAGATAGTTACATTAGGCCAACTAAGGTAGTTTTTCATTAATAAATAGTAGAATATTACTAATCGTCTATATTTGGAGAAGTAACAAAAATGGAACAAGATATTAATATATCACATTCCACTTAAGAAAACCAGCATAAGATATAATAGGTATTTTTAAAACACAGAAATCATAATCTGATATATAATTTATAAATTCTAAGCAAGAAATAGAAATGTATTATAAAATTAAAATAATGAAATATATAGACAGAATAAAACTTAATCAAGACCGGTATTCAAGGGCAACCTTAAAAAGTTCTTTCCTGGCCGGGCACGGTGGCTCACTCCTGTAATCCCAGCACTTTGGGAGTCCAAGGCATGCGGATCACAAAGTCAGGATATCGAGACCATCCTGGCTAACACGGTGAAACCCTGTCTCTACTAAAAATACAAAAAATTAGCTGGGCGTGGTGGAGGGCGCCTGTAGTCCCAGCTACTCGGAAGGCTGAGGCAGGAGAATGGTGTGAACCAGGGAGGCAGAGTTTGCAGTGAGTCCAGAAAAAAAAAAAAAAAAAAAAAAAAAAAAAAAAAATATATATATATATATATATATATATATATATATATATTTTCTAAGACACAGACTTAGGGTCACCATACATAGGAAAATTCATTCTAGACCTGGAGTCAGTTCAAAGGATGATGATCAAGGGCCATCAGTTTGTTGGCATGAAATGACCAAAAACACTTGTTTACTTCAGTGTGAAACTTTTAGGGAATAACCGTATAGGTAATAAGTAATGGCTTATTTGGAAATTTTGAGGAACTTCATATGTTGTCCTTGTGCTGATGTGGCAATGGATGAATTCTCTGTGCTAAGGAGACAGCGGGTAGTGAAGATCACAGGAATTCTCCCTCCTTCCCTTTCCCCTTCCATTTCTCCCTCCCATCCTTCCGTATGAGGGGTGGTAAGTTGTGTCTCCTGTTGCAGCACTCTAGGGCATTTTGCTCCATAAATGTTGGAGCTTCACAAAGTAGATGTTTTCAGGCAAACCTTGGGGAATACTTCCTTCCTATTGCTGCTGTACCTTCCACCATTTTCCCCTACTCATCATCTACCTACTTGTCATTTTCTCCATAGGCCACATATTGTAAAGCAGCCATGGGGATGAAAATAATGCTGCGAAAAACATCTGTGCCTATAAAAGATGCAATTCATTTACAAAGACACTCAAGATTTTCTTCCATTTAAAATCCCTGAAATACTAATAAACTAATTGAAAAAAAAACTCTACTGCTCTCTCAAGCAATTATAGGACTATTTGAAATGTCTAAACTTAAACTACACAACATTTTTTAGTGTTCCTTATTCTTATAAACAAAAGGTTGAAGTTATTGTTCCTTCACTTGAATTCAAAGTATGGAGTTATCAAATGTTATACCCTTCAAAATGTTAAACAACTATTTTTTTAAAAACCCATGCTGTATCATGCTTTTGAATTCAGAAGTTATATATTCAAAGGCAACTTTGGAGCACTGTTTGAAAAAGATTTGCTTTTCATATATTGTCTTCACAATCCATAGTTACAGATTATCTTTTTCACAAAAAAAGAGATAAAATTCTTTATAATGTCATTTTCTTTCTTTTCTACTTAAATCTGGAAGCAAACTCAAGCAAAACCTACATTTCTCATACTGTGAATTATATTCTAATAATAGGTTTATATTTCGAGGAAACAAAACAAAGCCCTTTGATTCTGTTTCTAAATATTTCTCCTAAAAATTATCATTCGAAAATGTCTCAGGCTATGATAAAAATGCCAGAGCGAATAGACAAACAGAAGTGGAAAAGAACACAGTGGAAAGAGAATGTGCTAAAAGATAGAGAGACTAAGATTTAAAGCCTGAGATTTATTGATCTTTTATTGTGACAGTTACTTTTTCTTCTATACTACTTACATGAAAACTTAAATATTTCCCCTAAACCCTCCATTCCTGAACAGGATTCACTGATATAAATTTAACCCTCAGTCTTCAGTCTAGAATGTGTAACAGACAGAAAGTCCAGAAGTGCTAAATCCTAGCACAGACACTGGCACACCAAAGTTCACTTCCCAACTTCTGACAATATTCCTGGATTTACGGTAGTTAGCCCTTTAAGTATCTTAAGGAAGATTTTTGCCTTTATTCAAAGCTCATATAATACTGGGTTTCCATTTCCCATAGCTTACATTCCAGTTATTTATTCAGTCATTCAAGAAAGCTTATTGAGAACTCACTATATGCAAGGAATTCTGCAAGAATTTGGGAAAAGATACAAACATAAGGAAAACCCAGTTCCTACTATTGGTAGACACTTAATTCCCTATTCAATATCCATTCCCCCTTTTCCTTGCTAACCAACCTCCATTTTGTTTGGAGTACAAAGTGTCCAGTCCCATTAATCTAAGCCAGTTGTTTTTAATATGGATGATGCTGCCCCTAGGGGCCATTTTGAATATGTGGGGGGAGCACTTTTACTTGTCACCATGGTATGGAGATTCTACTGGTAACTAGTTGGCAGAGGCCGGGGACACTAGACAGACAGCTATGTGGGGGACAATCTGTGTACTAAGAACTCTCCTACATTCCAAATAGCTTTCCAAATGTGAAAAACCTATTACCTTGGCCTTGAATGTAACTCTATTGTGTATACGAATACAAAATTGTTGTTGCACAGTTTTCATGCAAGTTGACTCTTTCAAGAAACAACTATCTTGTATATCAAGAGAAGACTATGCTGTGTTTTGTGCAGAACTTGACCCAAAATTGGTCATCTTTTAAGTAAAACACAAATGAATATGCTGCCTGTGGTACTGGAAACACCATTACCATACCCTTGTATCACTTGCATATGTTGCTGTCACATTCACCGTGCAAGAATCTGACTTCTTCATTATGTCTTCTAGTGCAGTCATGCCTTAGAATTCACATTTTGAAATAATTATAAATTATTTTCCTTTAATTGTTCCTTTATATTACAGTTAGGATAATATATTTATTTAAAAATGTACACAAGCAGATTGTCTATGATGTTTATTTCAGGATAATAAAGAAGGCATTACAAATTATTTGTTTTTAAAAAAGAGGAATTGTGTCTAATAGGATGGGAAAGTATGTATTTAAGTGAATTCAACAATTTTCTTCCCGCTCTTCCAGCCAACCTTCCAGCCAGAGGAGGCCTCGTGACCCAGTTCTACCCAAACAGACCCAAACAGAAGCACCTGACAAGAAAGTGGTTATGTTTCTAGAGCTGCATCAGCTATTTATAACCATGATGGCAAGTCCCAGAGAACTGGTCTTGCCATCACTGAGCAGTTGAACCAATACCAGCATCACCAACTTTCCTGTATATGAGAAAAATAAACTCTATTTCTTTTAGCCACTTAGTCAGATTTTCTGTGCCGTGTATCTGAATACATTTCCAACTTATAAACTACTTTTAAGTGCTTCTTGGGGATCCATAATTAAATATATTGTTTACACTACTTAACACCATAAGCAAGACCTATGACTATGCTGTGTTTAGGATCTCATGTATGGTTAACCTAGATTTCCCAAAGTACTTGAAATTCTAAATATCCAACACCAAACTCAGAATCTTCCTTTCCAAACTTGCTCTCCCTTTATTCCCCACCCTAGTCAATAAGTTAGAAATGACTGTGGGGTTTTTTCGGATTCTTCTTTTTCCCTCAGGAAGAACAGGTGAACACTTGCCAAACCCTGCCTGTAATTCTGCCTTCAAATTCTTTCTTGACTAACTTCCCTCCTCTTCACTCTTACCATCACTTCCCTAGCTCACAACCTCATTATCACTCATGTGACACATTTCTGCACACATCTCACTGCCTTAAACAGAGGTCCCTTTCCAACTCATCTTCCACATTGCCACCAGATTTATCTTAAGCCCAGATCAAAGGACACCTTGGCTTAAAACATCTGTTTCCCCACTATTTACTGTTCAGTATTATGGTTATGAATTTTGCTATGGTTTGAGATGGTGTCCCCTCCAAAATTCATGTTGAAACTTTTTTTTTTTTTTTGAGACTGAGTCTCGCTCTGTCACCCAGGCTGGAGTGCAATGGCACAGTCTTGGGTCACTGCAATCTCTGCCTCCTGGGTTCAAGCAATTCCCCTGTCTCAGTCTCCTGAGTAGCTGGGATTACAGGCATGCACCACTGTGCCCGGCTAATTTTTCTATTTTTAGTAGAGATGGGATTTTACCATGTTGGCAAGGCTGGTCTTGAACTCCTGACCTCAGGTGATCTGCCCACCTCGGCCTCCCAAAGTGCTGTGATTAGAGGTCTGAGCCATCATACCTGGCCCATGTTGAAATGTAATCCCCTGCAACAGTATTAAGAGGTGTGGCCTTTGGGAGATAATTAAGTCATGAGGGCTTTGTCCTCATGCCTGGGATTAACAGCCTTATAAAAAGGCTAGAAGTTGAAGGAAGCACTCTCTTGCTCTTCTGTCCCTTCCATGTGTGAGGATGTAGGATTCATCCCCTCCAAAGGATGCAGCCACAGGGTGCCATCCTAGAGGCTGAAAGCAGCCCTCATCAGACACCGAATGCTGGTGCCTTGATCTTAAACTTCCCAGACTGCAGAACTGTGAGAAAACAAATTTCTGTTCTTTGTAAATTACTCAGTCTCAGGTATTTTGTTATAGCAGCACAAACAAACTAATACTTTTCTAGTCTTCAAAATAATTCTTTGTTATTTCCCTACCTTTATATCGTATCCCCACCAGGCTGTTTAACAGTCTGTGAAGTTATAGACTTTCTTTATACTGGTCTGATTTTGTTCATACTGTTCCCTTTGTTGAAAGTTCCCTTTAATCCTTTCTCCATTTGGAGAAATCACAATCATGATGCAAGATTCAGCTCACTAGTCTCCAACTCCTAGGCAAAACTATTTCCTGCCTTTTCAATTGCACATTGTATGATACCATTTTTGTGTCTGTCACCCTGCTAGACTATATCACTTAATGGCGATAATATTTTACTTTTATAAAATTCACCAAGCATGTTCTCTACAACTAATTGTTTATTTGTCTTTGCATATTAAACAAATAGCACAATATCTATTAATATTTATAGAATACATGAATAAATTCATCAAACAAGTAGTTATATTTCACAATAGAAGTATACAGCTCTGATTCATCATTTTAACAATCACTTTTCCTGCAACAGACATTCATTTGCTCCTTTAAACTAGTCTATCCAGAATTTTCTTTTATAAAGGGAGTAAACAGACCTGGGACCTGGTCCTGGCTGTTCCTCTTTAGATGCATGACCTTGAACAATTTACTTGAAATCTCTCTTTATATTTAAAAATGGGGTGGCATTTCTGCTCTAACATTCTATTATGGATTTTCTTAAATAATTAATATCAATTACACTTTTCTTTACACTCCATGTTAGCACTTAACTAAATTGCCTTATACCAAACTCTTAATTGTTTCATAGTTAAAAATCACTACTTGATCTACTGTTTTGCTGTCTCCTGCAACCAGCCAGCTGAAATTGAACTCACACAGGTCAATAAGAATGTCCTTTGTCCCTAACTCCAATGAAAACATTTCAATTTCTATCATATCTGACATCTAAAACATTTTATATTGTTGACTGCCTCTCGTTTTCCAAACACTCTTCTTCCTCTCACTCTGCTCTCCTTCTTAATCTCTCCTGCAGGGTCCCTTCCCCCATCTGTCCTTTAAATTTTAGTGATTCCTAAGGCTTCTCCTTGATCTTCTTGTCCTACTACATACTTTAACTGGCAAAGTCATTCACATCAAGGCACCATATATCATTTGAGCTCATCTATAACTGAGTGAGCTCTCTCAGTTTGGACATCCCACAGACACCCCAAACTCAATACATCCATACCCCGTCAAGAGTTTTCTTCCAGAGTCTGATCTTCTCCCAGACTCTCCCTCTTGGTGCATGGCACTTCCACCACCCCATCATCTGGGACCATTTTGGACACCTCACTCTTTTCAACTCTATAGTCAGTTAATCAGTAAGTGCTCTTAAATTTAGCTCCTAAGTAGCCCCCAAACCCATCCCTTCCCCTAGGTCTTCCTCTCCACCTTGGTTTCAGTTATCTTTCTTCAACCTGAACTACCACAATAATCTCCTAACTGATCTCCCTGCCTCCAGCCTCCTCTTCTCCAATATGTTCTCTTTGTTACAACAGTTATCTCTCTTCTAAAGAAATTCATTTTTTCCTCCTTTGTTCAAACCCCACAGCATTCAAGATATACCCTACTCATACCTCTACTTATACCTCTGATAACACTCTACTGCATTTTCCTCCTTAAATGTCTCTCTCTTCCACTAAACTGTGAACTCATTGTGGGTAGAGAATGTGTAGAATCCATGTTTGAACCCCTGGGATCTAGTATTGAACCGACAGTTAGTAGGTACTCATGCCTGCTAAAAATGTAGTAGTAAGTGAACATAGGCAGGCAATATAGGAGGTGATACCTGAATTAGTTTTGAAAGGCTCTAGCACAGCCACCAGGCATAAAATTAGGGAGGAGAAGTGGATGTACATTCTACACCGAATAATAGTTCCCTCTTTATAACCCAAAGAACAGTGCTGAATACATCTTACATGCTTTGTAAATAGGTACTGTCTTGAGCTGAATCTTTCTGTATAAACAAACGATTCCAAATTACAGAACCATTTCTTCTTATAGTCATTCATGTCCTCCTGGGCACCTAACATACTACCCTGCAAAGTAAGCATCCAGACTGTACTTTTTGATATGAGTTTTCTAGTATCTATTTTTCACATGATGGGGGATAGGAGGGCAATACAGAAAGAAAGGAAGAGACCAGACATGAGCCTTTGCTTCCACTGCACCCTCAATTCTACCTGCTTAAAAAGAAAAAGCCATGGGGTTTGCAATCCTTAGAAAGTCCCACCTAGAAACAGCTCCTGAAACCTAAATAAAGTCTATAGATTGTACCAATGGCAATTTCCTGGTTTTGACATTCTACTAGAGTTGTAGAGATGTTCCAATGGGGAAGCCAGGTAAAGAGCACAATAGAATCTCTATTATTTCTGCACTTCCATAGTTATTATTTAAAAAAGAAAAAGGAAGTCCTACCTATCTGATTTTTTAAAAGTTTAAACATTAAAATATAATGTTTTATATATTTATATATTTATAAACATTAAAATATATAAATATATATATTTATATATATATAATATATATATATTGCTTCAACCTGAACTACCACAATAATCTCCTAACTGATCTCCCTGCCTCCAGCCTCCTCTTCTCCAATATGTTCTCTTTGTTACAACAGCTCAAGACAGTACCTATTTACAAAGCATGTAAGATGTATTCAGCACTGTTCTTTGGGTTATAAGGAGGGAACTATTCTTCGGTATAGAATGTACATCCACTTCTCCTCCCTAATTGTATGCCTGGTGGCTGTGCTAGAGCCTTTCAAAACTAATTCAGGTATCACCTCCTATATTGCCTGCCTATGTTCACTTACTACTACATTTTTAGAAGGCATAAGTACCTACTGTCGGTTCAATACTATATATGTACATATTATATATTTTATATATATATAATATATATATATAAAATAACACTCATTTATATTTCTGGAAATAACCACATAGTAGTGTACCAGAACTGTGTCTACTTTTATTAGAATCAGACTGCAGGATATGTAAAAAGGGCAATTCCAGGCTCACCTCTCCTACCATATTGGACTAGAATTCACCTGTATCCAATAGTTTTGCCATTATTTTTCCTAAAAGCCATGATAAGGAAGCTTCATTTCAAATGTCTCTGCTACTGAACACAACATCCTGAATAAAGTGTGGGCATTAGAGAAACATGGGGGAAGGAGTCTTGAAGAAAGAAAATTGAATTCAACAGTTGTGCAGAGGCAGCTCATGACATCCCTCTTTCTTGTCTCACTGGTTCTTGGAGTTACTACAGTGATAGCAGGTTAGTGAGATGATGGGAGCAGGGCAAATGGTATAATGATTCCTTCCTAGAGGGAATCCCAGGAGCTCTGGATGAGAAAGTGTGGAGGTGACAACCTGCTGAGAGAAGTCCACCAGTAGACCCCTCTCCTCCCACTGGCCACACTCTCAGACATCATATGGCCATTTCTCTGCTATCCCTCCTCATCCCAGCAACACGGGCTAACTCATTTTGTGTCCCTGACATCTTACTGTTTACATGTGAGAAGTTTTTAGTTTGCCTTCTTAGAAAATTAATTGAGCTCACTTTACTATTCTTTTCTCCACCTTTCTTTTATCCTTTTCAAGTTGCCTGAGTGTATAAAACAACAAAGCCTAAATTCTTACTGTTCAAAAGGAGGCATCTTTGTCATACAGCTAGCTGAATGTAACTTGCTTTTGACCTACATCATGATGGGACTGAGACAAACAAATATGAAGCTCCCTTACATGCTGCTTAAGAAACAGTGGTGAAACCCCATCTCTACCCACCCCCCACAAAAATGCAAAAATTAGGCAGGCATGGTGGCACGTGTCTGTAGTCCCCACTACTCTGGAGGCTGAGGTGTGAGAATTGTTTGAGCCCAGGAGGCGAAGGCTGCACAGAGTCAATATTGCACCACTGCATTCCACCATGGGCAACAGAGCCAGACCCTGTCTCAAAAAAAAAAAAAAAAAAAAAAATCCAGTAAACAGAACCAACTATGAACTCTAGACAAATTTTGTATTTACGGCTTGCAAAATCTATGCGGAAATCCAAAGAGGATGTAAGACAGCTCTTGGTCCTTTTGTTAGCTGAGGATGCTGGGCTGACCATGAGGGTGGCTGCCCTGGAGAACAGGGGTCTATGATCTGTGATTCTGTCATACATGCACACACCCACAATCAGCAGGTATAACTAAGCACATGCAATCAATAAAAGCACAGATAAATCCTGAAAAATGCACTTAGGAGCCAAATACAAAGTGGGTAGCCCTAGGAATGAGTGATTCTGAGGTCCTACGATCTGAGAGAACTCAAAAATGGGAAGAAAGGAAAAGGGATTCTAACCTCATAAAGTGCTAGTTTCCCAAGACTTGGATCCCCCCTATAAGTGTAATAGGAAGTGCTTTATTTCTCCCAGTAAAACCAGTGAAGCATTTGTCTTCGATCTGGCAATATTAAAAAGCTATTACAAGGCACAGTAGCCTTTCCAGAGACAGGGGAGAGAATATAGGCTTCCTTGAATCAGATGAAGTGCAGAAGTCTTTCAGAGATTCTGCTGCAGAAAACTATAAAGTTGGAGATATATAGATTTAATTACTATGCAGCAATAATGGGTTACAGTAAGCTGATTGTACTCATGTGTTTTTATTGCTAAACAGCATGTTTTCCCCATGTTATCTTCCTCTAAACTAGTTAATAACAAGTTCTGAGGAATACTCTGGTAGAGATATTAGTAATTTCCTTTGGATTATGCCTTTCAGTTTTCCTCACTTTAGCCAGGCTTCCCCTTCCCGTAAACACTAAAGCACAAAGACCCTCAATGAATCTTGCTGCAAATACAGTTCTTGTTACAGCCCAAGCCAGAAGTCCTGTTCAGCAAGTCACTTACTGCAAAATTTGCTATTAAACCTGTCAAACAGGCATATATGAAAATACTGCTTCACTAAACAGCTGTTAAGTTTCATGAGCTTAGAAAGAAAACATCGTCTAGCTACACACTGTTAACTCAACAAAAATTCACCATTCCGTTTTAAAATCTGATATGCTGGTACAATTTTCCCTAAATCCTAACATTTGCTCTCTGCTATGAAATGGCTGCCACACAGCACCATTAGCAAACACTGACCGGGAACACACACATACTTATTTGCAACAGTGTGTGCTCTCCCCTGCAATACGAACACAGAGCATCTGTTGCTTCAGGCTCTTGCACAGGAAAAAGAGCAGCTCTCCGTGGCGTCAAGGGGAAATTAATGCGCCAATTCCTTTCTGTCCCAATGGTCAGGCATTAATCAAAGGTTGCAAAAAAAAAAAAAAGTGTTAAGCCAAATAGATTTGCCATAATGGAGCTAAAACAATTATTCAAAGTGCTTAATCAGTCAATGTAAAATAAAACTATTGTAGCACTACATCAGGGCACAGCCAGGAAAATTATACTGAGGAGAAAGAACATTCATAAAACAAGTTTTCTAGGAAGTGGCGGAAGCAAGATGATACAGCAGATGTTTCACGGCAGGAAATTAAAAAGGTAACTTTAAAAAAAGGAATTAGGAAGATACTTGGAAAGAGACAAATTTGGAGTATGGAATAAAGACCATAGTGGAGACCACATCCCAGGCTGGAGGTGAGAAGGGAGGAAAGAACTAGTATAAAGAAGCATGGGGCCGGGCACGGTGGCTCACACCTGAAATCCCAGGACTTTGGAAGGCCGAGGTGGGTGGATCATCTGAGGTTAGGGGTTCGAGACCAGCCTGGCCAACATGTGAAACCCTGTCTCTACTAAAAATACCATAAATTAGCCGAGCATGGTGGCGCATGCCTGTAATCCCAGCTACTTGGGAAGCTGAGGCAGGAGAATCGCTTGAATCTGGGAAGCATCGGCAGCAGTGAGCTGATATCGCACCATTGCACTCCAGCCTGGGCAACGGAGTGAGAGTCCGTCTCAAAAAAAAAAAAAAAAAAAAAAAAAAGCATAGGTAACCAGCTGAAAGGGATTTTTCCTCATCAGCAACTTCTATATCCAAAGACTAATTGTTAAAAAGAGCATCATATTTATCAGGGGAGTAGGTGTTTAATTTAAAGGATGATGAAGATGAACTTAAAAAAAAAAAAGATACTTGGAGCCCAAGTGCCCACTGCAGAAGTAAAAGAGGAGAGGAGAACTGGTTTCCTCTAGGGAGTGCCAAAAACGGCTTGGGAAGAGGACAGAGGGAAATCAAAGGTACCACAACTTATCTTGATTTTTGTGATTTATTTCCCGATGTCTCACTGGAAAGACAAAAAGCCCATCTTCAGGTCACTCTAGTCGCTGTTATGGGAAATGAGGTGAGGAAACACTAAGTTGGGAATAATCAGCCCATAATTGCCTTGCGATCTACTAAATCTGTGAAGGACCGTCCTACTTCCTAAACGTAGTGCGTTTGATTTCCCTCCAGAGAACGCAGGAAATTGTTCCCTTTGAAACAGATGAGAAGCTTTGGATAACATCAGATTCTATTGGAAAGCCCTCGGATAATGAGTCGGCAGCTCACAGACTGCACAACAGTGTCTGATACATTTAGTAGCAGATGAGGGGAAGTTTGTTGTGACAGCTGTGCAGGAAAAAATTCTGACGGTTAGGTGGATTTGCAACATAAGAAGGTGATTTGGGTTTGGAAAGAGCACAGTCTTCTTAGGAGGGGAGAGTACACAGAAAAATAAACCAAAGGACACACAGAGCAACAGAGAGCAAAGTGTGCCCAGCTTGCCGTGGAGTTTTCTGCATTGCTTCCCTGCATCAGTAATGCCTGCTGGCCAGTCAGAACGCCCCCTAAAGGCAGTTACACCATTTGCTTCCACAGCTGTTAGTGCCTGGCCAAGAGTGGGAATACTGTACTATTTGCAGGATACACAGCTCCAGAGTAAACCTGAGTTATACTTGAAGATGATTTTATTCTCCACTTAGCACTCAGCTCTCTCTCCTCTCTACTTCATTACTAACTCATTCTTTTCTCATCAGACCCCACAGGCAGGACATGAGGACAGATGATGGCTGCTGCCTGCCCCTGACACATGCACAGGGCCACACTGCTGTTCTGTTCCACACCCACCTACAGAGGCTGCATTTGATTCCCATCTTCCCAACGCCTCCAGCAGTTGCTCAGAGGGCCAGCCACTTCCCCTGATGAAGTGTCACAGAAGCACATGAAAGACATAAACACAGCCCAAGCCAGCATCAGAAGAAAAAGGCCCTAATGAACTAGAAGCAGGAAGATAAACACCAAGTGACAGAGATGACAACTAAAAACCCTCCAAAAGTCTCCTCTGTGTAGTGTGCTCCGGAAGTCACACTCCCCACCTGATGGAGGTAGGAGGGGAGGAAAAAAGAAAGGAAAGATGAAAACCAATATTGATCTTTCCCCTAGCAAGCACTGGGCTAAGGGCTTTTCTATATCTCATCTGATTCAATCCTCAAAAGCAACCAGTAAATGTTATTTCTTCCAAAAGAGAGAGTCAGAGAATTTGAGTGATTTGCTCATTGTCATAGAGTAGTAAGAGACAATTTCCCCCGCTTCTTTGAGGAGGTAACTCTTACCTTTTGGGAAGCCTTGCCTGACCCTCATGGTTTGGAGTGGGAGGGCCTCCTACAGGTCCCAATATTACTCTGTTTAGGACTTTCTCCATCGTACACAGCACTCTGCTTAGAATTTCCTGTTTATTTCTCAGTCTCCATCTCTAGACCAAAGGTTCATTGAAGGCAGAGGCAATCCCTTACTTCAGTATCTCCAGTGCTAAATGCATTGCCTGGCCTATGTGTGCTTGATGAATGGGGGGGCCAGAATTAAGAATCCGCTGTTCCATGCTGTCTCTGAATAATACTGTTTGGAATTTTAATTTAACCAGGTGCTTAGCAAAATGGAAAAGAGTGGGTAAGAAGACTTTCAGGATCCTACTGGATAGTCTCCATGGTGCTATTATAATACTACTATGTGGAACATGGGTTTGGACCTGTGAAATAGGACATTTAAATGCAAGAACTTTACAGCATCGTGGTATTAGCTATTCCCTGGTTGAAAATAAATAAGGCTGAAATGTTTATGTCTGACTATAGGTTTTTTTTTTTCCAGGCTCTTCTCTGTTAAATAAGAAGAAGCACTAGTAAGCCCTGCTTTCTACCCTTAGAGTCCCACAGACACCAATTATTCACATTCACTGTCACAACTTCAAAATGTTTAAGATGCTCTGAACTTTGGTGGGTTCTTTCTTTTAGAGATGGGAATGAAAAGACAGCCAAATTACCTTGGCCCATGTTTTTGAAAGTCATTATAGTTTCTCCACCATAGAATCCTGCAAACCTGCTCCAGCAGTCCTGTTCCAACGTCTGTTTCCAAACTAGAAAATACATGACTTGACCACCAGGAATACTTGTACCAAATCCAAGTCCAGAGCAGAATGGCTCTGCCTGGGCTATTGCGCCAAACACTCTGTCAATTAGCAAAGTCTAATCAACCCAGAAAACCAGCAAAAAGAGGTCACCCAAACAACTAAGTCCAGACTGCAGTAAATCTGCTTCTAGTTACTATTCTTTCTTGTTCCAAACAATTTAGGTACAGATTTTAACAAAGGCAGGTGCAAAGGCTGGTTTTACTGAATTTCAAACGCAGTTGGGGGAGCCAATTGTGGACTTGAAAAAAGTAGCCTCTAGCAACTAGAACCAAAGCTGAACATGCAATTTAATTCAAAGGTACTGAACTCTACATATTTTAAAGGTCAACCTTTCTCAATTTGTCTTGGCATTTGGGTGGTTTCATGCTGCATTTTGGGGCTATCAGCAAGCACTGTGAAGAGTCTCTTCTTAGTCCCCTGTCTGAATTAGATACTTCCTAAAGTATACAAGAAAAGTAGTTGCCCAAGTGCCATTGGGATAGGGGAAATTTTAATAGGCCTGAACATTGATCAGTAACAGTCTTGTAATTTTTCACTTTAGTCTTGGGTTTTTCATATTTGGCCCAAATGTTTTTTATCACTTTTTTAGCAGCTGTACTGAAATATAATTAACATATAATAGACTGCACATATTTAACATATATAATTTAATAAGTTTTGACATATGTTTACATCCATAAGACCATTATCACAGTTAAAATAATGAACATGTGTTCCTTAACTGAATGAATATATGTTAAGATAATGAACGTATTATAAGGAACACTCCCAGAAGGTTCTTCAGGCTCCTTGGTGTTCCTTTCCTCCTACCCTTCTACCACTGGCACTGATCTGTTTTCTGTTATTGTACATTAGTTTGCATGTTTTAGAGTTTGATACAAATGGAATCATTTAGCATGTTTGCGTCTTATACCTGGCTTCTATCATCCAGCATATTTATTTTGCAATCACTCATGTGGTAGCATTCACTAATAGTTCATTCTTTTTTATTGCTGAATAATATAGATATAACACAGTTCATTTATCCAATCACTTATTGATGGAGATTTGGGTTGCTTCCAGTTTGGGGCTATAACAAGTAAAACTCCTATAACAAGGAGGGCTATAACAAGTAAAACATTTATTTGTACTCTTTATATGGGCATATGCTTTCATTTCTAGTAATAGAATGGCTGGACCATGTAAGTGTATGTTTAACTTTTTTAAACTGCCAAGTTGTTTTTCAAAGTGGTTGTACCAGTTTACATTCCCACCAAAAGTATATGAGAGTTCTAGTTCCTCTGTATGTTCACCAACACTTGATATGGTCAGTCTTTTTATATTCCTAATATGTGTGTATTGGTGTCTCATTGTGGTTTTATTTTACATTTCTCTAATGACTAATAATGTTGAGTATATTTTCATGTGCTTATTTGCTAGTCACATATCTTTTTTGGTGAAGTATCTGTTCAAATCTTTTGTCCTTTTTTATTAGGTTACCTTCTTATTATTTATATCTTAGAGTTTTTTATATATTCTGGATATGAGTAGTCCCATATCAGCTCTACTTTTTGCAGATGTGTATGTGTATATATATATATTCTCCCTGTCTGTGACTTGTCCTTTCATTCCCTTAACAGTGTCTTTTGAAGAGCAGAAATGTTTCATTTTGAGGAAGTCCAGTTTGTCAATTCTAAAACATATTATAAAATGGAAGTAATCCAGACAGTATGATATTAGAGCAAAGATAGACAAATAGTTCAGTGGAACGAAACAGGGAGTGCAGAAATCAACCCATATTTATATGGACAGCTGTTTCTTGAGAAAGGTACAAAGGCAATTCAGTGAAAAAGGAGGTTCTTTGCAGCAAACCACACTAGTACAATTGAATATCCATATGGGAAAAAAACACTTTCATCCATGAATTATAAGCTCAGTTATGTACCCCCCAAATTCATATGTTAAAGTCCTGACTTCCAGTACCTCAGAATATGACTGCATTTGGAAATAGTCTTTAAAGAAGTAATTAAGTTAAAATGAGTTCATTTGGGTAGGTCCTAACCCAATATGGCTGATGTCTTTATAAGAAGAGGAAAGTTGGACAGGGACAGGCAGAGAGAAGAGACCACATGAAGACATAAGGAGAAGATGGCCATCTATAAGGCAAGAAGAGAGGCCTCAGAAGAAACCAACCCTGCTTACACCTAGATCTCAGACTTCCAGCCTCAAGAATTGTGAAAAAATATATTTCTATTTTTTAAGCCACTTAATCTGTGATGCTTTATGGCAGTCCTAGCAAACTAATACACCACACCTCTTACCATAAACAAAAATGGACTAAAAAATTGATCATACGCCTAAATTTAAAACTCTAAATCATAAAAACTTCTAGAAGAAAACCTTTGTGACCTTGGGATATACAAAGATTTCTTAGATACAACACTAAAACTACGGTTCATTGAGGGAAAAATTAATAAATTGAACTGAAAGCACTTATAAAGCCTTCTTTCTCCCCCGTAAAACAATCTCAGATGCCCTAGATATAAAACAGACATAAGCAGAGCTTCTTGGGAAGTGGGGCAGAGAGCCTGGATACTATTTCCTTAGTCCCTCCATCACTGTCCCTCTGTAGCCCCTAAGATATCTCTACAGAATGTGCCACCCCAAAGAATAAAATGTGGGAGCCATTGAAATTTATTAACATAATGTTTGGATCTGCCCAAAATAGTAACCAGTAACTTTTATTGAGAGGCTACTATGTGTTACATAATATGATATATGCTTTCTTATATTATTTTCTCTTTTAATCCCATGAGGTAGGTATTATTTACATTCACACAGGAAGAAATTAAGGCTCTCACAGGTGGTCCATGTCATAACTTCAATCTGGACCCAGTTTTGACATCCAAATCCATGCTCTTTAGACTTCCAATGTTCAGGGACACCTCATACACAGTGCCTTCATTCAAACATAAAAGATAAGAACATGAACTTTCTGTGGACATAAACCACTTGTTCAAAATAATTGTCTATTCTTAAAATATGAAACTTTTATTTCCCTAGGAAACTAAATTCCAGCTAAATATGTAATAACCATCCAGGATATACTTCCTATAAAGCCACAGCAGCACGTGATGGTATAATAGCATAGCTATTGAGCAAATATTCTTGGCAAGCTCCCATGCCAGACACACATACTCCTTCCCTGTTACAGAGCAAGTGGCTCACAGAGATCTGTGGCTGATGAATTCTATTAATTTGAAGGCCAAAGCAAGCTAGTTATATTTGCTATGTTCAGAAGGGAGACAGAATGGCAAAATGGTTAGGAAGGTCACACAAATAGTAAAGAGACTGAGCCCTGATTAGACCCAAGGTTTGACGCTATTAGCGGAGGTAACAGTTATAATACTATGTCAACTTTAAAAGTCCTAAGGACTTAATATCACATTATCTCATTTAATTCCCACAACAATCCTGTGAACCAGGTATTGTGAATAAAGCATTAAAAGATGAGAAAGAGGCTTAGAGATGATAAATGATGTGCTCAAGGTCACACAGAAAATCAGGGACAGAACCTTGATTGGTACCCAGATCTGTGACTGCAGAGCCAGATCTTTGAACTACCACTCTAGTCCACCTCTCTCAGTAAGAAGAATAACAAAGAAAACAGGCAAGCTCTTCAGCCTCCCCTTTACAATCGCCTACTCACATTACGTGGAGTAGGGCAATCAATCCACCAGTCACCTTGTAGACCCTACAGAGGAGGCTCCCCATTAGAGAAATCAATCCAGGACCACTGGGAGAGGAACACTAAGGGCGCTTAGAGCATAGGTGCAGAAAGCCCTGCTCTTGAAGGCAGCAAAGTCACATCTACAAGACAGCTTCTCTGTCTGGCAGTTTATCTGCATCTGATGGTCATCACAGAGTTCAGGCTAGCTCGTGCGTATCAGGAGTTGATGTGCGGCTTTCTTCCCACAAGCCAAAAGCTTAACCAGCACAGCCGTTTGTGCTCAAAACTACCTTGGATCAGGAAGGCCTTAGAAGGAACAAGAAAATGCTTGTCACCCACCACTTCCACATTTTGACAATACTGCATTAAAGGTTTAGAAGGAAGGTTTTTACCTGAAAGTCATTAACAGATGCTTATTCCCTATGAAGTTTCAGGCAAAATGCTCAGCCACACCACAGTTTAATCAACACACATCCTAACTGAGACTTTTACAGCTTTAAAGCTGTAAAATCTGGAAGGTTTTGCCTCTCTCTGACATAATTACAAGTTCCATATTTTTGCCTAAGGCTAAAATGTAAATCATTTCCTGGTACACCACAACTTCCTAGCACTGACTATATAAGGCAAGGCTGCATAGATTTTGAAATTAAAAACATCATTTTCCTAAATATGCGTGTCATTATGATGTTTACCAATGTGTTTCTGCTGGTTTTTAAGTCCCAGTTCCTACGTATTGCAGTTGAAGGCTGCTGGCATTGTGATATAAGCTAGGCAATGTAGCCTAAAACTTGCCACAGTTTTTCTTCTCTTTGGGTTCTCTTATGAGTTCCTTTATAGGGCTCCAGAGTACTGATTATAATGCATTATAACCACCAGGGTCTAAATTCATCTCTGTTCCTTATAATCCTCCTTAAGCCCTTTAGAAATACTGCTCCTTCTCATTAGCCCTTAAAACATCAACATTAGCCCTTAAAACATCACCACTGAGCCCACTCCTACTTAGGCATAGAGGAGAAAACATGGGCTATAAGGTCTGACAGACCTGACTAAAAATCCTGACTCTTCCACTTACAATCTTGCATACGTTTCTTTACCTCTCTGAACCTGTGTTTCCTCCTCCATAAAGTGGAAATGATAATACCAGACTTACAAGGTTCCTGTGATATGGGTTTTAATGGCCACTGGGCATATAGTAAGCATTCAGTAAATATTAGTCCCTTCACTTTCTCTGCCTTTCTGATCCATACAGCTCCCAATTTTACCTCTGGCAATATGCCCCAGAGCCATAGGAGTCACAAGGAGAGCTCGTAATCACAGCTCAGGGAATCATGAGAACTGGAACAGCCTTTATGAGCTATGCTATGTTGAATATCTTCATAGCTCAGTCCAGTAAAACCATGAGGGACCCACGTGGCTAGGGCTGAGGCCTGAAATCAGGGAAACCTGGGTTCCAACTGCAGTATAGTCCTAGGTATACTAGGACTAGCTGTGTGACTTGGACCAAGTTACGTAACCTCTCTAAATTGCAGTTCCCCTCTATGTAACGGGGGGAATAATAACAATTCCTACTTTGCAGGGTTATGAGGAGTATTAAATGAGAAAATATATACAGAGAGCCTAATATAGTAGCTGGCATGATGCAAATACTCAGTGGTAGTGATCATTTGCTATTACTAGCAGTGATAGGGAGCATGCCCTTGCCATACTAGCTGAGGACATGGCTCCTAGTCAGCATTCCACTCCCTTACTCACTGCATGACTTTGGACAAGTCGCTTAAATGTTCTGCACCTCAGTCTCCTCATCTATAAAACAAAAATGTTAAGAGAATCTCAACATTCTTCATGGTGTTGTTGGGAGTATCAAATAAAATAATGGCATAAAAGCACTCTGTGAGAGATACAGCATAGAAATTTTAGATGGTATTATTACAATATAGATGTAATGGAAATGCTAATGGATGCTAATCATAAGGTCCTTAAGTTCACCAAAAAATAAGTTGGTCTGAATAGGGCTTAATTGAGTACAAAAATATATATAATAATCATCCCAGAAGCATCCATTAGCCAGGAAATCACACTTCGAAGAAGGGTTTTAATGCTTCATACATATTTATGTGGTCTATTTCTGATTTTGGAATTCAACAGCCCATTTTCTTAATACCAAAATCTCTTCTTTACTGGAGGTTTGGGGGAAAGGGAAAGAAGGAAACAAGAAAACAATTTGAGCCTCCTGAAAGCAGATGAAAGGTAGGGCAGGGATGGAGCAAGGTGAGCAGGAGAACAAACCCATCCTGCAGAGCCCCTGGGGCAGCACACTTATTGGCATGGTCCCAGGAGACAAGACAGGTGGCATATTCTTTCCCTCACCAAAAGGCAAGGGAGCAAGAAGATGAGAACTCCATAGAAGACGTCTGAGTTCCAAGCTCTCCGTAGAAAATATTACTCGAACTTTGTCCTTTTCCAGGGTTTACCTTTGACGGAAAAAACAGGAGTAGGAGCTCACTTCTATCCCCATCATTAAGCTGATCAGCTTATCAGTAGGTATGTATGAAACATGTATTATACGGAGATATAAAGAGTGAGACTTGGCTCCACCTTCAAGAAATTGGCTCACAATCTGGAGGCAATAGGAAGACTGGTGAAGGACTTTGGACATAAAAAGACTGGGAGGGAAGCTGAGATGAATTAAGTGGAAGACAATTTAATTCAACTGCCTAGGATAAATTAAAAACACAAAAATGAACAGAAAACAAAAAAGAAGAAGAACTAAAGAAAAATCAATAGGGCTACTTGAGATGCCTAGCTTATCAAAACAGACTAATGGTTGGACTTCTTAACATGGCAGCAGGCAGCAGGCTATTATGTATGATAGGGCCTCCCCCATCTCCCATTATGAAAAAATCATGCACGCATATGTACATGCACACATGCACACACCTTCATTGACTGGCAAAGTACAGAAAGCCAAAGATCAGAATTACTATGAGTATAAAAATTCCATTTAATGTATCATCAGTAATAGGTTGGCAGGTGTAGTTTTAGACCATACATCACATATTTTATTTTTACAACCACATAAAATGGGTGCTTCCTTCCATTCTGGTCTCAAAAAAATATAAGAAAAGATGTTGATTACCCATAGAGTTTACACCATGTTTCAGAAGACAGGGGCTACAGTGGTGAGAAATATAGTGAGCAGCAATCAGTCTTATGGGAACTTTCTTTACTGCAGTCATGGGCTCCTACACAAACCAGTCTTCCCATTCTATGAGCTCTACTTATTTTACTTTTGCTAAAAGACCTCAGATCTCTTAACTTAGCAAAATAATCAGCATGAGTGGAAGCACAGTTATTTAGAAAAAACTAATTAATGTTTTACACTATTCAAACAACTTCAAATTACATGTAACCTTACAGTTTAAAAAATGCAAGAGTTGTATTAATTCACCTAAATCCATGACAGATGAAAGCCCGTTAGACATTTGAAAAAACCATCAAATTAAAATTTTAGTTTAAATCTGGGCAAAATGTGTGAACGGCAAGTGAAGCAAAAAATAATTCACCTATTATTTTTGTTAATAAAGACAAAGCCTGGATAAATCTCACACAATTCAAGAATGAAAAAGTAGAAAAAGAGCCAACAATGGGATTATGGAAAAAAAGATACTTCAACAACAGAAAAAATAGATAACTCTCTAAAACCTCAAAGAAAGAGAAACTTCTAAAAAGAGTTTTCTCAGTGAAAATTTAAACCAGTTTTGCTGTCTTCATAAATATGTAAAAGGTCATCATCTCTATGAAACAAGGTCAGAACACAATAAATAGAGAACAAGCTGAAAAAAATAATTGGCTAAAATATGAAAATATAAGGAAACCCAAAACAAAATCAAGAGTTTAAAAGCATATTGACAATAATGAAGAACAGAATGAAACTGAAGAAAATATAATTTGTGATAGAGCACTTCAGGTTACCTAGAAAGTAAAGAGAATAAACTTGGCCTCAGGCTTTTTATTAGGAACAGTCAATGCTGAAAGACAAAGAAGCAATGCCTTCAAATTACTAATAAGAAATTATTATTATTATTATTATTATTATTATTATTATTATTATTATTATCATTGAGATGGAGTCTTGCTCTGTTGCCCATGCTGGAGTACAGTGGCGTGATCTCGGCTCACTGCAACCTCTGCCTCCCAGGTTCAAGTGATTCTTGTGCCTCAGCCTCCCAAGTAGCTTGGATTAGAGGCATGCGCCACGACGCCCAGCTAAGTATTTTTGTATTTCTAGCACAGACGGGGTTTCACCATGGTGGCCAGTCTGGTCTCAAACTCCTGATCTCAAGTGATCTACCACCTCAGCCTCCCAAAGTGCTGGTATTACGCCATGAGTCACCACGCTCAGCTGGAAATCATTTTAAATCTAGAATTCTGTACCTACCAAAACTATCAGTCAAGGATTAGGGAAAAATAAATACATTTTCAGAAAAACAAGGACCCAGGAAGTTTACCTCCCATGCACCCTTTATGGAAAAAAAATCACTTGAATAAATGTCCTGAAGGGGAGGAAAAAGAAATGTTCTTAAAAGGGAGTACACAGGATCTAAGAAATAGTGAAACTAATCTAGAAGTGGAATAAAGAGAAATATCAGGGTGACAGCTTTGAAACAGACCTAGAAATAGAGTGATACTTACTAAAGCATTAAACAATTGCAAGATATTGGCAATATGGTAAAAAGATATGTGTTTCTTTTCTCAAGAAAAAAGGCAATTAAACCCAAAACATTTCCCAAGAATGGTCCAAATATGAAACAAGTTAAATCATGACAATAGTCTGAATAATGGATGAAATATTAAAATAGAAAGAGAAAATCCATTTAATCTTGACCTTTAGAAAATTCTCCTTAAAGGGGCGTAGGTGTTGAGTTGCATTGCTTTCTCTACATACCCAATATTCCTCAAACATGAAATGAATATTTATATAACTATTATATTAAAATTCCACCAGTATTTGACTTTCAGAATTAACCTACAAAGTATAGAAAATTTAATTAGAATTAGAGAACAGAATGCTCTAAACATTCCCCACATAAAGTGATAACATAGCTAACAGGAGTCAGACAGTAGAGAAAGGAAGACATAGAGAATGCTAAATTGGGAAATTCATTCCCCAAGAGTCAAAAAATAACCAAGAGTCCAAAAAATGTTTAAAGTTGATGAATCAAGAAGTTGAAGCTTAAGTATTTTTAAAAATTACAAAAGTTATTCATCTAAGAAAAAAATTACAATTGGGAAGAATTTGAAAAGGAAAGCTTAGGGTAGTATAAATAACTTGAGCCTTACTCTTTCATATCGAAGAATCAATAGATAAAGTCTATAGTTACTAATTAAGAATGAAAGATCTAAACACATTATTTAGAGTTATGGAGGTAACTATTAGAAGAAATACAAAGCATTCAAAAGTAATTATGACTGAAATGTGAGATTAGAAATGGGGAGTCTGAACAAAAATTTTACTTCTAATTTGATATCCTGCTGCACTAATTGAATGTTTATATCCTGGCATAGGTGTTACTTTCAGGACTTATTTATTTAATAAAATTTACAAGCCAGAGTTTGCTTTTATGCTTGTGTTTATTCTCATAGCATCATAATTTATCATAATCATAATTTATGCAAAATATTATGGCATACAAATTTTTAAGTTATTATAAGGATAAATAAAACAACAAAATTTCGATTTGAGAAGGAAATAAATTTATTGCTGTCTGTAATAGATCAAGTAAACCACAATAAATAAAAATTATTTTGAATTAATTATATACTTTGTGCCCTTTGAAGATTATAAATTTTAAAATATTTCATAAAATATTTATAAGATTTGACCTTGTAATTGTTCACATGATTAACCTCAGGACTTTCAAAGTAGCAGAAATTATAGACTACATTCTTTAATCACAATGCAGCAAAACTAGAAATTAATAACAAAAAATGTCCTATGAATAAGTATTTTAATTTGACCCTCCTAATTATTGTATCAAGTGAGAAATTTAAATTAATAGCAAATTCTATTTTAAAATAATGAAAGTAATAATTAAATAAAAATATATATAGTTCTGACAAAGCTGTACTCAATAGCCAAATCCACTTAGAATACCTCTGGAAGGAAACACAAGAACATCATAATTGTGGTTACCTCCTGGTGAGGAACAAGAAGACTAAGGCAGGAGAATGAAGAAAATTCACTATTATCTGTAAGCCCTTTTGTATGCTTTGAGTTTTGTACAATGTGCATAAAGGACCACAAAATACAGAACTATTTTTAAATCAAATTGATAGACTTGAATATTTTCATTACTAATCAAGAATTTTGTTTTAAAAGAATTATTCAATCAATTCAAGAAGCTAGCTAGAAAAGAAAGAAAAAAACTATAAAAAAGCAGGAAGAATAAAATATAAATCTAGGGTGAACAGTGATGAATTTTTAAACAATCAAATAAATAGATGGAAGAGATAAGTAGATTAAAAGATAAGCAGAAGAGGTTATTATCTGGGAAACAAAGTTTTTAAATCAACAAAGTTCTGACAAATCTAAATTTTTTGAAAAAGAAAGATACAGAATAAGAAAAAGGGGGAGGAAATAAAACATTTACCATTTACCATGTGCCATGCACTGTTTCAAGTATTTGGCACAGATCATTTCATTTCATTGTATTTACCAACAGGTAAATGAAACATATTTTAAGAATTAAAAGAGAATTCCACTCACAATCACGTTTTAACAAATTTAAAAATTTCAATAAAGTGAACCATTTTCTAGAAATATGAATTAATAACATTGATTCAATATTATAAGAAAGCTGAATAGCCATGGAAAATTTAGCAAATGTTATTAAGGGATAATTTGCAAAACTGGTTCTAGGCCTTTCACGTTTTCAAGAAACTTATGAGACCCGCATTATATAATCCATTCCAGGGTAGGTTAAAGTAGGAAAAGCTATCCTAACTCACTTTATGACGTTGACATAACCCTCATAACAAAATATGACAATGATTAATATTCCAAAGAGGGTTCTGTGGAAATTAGTGTCACTTTCTGAGGGGGGAATGGAATCTATTGTGAGTGTGCTTGAAAAGCACTCCCTCAGAGATTACAGCATGTATTAGCATATTAAAGTCTCTGAGAAACCTAAAGCAAAGAAATTTGTTAAAATGTTTTAATCTGCCTTTCTCAAGTGTATTTGACCACGGAACCATTTCTTCCTCATAACATTCCTTCTTAGAATGCATTTCAAGAAATGTTCTTCCAAACAAGTTTTATTTATGAATACAGTTGTGAAAATTCTAAATAACAAATCTGGAAAATTAAGTCAAAGTATATTAAAACAATAACCCAGCATAATCAAGTAGGGATTACCTCAGAAATGCAAGGATTGTTTAATATTAGAAATATATTAATATAACACATTGCATCACTAGGTCAAATAAGAGGACATAATTATTTTAAAAAAAGAACAAAAGATCATTTGATAAAATTCAACACTGTTTTTTTTTCTGATTTTTAAGCCTCACTAGGAAGCTAAGTGTATTTCCTAATTTCTTTTAGGCCAGTTACCTCTTAGCTGCAAATTATTAAAGCTGCTCTCATTAAAATCAGGAGGAAGGTAAGGATGTCCAAGATCATACTAACATGCAAGAAAAGAAACAAGATACAACTATTTCAAAAGAGAATAGAAGTTATAATTATTTGCAGAAGGTATGATTGCTTTTCTAAAAGATACAAAAAGAACCAAAATCAATAATAATACTCAAGAAAATCACTAATTATAAAATACATATTCAAGATTCAATTTTCTATATACTAACAATAATTAGAAAATGTAATGAGGGAAAGGTCAATACATAATACTTACAAACTATAAATTTCTTAAGTAAAACCTTGAGGGATGCAAGATAGAAGAAAACTTAAACAAATGGAAAGATAAAATATGCTCCCGGAGAGGTAGACTACATAATAAAACATGTTAATTATTCCAAAATTAATTTATATTTTTGATATAATGTCAAGCATTGCATTTGGCAAATATTGTGTGTGAAAATAGTTCAACTGTTTAAAAAAGTAAAATCAGTGGAAATGTACCCAAACTCAATATTAAACTGCCTTTTATAACACATACAAAATAGTGTAATGGTGGTATAAGAATCAACAGACGAATTAACACAACAAAACAAACAGGCCTGAAATAGAGCCTTGTACACATTATAACTTAATATGTGACAGAACATACATCATAAACCAATATGGAAAAAATGGACTACTCTATAAACGGTTTGTGTAAAACTGGTTATGTATTTCAAAAGAAAAATATCAACTTGTGGTCTCACTTCACATCATATAAAAATTAATTTCAAATACATTTTAGAATTAAATGAAAATATATTTTAAAAGCTAAGTAGGTAAATATTTACCACATTTTAGAGAGGAAGAATTTTCTAAATGTAATAGCACCAAAAGAAGTCACAGAATAAAATGGTGGAATGACACTGGTTAATGGAACCTGACTCTCAAAACCCTTAATGAAATGAACAAAAACAACTAATGACCAGTCAGAAATATATCGTCAACACTCAGACACAGGAAGGGGCACAAACTCATACCAAGGAAGGGATGTAACCTCATATCATGATATAATCAGAGCCATATATGACAAACCCACAGGCAATATCACACTGAGTGGGCAAAAGCTGAAAGCATTCCCCTTGAAAACTGGTACAAGACAAGGATGCCCTCTCTCACCACTCCTGTTCAACATAGTGTTGGAAGTTCTGGCCAGGGCAATCAGGCAAGAGAAAGAAATAAAGATTACTGAAATAGGAGGAGAGGAAGTCAAATTATCTTTGTTTGCAGATGACATGATCTTATATCTAGAAAACCCCATCGTCTCAGCCCAAAAGCATCTTAAGCTGATAAGAAACTTCAGCAAAGGCTCAGGATACAAAATCAATATGCAAAAATCACTAGCATTACTATACACCAACAACAGGCAAGCAGAGCCAAATCATGAATGAACTCCCATTCACAATTCCTACAAAAAGAATAAAATGCCTAGGAATACAGCTAACAAGGGAAGTGAAGGACCCCTCCAAGGAGAATTACAAACCACTGATCAAATAAATCAGAGAGGACACAAACAAATGGAGAAACATTCCATGCTCATGGATAGGAGGAATCAATATCATCAAAATGGTCATACTGCCCAAACTAATTTAAAGATTCAATGCTATTTCCATTAAACTACCGACATTCTTCACAGAATTAGAACAAAAAATTTTAAAGCTTGTATGGAACAAAGAGGCTGAATAGTCAAGACAATCCTAAGCAAAAAGAACAAAGTTGGAGCCATCATGCTACCCACCTTAAAACTATACTACAAGTCTAAAGTAACCAAAACAGCATGGTAGTGGTACAAAAAACAGACACATAGAATGGAACAGAATAGAGAACTCAAAAATAAGACCACACACCTACAAACATCTCATCTTCAACAAACCTGACAAAAACAAACAATGTGGAAAGGATTCTCTTTATAATAAATGGTGCTGGGAGAACTGGCTAGCCATATGCAGAAAATTGAAACTGGACCCCTTACTTATACCTTATACAAAAATTAACTCAAGATGGATTAAAGATGTAAATGTAAAACCCAAAACTATAAAAAACCTAGAACAAAATCTAGGCAATACCATTCAGGACAGAGGCATGGGCAAAGATTTAATTATGAAAACACCAAAAGCAATTGCAACAAAAGCAAAACTTGACAAATGGGATCTAATTAAACTAAAGAGCTTCTGCACAGCAAAAGAAACTATCATCAGAGTGAACAGACAACCTACAGAATGGGAGAAAATGTTTGCAATCTAATAATCTGAGAGAGGTCTAATATCTAGAATCTACAAAGAACTTAAACAAATTTACAAGAAAAAATTAAACAACCCCATTAAAAAGTGGGCAAGGGACATGAACAGACACTTCTCAAAAGAAGACATTCATGCAACCAACAAGTATATTAAAAAAAGCTTTTCATCACTGGTCATTAGAGAAATGCAAATCAAAACCACAGTGAAATACCATCTTATGCAATCAGAATGGTGGTTCATTGAAAAGTCAAGAAACAACTGATGCTGGCAAGTTTGTGAAGAAAAAGGAATGCTGTTACACTGTTGGTGGGAGTGTAAATTAGTTCAACAATTGTGGAAGACAGTGTGGAAATTCCTCAAAGATCTAGAAGCAGAAATGCCATTTGATCCGGCAATCCCATTACTGGGTATATAACCAAAGGAATATAAATCATTCCATTATAAAGATACATGCACATATATGTTCATTGCAGCACTATTCACAACAGCAAAGACATGGAATCAACCCAAATGACCATCCAGGATAGACTGGATAAAGAAAATGTGGTACATATACATAATGGAATACTATGCAACCATAAAAAGGAATAAGATCATGTCCTGTGCAGGGACATGGATGGAGCTGGAAGCCATTATCCTCAGCAAACTAATCCAGGAACAGAAAACCAAACACCACATGTTCTCACTTATAAGTGGGAGCTGAATGATGAGAGCACATGGACACACTGGGGGAAACAACACATATTGGGGCCTATTGGGAGAGCGGTTCAGGGGAGGAAGAGCATCAGGAAGAAAAGCTAATGGATGCTGAGCTTTATACCTAGGTGATGGGTTGATCTGTGCAGCAAACCACCATGGCACATGTTTACCTACGTAACAAATCTGTACATCCTGCACTAGTAACCCAGAACTTAAAATAAAAGTTGAAGAGAGAAAAAAAAAAGTGAAAACCAGGAAAAAAAAAAAAAGAAAAGATCTCAGGAATCAAAAATCAGCTATCCTACAGATGCAGTTCCAGTGGAAGATGAATGGATAAAATTTAGAAAATTCTCACCAATAAAACCTACACTACCAAGTTTGGAGTAAAGTCATTTGCCTATTCACTCAGTCATTAAATTTGCTAATACATATCACACATGTACTCTGTTCCAAGCACTATTCAGTCAACCTGGAGAATACCAATCTGAAAGAATTATCCCTTCTATAAGAAATAACTTTTTCAAAATTATTTTGAAAAATAATTATTTTTGAAATTTTTGAAATATTTTGAAAAATATAGTTTGAAAAAATTATTTCTTTATAATTTGAGTATTATATATTATCTGTAGAAAATTTGTAACATCAAGGTAAACTAAAAAAAATCTCTCATTGACAACTTCCATAAATTGTGTAGCATATGTGTGTGTATATATAAAATATATATATACATGTATATATCTGTTTTACAAAAAATAATCATAATCTACCTATTATTTCATAAATAGATTCTTAAATCTGATAATACATCATATACCCCTTTCCTTTTCTATAAATATATCTCTACATCATTATTTGAATGCCTGTGTGATATTACCTTGTATAGATTAATCAATTTGTTTAATCAGTTCCCTATTTTGGGACCTTTATAGTTGTTCTAAATAAATTTCTTTATACAAAAATCCTGGTATACTTATTAGAGTATGTCATTAGGAAAAATTCTTAGAAGTAGAATTGGTGGGAAAAAAAGTATAAACACCTTTAACATTTTTAATACACCTTGCAGAACTGCACTCCAGAAAGGCTGTACCAATTTCTACTTCTGTCCTCACTAACAGTGTAAAGTGCCTTTTTCCTCACATCCGAGCCAACACCCAGTACTAAACACTTTCTTGACTACTGTGTCCTTGAATTTCGCTTATTCTCAAATTCTTTACCAGACCTGAACTAAGCCTTTTTCCCATCCAGAGTCCTCAGCTGATAGAAAAGCTCCCCTTCCAAGCTCTCGGCTACTTCCCTCTCTAATATCCAGCCCTAGAAGGTCTTTGTTGTTTATTGACAAATGATTTCAGAGCACGATGAAAGATTGTGAATTCTTGACTTCTGATCTTTGCTGACTGGGTTATCAAAGTATTGGCCCTAATCCAGATTTGAGACAGAACCAAGCCTATTTGATCTAAAAAGGTAGTTCCAAGCTTTTCAAACAGCCATCATCACATCACTCTCAATATATGAACTTTTCTTGACTGCTCTTTGACAGAGTTAAACTATTTCCCAGAGCGTGGAGAAAAGCCAGATCACTTGGTCAGTCTGTCATCGCTAAATGGGTACACATAAGATCTTGTGTTCTTGGTCCTACAGAATAAAGGTAAGACGGATAAGGTTCTTAAGGAACAAATATCTTAGTCAAAACAAGACATTCATTTAACATCAATTATGGAACATAAACTTTGTGCCAGGACCCATAGAGGCAAGAGAGGAAGAGAGGAGATAAACAGAATAATCATTATTATTATAATGATGTTAGATATTAGTTTTTTAAGTAGAGATGAACATACCAAGAAATCTGGAAAATATAGAGGAGAGAGTTGATAGTTATTTCTATGAGGGTCAGAAAAGGCTTTGCAATTGGTGACAAATCTACTGGGTCTTGAAAAATGAGCAGGAATTCTTTAAGAGGAGAAGCTTCAGAAAGGCATTCCAGAAAGAGAACCACAGGGACACAGGTCCTGTTACCTAACAGCGTTCACAAAAAACACCAGTGCTCCATAAATGGAATCAAAGTAATTTATTATTTAAACCATATAAAAGCAATCTGTAGCAATCTGTTGAAATTTTGTTTTTAAATTGATATGTGGAATACTCTTAATTTTAAGTTATTCTTACAAAAATATTTCTTTGGTATTTTTCTTCACTTTTCTAACAGAAAGAGGTAGCAAACAGTTAAAAAAGATAGAAAATATATTAGGTAAAAAACTCAGAGAGAGCCAAACTAAATCCAGTGCTTGGTTTTTTTTTATTATTAATAAATGCTTACGGTCTAAAATGTTATCATATAGTAATATTTTCTATGAATAAAATTGTACCAGATCGTACAATGAAGTTAACTATAAAGCTATTTCATATTTAATAAGAAAGAAAGAAACAAGATGACTCTAGGTAATCAGCTACCTAAACTAGTTTGAGAATTAAAGGATTCCTGGCTGGATGTGGGTAAAAATTTGGGAGATAAAACTACAAAGATAAATAATACTTGGAAAGGTCTAGTAAGCCATGCTGAGAAATTAAGGGTTTTTATTGCCAGAAAAAAAAGCAACTTATTAATCATGTGAGGGACATTTTTTGTGTTTGTTGTTTTATGGACAAAAACAACACCAAAAATCTCTGATGATGATACAAAGGATGGAAGTGAATAAGAAGAGATTGATGATTACTGTAGTAATGCACAAAAGAAATAGAAACAATGCTGATAATAAGCTGGGGGAGGCAGACATAAAAAATGAAAATAGTATATTGTCATCACATGCTAATTAGGTGATTTCTGGCAAATTTAAAATCACTAAAGGCTCTGACATTAAAGAATAGTAAAGAAACCTGAAATGAAATCCGTAATTGCTGTCTGTCTTTGTCTTTCTCATTCAAAGTATCATAGAGCTGGAAGGAACCTTAGAATCTACATCATCCAGAGGTACTCAAACTTTAGTGTGCATATTTGGTCAGCTTGTCAAAAGGCAGATAAACAAGTGCCACTCCAGAGATTCCAATTCAGTAGGCCTAGATGGAGTCCAGCATCTCAACTTTTAACAAATAACCTGGCGATTCTGGTCCATGTACTCCAAAGGCTATGGTCTGAGAACCACTGACCTCATTGCAAACCCCTCACTTGCCATAAGAGAGAGCTGAGGCCAGGAAAGTAAAAAAGATGAATCTAATCTTAAGACGCTCCATAATTAGAACCTTTGGCTCCTAAGTAGTGCCCAATAATCTTTACACTACACATCTCTGACTGCCCAAGACAACCCTCTGTCAGTTTGGGGCTAAATGGATGAAACCAGAATATCCAATCTATAGAGTCACATGGATGAATTTTGAAAGCAAAAATTTTTCTCAGGTGTTTTTTTGGTCTCACGTGCTCAGGTTACAGCACACTCACCTCAATGGTAGGCCTTTCTCAAAATTTGTTCACATTCTAGTAGGGATTCAATAACCATACTTCTCTCTATGCATTGGTCAGCCCTTGCTTGGCCCATTCAAATAATGAGTCAAACAGTGTTTTTTTTTTTTTTTTTTGAGACAAAGATTCGCTCTGTCACCCAGGCTGGAGTGCAGTGAGAGGATCTCTGCTCACTGCAACCTCCACCTCCTGGGTTCAAGCGATTCTCCTGCCTTGGCCTCCAGAGTAGCTGGAATTACAGGTGTGCACCACCATGCCTGGCTAATTTTTGTATTTTTAGTAGAGACAGCGTTTCAACATGTTGGCCAGGCTGGTCTCGAACTCCCAACCTCAGGTGATCCACCCGCCTCAGCCTCCCAAAGTGCTGGGATTACAGGCGTGAGCCACTGCGACTGGCCCAAACAAATTTTAAATACACCAAATCCCAGGTACCAGCCATAACATACTACTTAAAATCCAAGAGTCAGAAACCTGTGGGAAATATTTTGGAACGCACATTTGGCTAGTAGAGCTGTGGAGCTGAAAGATGCTAAAACTCTACCACTATTTGGCAATTCTCAGCCTCCTGATGTCTCAGTTTCTTCATGTCCAAAGGCTATAATGAGGTCTTTCCTATCCACATCAGAGCAATACTATAGGAAACACTTGTGAAATTGCTTTCACAAGGTTTAAAAGAACTACTCAGAACAAAAGTAAATAATGTATAAAATCCTTCTTCATATACTTCAACTGCCACTACTGGATACCTCGAGAGGTACAGTGCAGGGAGAGGCACAGGTCAATGAAAGCTCCGGGAAGAAATAATGCTTGTGGCTGGGCTTTAAAAGAAGGCGAAATGGTTACTTGATGGATTAGCAGTAAGGATAAAGAAAATAAGTGGACAGAGCAGAGTCTACAGAGGGACCAGCTTGATGAGGCTGCTGCTGACAGAAAGGTTTTTCTATTCTTACGGGCTCTTGGCCTTCACATGGTAGAATGTGTCAACAAAGCAAGGCACAAAGGACAATGAATTCCCCACTTCCCAGTAAATACTGGCTATTTACTAAATACCATCTGTAAAATAATATTACATTGTAGAAATATTTGTATTTTAAGTGCTATGAATTTATTATTAAGGGTTTTAATATATTAACATGCTATTAAATGGAGTCTCTCAGCTTTTGCATTGCTTGGCTCCAGTATTTCAAATTAAAGAACCTTACACTGCACTTATACACATGACTTGTTTTTCTCCTATCTAAACAGGCCAAATAGACTTTCATCAAGTCATCATCAAATAGGGTTTTATTAAAGTCCCCACCTGTACACATCACATAACACTGCAGTGAGTTAAGGAGGCTAAGTGAAGAAAGGACAAGTTCACATTGCGGCTAGTTTCAGAAGGTAGGGAGAGTTTTGAAAATCATGCATTTGTTAAGCTCTGGCACAGTTTCAATAACCTCATGGAAACTGAAATAGACCATAATTAATGACCATCTAATCCAAGCGTCTGTTCTAAAGTACAACTTCCCACTCAAAGTAAAACTCTCACTATAACAGTCCTGACACATGACCACATTACCTCTGTTTAGAAATGCCCAGTGATGGGATGCTTACCATTTCAAATGATAGTTCATTACTTTTTTATGAATTTTAATTATAAAAAGTATTCTTCCTTCATTTGGTATTTACCAGTTCACCTCTCTGTGATGTAATTCAGTAAAAAGAACAAGGGTTTTAGAGTCATACAAAATTGAGTATGATTCCCAATTCTGCCAGTTACTAGTTGTTTGACTTCAAGTATCTTCTTTAATCTCTCTGAGCCTCATTTTTCTCACCTATGAAATAAGGATGATGAGCCCTTCCCTCAGTGGTTTGTTGTATGAATTAAGCTATATGTGAAAAGTATTTAGCAATTTTCCTGGCACATAACAGCTGCTCAAGGAATAAGGTATTATTCCACTCATTTGCTCTAGTTCTGTCATTTGCTGCTCATGTTTTAATCCCTCTTTTATACACATATCATAGTCCTTTAAATATAGGATGATGATGAACTTCTTTCCTGAAACTGCTCTTCAGCCCACTTACCATCTCCAGTTCCCGTATACATTTTTTTTTTTGAGATGGAGTCTTGCTCTGTCGCCCAGGCTGGAGTGCAATGGTGTGATCTCAGCTCACGGCAACCTCCACCTCCTGGGTTCAAGTGATTCTCCTGTCTCAGCCTCCTGAGTAGCTGGGATTACAGGCATGAGCCACCATGCCCAGCTAATTTTTGTATTTTTAGTAGAGACGGGATTTCACCATGTTGGTCAGGCTAGTCTCGAACTCCTGACCTTGTGATCTACCCACGTTGGCTTCCCAAAGTGCTGGGATTACAGGCGTGAGCCACTGCACCCAGCCTCCTGTATCCTTTTACACTGCCATTTAACCCTAAGTCACTATGCTATTGGGGGCCATAGGGATAGTTCAAAATAATAGGATGTGGATCAGTGATTGGGTGATTCAGTGGCTGTAACATCTTTCAACCAAGGGATGTGCAACAATCCAGATCAACACTTCAGTCCAAACCATTATAAGATGATAGAAATGAATCCAAATATAATATTAATCATGATCAATGTAAACTGCCTAGATTACCTGGTTAAAAGACAAATATTGTCAGACTGGATTAAAAAGAAAATACAACTCTAAGTTATTGCAAGAGACACCATCTAAAGCTTAACATACAAAAATTTAAAATAAAACAAAAATTTAATGTCAAATTTATAGAAAAATCAAGAAAACACTAATTTAAAAACTGGTACAGTTTTATTAGTATGAGACAAAATAGACTTCAAGGCAAAAGGATTATTGATAAAAAAAGATGACTACATAAAAATCTCAATTCATCAAGAAGATATAACAATTTACATATGGAATAACTAGGAGGAGGAGCCAAGATGGCCGAATAGGAACACCTCCGGTCTACAGCTCCCAGCATGACCGACGCAGAAGACAGGTGATTTCTGCATTTCCATCTCAGGTACCGGGTTCATCTCATTAGGGAGTGCCAGACAGTGGGCACAGGTCAGTGGGTGCGCGCACTGTGCGAGAGCAGAAGCAGGGCGAGGCATTGCCTCACTCGGGAAGCACAAGGGGTCAGGGAGTTCCCTTTCCTAGTCAAAGAAAGTGGTGACAGACGGCATCTGGAAAATCGGGTCACTCCCACCCTAATACTGCGCTTTTCCGACTGGCTTAAAAAACGGCGAACCAGGAGATTATATCCCGCACCTGGCTCAGAGGGTCCTACACCCACAGAGTCTTGCTGATTGCTAGCACAGCAGTCTGAGATCAAACTGCAAGGTGGCAGTGAGGCTGGGGGAGGGGCGCCCGCCATTGCCCAGGCTTGCTTGGGTAAACAAAGGAGCCAGGAAGCTCGAACTGGGTGGAGCCCACCACAGCTCAAGGAGGCCTGCCTGCCTCTGTAGGCTCCACCTCTGGGGGCAGGGCACAGACAAACAAAAAGACAGCAGTAACCTCTGCAGACTTAAATGTCCCTGTCTGACAGCTTTGAAGAGAGCAGTGGTTCTCCCAGCACGCAGCTGGAGATCTGAGAATGGGCAGACTGCCTCCGCAAGTGGGTCCCTGACCCCTGACCCCTGAGCAGCCTAACTGGGAGGCACCCCCCAGCAGGGGCACACTGACACCTCACATGGCAGGGTATTCCAACAGACCTGCAGCTGAGGGTCCTGTCCGTTAGAAAGAAAACTAAGAAACAGAAAGGACATCCACACCAAAAACCCATCTGTACATCACCATCATCAAAGACCAAAAGTAGATAAAACCACAAAGATGGGGAAAAAACAGAACAGAAAAACTGGAAACTCTAAAAAGCAGAGTGCCTCTCCTCCTCCAAAGGAATGCAGTTCCTCACCAGCAACGGAACAAAGCTGGATGGAGAATGACTTTGACGAGCTGAGAGAAGAAGGCTTCAGATGATCAAATTACTCCAAGCTATGGGAGGACATTCAAACCAAAGGCAAAGAAGTTGAAAACTTTGAAAAAAATTTAGAAGAATGTATAACTAGAATAACCAATACAGAGAAGTGCTTAAAGGAGCTGATGGAGCTGAAAACCAAGGCTCGAGAACTACGTGAAGAATGCAGAAGCCTCAGGAGCCGATGCGATCAACTGGAAGAAAGGGTATCAACGATGGAAGATGAAATGAATGAAATGAAGCGAGAAGGGAAGTTTAGAGAAAAAAGAATAAAAAGAAACGAGCAAAGCCTCCAAGAAATATGGGACTACGTGAAAAGACCAAATCTACGTCTGATTGGTGTGCCTGAAAGTGACCGGGAGAATGGAACCAAGTTGGAAAACACTCTGCAGGATATTATCCAGGAGAACTTCCCCAATCTAGCAAGGCAGGCCAACATTCAGAATCAGGAAATACAGAGAACACCACAAAGATACTCCTCGAGAAGAGCAACACCAAGACACATAATTGTCAAATTCACCAAAGTTGAAATGAAGGAAAAAATGTTAAGGGCAGCCAGAGAGAAAGGTCGGGTTACCCTCAAAGGGAAGCCCATCAGACTAACAGCAGATCTCTCGGCAGAAACTCTACAAGCCAGAAGAGAGTGAGGGCCAATATTCAACATTCTTAAAGAAAAGAATTTTCAACCCAGAATTTCATATCCAGCCAAACTAAGCTTCATAAGTTAAGGAGAAATAAAATACTTTACAGACAAGCAAATGCTGAGAGATTTTGTCACCACCAGGCCTGCCCTAAAAGAGCTCCTGAAGGAAGTGCTAAATATGGAAAGGAACAACCGGTACCAGCCACTGCAAAATCATGCCAAAATGTAAAGACCATCGAGACTAGGAAGAAACTGCATCAACTAAGGAGCAAAATAACCAGCTAACATCATAATGACAGGATCAAACTCACACATAACAATATTAACTTTAAATGTAAATGCACTAAATGCTCCAATTAAAAGACACAGACTGGCAAATTGGATAAAGAGTCAAGACCCATCAGTGTGCTGTATTCAGGAAACCCATCTCATGGACAGAGACACACATAGGCTCAAAATAAAAGGATGGAGAAAGATCTACCAAGCAAATGGAAAACAAAAAAAGGCAGGGGTTGCAATCCTAGTCTCTAATAAAACAGACTTTAAACCAACAAAGATCAAAAGAGACAAAGAAGGACATTACTTAATGGTAAAGGGATCAATTCAACAAGAAGAGCTAACTATCCTAAATATATATGCACCCAATACAGGAGCACCCAGATTCATAAAGCAAGTCCTGAGTGACCTACAAAGAGACTTAGACTCCCACACATTAATAATGGGAGACTTTAACACCCCACTGTCAACATTAGACAGATCAATGAGACAGAAAGTCAACAAGGATACCCAGGAATTGAACTCAGCTCTGCACCAAGCGGACCTAATAGACATCTACAGAACTCTCCACCCCAAATCAACAGAATATACATTTTTTTCAGCACCACACCACACCTATTCCAAAATTGACCACATAGTTGGAAGTAAAGCTCTCCTCAGCAAATGTAAAAGAACAGAAATTATAACAAACTATCTCTCAGACCACAGTGCAATCAAACTAGAACTCAGGATTAAGAATCTCACTCAAAACCGCTCAACTACATGAAAACTGAACAACCTGCTCCTGAATGACTACTGGGTACATAACGAAATGAAGGCAGAAATAAAGATGTTGTTTGAAACCAACGAGAACAAAGACACAACATACCAGAATCTCTGGGACGCATCCAAAGCAGTGTGTAGAGGGAAATTTATAGCACTAAACGCCCACAAGAGAAAGCAGGAAAGATCCAAAATTGACACCCTAACATCACAATTAAAAGAATTAGAAAAGCAACAACAAACACATTCAAAAGCTAGCAGAAGGCAAGAAATAACTAAAATCAGAGCAGAACTGAAGGAAATAGAGACACAAAAAACCCTTCAAAAAATTAACGAATCCGGGAGCTAGTTTTTTGAAAGGATCAACAAAATTGATAGACCGCTAGCAAGACTAATAAAGAAAAAAAGAGAGAAGAATCAAACAGACGCAATAAAAAATGTTAAAGGGGATATCACCACCCATCCCACAGAAATGCAAACTACCATCAGAGAATACTACAAACACCTCTATGCAAATAAACTAGAAAATCTAGAAGAAATGTATAAATTCCTTGACACATACACCTTCCCAAGACTAAACCAGGAAGAAGCTGAATCTCTGAATAGACCAATAACAGGAGCTGAAATTGTGGCAATAATCAATAGCTTACCAACGAAAAAGAGTCCAGGACCAGATGGATTCACAGCCGAATTCTACCAGAGGTACAAGGAGGAACTGGTACCATTCCTTCTGAAACTATTCCAATCAATAGAAAAAGAGGGAATCCTTCCTAACTCATTTTATGAGGCCAGCATCATCCTGACATCATCCTGATACCAAAGATGGGCAGAGACACAACCAAAAAAGAGAATTTTAGACCAATATCCTTGATGAACATTGATGCAAAAATCCTCAATAAAATACTAGCAAACCGAATCCAGCAGCACCTCAAAAAGCTTATCCACCATGATCAAGTGGGCTTCATCCCTGGGATGCAAGACTGGTTCAATATACATAAATCTATAAATGTAATCCAGCATATAAACAGAACCAAAGACAAAAACCACATGATTATCTCAATAGATGCATAAAAGGCCTTTGACAAAATTCAACAACCCTTCATGCTAAAAACTCTCAATAAATTAGGTATTGATGGGACGTATCTCAAAATAATAAGAGCTATCTATGACAAACCCACAGCCAATATCATACTGAATGGGCAAAAACTGGAAGCATTCCCTTTGAAAACTGGCATAAGACAGGGATGCCCTCTCTCACCACTCCTATTCAACATAGTGTTGGAAGTTCTGGCCAGGGCAATTAGGCAGGAGAAGGAAATAAAGGGTATTCAATTAGGAAAAGAGGAAGTCAAATTGTCCCTGTTTGCAGATGACATGATTGTATATCTAGAAAACCCCATCTTCTCAGCCCAAAACCTCCTTAAGCTGATAAGCAACTTCAGCAAAGTCTCAGGATAAAAAATCAAGGTACAAAAATCACAAGCATTCTTATACACCAACAACAGACAAACAGAGAGCCAAATCATGAGTGAACTCCCATTCACAATTGCTTTAAAAAGAATAAAATACCTAGGAATCCAACTTACAAGGGATGTGAAGGACCTCTTCAAGGAGAACTACAAACCACTGCTCAAGGAAATAAAAGAGGATACAAACAAATGGAAGAACATTCCATGCTCATGGGTAGGAAGAATCAATATCATGAAAATGGCCATACTGCCCAAGGTAATTTATAGATTCAATGCCATCCCCATGAAGCTACCAATGACTTTCTTCACAGAATTGGAAAAAACTACTTTAAAGTTCATATGGAACCAAAAAAGAGCCCGCATCATCAAGTCAATCCTGAGCCAAAAGAACAAAGCTGGAGGCATCACACTACCTGACTTCAAACTATACTACTAGGCTACAGTAACCAAAACAGCATGGTACTGGTACCAAAACAGAGATATAGATCAATGGAACAGAACAGAGCCCTCAGAAATAATGCCACATATCTACAACTATCTGATCTTTGACAAACCTGAGAAAAACAAGCAATGGGGAAAGGATTCCCTATTTAATACATGGTGCTGGGAAAACTGGCTAGCCATATGTAGAAAGCTGAAACTGGATCCCTTCCTTACACCTTATACAAAAATCAATTCAAGATGGATTAAAGACTTAAACGTTAGACCTAAAACCATAAAAACCCTAGAAGAAAACCTAGGCATTACCATTCAGGACATAGGCATGGGCAAGGACTTCATGTCTAAAACACCAAAAGCAATGGCAACAAAAGCCAAAATTGACAAATGGGATCTAATTAAACTAAAGAGCTTCTGCACAGCAAAAGAAACTACCATCAGAGTGAACAGGCAACCTACAAAATGGGAGAAAATTTTCACAACCTACTCATCTGACAAAGGGCTAATATCCAGAATCTACAATGAACTCAAACAAATTTACAAGAAAAAAACAAACAACCCCATCAAAAAGTGGGCAAAGGACATGAACAGACACTTCTCAAAGGAAGACATTTATGCAGCCAAAAAACACATGAAAAAATGCTCACCATCACTGGCCATCAGAGAAATGCAAATCAAAACCACAATGAGATACCATCTCACACCAGTTAGAATGGCAATCATTAAAAAGTCAGGAAACAACAGGTGCTGGAGAGGATGTGGAGAAATAGGAACACTTTTACACTGTTGGTGGGACTGTAGACTAGTTCAACCATTGTGGAAGTCAGTGTGGCGATTCCTCAGGGATCTAGAACTAGAAATACCATTTGACCCAGCCATCCCATTACTGGGTATATACCCAAAGGACTATAAATCATGCTGCTATAAAGACACATGCACACCTATGTTTATTGCGGCATTATTCACAATAGCAAAGACTTGGAACCAACCCAAATGTCCAACAATGATAGACTGGATTAAGAAAATGTGGCACATATACACCATGGAATACTATGCAGCCATAAAAAATGGTGAGTTCATGTCCTTTGTAGGGACACGGATGAAATTGGAAATCATCATTCTCAGTAAACTATCACAAGAACAAAAAACCAAACACTGCATATTCTCACTCATAGGTGGGAATTGAACAATAAGAACACATGGACACAGGAAGGGGAACATCACACTCTGGGGACTGTTGTGGGTTGGGGGGAGTGGGGAGGGATAGCATTGGGAGATATACCTAATGCTAGATGACAAGTTTGTGGGTGCAGTGCACCAGCATGGCACATGTATACATATGTAACTAACCTGCACATTGTGCACATGTACCCTAAAACTTAAAGTATAATAAAAATAAATAAATAAAAAATAAAAAAATAAAAAATAAAAATGAATAACTACCTGGAAAAAAAAACAATTTACATATATATGCACTTAATAACACATTTCAAAGTATAAGGCAAAAAATATCTGGACTACAGAGAAATGGACAAATCCACATAAATGGAAGATTTTAACATACCTCCTCACTAACTGATATGTCAAACAGCAACAAATCAATAATGATATAAAAATTTGAACAGCACAAGGTTAATTTAATGTGTGTCTATGAAACAATGCATCCAACAACTTGAGAATACACATTCTTTTCAAGCACACACGGTTTATAAAAATTAACCACATTTCAGGCCATAAAATAGATATTGACAAATTTCAGAGAATCTATATCTCATACATTGCAATATCTGACAAAAAAGTTAAATTAACAATCAGCAGCAAAACGAACTATCAAACAAAATTACACATTAGAAAATTCAAAAACATACTTCTAAATTACTCATGGGCTATAGAAGAATAAAAATTAGAAAATACTAAAAAATAGAAAATACATACAACTGAAAGATAACAAAAGAACTACAAATCAAGAATTGTGAGATGCAGATAGAGACAGATTTAGAGCCATTTACAACTTAAATATACATAATTTTTAAATCCAAAGTAAAAGAAGATTTATAGCCTTAAATACTTATAATAAGAAACAAGAAAGGGTGAAAAATTAATGTGCTAAACCTCTGTGATGGTTAATAATGAGTGTCAACTTGATTGGACTGAGGGATACAAAGTATTAATCCTGAGTGTGTCTGTGTGGGTGTTGCCAAAAGTGATTAACATTTGAGTCAGTGGGCTGGGGAAGGCAGATCCACCCTTAATCTGGTGGGCACTATCTAATGAGCTTCCAGCAAATATAAAGCAGGCAGAAAAACGTGAAAAAGGTGAGACATGCCTAGTCTCCCAGCCTACATCTTTTTCTCGAGCTGGATGCTTCCTGCCCTCAAACAATGGACTACAAGTTCTTCAGTTTTGGGACTTGGACAGGGTCTCCTTTCTCCTCCCCTTGCAGACAGCCTATTGTGGGACCTTGTAATCATGTAAGTTAATACTTAATAAACTCATATATATATATATCTCCTATTAGTTCTGTGTGAGTGTGTGTATATATATATATATATATCCTATTAGTTTTGTATGTGTATATATACATATATATATCCTATTAGTTTTTTTTTGTGTGTGTGTGTGTGTGTGTGTGTATCTTATTAGTTCTGTCCCTCTAAGAGAACCCTGACTAATACAACCTTCAACTTAGAAAAGTTAAGAAAAGAGCAAATAGGAATAATATAAAAATTGAGAAGATAAAGACAAGAGGAAGAAATTAATAAAACAGAAAGCAAAGATAGACTAGAAGGAAACAACAGAGCCAAATATTGGTTCTTTGCAAAAACTAATAAAATTGGCATACCTCTGGCAAAAGTGAATGAGAAATACAGAAAGAGGGCACAAATAATATTATGAATCAAAAAGGGACACAACTACAGATGTAGCAGATATTAAAAAGGTAATAAGAGAAATTTACTAAATTCCTTAGGTGAAATAGACATATTCCTAGGAAAGTATGAACTACCAATATGGGCTCAGAGAGATTCAGAAAATCTCTAATTTAGAAATTAAAGATTTAGAAAATCTCTAATGTCCATTAATTATTAAAGAAATAAAATCTACAACATTCTATAATAACCAAGTAGTAGCCACAGTTGCAATTGCTGGGCCAGATATGATAGCTTCATTACAGCAGATTAACACAATATATGACATGTAGTATGCAGCCATTTATCTGGCAAATGCATTCTTTTCCATCCCTATCAGTAAGAAGATCAGAAGCAGTACCCATTTACATAGGTTAGGCAACAATACACATTTACCAGCTGTGAGTGGAGCTCAAAACACCAAAGGGCTCTCCAGCAGGTTCAGGTTGTCATAAAAGTGACCCTATGACTTATGCAATATGATACGGCAAAACTTTTGGTTCTTGGGGTTTCTGTGGTTTGAAAAGACACCATGTGGATTTTATAGAAAGAAATAGTAGAATCATAACATAAGCAGTTCCCCAGGATTCTAAAACAAAGCATGCCATCTTCAGCCAGGAACTATATAACATTCAAACAGCAGCTCTTGGAATACTACTGAGCCCTAGTAGAGACTGAGCATCTGACCATAGAACCTCAAGTTACCCTACAATAAGAAATAACCACATTAAGCTGAGTTCTAACAAATGCAATAATTCATATGATTAGGCAGGTCTGGTAGTACTCCATCATAAGATGGAAATGATACTTCCAGGATTGGACAAAGGCAGGGCCAGGGGGCACAAGCAAATTGCATGACTGTCAAACCCATATCATCCATTTCTCTTCAAACGATACCTGTAGCCCTGTGTTGAGTCCCTAATGGCCAGCTGAAAGAGGGAAAACTAGCTCATAAATGAATCAGCTCAGTATCTCGGTGTGACCCAAAAATGGACTGCTGTTGCATAACAACCCTCCCTTAGGGATGGCCTCGAAAGACAGCGAAGAGGGGAAAATCTTCCCAATGGACGAAGGCAGTATACTAAATCATCCTCTTTGTGTGGACAAGAAGTGACTTGCTGTTAGAAGATATAAGGATTAATAAACAGTGAAGAATACCCTGGCTAATTGGGCAGGCACCTGAAAGAAGAAAGATTGAAAGATCTGGGACAAGAAGATCTGAGTAAAGGCCTGTCTGCAGATGGGTCTATGGAAGTGGCCACAATGTGGATTTTTATGGCATATGTTATGACCCACTAGAAGGAATACCCCCACAAAGAAACACCCAATAACCAAGAAGACAGAATAACAGCCAGTTGACATGACCCAGCTTTTGTTTGGGGACACAGTCCAAAGAAGTTACACCAATTTGCATTTTTCCTATTAGTGTAGAAATTACTTTGTTCCACATCCTCTCCCAAATTTATTTTCAGACTTTCTTTGTTTTTGGAAGGATTGTAGTATGCCTCTTAAAGGCTACACTTCTAAAATCTTCACAATGAAACAGAAGCTGGAACACTTAGTCATACCCACAAGGGTTTCTGCAAGCTTGAGAAGCCTCTTAAAACTACCAAGCTGCTACAGACAATGGGCTGAGCACATGCATTCGCAGATTCAGCTGGAAGTTATTGAAGGCTTAATATATGCCAGGCCCTAGGCTAGTACTACAGACATAAAAGGAATAAACAAGGGAGATTTGGTTCTCTATTTGTATGAAGCTTACATCAGTGGAGACAGATAATATACTAAAATTACACAAATAATCATATAGATAAAATTGTGATAAGTGTCCTGAAAAAAACATAGTGGTCCTGTTTGATATAAAAACATACAGGATGGGGCCCAAAAGTCAAGGAAGTTAGAGAAGGTGTTCCTGAAAAAGTCACATTTAAGCAGAACAGCAAAAAGAGGTTAGCCAGGCAGAGAGAGAGAAACAGAAAGAGAGAGAAAGAGAGAGAGCATGCAAACAAGCACTGCAGATAAAAGTAAGAGAGTATGTGAAAATCCTCACACAGGAAGAGCGAGTAGCATAGCAAAATAAAGAAGGAAGGAGTAGTAGATAAATAGAGCCAGATCACAAAGACCTTGTAGGTCACCATAGGATTTTGGACTCAAGTATAAAAGCCTGGGAAGTTGTCAGAGGATATTTTATTTTTTTATTTTATTTTATTTTATTTTATTTATTTTATTTTATTTTATTTTATTTTTGAGATGGAGTCTCGCTCTGTCATCCAGGCTGGAGTGCAGTGGGGCGATCTCGGCTCACTGCAACCTCCGCCTCCCAGCTTCATGCCATTCCCCTGCCTCAGCCTCCCGAGTAGCTGGGACTCCATGCGCCTGCCACCACGCCCAGCTAATTTTTTGTATTTTTAGTAGAGATGGAGTTTCACCGTTTTAGCCAGGATGGTCTCGATCTCCTGACCTTGTGATCCGTCCGCCTGGGCCTCCCAAAGTGCTGGGATTACAGGCGTGACCCACCGCGCCCAGCCTGTCAGAGGATTTTAAGTGGGAGTGTGGCATGCTCAGATTTGCCTTTCACAAAACAGGTTGCAACATGGAGAATGGACTGGAGAATATCCAAAGAGGATGTGGGAAGCCTGTTAGAGGCTATTGCAGCCATCTAGGAGGTAGCAGCCTACTTAAAGAGAAGATTGTAGAGATGGAGTAATGTGATCCGGTCCCAGATGTACTCTGGAGGTGGAACTGAAAGGACTTAGTGAAAGACAATTTTGGAAGATGGAGTGTAGAAATGAGGAAGATGATGTGTCTCAAATAACTCTTTTTCTGGCATGGACAACTAAGTAGTGTTATTGAGCCCATACTGCTACATACAGCTGTGCGCACTGTAATTAATGCCTCTTAGAGGTCTACCATGTTCTGCCTTTAAAACCACATATGACAGGCATGTCAGGGCCAACTACTGAATTGGAGAACACTAGCAGAGAAGCATATGTGGGGAGAAAAATTAGTTTAGATTTAAACATTTTCATAAAGAAGATAGTCTAACTGAAACTAAGTACGGGTTCACAGCTTATATTCATCTTACTCAAAATTTTCTAAGGCTGTGAATATGGTAGCCACACTCAGCTATTGAGCACTTCAATATGGCCTGCAAATTGAGATAGGCTGTAATTGTAAAATACCTCCTAGATTTCAAAGAAATCCCAGATTTCAAAGATTTTTTTTCAGGAAAAAAATGAGATACCTCATTATTTACACGATTACATGTTAAAATGATAATGTTTCTGACATATTGGATTAAATGTATTATTAAAATTTTACTTTACCTGTTTCTTTTCTTAATGTGATTATAGGAAAATATATAATCATATATGGGACTTACACTGTATTTCTATTTGCAGGGCTGTTAAAAGAAATACCTGAACCATGTATTCACTATTAACCGTCTTCACTAAGTAACGATAGATTGGAAAAGTTCATTGTTAAAACTGGAAAAGGGAAAATAAAGATGTGCTGAAAAATCAGCACCATAATACATAAAGTCATGTATCAAATACAAAGTGAAGGATTAAAATCCCTCATCTACAAATTTCACCTCTTCACCAATACTGAGAATAGTCACAAGTTAGGCAGGAGATGAGATGTCATCAGTGTCTTATCTTTGGTAGGATTGGAAGAGGCTTTTAAATGTCCTGGCAATGTGGAGGTATAAAGGAAAGTAAATTTAGTCATGTTAGGGTAAAATTTAAATAGTTCTGGTCTTTAAAATAGATTTGAAATAGAAGTCATGTGTTGAGATTTGAGGAGGGTCTACATGAAAAACTCTATACACCACTCTGCCCCAGCCATCAAATGTATACCTGAAATCCTGAAAATGCCTTTGTGTTTGTTTAGCTGGAGTTTACAGGAGACTCCTTTTGAAATGAGTATACTCATATCAGGATAAAACATTGAGTCCTACCATTAATTAGTCTCTCACATATACCTTGATTAGAACTACCTTTATCACATTCTTTCCTCAGGCAACTCACTAACATTGAAACATTTAAAAAAAATAGAAATTTTCTTCAGAATACGAAATTCTAAAGGGCATAGCCTTTCAATGGCAAGTTGTGGACAAGTGAACTCTGATTACCTCAGAGCCATGTAGGGCCCCTGTTCAGTACCTGGATGTGAGCATAGGTATGTCAGATAGCAGGAAGATAATGTGAGAAAGAGGCAGCAGTATAGACAGTATCCCAATGTGGCCAGAAATTGTGTGGTCTCCGCTTCAGATTGCAAATTGCTAAAAGAGATCCTATGATCCCAAATAAGCATCTTTAACATTTTACTTCTTAGGAATTTTTTTTCTCATCTATTAAGAATGGAAATCTTTAAAGAAAAAAAAAGAAAAATAGAAAGTAAAAATACATCTACTATATTAAAGTGCAGTAGCAACCAAAACCACAGTCATGGTATTTTGGATAATAATATGTGAATAAGATAATTACAAAAAAATGTTTTAAAGACTAAGGGTCATCCCCACTGAGCCCACCAAACATCTTAATTGGCCTAAGCACCTACCGCTTCGTGCTATTCCTCCATTTATCCAGATGCCAGAAAGAAAAGAAAGCTTCTCTGGAAGGTTCTACATTGTGAATGCTGAGGAAACTAAAATGCATTTTTCATTCCGTAGAGGTTGGAGATGTGCAGAGAACATAATGTGGAAATTGTTGCCAGCTTTGTGAAAGATAAACAGGAAATACCACTGCTGGCCATGTTCAGACTTGAATCACTAGTTCAATGACTGTGACAGGGCCAGACTCAAATGAGTTTTTCCTGTAATAGATTTTACACCACTTTTGATTTGTGTATTCTACTCAATATTATTCAATTACAGATCATCTGACTTCGTAATTCCTCAAGCCTCAGACTTCTCTTTTGTCATCTCCCTGAACACTTACAACCATTTCACTATTTACTAATGTCTGGGTGGGAAGAGGAGGAAGTTAAATTAATATCAATCAATTTCACTTCTTAGCAATACTGGTAAAATATTCATAAGGGGAATAAGCAAGGTTTCTATATTATCTGGGAGTTTTGTTTAACCATATTGGAACAAAAAAATAGGGAAGAATATGTTCATGTTTCTTCATTCCTGCTTAAAAATCTATTGTTTACAAAAAAAATCAATAACTCCTCCCTCAGTCATGAACCTGCTCCTCTGGTCCATAGAGAACTCCTTCCCACCTCAACACCCCCAGCCCTTCCACTATGCCTATTATGGATCTTAATACCTTTTTCATTTTAAAATGGACTTTGCCTGGTTCCCTCCCCATTGATTAACAGTTTATCTGAATTATAGAGCATTTCCTGAGTCATTTCATGGAAGCTCCTGGCTTCTCCCTTAGCATTCAGCAGTGAACAAACTCCACCCCCATCCCACCTCCATTTATTCCTATGATGCTGCAAGTCAATCAGGAATTTTAGACCCCTCATGAGTAAAGGGAATCTGTGTACACCCTACCATATGAGTATAATATGAAGGTAACTGAAGTTCCCAGATTAAACCAAACCATCAGTCCCATCCCAGGACAGACCTGAAAGCTTGCAGTAGCCTGGAGGAAAGCCTGAACTACTGAAGGAACTAATCTCTACTGACAGTACACTAGCATATATCCAACTTTAGTCTTCATTACAACCTGTGAGATAGGTATCATCTCTAATTAAGATATAAGAGAACTGAGGTTCAGAGAGTTTATAGTTGTCCAAAGTCATACAGTTAATAAGTTAATTGAAAGAGCCAGAGTTCTAGATGTAGATGGTTAAAACCCTTTAAACTCTGGACCAGTTATTTTTCAAATAGTCCTACTCTTCAGACCCTAATTCTTTGAAGACACTGCTGTAGGAAGATGAGAGGGTTTGAAAGAAACGGGGAGTGGGTGTAGCAAATGGTGCCTACTCAGCCAGGTTTCAAGAGCACCTTATGTAAAGCACCTCCACTTTAATCTTTTTTATGCATTGGGTTTCCATAAGGTTTATTGGGTGGGGGGAGGTGTTAAATGTATCTTTTTAAAAAAAAATGCATATATATATATATATATATATATATGTATGTATGGTTAATTGATCTAGATCAGTGGTCCTCAAACTTAGATACTCATTAGAATTACTTGGAAAGTCTTTTAAAAAGCCCGTTGCCCTGGCCACACCTGAGACAAATTCTATCAGAATTTCTGAGGGTGGTACCCAGACATCAGTGTGTTTTAGAGTTCCCAGGTGATGCCAATGTGCCAGTTCAAGTTTCAGAACCCCTGCTCCAGGTTAAGAATGCTAAAGATTGACTTAGTCTTCCAAAATACCTTTAAGATCATAAAAGATTTTATAGGCCCACTGACAACCAGCAGTCTTTGGGGGGAAGGAGAAAAGAGATGAGCTGGCCCCTCCCACTGTTTGCCTCCCTGTACTTTCCTTCTGTGGCTATTTTCTTCCCAAGTCTTACCTCTGAATGCCTGTCATCAGCTTCTCCCAAGACTCTTGGTCCTCTGCAGTTGTTTATCCCAAATATGGGTTCTCTCTACTCCCAAGAGAGATGAGTGAACTTAACCAAAGAAGAACAAACTCAAAATGTCAGACCACTAAGAATTTTCTATGACTTTCTCATAGCTTTAATTTCTATTCATTTTTCTGCCTCTTGGTTTTATCTTGTTTATTCAGGATACACTATTCAAAATATACAGCCAATAGGATTATCATATCCTCAAGTTCTGTGCTATCTATGGCCTGGCAAAGAGAAAAACATTACCCAGTTCTTTTATAAAGGTCTATGTCCCTGTGTGTTCACATGAGTTTGTGTCTGTCAGCCCTGCTGGGAAGCAAGACACAAAAATATGGAACATTCCTACTGCCTTTGTGTTTACCTCCCTCATTTTCGAAGGTCCTCCCTGTACAGGGTGTCCTGGCCACTGCCAATCTCCAGACCCAAGCCCATTTTCAACACTAAATACAAATCTTCAAAACTCATCCTGAAAACTCAGACAAATCCAAAAGATGAGACATTGTACAGACCAACTGGCTTGTCTCTTCCACAGCTCCATGTCACATGCCCATACACACACACACAAACACACACACATAAGAAATTCACTATCCTTGATTAGATCCTGACTGAACAAACTGGCTGCAAAAGACAATTTGGGGACAATTGAGCAATTTGAATTTGCAGTACTACAGGACATTAAGAAATTATATAGTTAATTTTAATGGGAGTGATAATAGTATTACAGTTATGCAGAAAATTGTCATTTTTAAGAAAAATATGTAAAGGTGAGATAACACTAGCAAAAAAACACAAAATAATGAAGCAAATATGGCAAAATGTTGACAATTGTTAAATCCAGATGATGTGTATATGGACATTCATTATTCTATTCTGATTACTTCATTTGAAATTTTTCATTGGGAAAAATAATTTTTAAATAGATCATCCTTGAAAAATGGGTATGGCTAGAAAATACTGTCCTTCTTATAATGAAGATAGGAAAACCTCTTTCCATAGGAAAACACTCAGATAATGTGAAACCAGGGTGTGCAAATATACAGAGTGAATAAGACAGCCATAGGACAAGTGGCTACAATCCTAGGCCCTCACACAATCCTCTCTGCCCTTTTATCCATCCTCCAGGAGAAGACAGCATTGTCTTAGGGTATATGTGCATGGCTTCATGCCCAACAAGGAATTAATTGCACAAGAGGTCTTCAGCACAGTCACAGAGTTCCACCATGGCCATGGAGGTTCCACCCCATCTCAGTTAGCTATAAGACTTCTCTTGCGAGAGTTTTTGGATGTCACTATAGTTCCCATTGGTTATTTAACCTCATGCATGCTATATTACATATTTTGGGAGATTTAATGGGATGCAAATCTTCTCCCTACATATAAGTAATATAGGCACTGACTACAACCACAGATGATATCACTTACTACATCCAATAGGACATGGGCTTTGAGGTTTGTTTGTTTTTTTTCCTCTTGATGATGAAGGATTTTTCTCACTCTCTAACCTAGTCTTCCTTAGGCCTGTGACCACATATTTGCCAGGATGGATGAGCCAGGAGTCCCTTTATGGTTTAAGCTAATCGACTTGTATGGGGATCAAACCCATGACCCTGTGCTCATTAGCATCTTGCTCTAACGAACTCCACTCAATCTCAGACCTTACCCATAATCTCCCACCTGACAGAACAGCAGGCTTGACTCAGAAAATATCTGTGTCTGATACTGACTCAGCAACAGAAAAAGTTGTGTGATTTATGAAGCACTTTCTTTATTTCCCAACTGGATACTGACCATATCCACCCTTAGAATGTGCCAAATAATTGCAAAGAAAGCAAAGGTTTTCTGTTTTGAGAAGGATATTCTCAAATGCTCAAAAGCCTAGAATCTCAAATCAAAATATTGTGACCGTTTCTAAGACGGGGGAAAGTCAAAGACCTTATTTTCCTAAATCAAAAAACTGCTGTTTTAGTTCACCAATCCATTAGGACAAGAGTAGGGACAAATCCAGCATCCAGTGAAGTCAGGGCCACCTGATCAACACCAGAGCAAGATCAAGCAGAGAAGCCCTAAAACTGCAAATAAGTTTGAGAGCCATTAAATAATAAAATCCTGGCCTCTTGTCATACTTTTTTCAAGTTAAAAAAATATCATTCCATATAACATTTCTCTTCTAAAAATTATCAAAACAAGTCAGGCCTCCAAGAACCAGAATTTGATAGAAGCATTTAAGGCAAGCAGTGAGAGAAAGGAAAGGGTAAGTAATCAGACATTGCCCTGCCTGCTGTCAGTATCAGGTCACTTGGAAGTCAAGGTAAACCTGAGAGATGTCACAATGAGGTCTCCTCCAGAGAGAGGGGCACACCTTGGCAGGAACAGGCAGGTGAGGCAATGGCCAAAGCAAAAGGCAGATAAGCCAAAGTTTGAGGCAAAGTTCACCAACGGGCGACCTATGGGTTGAATCCAGGTCAGAAATATTTCATTTGGCCTGCATAGTGTTTCTAAATATTAAATCTATTGTTGACACTCAAAGGTCAAGAGATTTCAGTTAAAAATCTAGATAACTATTTTTCTCTGGAAAAATCAGAAGTCCTGGGAGCAACCCCATAAGGAGAAGCTACCCCCATCATCAGGCCACCACAGTCCCACTGCTCCTGATAGTGTTATATTAATCCTGGAATCCTGAGTCACTCATTAGTGCTCCCACCCTGGCCTATATAAGCATTTGAATGTGTCACCCATCGTTTAAGGAGCTCTCAGCTGTCAAAGGTGAGAAAAAAAATCCGGAATCTGGAAGTCAGGGAGGCCTAAGAGTTATCTTTCCTCAACATGTAGGTGCAAGCTAGGGATTTTAAAGCCAGAAAGCTAGGTGAGATGTAAAAGAACCATAAGGACTAAAGCAGCTAGGAAAATCAAGGTGGTACTGCCACAGAACATAGCAGTGAGATGAGATAAAACCTGAAGTGGTCCTGAGAGTGTTTTTATACCTTATGTCAGGAGCAAGGACTGCTAACTAGACTGAGGATGACCTAAGGTGAAAGTAGATGATTGAACACACCTGTTTTCAAAGTGAGACACCCTCAGATGTGTTTTAATGCAGGTCCCAGTGAAAACGAAATGGGAACTGTAGGGACAGGACTAAATAGCTGCTTGCTCTTTCATAAGAAAAGAAAAAAAATGCTGTTGCTTCCATTATATATTGGCTAAAGGGCTAGAAAATGATTTGGTATTACTCCCTAAAGTGGAAAACTCACATACTCTATGACCCAGTAATTTAGTCACTAAGTGTATACCCAAAAGAACCTCTTGCACATGTACAAAAAGAGATATGCACAAGAATGTTCATAGCCATCACTGTACTCAACAGCAATAACCTAGAAATAACCCAATTTCCCATCAACAGAAAAGAGGATGAATAAACTATGTACTAGTCCATTTGCTGATGCTTATAACAGAAAACCTGAAACTGGGTAATTTATAAAGAAAATAAATGTATTTCTTATAGTTCTGGAGGCTGAGAAGTCCAAAGTCAAGAGGTCACATCTGGTGTGGACTCTCTGCATAGTCCCAAGGCAGCAAAGGGCATCACTTGGTAAGGAGGTCAAAAGTGTTTGCTCAGGTCTCCCTTTCTCTTCTCAAAAAGCCACCAGTCCCACTCCCATGATGATGTGGTTTGGATCTATGTCCACACCCAATCTCATGTTCAGTTGTAATCGCTATTGTTGGAGGTGGGGCCTGGTGGGAGGTGATTGGATTATGGAGGTGGATTTCTCGTGAATGGTTTAGCACTATCCCTCTTGGCACTGTCCTTAAGATAGTGAGTGAGTTCTCATGGGTCATTTAAGAGTGTGTAGCACCTACCCCTCGCCCTCTTGCTCCTGTTCCTGCCATGTAAGATGCCTGCTCGCTGTTTGCCTTCCACTATGATTGTATGTTTCCTGAGGCCTCCTCAGAAGCCAAGCAGATATTAGCATCATGCCTCCTGTAGAGCCTTCAGAACCATGAGCAAATTAAACCTCTTTTCTTTATAAATTACCCAGTTTCAGTTATTTCTTTATAGCAATGCAAGAATAGACTAATATGCATGATAAGCAATCAATCTGTTATACCATTAATCCATTAATTCATGAATGAATTAATCCATAATGAGCACAGAACCCTCATGACCCAATCACTTCTTTTTCTATAATTTCTTCTTTTATTTTAGATTCAGAGGGCATATGTGTGGGTTTGTTACATGGGTTTGGGGTACGAATGATCCCATTATCCAGGTAGTGAGCAGAGTACCCAACAGGTAATTTTTCACCCCTTGACCCCCTGCCTCTCTACCCACTTTACTAGTCCCCAGTGTCTATTTTTCCCATCTTTATGTCCATGTGTACCAAATGGTTAGTTCCTACTTATAAGTGAGAACATGTGGTATTTGGTTTTCTGTTCCTGTGTCAATTCACTTAGGATAATGGCCTCCAGCTGCATCCATGTTGCTCCAAATAACACAATTTCATTATTTATTTTTTATGGCTGTGTAGTATTCCATGATGTTTATGTACCACATTTTCTTTATACAATCCACCAATGATGGGCACCTAGGTTGATTCCATGTCTTTGCTATTGTGAATAGTGCTATGGTAAACATATGAGTGCATGTGTCTTTTTTGGTAAAATGATTTATTTTCTTTTGGGTATATACCAAATAATGGGATTGCTGGGTTGAATGGCAGTTCTGTTTTAAGTTTCTTGGGAAATTTCCAAACTGCTTTCCACAGTGGCTGAACCAATTTACATTTCCACCACCAGCATATAAGCATTCCCTTTTCTCCTCAGCCTCACCAGCATCTGTTATTTTTTGTCTTTTAATAATGGCAATTCTGACTAGTGTGAGATGGTATTTCATCGTGCTTTTGATTTGCATTTCTCTGATGATTAATGATGTTGAGCATTTCTTTCATATGTTTATTGGCTACTTGTCTGTCTTCTTTTGATAAGTGTCTGTTCACGTCCTTTGCCCACGTTTTAATGAGGTTATTAGTTTTTGGTTTGTTGAATTGCTTAAGTTCCTTATAGAGTCTGGATATTAGACTTTTGTTGGATACATAGTTTATGAATACTTTCTCCCTTTCTGTAGGTTGTCTATTTAATCTGTTGATAGTTTCTTTGGCTATGCAGAAGCTCTTTAGTTTAACTAGGTACCACTTGTCAATTTTTGTTTTTGTTGCAATTGTTTTTGAGGACTTAGCCAAAAATTATTTGCCAAAGCCAATGTCCAGAATGGTACATCCTAGGTTTTCTTCTAAGACTTTTACAGTTTGAGGCCTTATATTTAAGTCTTTAATCCATTTTTGGTTAATTTTTGTATGTGGTGAAAGGCAGGGATCCAGTTTCATTCTCTGCATATGGCTAACCAGTTATCTCAGCACCACTTATCGAATAGGAAGTTCTTTCCCCGTTGTTTATTTCTGTTGACTTTCTCAAAGATCAGATGGTTGTAGTTGTGCAGCTTTATTTCTGGGATCTCTATTCTGTTTCATTGGTGTATGTGTCTGTTTTTGTACCACTACCTTATAGTATAAACAAGTTGGATAATGTGATGCCTCTAGCTTCATTCTTTTTACTTAAGATTGCTTTGTTTATTCAGGCTCCTTTCTGGTTCCATATGAATTTTAGAATTGTTTTTATCTAATTCTGTGAGAAATGACACTGGTAGTTTGATAGGAATAATGTTGAATCCATAAGTTTCTTGGGGCCAGTGTGGACATTTTAAAGATATTGATTCTTCCAATTCATGAGCATGGAATGCTTTTTCATATGCTTATGTTATCTATGATTTCTTTCAGCAGTGTTTTGTGGTTCTCCTTATAGAGATCTTTCACCTCCTTTGTTAGATGTATTCCTAGGGGTGTGTGTGTGTGTGTGTGTGTGTGTGTGTGTGTGTCTACTCTAAATGGGACTGCATTCTTGACTTGGCTCTCAGCTTGAATGTTATGCACAGAAATACTACTGCAAATCACCTCCTAAAGGCCCCACCTCTAAATACCACCACATTGGGGATTAAATTTCAATATGAGTTTTGGAAAGAACAAATATTCAAGCCATAGCAAGCTGTTATATTCACACATTGAATATTACAGAGCAGTCAAAAGGTATGAATGACTATAATATGCAACAATATGGATGATTCTGAGCAGTATAATACTGAATTTTAAAAATGTACTTCAAAAGATTATAAACAACACAATCCCCTATTTTTTAGTTAAAAACAGCAAGGGGGCAGGGAGAGAGAGAGAGAGAATGCATACAGATGCAATAAAACTATATAAAAAGAAAAGCAAGCAAATAGAAACATAGGGTCCAGAATGATGATTAGTTCAAATAGGGGTAGGCAGAGAGATAGGTTGGTGAGGTATAAAGACAGATTACTGTCAAGATCCCAGATTTTGTTTAGGGTAGGTTCTTGGGTACTTATATATTAAAAATTATATTATATTAAAATGAAAAGTACAGATCCTGAAAATGCCCTTCGGAATCTAGTTTGATGTAAATTGGTAGTCTTCCCCTAATATAAGAGGTCTCTTGGGAATAAATAATCACTTTAGAGTTAGTTTTGTTTGAGATGCCCCTAGTTTTTTAGAAAATCAGGCACACAAGTTGGTTGTTGTCCTGCAGCTCCACAGTTGCTAACCAACATCTACTAAATCATAGTAAAATTAGAGTACATGGTCTCTAAATTCCCTTTGAGTTCTAAAATCTGTGGTTCTACAGCTCGAAATTATGTCCTATAGATGCTTAAAGCAGTGTTTTTCAGTCCTCAAGGATACTAAAAAGGTACTCATTTAGGGAGGGAGAGATGGGGGTAATAAAAGAGAGATTGAGTAGACAGAATCCAACGCAAGCCTTCTTCAGACACAATAGCTCCTTTTTGTATGTTTTATAAATTGGGCTCTCTCCTAAGAGGGTTCTATCACATAAAACAAACCAAAGGGGTGGAGGGAGTAGTGAAAAACCACCACTCTAAATAACAATACTCCATTAGCAGGATAAATTTTCAGTCTCCATGTAAGTGTTTATAAAAGGATCCCCTTGTGTCAGGGAGATCCTTCAGGCCATTTCAACCATTACTGTATTTTATTTAATTTGCTTAATTGATATATTCTTAGAAAATTATGTCAGTGAATTTTTTTAAATAAAATCCAATTTTTAAAAACCAGTAGACCCAATTTTTTAAGAAAAAAATCCTTGTCCTATTTACTTTTGATAATATTTTACTATTCGGGGTATGGTATCTGTAAAATAAAAACATAATTATAATGTGTTACTTGGAAGGATTGCATGTTCAAGATAACTGAAGCTGAAAATGTTAAGTTGAAAACTTTCCCCAAAAAACAAGCATTTAATCATTTTAAGGCAATCTTTCTATGGCAGAGATGCTCATCGCTCATTAAATATTTATATGTCTTTCCTTACTTTCCAACCAACTTTCACTAAGCAGGGCCATATGACTACTTCTGGCCAATGAGCTATGAGAAGAAGCTCTATGTGTCACTTTCAGTCCCAAGAATTGCAGGCCCTCTAGCTTCCTCTTCCTGCGCCAGGGAAATCAAGAAAATAGATGATTTGATGGAACACAAAATGGAAGCTGCCTGGATCTCTAAGTCACTATACGGAGAGGAGTACACTGGAAAATTGTCCAAGCATCAAAGAAATTTGCATGAGAGAGAAATAAATCTGTGTTGTGTTAAGCCACTAAGATTTTAAGGTTAGTTGCTGACCTCAGACTAGCCTAGTATATCACTTACAACATATACTCTAGCATACTTTCCTATGCTTCTTCATTTAAATAAATTGAGGATGCATAGGAAACTTCATGTAGACCAGTGGTCAGCAAACTTTCTCTGTAAAGGACTAGAAAGTAAATATTTTAGGTCATATGTCTCTATCCTAACTACGCAATTCTGCCATGGTAGTTCAAAAGCAGCCATAGATAGATAATATGTGAAAAAAAAAACTGGTATGGTTATATTTCAATAAAACCTTATTTACAAAAGCAGAGAGCAGGCCAGATCTGGTCCCAGGGCCATAGTTTGCCAACTCCTGCTATAGATATTTAAACCTTTCCTTTATGATCTCTGAATATGTAGCCTCAAAAAGTAAAGACATAAGGAACCCACAAGAGTTATCCTATATATTTAAAGAGCAATCATATGAAAAAGGGAATAAACACTATCTCTATTTATTCATTCAATAAATAAATATTAATGGAATACCTACTTGTGAACCATGCATTGTACTAAGCACTATGGATATAGCACTGGACAAGACAAATAAAATCCCTGCCTTTATAGAGCTTATTTCTTGTGGAAGTAAGGAAAAGAAAAAAAGAACTGTTAATAATGACACCAGGGTAGTGTATGAAACATAAAACAGGGCCTCTATCCTGGTATAGGACTACCAGAAGAAGTTAAATCTGTGCTGCAACCTAAAGGATTAGCAAGAGTTAGCCAAGTAAAGTGGGGAGACAGAGTAGGAATTCCGGAAAAAGAAAAATAAATGTGCAAAGGCAAGGAGGCAAGTAAAACCACTGCACATATGACAAACTGAAAAAAGTAGTATGACATGCACAAAGGTTCAAGGTCGAGAGTGAAAGCCAAGGCTGGAGAGAGAGCTGGAAGAAAGATCATAGAGGGGGACCTGTGAGCTACTTTAAAGGACTGAACTTTATCCTAAGGATAAAGGAGTGCCTAATAAGGGTTCCAAACAGGAGAATGACAGGAGATTTGTGTTTTTGTGTTTCAAAAAGTTCACTCTGGAGGTAGTATGGAGGCTGAAAGTAAGGAGATCAGAAGACCTGTTAGAAAATTATTGTCCTAATTCTGATAGAATGCTTATCACCTGTACTAGGTGCAGATGAGAATTGAAAGTAGTAGAAGGAGGACTTCTGCTTCCAAAAGAAGTCAGAGAAACTGTAGTTATTGGTATAGGTGTACTGTCCCTCCATAAATGACCACAGAACCATAAAACTGGGCAAAACAGGCAACTATTTTCAGGCATTGGGAAGGGGGCAGTGTAAGACTGCAATCTCTGAGAGAATAAAAACTCACAAAGTAATCCCAATTTCCCATCTCTTTGTGCCAGGACAACTCCCAACCACAGTAAAGTGAGCTAGAGTCCAAGCAGAGGACAGCAGTCTTACTGAGATAAGAAGGCAGAATTCAAAGTGCTAAAAGTTAAAACATGCAGGGCAGGGCACCAGAGAGGAAGAAACCATGCAACATGGGGTCCTCAAAGTCCGTGTAGGAGCCCCCTGCAAGTACATTGCTGAGAGATGGGCTGTACGTGGGCAGGACAGCACTACCCAAAGCTTATAGAGTGGCTGCTATAGGATTAAAAACATAAAAGATGTATGAGATTTTGAGCATTGTTGGAAGATACTGGCATTCTGGCACAGCCAGGGAAGAAAAAAAAAAAACCCATGAACACCTTATTAATCTTTGGAGCATCCAGCAGAGATATCAGAAAGGCTTTACCTTAGGACCACACCATAGAAAATGCATTCGCAACAAGGGGAATATCATCCCCAACGGATGAAAATTAGTTCTTGGCAGGGAGGCGGGGAGCAAAAAGAATCTTAGATATTACAATGCTTTGTACCTCTTCAAAGAACCACAGTACATAAACAGATATAGAGTTATATCTGTGGTATTAAAACTTCATGGAGGAGGGGGGAGCAAAACTGGGAAAAAAATGTCTTAAAAATCTCTTTTATAGTAATGAAAAAAAAGATAGAGAAACACTGCCCTATGAATACAGACTAAACTAGTCCAAGAAAAGCCTAGAACTAAGTCTTGACAAGATCTTCAGAGGAAGTAATTTGTAAGTTAAGTCCTAGTAATTTATAGGGGCTTAGGCAGCACCTAGAGCTTTCCACAGAACCATTCCAGCAAAGCATAAAACCATGCCTATCTAAGTTCAATGTGATCAGCCAATAATTCTACTGCCTTCTAAACAAACAAAACACACACACATGAAACTCTTCAGAGAAAAATAACAGATTTGAGTGTCTGCAATATATTGTCTACAATGTCCCTCATACAATAAAAAAATGACTAGATCCACAAAGAAAAAAGGAACACGTGATCCACAGTTTTTTTTAAAAAAGTAATCAATAGAAACCAATCCCAAGATGCCGCAAGTGTTGGATTTACAGAAGACTTTCAGACAGCTATTTTAAATATGTTCAAGGAATTAAGAGAAAATATGTTCAAAGAATGAAATGAAAATATCGTCTTGATATATGTACATTTTTTTCCAAGATGGCAGATTGGAGTTATTGGTGGCATGCTTCTTCCATTTGGAAAGACAAAATAGTGCACAGAGATTCACACTGTGAACTTTTCTCCAAGAAGCAATACAGGAACTTAACAGGAAAACTAAAAGAAACCACAGACCCTTTGAATGAAGTGGCAGGCTTCAGCCTACACCATGAGCCAGGCAGAAAACCGTAAGTCCCCTGAATGTGAGAGAGGGATAAACTACCTCCAGGATATACACTCCTACTGGGGAACCTGGCAACCCAAGCACAGGGGAAGGCCTTAACCCTATACAGCACTGGAGCTGTTATAGGGAGCAGTAGGGAGTATATGAGAAAGAGTAACATTGAGACATGCTTTGTGTGCATTCCCAGTCTCCAGGAGAGATAGAGGGAAGCCATTCCTGATCCTACCTCACAGGGGAGGGACCTCACAGAAGTCTGCCAGCTGACACAGGCAGTGGTCACAGTGAGAGGTGACAGCATGTTGGCAGTCTTCACAGCCCTCACTCGCTCTCAGTGCCTCCTCTGCCTGGGCTCCCACTTTGGCGGCACTTGAGGAGCCCTTCAGCCCACCGCTGCACTGTGGGAGCCCCTTTCTGGGCTGGCCAAGGCCAGAGCCCACTCCCTCAGCTTGCAGGGAGGTGTGGAGGGAGAGGCGCGAGTGGCAACCGGGACTGCGTGCGGTGCTTGCGGAACAGCTGGAGTTCCGGGTGGGCGTGGGCTTGGCGGGCCCGCACTTGGAGCAGCCGGCCAGCCCTGCCAGCCCTGGGCAATGAGGAACTTAGCACCCAGGCCAGTGGCTGCGGAGGGTGTACTTGGTCCCCCAAAAGTGCCAGCCCACCAGCGCTGCGCTCGATTTCTCACCAAGCCTTAGCTGCCTTCCTGCGGGGCAGGGCTCGGGACCTGCAGCCCGCCATGCCTGAGCCTCCCACCCCCTCCATGGGCTCCTGTGTGGCCTGAGCCTCCCCAATGAGTGCCACCCCTTGCTCCACGGCACCCAGTCCTATCGACCACCCAAGGGCTGAGGAGTGCGAGCGCACAGCACAGGACTGGCAGGCAGCTCCACCTGCAGCCCCGGTGCGGGATCTACTGGGTGAAGCCAGCTGGGCTTCTGAGTCTGGTGGGGACATGGAGAACCTTTATGTCTAGCTCAGGGATTGTAAATACAGCAATCGGCACTCTGTATCTAGCTCAAGGTTTGTAAACACACCAATCAGCACCCGTGTCTAGCTCAGGGTTTGTGAATGCACCAATTGACACTCTGTATCTAGCTACTCTGGTGGGGCCTTGGAGAACCTTTGTATTGACACTCTGTATCTAGTTAATCTAGTGGGGACATGGAGAACCTTTGTGTCTAGCTCAGGGATTGTAAACGCACCAATCAGCGCCCTGTCAAAACAGACCACTCGGCTCTACCAATCAGCAGGATGTGGGTGGGGCCAGATAAGAGAATAAAAGCAGGCTGCCCGAGCCAGCAGTGGCAACCCACTTGGGTCCCCTTCCACGCTGTGGAAGCTTTGTTCTTTCGCTCTTTGCAATAAATCTTGCCACTGCTCACTCTTTGGGTCCACACTGCTTTTATGAGCTGTAACACTCACCACGAAGGTCTGCAGCTTCACTCCTGAAGCCAGCGAGACCACAAGCCCACTGGGGGGAACGAACAACTCCAGACGCGCTGCCTTAAGAGCTGTAACACTCACCGCGAAGGTCTGCAGCTTCACTCCTGAGCCAGTGAGACCACGAACCCACCAGAAGGAAGAAACTCCGAACATCAGAAGGAAAAAACTCCAGACACACCACCTTAAGAGCTGTAACACTCACTGTGAGGGTCCGCGGCTTCATTCTTGAAGTCAGTGAGACCAAGAACCCACCAATTCCGGACACAACAGGTTGGGAGAAGCCCCCAGTTAAGATTCACAATATAATCTCAAGTACGGATGAACTCCCTTGGCCAGAACTGAGGGGTGAGTGGGAAGTGGGCTGAAGCCACAAGCACAGAAGCAGTGTGCCCCTGCTTCTAGGGCAGGCTGGGAGGGGCATGGCCTGGGCACAGTGGTTTCTGTCTCCATGGAGAAAGCTTATGGCCTGGGGAAGTTTTGAGTCCTGATGCAGACTGCCTGGAAACTAGCTAGCTGCTGCTAGTGGAACACTGCAAGTGTGAAAACAGCCTTGCCAAGTGCATAGGAGCTAAGTAGGGCTTACTGTCACCTGCTACTCCCCACTCCCCATGAAGACTCTTCTGTACAACAGAGGCAGTTGTGCTCCTCCCTGGAACATTACCCCAGCAGCTAGAGAACTGCCCTACAATCCCCTCTGGAGCCACTGCTTGTGCCCACACGTGGAGAGCCAGAACACATACTTGCCTGACCCAGCGCCCACGACTTGGCTTTGCCCCTCCATGTGTCCTAGTAGCTTAACACAAATGATGGAACTTTTGGGGAGCTCTATGTCCCAATCCATTGTCTGAGTACCTCCCCTGGGTAACATAAAGCAAAGAAAAATACTATCATCATTCTTCACAAAACTAGAAAAAAAAATCCTAAAATTTATATGGGACCAAAAAAGAGCCTACATAGCCAAAGCAAGGCTAAGCGAAAAGAATAAATCATATTGTTCTTGAGGCATCAAATTACCCAGCTTCAGACTATACTATAAGGCCATAGTCACCAAAACAGCACGGTACTGGTATAAAAATAGGCACATAGACCAGTGGCTATGTGCCAATAATAGATGTTGGCATGGATGTGGTGAAAAAGGAGCAATTTTACACTGCTGGTGGGAATGTAAACTAGTAAAACCACTATGGAAAACAGTGTGGAGATTCCTTAAAGAACTAAAAGTAGATCTACCATTTGATCTAGCAATCCCATTACTGGCTATCTACCCAAAGAAAAAGAAGTCATTATATGAAAAAGATACATGCACACACATGTTTATGGCAGCACAACTCACAATTGCAAAAATATGTAACAGCCCCAACGCCCATTAATCAATGAGTGGATAAAGAAAATGTGGTGTGTGTGTGTGTGTATATATACGTATATATATATATATATATATATATATATATATATATATATATATATATATATTTATATCATGGAATACTGCTCAGCCATAAAAAGGAACGGAATAATGACATTCACAGCAACATGGATGGAATTGAAGATTATTATTCTTGCGTGTGTGTGTGTGTATGTGTGTGTGTGTGACGGAGTTTTGCTCTTTTTTGCCCAGGCTGGACTACAATGGTGTGATCTCAGCTCACTGCAACTTCTGCCTCCCAGGTTCAAGCAATTCTTTTCCCTCAGCCTCCCAAGTAGCTGGGATTACAGGCCCACGCCAACACACCCAGCTAATGTTGTATTTTTAGTAGAGACGGGGTTTCACCATGTTGGCCAGGCTGGTCTCAAACTCCTGACCTCAGGTGATCTGCCCATCTCAGCCTCCCAAAGTGCTAGGATTACAAGCATGAGCCACTGCACCTAGCTGGAGATCATTATTCTAAGTTAAGTAACTCAGGAATAAAAAAGCAAACATCGTACGTTCTCACTCATAAGTGGGAGCAAAGCTATGAGGATGCAAAGGCCTAAGAGTGATATAGTGGACTTTGGGAACTCCAAGGAAAGGGTGGAAGTGGGATGAGAAATAAGAATACACATTCAGTGTAGTAGTGTATACTGCTTGGGTGATGGATGCACCAAAATCTCAGATATCACCACTAAAGAACATATCCATGTAACAAAACACCACCTGTTCCCTTAAAATCTATTAAAATAAAAATTTAAAATTTAAAAATAAATAAAAAATAAATCTGTATATTTGCTCATGGAAACAACAACAACAAAAAATCCACTGCTACCACCACAGCTGGCACTCTTTTGCAAGTGCCACCACCTACTAGAAGCCAACCAACACAGTCCATTACACCATCTGCAGTTAAAATGACACAGCGCCCAGGCCAGAGAAAACTTGTGCATGACCTCAGCTTTCACCATTGCCTGCATCACCCTAGCTAATGAGAAGGTCCTGGTCTGTCCACATGACCAGTTCATTACTACTACAGCCAACATTTGAGAAAGCCAACACACTAAGGCTATGTATACCCAAAGGATCTCACAGAGTCTATGTCACTCCCCTGCCACCTGCATCAGAGCTAGTGCTGGTACCTGCTGCTCAGAGACTTGAGGACAGTTCACATCACTGGAACCCTTGCAGACATTCCCTAGCACCAGCTTGGAGTGTGACAGCCCCACTGGGTGGCTAAACTAAGAGGAGCAGCATCATTCACAGTAATCTGGCCCTCAGGGACTCCTATTCCTGCAGAAAGGGGGACTGCACCACATCAAGGGAGCACCCCATGGGACAAAAGAATCCAGATGGCAGGTCTTGAGTCCCAGAACTTTCTGCTTGTGGGAAGTTTCTTTCAGCAGAGGCAAAAGTGAAGTGCTGCACTCCACAGGGAAAGTCTGCAGCTCTATCCAATACTTGGGCAGCCCTGGTACTCATGAAGGGTCTTGGAGAAGGGGACTTCTTCTCCCCCTCATCCACCATTGCAGATACAGCTGGGGATTCTTTCATGGGAGCTTCGTGTGGGTACACCTATAGACAGCCTTTCTGAAATGGTTCAGAGTAACTCCTTCCTCACAGGAGGAGTGCCCTCCAGGTTCAGGCTTGCACAAGGAGTAGAGTCACAATCCCTATCTACTTAGAGAATCAACATTCTTGGAGATGGAAAGAGGCACCTGTCTGATGTGAATAGCTAGAACACTGGGTCAGGAGTATGACTGGGAGGTAGATTGCTTTCCTGCTGGCCTGGCTGGGAAGCTAATGTGGCTGCCTAAATTTCCCCTGCAGAGAACTCACTGTGTTTCACTGAGAGCTCCCCCAGCCTCCTCTATCAAGGCTAGGACCTCTGCCCACCACTGGGTATTGCATTTACCCACCTGCTTTGGCCACACTGGTTTTTTACCCACAGACACCTCCCCTACTGGCCTGAAGCCTGAATTCTTCAACCCAGTAAGTAAAATACTGGGGAAAAAAATAAATTAAAATGTGCACATCACTGGGGAATAAGATAAGCTTCAAGAGACCTCTGCCATTTCAACCCCACAAGAGACTATGAACCTGCTCACACACTGAACACATTGCTACTACAATCAACATCTGAGAAAGCCATAATACAAAGACTATCTATAATCAACGAATTTCATACAGAGTCTTCACCCCTGAAAGCACCAAGAGCTTCATTAGGCTAGAATAAACTGTAAATACTAAAGTCGCATCATCAAGAGGGAAAAAAAAGAAAACACAGTAGAATCAAAAATAAATTCAAGAATAATTAGAAAAAATTATCTATCCAAAAGAGAAGAAACCAGAAAATGATTCTGGAAATACGAAACAGGGTTCTATAACAACCCCCAAAAGGTCACAGTAGCTCTCCAGCAATGAATCCAAACCAAGAAGTAATCTTTGAAATACCAGATAAAAAAAATCAAAAGGTTGATTATTAAGCTACTTGAGGAGATATAAGAGAAAGATAAAAACCAACATAATTTTTTTATTTAAAAAATCAGGATGTGAATGAAAAATTCTCTAAAGAAATAGATATTTTAAAGGAAAACCAATCAAAACTTCTGGAAATTAAAGACACATTTGGGGAATTACAAAATGCAGAGGAAAGTTTAAAAAGTAGAATAGACCAAGTAGAAGAATTTTAGAGCTTGAAGACAAGGCTTTTGAATTAACCCAATCAGACAAAAATAGAAATAAAAAAGAATTAAAAGAAATGAACAAAGTCTCTAGGAAATATGGGATTATGTAAAATGGCCAAACCTAAGAATCACTGGTGTTCCTGAGGGAGAAGAGAAAGCAAAAAGTTTGGAAAACTTATTTGATGGAATAATTGCGGAAAAGTTCCTTGGCCTTGCTAGAGATTTAGGTATCCAAATACAAGAATCTCAAAGAACTCCTAAGAGAGTCACTGAAAAAAGGGCATGACCAAGGCATATGGCCAACAGGCTTCAGAAGTAGACATGAAGGAAAGAATTCTAAGAGCAGTGAGACAACAGTATCAGAAAACTTATAAAGGAAAACCTATCAGACTAATAGGAGACTTCTCAGCAGAAACCTTACAAGCCAGAAGGAGTTGGTGTCCGCTTTAGCCTCTTAAAAAGAATAACTATCAACCAAGAATTTTGTATCCAGCAAAACTAAGTTTCATAAATTAAGGAGAAATAGTCTTTTTCAAACAACCAAATTCTGAAGGAGTTTGTCACTACCACACCAGCCCTACAACAAATGATAAAAGGAGTTCTAAATCTTGAAACAATAGGTCAATATGCTCCATAATAGACCTCTTGAAAGCATAAAACTCAAGGACCTTGGTATGGTTTGGCTGTGTCCCCATCCAAATCTCATCTTGAGTTGTAGTTCCCATAATCCCCATGCACTGTGGAAGGAACCCAGTGGGAGGTATTTGAATCATGGGGGCAGTTACCCCCATGCTTCTATTCTCATGATAGTGAGTGAGTTCTCACAAGATCTGATGGTTTTCTAGGGAGGTTTTCCCCACTTCACTCTGCACTTCTTGCTGGCACCATGTGAAGAAGGATGTGTTTGCTTACTGTCAGTTTCCTGAGGCCTCCCCAGCCACACTGAACTGTGACTCAATTAAATCTCTTTCCTTTATAAATTACCCAGTCTTGGGTATGTCTTTATTAGCAGCACAAGAATGGACTAATACAGTAAATTGGTAACGGGAATGGGGCGCTGCTGTAAAGATACCTGAAAATGTGGAAGCGACTTTGGAACTAGGTAACAGGCAGAGGTTGGAACAGTTTTGAGAGCTCAGAAGAAGACAGGAAAATGTGGAAAAGTTTAAAACTTCCTAGAGATTTGGAGGGCTTAGAAGACAGGAAGATGTGGAGAAGTTTGGAATATTTTAGGACTTGTTGAATGGCTTTGACCAAAATGCTGATATAAACAATGAAGTGCAGGCTGAGGTGGTCTCAGATGGAGATGAAGAACTTGTTGGGAACTGGAGTAATGGTGGCTCTTGGTACACAAAGAGACTGGTGGCATTTTGCCCCTGCCCCAGAGATCTGTGTAACTTTGAACTTGAGAGAGATGATCTAGCGTACTTGGCAGAAAAAACTCCTAAGGGGCAAAGCGATCAAGAGGAAGCAGAGCATAAAAGTTTGGAAAATTTACAGCCTAATGATGCAATAGAAAAAAAAATTTGTGGGAGAAATTCAAGCCAGCTGCAGAAACTTGCAAAAGTAACAAGGGGCCAAATGTCAACCATCAAGACAACGGGAAAAATGTCTCCAGGGCATGTCAGAGACCTTCATGGCAGCCCCTACTATTACAAGCCCAGAGGCCTAGGAGGGAAAAATGATTCTGTGGGCCATGTACAGGGCCCCCATGCTCTATGCAGCCTCAAGACATGATGCCCTGCATCCCAGCTGCTTCAGCTCCAGCTATGGCTAAAAGGAGGCTAAGTACAGCTCAGGCTGTTGCTTCAGAGAGTGCAAGCACAAAGCCCTGGTGGCTTACATGTGGTGTTGGGCCTGCGGGTGCACAGAAGTCAAGAACTGGGGTTTGGGAAGCTCTGCCTAGATTTCAGAGGATGTATGGAAACACCTGGATATCCAGGCAGACGTTTGCTGCTTGAATGGAGCCCTCATGGAGAACCTCTGCTAGGGTGATGTGGAAGGGAAATGTGGTGTCATAGCCCCCACACAGAGGCCCCACTGGAGCACTGCCTAGTGGAGCTGTGAGAAGAGGGCCACTGTCCTCCAGATACCAGAATGCTAGATTCACCAACAGCTTACACCATGCGCCTAGAAAACCACAGACACTCATCACCAGCTGTGAAAGCAGCTGGGAGAGGGGCTGTACCCTGCAAAGTCACAGGGGTGGAGATGCCCAAGACCATGGATGTCCACCTTCTGCATCAGCATGACCTGGATGTGAGACATGGAGTCAAAGGAGATCATTTTGTAACTTTAAGGTTTAATGACTGCCCTATTAGATTTCAGACTTGAAAGGGGTTGTATCCCCTTTGTTTTGGTCAATTTCTCCCATCTGGAATAGTTGTATTTACCCAATGTCTGTATCCCCATTGTATCTAGTAAGTAATTAACTTGCTTTCAATTTTACAGGCTAATAGGCAGAAGGGACTTGCCTTGTCAGATGAGACTTTGGACTTGGACTTTTGGGTTAATGTTGGAATGAGTTAAGACTTTGGGGGACTGTTAGGATGGCATGATTGTGTTTTGAAATATGTGGACATGAGATTTGGGAGGGGCTAGAGGCAGAATGATATGGTTTGGCTGTGTCTCCACACAAATCCCGAGTTATAGTTCCCATAATCCCTATGTGTCATGGGAGGGACCCAGTGGGAAGTAATTGAATCATGGGGGCAGTTACCCCCATGCTGCTGTTCTTATGATAGTGAGTCAGTTCTTACCAGATCTGATGGTTTTATAAGGTGTTTTTCCCTATTATCCTCAGCACTTCTCCTTGTTGCCACCATGTGAGGAAGGACATGTTTTCTTTTCCTTCTCCCATGACTGTAAGCTTCCTGAGGCCTCCCCAGCCATGCTGAACTGTGAGTCAATTAAACCTCTTTCCTTTATAAACTACCCAGTCACAGGTATGTCTTTATTAGCAGTGTGAGAACAGACTAATACAGACCTATAAAACAACCGCACAGTGGAGAAAGCAAAGCATCTGGGCAACATCAACATGATGACTGAACAGTACACACATCTCAGTATTAACATTGAATGTAAATTGTCTAAACGCTCCACTTAAAAGATACAGATTGGCAGAATGGATTTTAAAAAAATCACAGCCAAATATCTGCTGTCTTCAAGAGATCACCTTAAATGTAAGGGTTCTAATAAACTCAAGGTAAAGGGGTGGAAAAAGTTAATCCATGCAAATGGAAGCTAAATGCAAGCAGGAGTAGCTATTCTGATGTCAGATAAAACAGACTAAAGCAATAATAGTAAGAAAAAAAGGGGGGGCAAAAAAGGTCACAAGAAGACATTATAATCCTAAATATATGTGCACCTAACTCTGGCGCTCCCACATTCATAAAACAGTTACCACTAGACCTAAGAAAACAGATAGATAGCAACACAATAATAGTGGGGAACTTCAATGCTCCACTGACAGCACTAGACAGATCATAGAGGCAGAAAGTCAACAAAGAAACACCGGACTTAATCTACACTATAAAAAAAATTGACCTAATAATATTTACAGAATATTCTACCCAAGAATTGCAGAATATACATTCTTCTCATTAACACATGGAACATTCTCCAAGATAGACCATATGACATGCCACAAAACAAATCTCATTAAGTTTTTTAAAACTGAAATCAAATCAAGTATCTTCTCAGACCACAATGGAATAAAACTAGAAATCAACTTCAAATGGAACCCTCAAAACTACACAAATACATGGAAATTAAGCAATCAGCTCCTGAATGATTTTTGCGGTAGCAATGAAATCAAAATGGAAATATAAAAATGATTCAAAATGAATAATAATAGTGACACAAGGTTTCAAAACCTCAGAATACAGCAAGAGCAGTGCTAAGAGGAAAATTATAGGTCTAAATGCTTGCATCAAATAGCCTGAAAGATTACAAATTAATAACCTAATGTCACATCTGAAGGAACTAGAGAAACAAGAACAAACCAAACCCAAAGCTAGCAGAAGAAAAGAAATAACAAAGATCAGAACATAACTAAATGAAATTGAAACCAAAAAACCAATAAACCAAAAAGTTGGTTCTTTAAAAATATAAACAAAACAGAAGAGAGAAGATTCAAATAAGCTCAATTAGAAATAAAAATGGAGACATTACAACCAATAGCACGGAAATACAAAAAAAATTTCGAGACTACTATGAACACTTCTATGCACATAAACTAGAAAATCTAGAGGAAATGGATAAGTTCTTAGAAATATACAACCCTCCTAGCTTGAATAAGTAAGAAATAGAAACCCTGAATAAACAAATAACAAGCAGTAACATCGAATCAGTAATTTTTAAAAATTGCCAACAACAAAAGAAAAAGCCCAGGGCCAGAGAGATTCATAGGGGAAATCCATCAGACATTCTAAGAAAAATTGGTACCAATTCTACTGAAACTATTCCAAAAGATTGAGAAAGAAGGAATCCTCCCTAACTCATTCTATGAAGCCAGTGTCACCATGATACCCAAACCGGGAAAGAACAGAACAAAAAAAGAAAACTACAGACCAATATTCCTGATGAACATTAATGCAAAAATCCTCAACAAAGTACTAGCAAATCGAATCCAACAGCACATCAAAAAGATAATTCACCATGATCAAGTGGGTTTTATCCCAAGGATGCAGAGATGGTTTTGCATTCACAAGTTAATACACAACCACATTTATGTGTACTCAGAATAAATGAGTATGCAGTAAAGTAGATACCCAGCAATCCCACTACTAGGTATCTACCCAAAGGAAAAGAAGTCATTATATCAAAAAGACACTTGCATGCATATGTTTATCGCAGCACGGTTCAAAATTGTAAAGGTATAAAACCAACCTAAGTGTTCATCAACAGATAAGCGGATAAAGAAAATGTGGTATTTATACACCATGGAATACAACTCAGCCATAAAAAGGAATGAACTAATGTACTTTGAAGCAACATGGACAGAGCTGGAGGCCATTATTCCAAGTAAAGTAACTCAGGAATAGAAAACCAAATACTGTATGATCTCACTTATAAGTGGGAGCTAAGCTGTAGGTATGCAAAGGCATACAGCTTGGTATAATGGATTTTGGAGACTCAGAAGCGGAGAGGGTGGGAGAGGGGTGAGGGATTAAAAAAACCACATATTGGGTACAATGTCCAGGGACAGGTACACTAGAATCGTAGGCTTTACTACTGTACAATTTATTCATGTAAACAAAACCACTTGTACCTCAAAAGCTATGGAAATGAGTTAAATATAGATAAATTTAAAAACTAAAAAATGAACATACATAAAGAACAATGACAGAAAAAGAAAACATGGTCTTGATTCATAAACAAATGAGAATCTCAGCAAATAAATTGAAACTATAAAAAAATTAAATTCTAAAACTGAAAAGTAAAATACTTAAAAGAAGTAGACAGATCTGAAAGATATTTTAGGAGTTATATATTAAGAATATTCAACAGTGGTGAATGGTGGGTGATAAAGAAGAATTCCCAAGATTTTGCCGAGACAACTATGTAGGTAGTAATTCCATTTATTGAGATACGTAACTCTGCGAAAAAGCAGGTTAACATTGTTCCAAAAGTCAGAAACCAACGTGCTACTCTGTGGTGATTGTAAAGGCTAGGTGATAGGATGATCTAGAACAACCATAGCTATACAACAATGCAGCTGATTTTGTTGTTAAGTAGGGAGTATCCTTCACAGGAAACTAATGACAGAAAATTAATAAACTAGAGATTCTATTATAGAAGAGAATAAAACTACAAGGGATAGAAGATTGGAGCAGATATCATATCAGTCCTCTTTTAAAATTAAGTTTCTATTGTTCTTAAATTATTTTGAGACCCTATACTGTGTTGGATGAAATATAGGTATAGGCCCAACAAACAATGTATATATATATATATATATATACACACACACACACACACATATGGCTTACCTTGTCTTTTCATTAAATGGCTCCAAATTTAGAAGCTGTGGTAGGCAGAATAATGGCCCACACAAAAATATCCAGTCTTAATTCTTGGAACCTACGGATATATTAGGTTCTATAGCAAAAGGGATTTAAGATTGCTAGTCAGCTGACTTTAAAATAAGGAGACTATCTTGGATTATCAAGGTGTGCTCAGTGTAATCACAAGAATCCTTATAAGTGTAAGGGAGAGGCAGAAGAAGAGAGGCAAAGGAAGATGGAACTATAGAAGAAGGGGACAGAGAGATGCAACATTGATGGCTTGGAAGATGGAGGAAGGGGGCCATGAACTAAGGAATATGGGCAGCCATTAAATGCTAGAAAGGAAAAGAAAATGGACTCTCTCCTAAATCCTCCAGAAAATAAAGCAGCCCTGAGGGCACCTTGATTTTAGCCCAGTGAGAACAGTGCTAGATTTCTAACTTGAGTGTCAGAGTGACACAATATGACAATACTTGACTGGTCATTGCTGCCTTTAAATATGGAGGAAAGAGCCACAAGCCAAAAACATAGACAGCATTCAGAAGCTGGAAGGGGCAAGGACACAGATTCTCCCCTAGAGCCTCCAGAAGGAATGCAGCTCTACTGGCACTTTATTTTTTGCCAAGTAAAACCCATTTTGGACTTCTGACTCCCAGAACTACAAAATAATAAATCTGTGTTGTCCTAAGCCAAAAAAAAAAATCATTCATTCATTCATTCATTCATTCATTAAAATGAAATTGTGTTGTTTAAGCCAGTAAGTCCATGGTAATTTTTTTGTAATACCAGTAGAAAGTTAATACAATGATCTAGATCAGGGGTGCCTCAACTTTCGGCTTCCCTGGGCCACACTGGAAGAAGAATTGTCTTGGGCCACACATAAAATATGCTAACACTAAGGATAGCTGATGAGTTAGGAAAAAAAAAATCTCATAATGTTTTAAGAAAGTTAACGAATTTGTGTGGGCATTCAAAGCTGTCCTGGGCCACAGGTTGGACAAGCTTGAAGTAGATACTTGCACTAGGCCAGTGTAGTAGCTCCTATCCACATGTGACTAAGTTAGTTAAATTGAAATTAAAATTAAATTTCAGTATCTTAGGTTCAATAGCCACATTTCCAGTGCTCATCAGCTCCTTGTGGCTAGTGACCACTGTATTGGGCAGTGCATAGAAAAACTTCTGTCATTGCAGAAATTCCTACTAAGCAACAGTGATCTGTTTCTTCATTGTCTCTGCACAGTTATACTTTAGGGTCTATTACTTTGTACAGGGCTATTTTTACAGCTATAAGCCTCCTTTTTTTCCCCTAGATCAAAAGTGGAAACTATATGTTGCCAGGAGAAAATAAATAAAATGTCATAGATATAACTAAATCAAATAAATTCTGGGCCTATCATAAGAAAAGAGACGTCAATCTGGGTTTTACTGAATCAAGCTGTGGGCTTTATGAAAGGCATTTACACTGACCTACAGGCTTTTTACTTCAGCTTACTCCTACCTTTGTGGCTATTCTAGAAGATTATGGTTGTAAGAAATAGAAAATTTGAATAGCAAGATCATTACTGAAACTTAAAATTTGCAAAAAAATGTGGAAAGACGTAAGTAATGACTATTGAATAAAAACTCAAAGTCATTTCCTCCTCTATAACTTTTCTGGATTTTATTCACAGTACTGATATAATGAAACCGGAAAATGTAAAGCAGTTACTGTCAATGAATAAAGTCATGTTATTCAAAATTTTACTACTGCTTATGAATCATAACTTCCCATTTTAACATTAAGCTGTCACTTTAAATGCATGCCTTCAAATGTTTTAAAAATTGTTCACTCATGTAGACAAGAACTTCAAATTCAGCTTGATTTGAAATCAGTGAAATTCGCTGAAAGTTTTTCTCCAACTTAGCAGTATCTCCCCACCCTTAATACCCTTAACACATTCACCCCCAACCCTCAAGGGCTAACTGCACTCTTCTCCAGCCCTATGCAGGTCATGTTGATGCTTTTCCTCCCCAAAGTTAACAAAATGCCCAGTCAGCCAAGTTACTTAGATATAGGGAATATAAGAAGCAACACACAGTATAATAGACACAGGCTAAAAAAACAATACACCTGGCTTAAAATAATAGAGTCATTGGTTCAAAACCAGGGGCTTGAGATAAATTCACAAATCAAGTAATCATAAAATTCCACAGGTCAAGAAAAATCAAGTAGTCTAGAAAAAAGAAAATTCAGGCAGCAAAGATCACGTATTAAAACACGGTCCAGGCAACAAAGACAGGCTGTCAGCAAGCCTTTAACATTACAACTGTTTGCCTCAGCCTAGGAAAAAGAATCAATCCTCAAACATGGGAACAGCAGGCTAAGCTATTAGTAGCAGAGGCACCTAGCCAGAATGTGGAGTAACTGGGAGGAGAGGAAGGCCCACTGATCTTCACACACTGGTCACATTATCATTAGATCCATTATCAAAGAGAATATACACACTTCATTATCAAAGGTAAAAATTATATGAGATAAAAAAATGTATTTCATAATGGAAAAATGGGGAAAGGTGATAACTGTACAAAATGTTAATAAATCCTGAGTAAAATAATGCCTATAATTATGAAACATGCCCTGGGATTCTTTGGACAAAGAGGAATTGGGATAAAGTTAGAGGAAATGGGAAACAGATAGTCAAGAGAGAGGGAATAGAAGGAAAGGGACTATTGGGAGACCTAGGCAGGCCAACCTCCAAAGTGATGAAGTAGACACCAGACTCTTGGCTGCAACAGCTTCTGGAAATAACTTTTAGCAGCCACAGGTCTAGGGGTAGGAGCAAATCCATGCAAAGAAACCACAGATGCAGAATTTAAATGCCTCTACCCCTCAAAAAGTTTCCCATCTGCTTCCTGATACCTAAATCACCATTTCACAGTTATAGACAAAAGGCTTAAAATAAAATGTTTATGGTGTCCCACATAGAAGAGGCTGTGAGGAAAAATCTGCTTTCCGCTCTTGCTCATCTTTCCTAAGAAAGCTCTGTATTCCCACTCAATAACAGATATATTTCATGCCTATTAAGCTGGAAGCATGCTAGGCACTAGGGTTTCAAGCATGATTTTAAAGAACAAAATCTCTACTCTCAAGGACAATAGAAGAAAAAGACAAGAAAATAAGTGATTAAAATATGGTAAATTAAATAGAGTCTTATTAGAGAGATATGCTTGGGCAATTGACAATAAAACCACTCAGAAAGGCCATATAAATAAGCATAGATAGTTTAGTTTAAACTTTTCTGCTTTTAAGATTCTTTCCTGTTCACCCTTCTTTATCATCTTTAAAAGAGGAAGTTCCTCAAAGATTAGCCTGAATGAAGCCCTCTGTTTTTGTTACTCTACACTCTCCCCCTAGACAATTTCATCAGTCCTCTTGACTTCAAACACCATTCACAGTGTTGTCACTCAAATGAGTGTATTCATTTCAGACCTCCTTCTCTGAACCCAAAAATATGTATAGCCAATTGTCTACTTAATACCTCCAAATGGATGTTTCACAGGTACTTTGAATCAAAGATTTCCCAGACTGAACACCTAATCTTCAAGACCATGAATGGTTGCACTATCCACTCAGTAGTCTCTCTCCCATCCACAGAACAACAGATTGATTTCCTGTTTGTAGTTCTTTAATAACTTCCCAATGCTCTTAGGATAAAACTCCAAATCCCTATATAGCCTCCTAATCCCTGACTATCCTGCCCTCTCCTACCTCTCTAGACTCACCTAATATACTCTCCTACTCTTGAACTCCAGATATATCAATTTTATATCACACATTCTAATGTTCCATTCTTTGACCTGATCCCTCTGCCTAGAATATATACTCTTTGCTCCATTTAGTTGCTGCTTACTCCTTCAAAGTTCAACTCAATCCATATTTCCTTAAAGGAGTATTCCTGATTGTCCATACTAATTCAAAATCTCCAGAAATACACTTCCTAGCATTACCATAACTATAATTAAATAAGAACGAACATTTATTAAGCATCTACTGTTGGATCAAACACTATTCTCAGTGATGGACATTCAGCAATAGGAAAGACGAAGTTTCTGCTCTTTTAGAGCTACATTTGTCATGAGGGGAGACAGACAATAAGCAAATGAGCAAAAAGGCAAGATAATTTCACATAATATGGAGATAATAAATAAAGAGCAGCTGAATCAGAATCCGGGCCAAAGGGGAGAGTATTACCTCAAATGGGTTGTTCAGTGCTTGGTCTTCCTGAAGGAATATAAGTTTCAAAGGGTAGGGGCTTTGTCTTACTGCTATATCCCCAGTGCCTGGGACATAATAGGTGCTTGATGAATACTTAAGAACTGAAAGTATGAAGGATGTTGCTTTCTACATAGGACTATTTTCCAAGATGCCAAAGAACAATCTCAGGGACATCATATTTTTGTATTCCAAATTATATCACCAGCACGTCTTCAAAATATTTGTTGAATAGATGAATAAATGAAACAAAACTTCACTTCCATGGTCCCTAGGCATACATAATATCCTCATGGATAAGAATCCCCTTACAGATTCTTGACCTTTTAACCTCACTATAGCCAAACAGAGTATAGGATACCCATACAAGTGGCTGATAACCTCTTCGTTTATCAAAGCACTCTTGATAAGTAAACAGTGGACTCTTATACAAAACAGATGGACCTTAATCTTATTAGGTAGGATTGAGGGAAATAAACTATGCAAAATTCCATTTTGAAAATCCCAGTAGCTAGTACTCAACAAATAGTATGTAATCAACCAGAAGGCAATTAGAACAACTTGCTTGCCTCATAGGTTATATGGCTTACTTAAAAAGAAAAACACACACACACATTAGTTCCAGGTCCATTCATGTATTTCTTAAAATGTAAAGTACTAGACTAGATTATCTTGTAAATTTTGAGTGTTACTTTTTTCATTCATTTAATCATTCATTCAATAAGCATTTATGGAGCACTGACTATTTCTCAGGCACCACATAAGATATTGTGCATGAGATTTTATGAACTGAAGAAACAAAACATATATAGTGGTATTTCTTAGCAAATGGCCACATAGCTTAGAAGACTGTGCATCAAGCTAAACTTAGGTGGCAAGACATATTTATTATAATCTTTGCCAAAAAAAATATGGCAAAGTCTCATTATTCATGGAGTTATGTTCTATAAAGTTGTCACAAACACTGAATTAGAGATTATTGAATCATGGCTTCTTGGGAAATACAGAGTTAGGTTCTTGTGAGCCTCTGGTCATAACACTTTCATCAACTTATGAAGACATAACCTTGTTTTATGTATGCTTCTTTTAAATATCATATTTAATATCTATCTATTGATTCATTAACATTGTACTCACAACCAACAGAACTGCAACTAAAGCCTGAATGAAGGTTATCTAACACACACATTTTTTCTATAAGGCACATCACAATCTTCCTGCATGTAGAAGCACTAGACAACACTTCAGCACTACACTTGGGGGCCATTTTAAACAGCAAAATCACAACCCCCCCAAAAAAAGCACAAAAATGCAAAATATGTGACACTAAATACACCTCAAAGAAGACACTTGTTTACAGAAGGAGAAAGGGGAGGGAGGGACAGGAAGGAAAGGGAAGAGAAAATATAAATCCTGCATTTGAAACCTGGCTCTACCACTTACTAGCTGTGTGATCTTAGAAAAGTTACTTAATGGCTCCATGTCTCAGTTTACCATCTTGAAATAAACATAGTACCATCGCCTACCTCATGAGTTTGTGGTGAAGCTTAAAAGACTTAATATATATAGTGTTAATGCAGCACCTGGTAGGTAGTAAGCACTATTTAAGTGTTAGCTATCAAAATAAACAAATAAACATAAGGCAATGGGATATTATCTTAAACTTTCAGTAAAAACATGTGATGGATACAGAAGAGGATTCAGCAGCTGTAGCTTTCGTTCACCTTTCTCTCTCTTATTCTCCCTTTCTCTACCCACCCCTTTTCTTCCTCATCTTCCTTGCTTCCTTGTTGTCTATGCCTCGGGCCTTCGGGAGGCCCACACGGGATATTGGAAGATCCCCCTCCTTCAAAGAGTTTGCTCTAGATGTAAGTTGCTCTCACTTCAAAATTAAGATGGCACTTCCTTCAACTGAAGACTAGACGGCTTCTGGAATGAACATGCCTCCCTGCTGTACTCCAACTGGCTACTGCCAAAGACAAACCAACCGTCCACAGGCCAAAGAAGCCTTCTTGTTAACCCCGCAGTTCTGCAAACAGCCTCTTTCCATGACAACAAAGCACCATCTTGCCAGCACAACTTCAGTTTTTAGTGGGTCACCAAAGAAGGGAAGCTTGAGACAAAGTGAAATAGATTAGGAGCCAGATGAAAAACTGACAATGCCAAAGCTGGGGCCTTCTCAAAGCAAACCTCCCACAGGCATCTCCAAGCTGGAGAATATGGAAAGTTAGGGTCAGAGCCAATTAGTAGAAGGGATGAGTGAGATACAACAGCTATTGCACAAACAAAAGTTCCTTCAGTTAGGGATGGGGACAGGGTTGGGAACAGAGACACTGAGGCCTGCTCTGAGTGTCAGGGCTTTAGCTGGCAACCCGAAAATCCCCTCCTGCCAAACTTTGCAGGGCCAGGGCTGCCAAGGAACGCATTCACATGGCCAAGAGTATGTTATTCAGAGCATCTTCCCAGTTAAATGTGTGTGGCACATTTTGAGGCTGGCAGAAGTCCTACCTCAGATCTCTTCGGAGCCTCCTCATCTTTCTGATCAGGACAAGAAGCCCTTTCTCATGCTTTTCTAGTATGCGCTTCCAGTTAGATACATTTAATCTTCCAAATTAAGCAGAAAAATGCTTTGAAAATGCATTGACTTCATTGAAAAAGATAGTTTGGGATTTAGAAAACATCAAATACTCATCAGATCCCACCCATCTAACTACTTCAAATTACATTTGATAGCTACATCAGCCATTAGTCCTTGATTTACCAGATTTGTCTCCAGCTGTAATAATCAATCCCCATTTCAGAGGTCTATATGTCTCAGGCATCACACTAGACGCTTCCTAGAATTTATTTCATTTAATCTTCTCCCAAATCCTTGGAAGAATGATGTTACTGCCTATCCCCATTTCACAGTTAAGAAAACTATTGAAAGTAATTTGCCAAAAATCATGTGGAAAGTAAGTTGCTGAGCAAGGATTCAAACCCAAGTCAGTCTGACTTAATCTATTTTCTTTCCACTATATTGTATATAACCAGGTTATTGTACAGTCTGTATTTGATGTAAAATAAACTTAAAATGGTTTCATTTTCCCAATCCCTGCTGACAGCTGTCCTACATTGAATCATATTTCACTATCCCTTAGTAACATCTGGGAATATTCCACAAAATTCCAATCACTTTCAGTTATTAGAAGAGTCTAATTCCAGTATTTAAGACTCAAATATATTTTAAATTCCAGTTTCATAGCTAGTATAAAGCTCTTCTTTGCTCTCCCTGGGGCCAGCCAAGCTTCAGGTCAGGCCTGGAGCAGACAGGGGGAAAGTTCTTCTCCCTCCATCCTTCAGGAAGGAAAGAGATGTTCTCTGTGTCCTCTGTACCTCCTCCCTCCTCCAGCTTCCAGGCTGTAAGTCCACCCACGCATTAGAGCAGTGGGAGAGAAATTTCAGATGTGGCAGAGGTTGACATATGAGACTGGCTGTCTGGAAGAAGTGGGCAGCTGTTTCGAGTTCCCTTCTAGCTAGGTCTGGTTCTTTCTGATGCTGGTGGTCTTTACCAATGTGGTGCTATCTACCCAGAAGGTGCATGCAGTTTACTTGGAGAGATGTTCTGCTTCAAGCCAGCACTATACATGACTGAGAATGCCCTCAAAACAAGAGACAACTGCATCTCCATTTTGTGTCTCAGTCACTGGTCCACGCACTCAACCCTCTCACCAAATGGGGTATCTCATAACTAGATGCCACTTGATCAGTTCCCAAACTCATGCCTTGCATTCTACCTGCTAGACTTATTCTGACAAGCCATAGGAACCATGAAAATCCTCCTCCAGACCTTCTAAGTGAGCTGGGGGATTTTCTCTGTCTTCTTCTTAGACATCTTACCTGCGGTCCATTGTCTATCAGCCTTGGCAGAGTAGTGCAGCCACGCAAGCAGAAGGCATCAATTTCCAAGTACATACATGCCCCCACACATCAAGGACCCATGGTAGGTCCTTTTCTTCCTTCACCATACTTCACTTCATGCTAACAACCTCACCAAGCTAAGCCTCTGCTGCCTCACCTCATGCAACATCTAGCCAGGAGTGAGAAGCCAGTCTCCTGTTGACACTCCCAGGCTCTTGTCTAGTAGTCCACTTTTCACAGGGCTTTGAAGTAGGCAGGAAGCCCCCACGGGAAAGGGAGGGAAACACAACATTTGGCAAGAAACTCACAAATGTAACAATGTCATCTTCTTTCTCCTCTCTACCCCACATCTTCTTTTATCAATTGGGAAATGATAGGAAAGGCCTTGGGTGACAGTTTAGAGTGATAAGGACAGTTTGGCCACCTCTCACTGATCTCTGGGGGAGGTGTCTGACCCCAGTTATTTATAGTTCACTTTAGAATAGGTGTGCTTGATGTCTCTTTGTCCTCAGCTTGGGCCCTCAGTACCATATGTTTCAAAATTTGTTTGAATGCAGTGAAGCACAAATATGACACTGTGGTTTATATTATTTTGGGATTTTAGTTTTAATTTTTGTGGGTACATAGTAGGTATATATATATATGCGTTACATAAAATATTTTGATAAAGGCATACAATGTGTATAATCACTTCAGGGTAAGTGGAGTATCTATCACCTCAAGCATTTATCCTTTGTGTAACAAGTAATCCAATTATACTCTTTTAGTTATTTTTAAATGTATAATTAAATTATTATTGACTATAGTCACCCTGTTGTACGATCAAATGCTAGGTCTTATTCATGCTTTCTAAACATATTTTTGTAGCAATTAACCATTCTCACTTCCCACCAGCCCCCTACTACCTTTCTCAGCCTCTGGTAACCTTCATCCCACTCTCTATGTCCATGAATTCAATTGTCTTACTTTTTAACTCCCACAAATAAGTGGAAATATGTGATGTTTGTCTTTCTGTACCTGGCTTGTTTCACTCAACATAAATGACCTCCACTTCCATCCATGTTGCAAATGAGAGGATCTCATTCTTTTTGTGGTTGAATAGTACTCCATTGTGTACATGTACCACATTTTCTTTATCCATTCATCTGTTGATGGACACTTAGTTTGCTCCCAAATATTGCTTATTGTGAAAAACTGCTGCAACAAACATGGGAGCATAGATATCTCTTCAATATACTGAGTTCCTTCCTTTTGGGTATATAGCTGGCAGTGGGATTGCTGGATCTTATGGTAGCTCTATTTTTAGGTTTTTGAGAAAACTCCAAACTGTTGTCCATAGTGGTTGTACTAATTTACATTCCCACCAATAGTGTACAAGGGTTCCCTTTTCTCCACATCCTTGCCAGCATTTGTTATTGCCTGTCATTTGGATAAAAGCCATTGTAACTGGGGTGAGATGATATCTCACTGTAGTTTTTATTTGCATATTGTGATGATCAGTGATGTTGAGCACCTTTGCAACACTTGTTTGCCTTCTTTTGAGAAATATCTATTCATCTTTTGCCCATTTTTCATAATATTATTATATTTTTTCCTATAGAGCTGTTTGAGCTGCTTACATATTATGGCTATTAATCCCTTGTCAGATGGATAGTTTCCAAATATTTTCTCCCATTCTGTGGATTGTCTCTTCACTTTGTTGTATCCTTTGCTATGCACAAGCATTTTGACTTACTGTGATTCCATCTGTCAATTTTTGCGGTGGTTGCCTGTGCTTGTGGGGTATTACTGAAGAAATATTTGCCCAGTCCAATGTCCTAGAGAGTTTCACCCAATATTTTCTTATAGTAGTTTCATGGTTTTAGGTCTTAGATTTAAGTCTTTAATCCATTTTGATTTGATTTTTGTATATCATGAAAGATGGGGGTCTAGTTTCATTCTTTTGCATATGGACATCCAGTTTTCCCAGCACCACTTATTGAAGAGACTGTTCTTTCCCCAATATATGTTCTTGGTTCCTCTGCTAAAAATAAATTCACCATAGATGTATAGATTTATTTCTAGGTTCTCTATTTTGTTCCATTGGTCTAACTGTTTTTATGCCAGTGCCATACTGTTTTGGTTACTATGGCTCAGTAGTATAATTTGAAGTCAGATAATGTGATTCCTCATTTTTTTCCTTTTGTTCAGGATAGCTTTGGCTATTCTGGGCCTTTAGTGGTTCCATATTAATTTTAGGATTGTTTTTTCTATTTCTGTGAAGAAAGTCATTGGTATCATGATAGGGATTGCATTAATTCTGCAGATTGCTTTGGACAGTATGGAAATTTTAACAGTATTGATTCTTCCAATCCATGGACATGGAATATCTTTCCATTTTTTGTGTCCTCTTCAATTTCCTTCATCAGCATTTTATCATTTTCATTGTAGAGATCTTTCACTTGTTTGGTTAATTCCTAGGTATTTAATTTTATTTGTAGCTACTGTAAGTGGGATTACTTTTTAAATTTCTTTTTAGATTGTTTGTTGTTGGCATATAGAAATACTACTCATTTTTATATGTTGATTTTGTATCCTGCCACCTTACTGAATTTGTTGAACAGTTCTCATACTTTTTTGGTGGAGTCTTCAGGTTTTTCCAAATATAAGATCACATCATTTCCAAACAAAGATAATTTGACTTCTTCCATTCCAATCTGGATGCCCTTTATTTCTTTCTCTTGTCTAATTGCTCTTGCTAGGACTGTTGAATAACAGTAGTGAAGGTGGGCATCCTTGTCATGTTCTAGATCTTAGAGAAAAGGCTTTCAGATTTTCCTCATCAGTAAGATACTAGCTATAGATCTGTCATATATGGCTTTTATTACATTGAACTATGTTCATTCTATATCCAGTTTTTCAGAGTTTTTATCATGAAGGGATGCTGAATTTTATCAAATACATTTTCAGCATCAGTTGAAATAACCATATGATTTTTTGTTTTTCAATCTGTTTATATGATGTATCACATGAATTGGTTTGCATATGTTGAGGATACTTGCATCCCTGGGATAAATTCCCCTTGGTCATGATGAATCTTTTTAGTGTATCATTGAATTTAGTTTGCTAATGTTTTGTTAAGAATTTTGGCATCAGTGTTCATTAGGGAGATTGGCCTGTAATTTTTTGTTTTTGTCTTTCAATGTGTCATTGTTTGGTTTTTGTATCAGGGTAATATTGGTCTCATAGAAGGCCAGTTTGGAAGTATTCTTTCCTCCTCTATTTTTTGGACTAGTTTGAGTAGCACTGGTATTAGTTTTTCCTTAAACATTTGTTAGAATTCAGCCATGGAACCATCAAGTCCCAGGCTTTGGTTTGCTGGGAGACTTTCCATTATGGCTTCCATCTCGTTACTTGTTATTGATCTGATTAAGTTTTGGATTCCTCCATAGTTCAATCTTGTGGTTGTTTGTATCTAGAATGAGATCCATTTCTCCTAGGTTTTCAAGTTTATTGGCACATATTTGCTCATCACAGCCTCTAATGATCCTTTGAATTTCTGTGGTATTGGTTGTAATGTCTCCTTTTCATCTCTTATTTTATTTATTTGGGTAGTCTCTCTTTTTTTCTTAGCCTGACTAAAGTTTGTAAATTTTGTTTATCTTTTCACAAAACCAACTTTTCACTTCATTGATCTTTTGTACTATTTTTTAATTTTAATTTTATTTATTTCTGCTCTGATCTTTATTATTTATTTTCTTCTACTAATTTTGGGTTCAGTTTGCTCTTGCTTTTCTAGTTCTTTTTTTTTAATTTATTATTATTATACTTCAAGTTTTAGGGTACATGTGCACAATGTGCAGGTTAGTTACATACGTACACATGTGCCATGCTGGTGCACTGCACCCACTAACTCGTCATCTACCATTAGGTATATCTCCCAATGCTATCCCTCCCCACTCCCCCCACCCCACAACAGTCCCCAGAGTGTGATGTTCCCCTTCCTGTGTCCATGTGTTCTCATTGTTCAATTCCCACCTATGAGTGAGAATATGCGGTGTTTGGTTTTTTGTTCTTGCGATAGTTTACTGAGAATGATGATTTCCAATTTCATCCATGTCCCTACAAAGGACATAAACTCATCATTTTTTATGGCTGCATAGTATTCCATGATGTATATGTGCCACATTTTCTTAATCCAGTCTATCATTGTTGGACATTTGGGTTGGTTCCAAGTCTTTGCTATTGTGAATAATGCCACAATAAACATACGTGTGCATGTGTCTTTATAGCAGCATGATTTATAGTCCTTTGGGTATATACCCAGTAATGGGATGGCTGGGTCAAATGATATTTCTAGTTCTAGATCCCTGAGGAATCGCCACACTGACTTCCACAATGGTTGAACTAGTTTACAGTCCCATCAACAGTGTAAAAGTGTTCCTATTTCTCCACATCCTCTCCAGCACCTGTTGTTCCCTGACTTTTTAATGATCGCCATTCTAACTGGTGTGAAATGGTATCTCATTGTGGTTTTAATTTGCATTTCTCTGATGGCCAGTGATGATGAGCATTTTTTCATGTGTTTTTTGGCTGCATAAATGTCTTCCTTTGAGAAGTGTCTGTTCATGTCCTTTGCCCACTTTTTGATGGGGTTGTTTGTTTTTTTCTTGTAAATTTGTTTGAGTTCATTGTAGATTCTGGATGTTAGCCCTTTGTCAGAAGAGTAGGTTGCGAAAATTTTCTCTCATTTTGTAGGTTGCCTGTTCACTCTGATGGTAGTTTCTTTTGCTGTGCAGAAGCTCTTTAGTTTAATTAGATCCCATTTGTCAATTTTGGCTTTTGTTGCCATTGCTTTTGGTGTTTTAGACATGAAGTCCTTGCCCATGCCTATGTCCTGAATGGTAATGCCTAGGTTTTCTTCTAGGGTTTTTATGGTTTTAGGTCTAACGTTTAAGTCTTTAATCCATCTTGAATTGATTTTTGTATAAGGTGTAAGGAAGGGATCCAGTTTCAGCTTTCTACATATGGCTAGCCAGTTTTCCCAGCACCATATATTAAATAGGGAATCCTTTCCCCATTGCTTGTTTTTCTCAGGTTTGTCAAAGATCAGATAGTTGTAGATATGTGGCATTATTTCTGAGGGCTCTGTTCTGTTCCATTGATCTATATCTCTGTTTTGGTACCAGTACCATGCTGTTTTGGTTACTGTAGCCTTGTAGTATAGTTTGAAGTCAGGTAGTGTGATGCCTCCAGCTTTGTTCTTTTGGCTCAGGATTGACTTGGCAATGCGGGCTCTTTTTTGGTTCCATATGCACTGTAAAGTAGTAATTTACAGATTCAATGCCATCCTCATCAAGCTACCAATGACTTTCTTCACAGAATTGGAAAAAACTGCTTTTCTAGTTCTTTAAGATACACCATTAGTTTGTTTATTTGAAGTTTTTCCTCTTTTTTATGTAGCTGCTTATACACATAAATTTCCTCTTAGTACTGCTTTCACTGTATCCTATAGGTTTTGGTATGTTGTGTTTCCATTATTATTTGCTTCAATTTTTTTTTAATTTCCTAATTTTTTCAATGACCCACTGGTCATTCAGGAGCACATTGTTTAACTTCTGTGTGTTTGTTGTTTCCAAAGTTCCTCTTGTTATTGACTTCTAGTTTTATTCCACTGTAGTCAGAGAAGATATTTGACATAATTTCTGTTCTTTCAAAGGTTTTAAGACTTGTCTTGTGGCCTAACATATAGTCTATCCTTATGAATGAGCCATATGCTGAGGAGAAGAATGTGTCTTATCCAGCCATTGGATAAAATGTTCTGTAAATTTCTATTAGGTCCATTTGATCTACTGTGCAGATTAAGTCTGATATTTCTTTATTGTGTTTCCAGCAGGTAACAGATAATTGGGTCTTTTTTTTTTTTAAACCATTCAGTTACTCCATGTCCTTTGATTGGAGAGTTCTGTCCATTTACATTAAACGTTATTACTGATAAGTAAGGTCTTATGCCTGCCATTTTATTATTTGTTTTCTGGTTGTTTTGTGGTCTTCTCTTCCTTCCTCCCTTCTTTCCTTTCTGTCTTCCTTTTTGTGAAGGTCATTTTATCTGGTGCTATGTTTTAATTTTTTGCTTTTTAATTTTAGTGTATTTGTTTATGTTTCTTGATTTGAGGTTACCATGAGGCTTGCAAATACCATCTTATAACCCATTATTTTAAACTGGTGACTTAACACTGCATTAACAAACTAACAAGCAAGCAAAAAGAGAACTCTACACTTTTACTTCGTCTCCCTGCTTCTTAACTTTTTATTGTTCTATTTATATCTTATTGTATTGCCTACATCTTGAAGAGTTGCAGTTTATTATTTTTCATCACCTCATGTTTTCATCTTTCTACTTAAGATATGGGTAATTTACAAACCACAATTACAGTGTTATAATATTCCATTTTTTTCTGTGTACTTACTATAACCACTGAGTCCTTTGCCTTCAGATGATTTCTTATTCCTCATTAACATCCTTTTCTTTCTGATTGAAGAATTCCCTTTAACATTTCTTGTAGGACAGGTCTGATGTTGATGAAATCCCTCAGCCTTTTTTTTGGTCTGGAAAAGTCTTTATGTCTCCTTCATGATCAAAGAATATTTTTGCTGGATATACTATTCCATGGTAAAAGATTTTTTCTTTTGGCACTTTTAATATGTCATGCCACTCTCTCCTGGCCTGTAAAGTTTTCACTGAAGTCTGCTGCCAGATGTATTGGAGATCCATTGTATGTTATTTGTTTCTTTTTTCTTGCTTTTAGGATCCTTTCTTTATACTTGACCTTTGGGAGATTGACTATTAAATGCCTTGAGGTAGTCTTCTTTGGGTTAAATCTTGGTGTTCTATAACCTTCTTGTACTTGAATATTGATATCTTTCTCTAGGTTTGGAAAGTTCTCTGTTATTATCTCTTTCAATGAACTTTCTACCCTACTCTCTCTCTCTCCCTCTCTCCCCCCTCCCTACCCTTCCTCCTTTCTAAGGCTAATAACTCTTGGATTTGCACTTCTGAGGCCATTTTCTAGATCCTGTAGGCATGCTTCAATCTTTTTTATTCTTTCTTCTTTTGTCTACTTTGCGTATTTTCAAAATGCCTGTCTTCAAGCTCACTAATTCTTTCTTCTGCTTGATCTATTCTTGCTGTTAAGATACTCTAATGCATTCTTCAGAGTGTCAATTGCCTTTTTGGACTCCAGAATTTCTGCTTGATTCTTTTTAATTATTTCAATCTCTTTGTTAAGTTTATCTGATAGGATTCTGAATTCCTTATCAATGAATTTCTTTGAGTTTCCTCAACACAGCTATTTTGAATTTTCTGAAAGGTCACCTATCTCTGTATCTCCAGAATTGGTCCCTGGCACCTTATTGAGTTCATTTGGTGAGATTATGTTTTCTGGACGGTCTTGATCCTTGTGAATGTTCATTGGTCTCTGGCTGTTGAAGAATTGAATATTTATTGTTGTCTTTGCAGCCTGGACTTATTTGTACCTGTCCTTCTTAGGAAGGCTTTTCAAATATTTGAAAGGACTTGGGTGTTGTGGTCTAAGTTTTTGGTCATTGCAGCTGTATCTGCATTAGGGGACACCTAAAGCTTAGTAAAACTGTGGCTCCTGTGGACTTGTAGAGTTATCGCCTTCATGGTCTTGGATAAGATCCGGAAGAATTCTCTGGATTACCAGGAAGACTCTTGCTCTGTTTCCTTACTTTCTCTCAAACAAACAGAGTCTGTCTATGCTGAGCTGCCTGGAGCTGGGAGAGGGGTGGCACAAGCAACCCTGCAGTCACCAACACTGGGACTGTGCTGGGTCAGACCTGAAGCCAGCATAGCACTGGGTCTCACCCAAGGCCTGCTGTAACTACCTGACCACTGCCTATGTTTGCTTAATGCCCTAGGGTTCAATAATTATTATGAACCACAACTTTATTCACAATAGTTCTATTACACACCTACAAGCAAGGTACAATCTTGCACTTCTACTGAAAGCCTACTGTAATTCAGCAGGATCAGACCACTCACTTGGTGTCTCAAGCTTGTCTTAGGTACACTCCTGCACTTACCAATATCATTCTCCTTTCTAGAATACCCTTTCTCAATCATATTCCACCCAATTTTAACATTCAACTCAAGATTCATTTTCCAGAGACAACTCCAACCAGAGAGACCTTACTGTTTTCCAGAACTGTATGACTTATTAATAGTATTATTGTCTTATTTAATTATATGTAATTGTATGTTTTGATAATGCCCAGGGTGTTCAGTGATTTCCAAAAGAAATACACTCAACCTATTTTCACTGTTATTTATATGGTTTTGGACATATTTTGGAGTAATAAGGAAGGGTCAGAGTGCACAGAACAGCATTTTACATGGAAATCCCCATTAGGCTTGCCTCTACCGAAAAGCCACTTCTCATACCAGCATCAAAGAAACCTGAGGACTAGCTGGGCTTTGGAGGCTAACTTCTACCCAAGCTTATCAAAGTATCATATCAAGAACATATTTCCCAGCAATGGAATTCTCACACCAGTTACCAAAATGACTCCGCTTTATTTTTTGTTTTAACTTATATTATTGTCCAAATGTAGATCTTGAGTCCTCAAGTAAATTATAAACATTTTAAGGAAAAGATAGTCAATACTCTGAAACCCCCAGAACAGTGTTACTCACAAAGACATTGCTATATATATAACTGTTAAATGTATGAAGAGAGATGACACAGAAACACTAGTGGAGTGGGTTGAGTAATGGTCCCCCAAAATATACATCCATGTCCTAACCCCTAGTACTTTTGATGAGTATAACCTTATTCAAAAAAAGGGACTTTACAGATATAATTAAGTTAAAGATCTTGAGATGAGATCATCCTGGATGGGCCCTAAATTCAATGATAAGTATCCTTATAAGAGACAGAAGAGAAGACAGAACATAAGGAAGAAAGCCATATAAAGACTGAGGCAGAGATTAGAGTTATGCAGCAACAAGCCAAGAAACATCTGGAGCCACTAGAACCTGGAAGAGGCAAGGAAGAATTCTTCCCCTAGAACCTCTGAAGGAACAGCATCCCTGCTGTTACCTTCATTTAGAACTTCAGCTTTTCAGAACTGTGAAAGAATAAATATCTGTTCTTTTAAGCCACTGGTTTTATGGTAAATTGTTAAAGCAGCCCTAGGAAACTAATACAACCAATTTCTGTACATTTATTCTTCCAAAGATGTCTCACACATGGATATTGCCTTGGAAAAACTTATATTCCTAAAGAAAATCTGGTTACCTCTTGGATTTGGGTTGCCAGTTGCTAGCAGGGCATTTTACTTTGTTTTTCATAAAAGACCATAGATGTAGTCATATTTTCATGAAATGGGAAAAGGAAGCCATAATGTGGCCCTAAAGTCATAGGTGAGGAAAGGACTCTAGGCCAGCCTTTTCTAATTCCTGCAATTATCAGGACAGACTATGAGAATCTAAAGAAGTGAACAATCATAGCACTCAAAAGTGGCAGACACACATCATTTCCCCTGCACTGGGCATGTAAACTTTGTATCACAGCTCAAACGGAGTTGCAAGAAGATGTCAAAAGAAACTACATATGGCTACAGCAGAAAACAATCTTCCAAAGTAAGCATCACATCCTAACAGAAAAACTAACAATCCCTTGTTAGGAATAATGATAGTAGTTGCATAACTTGGCAATAGATTTCCTGGACACAACTTGGCACTAAAGAAAGCAAGTAACTGAGACTGAATAACAAATCACATGTATAAGCTATATTTTCAGAAATCTGTCTGAAGGCAAGGCAATGGGGAAGAGAGTAAAAGCTAAATTAAAAAAAATACTCATTAAATCATAAGGACAATTGTTATTAGCCTAGAACACAATGGGGTGCCCCTCTCACACAAACCTTTTACAGGTAGCTGATCCAGAAAAAATGTGCCTCAGTTAGAGATGATTATTTTTTAAAAGGAATAACTTGCATAAGAGCCACAAAAGGAGAAAATAGGGAACAGAGGAAAGTGGCATCCAAAAAATATTGCCACAGAACAGATAAAAATTGTGACCAAATATAATGATATAAACAAAAAAATAAGCACATACCTCTATAAATTAAAAATGCAAACTAAGTATACAAGAGCCCAAGTAAAATAAGGCAAGGCAATACAAGGAGATGATGATTGGACTGGCAGAGCTCATAAACAGGAGAGAAAAATAAAACCATCAGAGAAATGAAGGTCATATTGGAGACAATCCAAACAGAGTAAATGCTGCTGAAAACAAAGTAAGAATTATGAAGGACACAAATTTAAAAAGTGATCAGAATAAAATGTAAATAACCAAGTTAAAAAGGATTATAGCAAAAGTAAAATTTTTTAATGATTATAGAAAAAAGGATATATACAGAAAATGGAAATCAATTACACTTGATGTTAGCCAAAAGGCCAGGAAGAGAGAGAAAATGGAAATCAAGCATATGTACAACTAGTGTCCCCAAAAAGTGTAATCAAAACAATGGAAGGAACAGGTTTCAATACATAATTTTTCCCATCTAGAGAAAAGTCCTCAAGGAAATAAGAAAAAATTTTATATCCAATCGAACTGTTGCTGAAGTACAATGACTGCTGACAAACTTTTTTTAACATGCAATAATCCACAGAATTTGGTTCCCTTCTTCCCTTTTTCCATTTCTGGAAGAAATTGCTAGTGCATTAACTTCAGTCAATCAAGAAATGCATGATAAATCTCTGGCAAAATGACTAATAGTTGTACTGAATTCTCTATAACGAAGACCAAAACAAATACATTATGGTTACAGGATAGAATGAATAGGTTAGAAGCCTTGACATGTAACAATGTGTAATTAACAAAACTTGACACAGCAAGGGGGCAAGAAAATTGGTGGCAGTATATTTCTGCTGATTTCTTCATTTTATAGAGACAGAGGTAGCAGACACCACTGGAGACCTACACAAATTTATCCTTTTCTGCTTCTGTATTGTAGAACTAGGAGGTTCTCCCCAGCTCCACAGAATGATTTGTGATTAGCATAAGCTAGTCTTGGGAAATCTATTTCTCTTAACGTTGGCTGGTTTTAGCATGAACATGTGATTCAATTCTGTCCAATGAGTCATGAGCAGACATTTGTTTCTCAGTTCTTATGAAGAAATTTGAGAAGATAAACAGCATTTTTCTCTGTCTCTTATGCTGCTATAGGATAAATTCATGCCTATAAATGTAACCAAGAAGAAACAACAATGAGGTTAAGAGCCTACATGCTGAGAATGGTCAAGAAAAATATGGAAAAACTGGATTCTAAAAACATTGTTGAGATACTAGAACTATCCTACTTCTGGACTTATTAACATTATTATTAAGGTAGCAATTGTCTTAATTGATTAAGCAACCACTAGATGGCTTTTCAGTTACTTATCAATGAAAATATTCTAATTGATATACTAGCAATCAAAAGAGATCATTTAAAACTGGTAAGTCAAGCAACAGAATTACAGTACATTGAAATATAAAGAGGCATACATGAAGAAATATAGTACCGTCAATTTTGCAGTAGGAGTAGAAGGAAGAAAATGGAAATTGCCAAGTTCATCTATGCTAATAGTAGGAAATAGAGAGTCACATAAAGATATAATTATAAAGTAACTGGTAGCATAAAATTACAAATCTTCCAAATCAGAAAATACACACACGCCCCACAAAGCAGAAATAGTCCATACTGTGAACAAAGTGTGATAAGATATAATGACAGAATTAAAAGTAAACACTTATTTCTACAACTACACATGGCCTAAACATACTCATTAAAAGAAAAATGAGGTGGGCCTCAAAGCAAAATCCAAATATCTGCTGCACACAAGAATACGACAAATCAATAAGTAACCAAGAAGGGTTGAAAATAAAAGGAAAGGCAAAGATTACAACAGGCAAGAGCAAGTAAAAAGAAAATAACGTTCATGGTATTAATATCAGATGGGTTTTAATGCAGCATAGTATATGTTCAATGAAAAAAGATAAACACCTTGTAATGCTAAAGGGCACAATACAAAATGTAGATTAAATGTTATGACTATCTAATTACCCAGTAATACAGAAGCAATATCAATAAAGAAAAACCTACAGAAAACAGAAGTCTTAAATTAGAAAATAAAATCTCAGCAATAGGAAACTTTCTTTTCTCTCAGGACATGACAGAATAAGCAAAAAAAAATTTTTTTCAGAATATGGAAAACCTAAATAAAATTAAGTGATATACATTACTCTAAAAATAGAGACTACACCTTCTTTCCAAGTTTCCATGGAACATTCACAAAACTGCCCATTTGCAAACAAAAAAAAACTTTGACAGTTTTCAAAAAGGAAAAACAATGTATACATCTGTGCTCATAATGTAATAAAACTTAAAAATAACAAACCCAGAAAATGAAAATAATCTACTATCAGGATATTTTAAAATTCTGTTAAGTTTTGCATCAAATATAAAATCAAAACTGAAATTATAGGATATCTGGGAAATAACAATCGAAGAAAGAACAATATACAATTATCTAGGTGATATAGCTGAAATATTAATAAACAAGAAAGAATGAAAGAGATAATATAAGCACTCAAGAAGTTAGAATAAAATGAAAAACAGGAAAATAGAAAAAAAGAAATTAATAAACATAAAAAGTGAAATAATGAATTAGAAAAATGGCATGTGGCCAGGTGCAGTGGCTCACACCTGTAATCCCAGCACTTTGGGAGGCCGAGGCAGGCAGATCATGAGGCGAAGTTCGAGACCAGCCTGGTCAATATGGTGAAACCCCATCTCTACTAAAAATACAAAAATTAGCCAGGAGTGGTGGTGTGCGTCTGTAATCCCAGCTACTCAGGAGACTGAGGCAGGAGAATCACTTTAATCTATGAGGCGGAGGTTGCGATGAGCTAAGATTGCACCATTGCACTCCAGCCTGGGTGACAAAGCAAGACTCTGTCTCAAAAAAAGAAAAAGAAAAAGAAAAAAAGAAAAGAAGAGAAGAGAAGAGAAGAGAAAGAAAAGAAAAGAAAAGAAAAGAAAAATGGAATGTGAAAGAATAAGTAAACCCAACAGATGTTTCATGGGTGGAGGAGGAGAAATAACACGAAACAAAACCTTTAACTCGCCAAAACATTTTTAATTATAAGGATAGAAAATACAAATACAAAGAACAAGAAACAATGAGGAAGATCCCAGAAACAAAAAAAATTAAAAGACTCCTATAACACCAGTTTGATCAATTCAGTGTGAGTAAATTTGAGAATTAAGATGCTTTTCTAAGAAATCACATCCCAGATAAATTTGAAAATCTAACATATCACTATCTGTTTTAAAAGGAGGACAAATTGTCAATTTACTCCCAACAAAATAGTTCAACACATAGTTGGTTTCACTAGCGGAATACTGACAAATTTTTAAGAAACACCTAACTTTAATGCCATTCAAAGTGTTGTAGAGCATAGGAAAAAAAAAGAAAATCTTCAAATGTATATTTATAACATATAAATCCACAATAAAAAGCACAGAAAAAAAATAAAAATATAGCCTAAACTCACTTGTGAATATCATGAAAAAAGACCCTAAGTGAGTATTTGCAAATAGAATCCAGGATCACATTAAAGTATAATATACCATTACTAAGTGGTGTTTATGCACCAAATAAAAGAATAATGTATAACAATAAATCTATTAATATAATTTACCATGTTAATAATAAAAAGAGAAAACTAAAATACCATCTCAATAAATTATGAAAAGGCTTTTGATAAAATTCAACGTTATTTTTGACAAAAATCCTTATCATGTACTATACCAAGAAAAAAGGGTTTCCTCTCTTAATATGACAAAATATCTCTGTTGCATCTCAAAAGCCAGCATGTCATGCTTAATGAAAACTCTATTATTAGTATTCTTATTAACAATAAGTTGAAGACAAGAGTGTCTACTATGACCACCATTAATTTTTTGGAGGTCCTGAATAACATAACTAGACAGTAAAATGCAGGTAAAATTTTAAGAGATAAAACTAAAATATCATTATTTGGAAACTATATGATTATTTACCTGGACAGCACAAGAGAATCAACTGGAAAACTATAAATAATGACAGAATTCAGTTAAGTGAATGAATACAAAAATAATATTGTGACACCACTACTTTTCATACATACAAACAACGCAAATAGGAGATCCAAAGTAAGAATAGATTGCATTAAAAGTAGCAACCAAAATTATAGAGTAACTAGAAAAATGTATAACAAGAAATATGTGAATAAAACTTTTAATGTTACTGATGGACCCACAAGAATTAAACAAATGGAAAAGTGAGGGATATTGATGGATAAGAAAACTCTAAATGTTAAAGATGTCAGTTCTACCTGACTTATTCTATAAATTTAATATGTTCACACATATTCACACACACACAATTAACACTATTTGAAACAAAAGAAATTGATTTGATTCTGAAGTTCACAGGAAAAATAAGAATAACAAGAAACATTCTGAAAAAGAACACAAATGATCGGGATTAGCAATGCAAGATATAAAAACCTGTTGTAAAGCTATTATTTAAAATGGTGAGTTGCTGGTTTGTAAACAGAAAAATAGATCAATGAAACAGAACAGAGAACCCAGAAATAGACACAAATATAGTTAGAAAATTTTAATGTCATAAGTATATTTGAATCCCATCGGAAAAAATGAACTTCAAAAAGTGATATAAAAACAAAAAAACCTTGATAACTAATCGAAGAAAAATTAAGCTAGATATATATAACACACCTTACACCAAAATAAATCTGAGACAGATTAAAGATTTAAACATAAGAACCCTTAAAGTACCATTAAAAAATGAGATGGTTTATAAAAAAGATCTCAGAGCAATAAAGATTTTCTAATTCTGTCAAAAAACTCAGAACCCATTAAAATTGATAAATTTGACTAATAAAAATAGAAATAAAAAGTATTTCATAACAAAAAATCAAAACACAAATGCCTAGAAAATTAAGAAAATATTTATAAATCATAAAACACTGAGCTAACTCTGTTTTTTGTTTTTTGTTTTTTTGTTGTTTGTTTGTTTTTGAGATGGAGTTTCACTCTATCACCCCAGGCTGGAATGCAGTGGCACGAGCTCAGCTCACTGCAACCTCCGCCTCCCAGGTTCAAGTGATTCTCCTGCCTCAGCCTCCCAAGTAGCTAGGACTACAGGCAAGCGCCACCATGCCTGGCTAATTTTTGTATTTTTTTTTTTAGTAGAGATGGAGTTTTACCATGTTGACCAGGCTGGTCTCGAACTCCAGACCTCGTGATACACCCACCTCAGCCTCCCAAAGTGCTGGGAGACAGGCGTGAGCCACCAAGTCTGGCCAACACTGAGCTAACTCTTAAATCAATCTGCTCCACCTGCTGTTGCTCGTACCTCCCCACACTATCAGGGGGCCTGAGGACAGGCTCACTTTCCCTGCTGCTGGTATCTGTGCACATAATCCAAGAACCTGGAAATCAACCCATCCCTCTTGCTGCCACTGGCACCCACATGTTCCATCCAGGGGCCTGAAGACAGGGCTACCCTATCCACTGCCACCACTGATGGCACCCAAGTACATCATCTGGGGCCTAAAGACAAGCCGATCCCACCCACCACCATGATTGCTTGCACCCGAGCATACTGTGTGGGGGTCTAAGGATCAGTCCTAACCGTACCTGCCACAGCTAACACCTGCATCCACCATCAGGGACTTGAGGACAGGCATGCCTCACCAACACCACTGGTACCCAAGGACCAGCCTGCATGGCATGCCCATCTCCAGCAAAGCCTCACCACAACATCCATTAACAACTGCAGTCTAAGCCACTGAGGAACTCAGAGAAAACACTGATGCTAATTACAGCCAAAGAAATCATGCAGACTATACTACCGTGCCCAACCAGAATCAAAACCAAAGCACTTTACCCAACCAACACTATAGATTATCTACAGGAAAAAGTCTTTCTCCATGAAAGCCAATGCATAAAATCAGAAGCAATTGTTATGTCAGATGCACTGAAATCAATGTAAGGATACAAAAAACACAAAAAAGCAAAGAAACATGACACTTCAAAAGAAACACAATAATTATCCAGTAAGAGATCCCAAAGTAAAGGAAATTTATAAAATGCCTAAAAAAGAATTCCAGAGAATAATATTACAGAAACACAGTGAGATACAAGAAAACACAGATAAATAATACAGAGAAATCAAAAATAATTCATGAGCTGAATGATAAATACCAGAGACAGATATCCAAAGAGAACAAAACCAAAGGCCTGGAACTGATGAATTCAATAAATGAAATAAAAAATACAATCAAGAGCTTCTACAATAGAGTATACCAAGCACAGAAAAGAACTGCTGAACATGAAGACAGGTTTTTTTTTTTTAATAACTCAGTCAGACAAAAGAGAAAAGAAAAAAATAGAAAAAATGGATTTAAAAGAATGAAGGAAGCCTAGATAATATATGGGACACCATAAAAAGAAAAAAATTCTAATTCTGGCAGTTCCAGAAGGGCAAGAGATAGATAACAACATAGAAAACCTGTTTAACAGAATAATACTTAAAAACTTCCCAAATCTTGCAAGAGATTTAGGCATCCAGGTACAAGAAGCACAAAAACTCACAAATAGACATAATCCAAAAAGGTCTTCTCTAAATTACATTATAAGCAAACTGCCAAAAGCCAAAGACAAAGAGAGAATTCTAAAAACAGAAAAAGTGCCAAGTCATATACAAGGGGATTATCATATACAAGTCTGATTAGGACTAACAGTAAATTTCTCAGCAAAAAATTACAGTCCAGAAGAGAATGGAATGATATATTCAAAGTGCCAAAAGAAAAAACCCTGCCATCTAAGAATACCATACCTAGCAAATCTGTCCTTCAGAAATGAAAGAAATAAAGTATTTCCCAGACAATCAAAAACAGGGAATTCATCACCACTAGATCAGCCCTGCAGGAAATACTTAACGGAATCCTACATCTGAAAGCAAATGGATAATCTCTACCATCATAAAAACACATGAAAGTATAAAAGTAAGATACACAAATGAGAAAGACAAAGAAGTGAAACATTACCGCTAAAGAAAACCACTAAACCACAATGATAAAAAATAAAAAAGGAAGAAAGAGACAAATGATATATAAAACAACCAAAAATCATATTACAAAGTGACAGGAATATTTCCTCATTTATCAATAATAACCTTGAATGTAAACAGATTAAAGTCTTCACTTAAAAGATATAATCAAGCTGAATGGATAAAAAGCATGACCCAATTTTATGCTGTCTCCAAGAAACTCATCTCATCTGTAAGGACACATATAGAATGAAAGTAAAGGGATGGAAAAATATATTCCATGCAAATGAAACCAAAAGCAAGCAGGAATAGTGATAGTTATATCAGATAAAACAGACTTTAAGTTAAAACCTGTAAAAAGAGACAAAGAAAGTCATTATATAATGATGAAGGGATCAATTCAGAAAGAGAATATAACAATTCCAAACATACAAGCACCCAACAGCAGAGCACCTAGATATATAAAACAAATATTATCAGATATAAAGGGAGAGACAGACTCCAGTACAACAATAGTTGGTGTATTAGCCCATTTTCATGCTGCTGATAAAGACATACCCAAGACTAGGCAACTTACAAAAGAAAGATGCTTAATGGCCTTACAGTTCCACATGGCTGGGAGGCCTCACCATCATGGCAGAAGGCAAGGAGAAGCAAGTCACGTTTTACGTGGATGGCAGCAGGCCAAGAGAGAGAGCTTGTATAGGGAAACTTCTCTTTTTAAAACCATCAGATCTTACTCACTATCACGAGTGAGTAAGTGAGACTTACTATCACAAGAATAGCACAAGAAAAATCCACTCTCGTGATTCAATTACCTCCCACTGGGTCCCCCCCACAACACATGAGAATTCAACATGAGATTTGGGTGGGGAACACAGCCAAACCATATCATTCTGCCCTGGCCCCTCCCAAATCTCATGTCCTCATATTTCAAAACAAATCATGCCTTCCCAACAGTCCCCCAAAATCTTAACTCATTTCAGCATTTACCCAAAATTCCATAGTCCAAAGTTTCATCTTAGTGAAGGCAAGTCCTTTTCACCTATGAGCCTGTAAAATCAAAAGCAAGTTAGTTACTTCCTAGATACAATGGGGGTACAAGCATTGGGTAAATACAGTCATTCCAAATGGGAGACATTGGCCAAAACAAAGAAGCTGCAGGCCCCATGCAAGTCCGAAATCCAGCAGGGCATTCCAAAATGGTGCCCTTTGACTCCATGTCTCACATCCAGGTCATGCTGATGTAAGAAGTGGGCTCCCATGGCCTTGGGCAGCTCTGCCTCTGTGGCTTTGCAGGGTATAGCCCCCCTCCTGGCTGCTTTCATGGGCTGGCATTGAGTGTCTGCAGCTTTTCCAGGTGCATGGTGCAAGCTATCAGTGGATCTATCAGTCTGGAGGATGGTGGTCCTCTTCTCACAGCTAAACTAGACAATGCTGAAGTAGGGTTTCTGTGTTGGGTTCCAACCCCACATTTTTTTCCACACTGCCATGGCAGAAGTTCTCTATGACAGCCTCACCCCTGTAGCAAACTTCTGCCTGTGCAGCCAGGCATTTCTATACATCCTCTGAAATCTAGGAAGAGGTTCCCAAACCTCAGTTCTTGACTTCTGTGTACCTACAGACTCAACACTATGTGGAAGATGCCAAGGCTTGGGGCTTTCACCCTGCGAAGCAACAGCCCAAGCTGTACCTTGGCCCCTTTTAGCCATGGCTGGAGCTGCTGAAATGCAGGGTACCAAGTCCCTAGGCTGCACAGAGCAGAGGGACCTGGGCCTGGCCAAAAAAAACACCTTTTCCTCCTAGGCCTCTGGTCCTGTGATGGGAGGGGCTACCATGAAGACTTCTGACCTGCCCTGGAGTCATTTTCTCCATTGTTTTGGGGATTAACATTAGGATCCTCATTATTTATGTAAATTTCTACAGCCAGCTTGAATTTCTCCTCAGAAAATGAGATTATCTTTTCTATTGCATTGTCAGGCTGCAAAATTTCCAAACTTTTATGCTCTGTTTCCCTTTTAAAACTGAATGCCTTTAACAGCACTGAAGTCACTTCTTGAATGTTTTGCTGCTTAGAAATTTCTTCTACTAGATACCCTAAATCATCTCTTTCAAGTTCAAAGTTCCACAGATCTCTCGGGCAGGGGCAAAATGCCACCAGTCTCTTTTCTAAAACATAACCTTTGCTTCAGTTCCCAACAAGTTCCTCATCTCCATCCAAGACCACCTCAGTCTGGATTTCATTGTCCATATCATTATCAGCATTTTGGTCAAGGCTATTCAACAAGTCTCTAGGGAGTTCCACACTTTCCCACACTTTCCTATCTTCTTCTGAGCCCTCTAAACTGTTCCAACCTCTGCATGTTACCCAGTCCCAAAGCCACTTCCACATTTTGGGGTATCTTTTCAGCAGCACCCCACTCCTGGTACCAATTTACTGTAATTAGTCTGTTTTCACGCTGCTGATAAGGATATACCCAAGACTGGAAAATTTACAAAATAAAGAGGTTTAATGGACTTACAGTTACACAGGGCTGGGAGGCCTCATAATAATGGTGGAAAGGAAGGAGGAGCAAGTCATGTCTTACATGGATGGCAGCAGGCAAAGAGCTTGTGTAGGGAAACTCCTGTTTTTAAAACCATAAGATCCCATGAGACTTATTCACTATCATGAGAATAGCATGAGAAAGACAAGCCCCCATGATTCAATTACCTCCCACTGAGTCCCTCCCACAACACGTGTGAATTCAAGATGAGATTTGGGTGGGGACACAGCCAAACCATATCAGTTGGGAATTTCAACAATGAACTAAAACTATATATCAGTAACAAGAGGAACTTTGGAAACTGTACAAATATATGAAGGTTAAACCACATGCCCCTGAATGACTATTGCATCAATGAGGAAATAAAGAAGGAAATTAAAATATTTCTGGAAACAAATGAAGATGTGAATACAACATACCAGAACCTATTCGATACAGCAAAAGCAGTGCCAAGAGGGAAGTTTATAGCAATAAATGCTTACCTCAAAAAAGTAGAAAGATTTCAAATAAACAACTTAATGATGTATTTCAGGGAACTAGAAAAGCAAGAACAAATCAAACCTAATATTAACAGAAGGAAAGAAGTAATAACATTAGAACAAAACTAAAGGAAATCAAGACTTGAAAAAGTACAAAGGATCGATGAAATGAAAAGTTGGTTTTTGAAAATATAAGTAAAATTGACAAACTGCTAGCTATAGTAACCAAGAAAAAGAAAGAAAAGATTCAAGTAAATAAAATCAGAAACAAAAAAAAAAAGGAGACATTGCAACTGGTACCACAGAAATACAAAGAATCACTGGAGACTATTATAAACAGCTATATTTTAACAAATGGAAAAACTTAGAGAAAATGGATAACTCCTGGTCACATAAAACCTACAAAGAATGAGCCAGGAAGAAACAGAAAGCCTGAGCAGAATAAAAATTAGTAATAATCATTAATAAAATGTCTCAAGTTAAGAAAAGACCAGGAGCAGATGGCTTTACTGCTGAATTCTACTAAACTCATGAAGAAGAACTAACAAAAATTCTTCTCAAACTATTCAAAAAAATTGGAGAAGAGGGAATTATTCCTAATTCATTCTATGAGGCCAAAATTACCCTGAAATCAAAACAAGACAAGGACACACTAAAAAATAAAAAGAAAACTAAAAGCCAATATCCCTGATGAACACAGATGCAAAAATTCTCAACAAAATACTAGCTAACCAAATCCAACAACACATTAAAAAGACAATACACCACAATCAAGTGGAATTTATCCCAGGGATGCAAGGATTGTTCAACACCAACAATAAATATGATACATCACATCAACAGAATGAGGGACAAAGACCATATGAATCATCTCAGTAGACATAGAAAAAGCATTCAGTTCTTCAACAAATGGGAAAACTGAATATCCATGCAGAAGAATGAGAGTAGACCCCTACTACATATACAAAAATAAACTCAAAACGGATTAAATACTAAAACATAAGACCCAAAAGTATAAAACTACTAGAAGAATACATAGGAGAAGCAATTCAGGACATTAGATTTTTATGGCTAAGACTTCAAAAACAGGCAACAAAAACAAAAATAGACAAACGGGGTCACAGTAAACTAAACATCTTCTGCAGAACAAAGAAAACAATCAACAGAGTGAAGAGACAACCTGCAGTATGAGAGAAAATATTTGCGGACTATTTATCCAACAAGGAACTAATATCCAGAACATAACAGGAAATCAAACAACTCAACAGCTAAAAAAAAAAAAAAAAGCCCAAATAATCCCATTAAAAAGTGGGCAAAGGGTCTGAAGAGACATTTCTTAAAATAAGATACACAAGTGGAAAACATGTATATGAAAAAATGCTTTGCATCACTAATCATGAAGGAAATGCAAATAAAAGATAGCTCACCCTAGTTGGAATGGCTATTTTCAAAAGGACATAAAATAACAAATGCTGGCAAGGATGCAAAGAAAAGGGAACGCTTATATACTGTTGGTGGGAATCTAAATTAGTGCAGCCATGATGAAACACATCATGGAGGTTTCTCAAAAAGCTAAAAATATAACTACTATACACTCCAGCAATCCCACTATTGGGTGTTTATCCAAAGGAAAGGAAATCAGTATATCAACCAAAGAGGTAAAAGATCTCTACAAGGAAAACTGCAAAACACTGATGAAAGAAATCATAGATGACACAAACAAATAAAAACACATCCCATGCTCATGGATAGGTGGAACCAATATTGTGAAAACGACCATACTGCCCAAAGCAATATACGGATTCAATGCAATTCCCATCAAAATACCATCATCATTCTTCACAGAATTAGAAAAAATAATCCTAAAATTCACATGGAACCAAAAAAGGGGCCTCACAGCTAACGCAAGATAAGCAAAAAGAACAAATCTGGAAGCATCCCATTACCCAACTTCAAATTATCCTACAAGGCTATAGTTACTAAAACAGCAGGGTAGGGGTATAAAAATAGGCATGTAGACCGACGGAACAGAATAGAGAACCCAGAAAGAAAGCCAAATATATTAAGTAAGTGCTGATCCGCAACAAAGCATACAAAAACATAAATTGAGGAAAGGGCACCCTATTCAACAAATGGTGCTGAGAAAACTGGCAAGTCACATGTAGAAGAATGAAACTGGATCCTCATTTCTCACATTATATAAAAATCACCTCAAATGGATCAAAAACTTAAACCTAAGACCTGAAACCATAAATATTCTAGAAGATAACATTGGAAAACTTATTCTAGACATTGGCTTAGGCAAAGAATTCATGAATAAGACTGCAAAAGCAAATGTAACAAAAACAAAAATAAATAAATGGGACCCAATTAAACTAAAAAGCTTCTGCACAGCAAAAGAAATAATCAGCAGAGCAAACAGACAACCCACAGAATGGGAGAAAATATTCACAAACTATGCATCTGACAAAGGACTAATATACAGAATCTAAAAGGAACTCAAACAAACCATCAAAAAAAATCCAAATCCCATCAAAAAGTGCACAAAGGACATATAGACAATTTTCAAAAGAAGACATACAAACAGCCACCAAACACATGCAAAGATGCTCAACATCACTAATGATCAGGGAAATGCAAATCAAAACCACAATGAGATACCACCTTACTCCTGCAAGAATGACCATAATTAAAAATTCAAAGAACAATAAATGTTGGTGTGTATGTGGTGAAAAGGGAACATTTTTAGAACTGTTGGTGGGAATGTAAACTGGTACAACCACTGTGGAAAACAGTATGGAGATTCCTTAAAGAACAAAAAGTAGAACTACCATTTGATCCAGCAATCCCGCTACTGAATATCTACCAAGAGGAAAAGAAGTCACGTAGGAAAAAGACACATGCATATGCATTTTTACAGCAGCACAATTTGCAATTGCAAAGATATGGAACCAACCAAAGTGCCCATCAAACAACAAGTAAATAAAGAAAATGTGGTAGATACAGACCATGGAATACTACTCAGCCATAAAAATGAACAAAATCAGGTCTTTGCAGCAAGTTAGATGGAGCTGGAGGCCATTATTCTAAGTAAAATAACTCAGGAATGGAAAACCAGTATTGTATGTCCTCATTTATAAGTGGGAGCTAAGCTATGAGGATGCAAAGGCATAAGAATGATATACTGGACTTTGGGGACTCAGTAGGGAAGGTTGGAAAGGGGATGAGGGATAAAAGACTTCATATTGGGTACAGTGAACACTACTTGGGTGATGGGTACACCAAAATCTCAGAAATCACCACTAAACAGCCTATCCATGTAGCCAAACACCAACTGCACCCCAAAAACTATTGAAATAAAAATTACTTTTAAAAAAGCAAATACAAAACAAAGAAATCAGTATATCGAAGGGATACCTACATTTTCATGTTTATTGTAGCACTATTCACAATAACCAAGATATGCAATCATCCCAAGTGTCTATCAACAGAAGACTGGATAAAGAAAATGTGGCATATATATACACAATGGAATACTACTCAGCCATAAAAAAGAATGATATACTGTCATTTGCAGCAACATGGATGGAAATGGAGGTCGTTATGTTAAGTGAAATAAGTCAGGCACATAGACCAATGGAATAGAATAGAAAACCCAGGAATAAATTCACATAAAGAAAAAATATTGCACGCTCTTACTTACATGTGGTAGCTAAAAAAGTTTATCTCATGGAGATAGAGAGTAGAATGATGGTTACCAGAAACTGGGAAGGGTGTGAGGCAGTGGGAGGGATGAAGAGAGATTGGTTATATACAGAAACGTAGAAGGAATAAGTCCTAGTGTTGGACAGCATAGTAAGGTGACATAGTAATAATAATTTATTATTTCAAAATTGCTAAAAGAATTGAAATGTTCCCAAAGCAAAGAAATGATAAATGTTTGAGGTAATAGATATCCTAAATATCCCAATTTGATTGTTACACATTGTATGCATGTATCAAAATATCACACATACTCCATAAGTATGTACAATTATTATTAATCTATAAAAATAGGAAAAAATAAACATTTTTGGTATGATAAAAAGCCAATTGGAACTTACATACACCAAAAATGCACTAGTGTGTGTTGAGAAAACACTTATTTTAAAAAAGAGTTTTCACATATCAATAAGAAAAGGATCAATAATATTTTCTAAAAGCAAGAAAATATATAAACAGTTCATAGAAAATACAAATGATTCTTAAACTTATAAAAAGATGCTCAACATTACTCATGATAAAAACACAAACTAAAACAGAGTGCTGTTCCCCTCCATCACATTACTAAGTTTTTGATATACATTGTGATGGAAAGGGAATGGAGAAATAGGCACACTTCCATATTGCTGCTGGGCGTGTACAATTTCTATGGAGAAGAGTCTACATACATGCATATACTTTTAACATAAATATTCCTCTTCTAGAAATTATCCTGCAGATACACTCACACAAAATGATCTGTGCACGAGGATGTTGTGTTACACTGTTTGTAATAGGAAAAGTTAGGAATAGTTTAAATGTTTATGTATAGACTAAGTAAATCATGGTACATCTATGTGTATTGGTACATGTAACGTACCAATTAGAACATGAAGCTAATTAAAAAGAATGCAGTAGAAGTAGCTCTCTACATACATATATTGAACAGCCTCCAAAATGAAATGTCAGGAGAACAAAGCAAGGTGCAGAATAAAATGTAAAGCTACCAATTAACTAAAAAGAAAAAAGAATATGCTCTCTTAAATGACACATAAGACACTGATAACAGTGCTTGTCTCTGTGGAGGGTAACCCAGTGGTGGCTTAGAGCAAGGAGGAAGAAGGAAACTTACATTTCACTACATACTCTTTTTGAGTTGTGTTCCACTTGTATATATTACCTCAAAAACTAAAAATTTGTAAAGCCTTTTTAAATATAATTTCTTTTCTCTGACTTATGCATCTTCTCAATTCTCAACAAATATGCACTTAGTGTCTATTCTGCCAAAGAGGGTGTCATGTTTGTGGATATTCTTGTTTTGTTCCAGGGACAGGCGGGATAAATTTAGCCCTTAAGGGTATCGGTGTTTCAATAGTCATTGTGATTATGGTCTGTCTGAGAAAATAAAAATAGACAACACTAACTCTTTTCAAAAAGTCCTTTAAATCATTTTTGTTCTTAAGCAAATCTGTTGCCAAACATCAAAAGGTTTTTCTTTACCTTCGTGTCCAAAGATAAACTGTTTTTCAAAGGCGCTTCTTATTTTACCAAAAACAAAACGAAAATAAGATTCTCAAAGTTTTATGGGATGTAGCTGCATCAGGGTATGAAGGGAATGTCTTCTTCAAGCAAAAGAAACATTTTGTTCACATTTTGTTTGAATCTCTTTCCTCTTTAGAACTGCTATGCCAAGTTTCAACCTGAAAAGATGTGCCTGTAATGGATGTGCTGACAGACCTTTATCTAAAGAAACAGGAATGTAATACAATCACTCTTAGCCAGGTGTGTTGAATATTTTTCATTATTTTAAAGTCTCTACAAGCATTTCTTTAAAAAACCTATGCCCTTGGTGACACTAATTCAGAGTAATAGAAAAGTTTACTTAAGTCATGAAGTCTCACACATTAGAGACTACCAAACTATGCTATTCAGCCACATCAATTTGACATTAATGAGATGTAAATGAGCGTATTTATCAGTCTCAATAAACCCACAAAAGTGTTTTAACCACAACATCATTAAGGACAGGGGGAAAAAAGGTTCAGGAAATACACGCATCTCAGTTCTTTCTATTTCTCAGACTCCTTTCCTCTTCAGAACTTTGTGTCCAACTTGGTTTTCCACTGGGAAGAATCCAAGCTGTAATGCCAGCTTTGGGTATTTTGCCAATGTTGAAAATTTTGAGATACTCTAAAAATGGTTGACATACTGCATTACCTACTAAAACAGATTCCCTATGATTAGTTTTGTTGCTTCTAGTTGAACAATTACTTTTTAGAAATAAGACTAAGTTTTTATTACAAGACAGTATCCCCCCTCCTCCACTTCCACTTTCTTACAAGTAATAGAAAAGTCTTGTCACGGGTTTATTTGTTTTTCATTTCTCTTTTCTAACCACCATTTTCCTCAGTTACAGCTCCAACTTTAGCATTTTATTGCGATTTATTCAATATGATATTTGAGCCACTTCCCAACTAGCCAGACAATATAGTGTTCACACTACCCACAGCTATCTAGTCAGCTAATGTCACCTCCCAGCTTAGAGCCCTCAGATTGCACCCTATCTTGCTCAGAATAAAAGCTGAAGTCTTATGGATGTCCCACAAGTCCCATCTTATGTTCAGATCTCATCTCTACTGAGGCAGGAGAATAGCGCCAGGAGGCAGGGACCCTAAGGCCAATTCACACTGACTTCCTAGAACTAAATCATAAGGAAAACCCCAACTTTCCAAGCCCATGTAACAAAAGTATCAGAGGCTACTCCCTTTACAACACACCCCTTCCGGTATCAGATGAAAAATGGAAAGTACCTCTGATTTGTCCCCTCCCACCACCAATCAGGCTGGTCACAGGCCTAGTCTTCATTTGCATAGGGGTGTAACTTTGTAACCACTTCAGTCTCTGACTGATCATGAAAGGCGACTAATCAGACTGGTCATGGCCCACTACCTCATTTATGTAGGATGTAACCAAGTAACCAATGGGAAACCTCTAGATGGTATTTAAACCCCAGAAAATTCTGTAACCACTGCTCCTGAGCTGCTTGCCCAAGTCCACTCTCATTCTGTGGAGTGTACTTTCACGTCAATAAATCTGTACTTCCGTTGCTGCATTCTTTCATTGCTTTGTGTGTGTTTTGTCCAATTCTTTGTTCAAACTGCCAAGAACCTGGATGACTCCTAGTCAAGACTCCACTGGTAACATCTACCATTCCCCTTCTCTGCTCCAGTCACTCTAGCCTCTTTGCTGAAGGGCAATATTCCCACCTCAGTACCTTGGTAGTAACTGTTCCTTCTGCCTGGCACACTCTTACCCAGAGTGAACAGTACACCTTCATCTTGGTTGAAAATGTTTGCTATTTGGGTGATGGCTATGCTTGAAGCCCAAACCTCACCATTAAACACTATATGCATGTAACAAACCCACACATGTACCCCCTGAATCTAACATTTTAAAAAAAAATTTTAAAGAAACAACATTCACTTCTCAAAGAAGCACTCCTTGACCACCCCATTTTTTTTAAATTGAGACAGAGTCTTGCTCTGTCTCCCAGGCTGGAGTAAAGTGATGCAAGCTCAGCTCACTGCAGCCTCTGCCTCCCAAGTTAAAGGAATTTTCATGCCTCAGCCTCCAGAGTATCTAGGATTACAGGCACGCACCACCAAGCCCAGCTAATTTTTGTATTTTTAGTAGAGATGGGGTTTCGCCATCTTGGCCAGGCTGGTCTCGAACTCCTGCACTCAAGTGATCTGACCACCCTATTTAAAACTGAAACAACTCCCCAATCCTAGCAATTGTTTTCCAACTCCTTTGCTTTATTTTTTGGCATAGAATATGCCACCTCCAAGCATGCTATAAAATTAATTTATCCATTTGGCTCATTGTCTCAATTTCCAGTCTAGAATGGAAATTCCATCAAGGCAGGGATATTTCTCATCTGTTTTGTTCACTGCTATATCCCCAGTACCTAGAACAGTGTCTAGTACATGGCAGGTCCCAGGGATGCTGCACAGAACAAGGCTGACTGTGTACTATACAACCTCACAGGACACCATTCCCATGGTTTTGGAGTGGTACAATGGGGTAGCCCTGTCAAGGAACAAAGTATTTATTAACTCCCTACCTTATGATCTCTAGAACAACAACTTTCACAAACAGTTTAAGAAGCCCATGAAGCTTTATTTTTGCCTCCTGTTTGTTTTCATAGTTTATTTTTATTACATAGAAAGCTGGTGTTGGACATTGCACAGAGAGACAATTATCTGATTCTATCAAAGGAGAAATACTTATCTATTTCACCCAAATCTCTAATAATCCTCTAAATCACAAGACCTGCTAGGATCTATTTGTTTCTGCCAGGCCCCTAAAAATCATATTAATGAACTATCACTCAAGCTAAACACTTCTTTTTAGTTGCCCCAAGTTTTCAATTTTCTCATCAAAATGAAAGAAATGTAAAAGTAGTTCTTCAAAGAGATTCTACAGGTAAATTAACTGAGAATTAGGAAAGAATCTAAAATGCTAAACCTTCATATATTCCATAAATACAAACCAAGGAGAAGTTGGCAACTATGTTCTTTTCTCTTTTTTCCTAATCTTTTAGAAATGAGTTGCAGATTTTTCAAATGATCCTTCATTCATTCCAAGCCCTAGAATTACTTGGAAGAATATTCTTTCAAATTTAATGTATTACAATAAACCTCAAATTGATAGTTTCCTTGTTGCAGCTGCCAAACCTTAGGTAGGCCATTTGTTTTTCTTTTGTTTTGCATAATTCACATGGATTTGACAACACAATGGTTGGTACTGTAGTGAAGCAACACATCCTGAGAGGATATTCTTGGCAAGTTAAGAGCTGAATAGGATTACAAATGCTACTTTACACTATAGCTTTTACAATTTACAGTGGAACACTAAAATTTTGAAAGATGAGAATTATGTTTACTCTCTCAGACATACTTGCATATGCTTTACACACACACACGCTTTTTTATATGTACTCTAAATCTTATGCTTCTGTAATTGTATTCCTAATAGTTCCAGCCACCATAATGCTGAGAACGAAGCAGGAATTCAAAATAAATATTTGTAGACCAGTGTATCACTGGTTGACAAAAAGACTTAAGGTTATCAAGTACAAGGAAAGGAGCTACATACAGTAAAGTACGCTAAGTTTTTTAAATTACAGTTTTTATGTTGGGATCACTGTAGATTCACATTGAGTTATAAGAAAGAATACAGAGAGATCCTATGTAAACTTTCCCCAGTTTCCCCAGTGCAGCATCCTACAAAACTACAGTACTTTATCAGAAGCAGGATACTGCCATTGAGACAGTCCAGACATAGAGCATGTCTATCACCACAAGGATCCGTCCGTCCTGTTGCTCTTTTACAGCTACACCCACGCATCCCTCTACTCCCACCCCCACCCAAACTCCTTAAATCCTGGCAACCACTAATTTGTTGTTCATTTCTATAATTCTGTCATTTAAAGATTGTTATATAAATAGAAACGTGTATATAACCTTTATGATTGATTTTTTTCTCAGCAGAATTCCCTAAAGATTCTTCCAGGTCATTGCCTATATAAATAATCTTTTCCTCTTTATTGCTGAGTAGTATTCCATAGTATGGATATATCACAGTTTGTTTAACCATTCATCAATTTAAGGACAACTGGATTCTTTCCATTTTGGCTATTACAAATAAAGCTGTTATAAACATTAGCATAAGGCTTTTATCATTAGATAATGTCTGTCTCTGTTAATTTTCTTTCATCTGAAGTCTACTTTATCTGATATTAATATATCTGCTTTCCTTTGATTGATCTTTGCATGACACCATCTATCCTCATTATTTGTGGATTCCATATTTGCTAATTTGCCTACTCACTAAAATTTATTTGTAACCCCAAAATCATACTTGCATTGCTTTTGCAGTCATTTGTGCACAAGTGCAGTACAGCCAAAAAAAAAAAAAAAAAAAAAAAAAAATTGAGTCACTCCATACACATGTTCCTAGCCTAGGTCAAACAAGTAAATACTTTGCCTTCTTGTTTTAGCTCTCATGCTGTAAACAACTGTTCTCACAGTTTATTTAGTGCCACGGTTTTGATATGTTTGTACTTTTTGTTGGTGATTTTACTGTTTAAAATGGCCTCAAGCATAGTACTAAAGCCCTATTGTTCCTAAGCAAATGAAAGCTCTGATGTACCTTACAGAGAAAACATGTGTGTGCGATAAGCTTTGTTCAGATATGAGTTCTAGAGCTCTTGGCAATGAGTTCAAAGTTAATGAATCGATAATATATACTCAGTAAGGTGTCTTTAAACAGAACACATAAAATAAAATTATTCATTGACCAGTTGAGAAAAATGTGACCAGAGGCTTGCAGGAATCTAGCTCTGTATTTCCCCTAGGAACAGCAGTTTAGTATTTACAAATTCAGCATTCACAGCAGTTTTACAGAACATAACTACCATGATTAACAAGAATCAATTACATATGTTTTTCTCTCCTTTCCAAATTGCCTATATGTTTACATATGAAGTAAGTTTCTTGTACATAGCATAGAGTTGATCATGTTTTTCAATCCATTCTGGCAATCTGTTTTAAATTGTTACATTTACGCCATTAACATTTAATGTAATTGTTGATATATTAGAACTTGTCCACAATTTTATTTCTTATTTTCTATTTTTCTTCTCTGTTTTTTGTTTCTCTAGGTTTTTTTTCCTCCTGTCTTTCTGTGACAAGTAATTTTCAATTGAAACCCAGATATTTATATTATGTTATGAGACTCCACATCCATTTTAGTTGGATTTCTCTGACACTACTGCAGGGGCAATGGAGAGTGGGAGGTGTCACTGCCTCATCAATGCCAGATAGAGGTACAAGTCCAGGTTCCATTGACACTCAAGGAGGGGCAGGGTCTCCTCATACATTCTGAGTGAAAGTGAGAGTTGTAGATCCTCCATGTGGTATCCACTGACACTGTGGTAAGATGGCCTCAATACTTCTGGGAAACGGTAAAAGTCCACTAGATCTCCTCTGACATCATGCCAGCAGGGCAAGGGAGAGGTGCATTATTGTCAATTAGGCCACAAGTCCAAGATCCCCGCTGACATCACAAGTGGGGATGTGGTGGGGGCAGCAGGAGGCTCATTACTGGTTGATGGGAAGGAAAGTACCTCTACTTGGTCTTCTCTGACCCTACCCTGGCAGGGATATTCAGATACCTCATCACAGCCTTATTAGAGTAGACATCTAAGATATCCACTCAGTCTTTGCTGAATACATAAGGGTGGGGCCACAATTTTTTCTGTTTGTTTGCAATAGAGTGGTTACTTTTTAAAAGTTTTGTTTTGCTGGATTATCCCTTTTTGGGTCCTTTGTTAGAGAAAACAGGCTTTTGCTGGAGATTTTTTTTTTTTGTCTGCACCATTGGCATCTCCAAGTTACCCATTTGTTCAGCTCTAAGTCTGAGATATACAAGGCAAAAAGAAAAACCCAGGGAACTCAGTAATGTGTCATTCCTCAGGTCCTGAGGTCTCCAGCTGGTTTGCCTTATTCTCTCCACCTTTCAGAGTCTTCTTATATTTGTTTTATATATATAATGTCAAGGGTTTTTAGTTGCACTTAGGAGACAAATAGGAAAAACTACATTTACTCCATCTTCCTGGAAATGGAAACTCTCCAACACGTTAATTTTTAACAACACACTGTGTAAAATGCAAAATTTTCACAAAGCAAACATGAGTGTTAATATTTCCTTTCTACATGTTTCATTTTTTCCTGAATATGGTCTCTTTGAATCCTCTTCTGAGCTACCCGAGTCAGAATAAATTACTCCCTTCTTCAAATGTCCACAAGCATATCATTTACTTTTCTGCAATGCTTTATAATCACCCAATGATCTCATCCTTGGTCATGTAATAAAGCAAATTGAAGATGAGAACCATGTAAGATTCATGTTTAGATTTTCAATATCTAAATGTCTGATTGCAGACATATATTATGGTAACTTGCACAGTGTGGGGCAGACAATGGATATCCAATAAATATTTGTTGACTGAATAAATGAACAAATGAATATTTATTCAGCAGTTACCCATATGTCCTAGAACTCAATAAGAATTTGTCTAACTGAACCAAATTGTTTCAACATCTGTCAGTCCAATCAATCCAAACTTATTTCTCCCCATGAGGAAAAGGGAAGCTCACAAACTATATCCAAAGTGTGATTATTGCAAATTAGTACTTTTCCCCAATTAATAATTAATCATTAGCAACTTTTTTTTAAATTTATGCCCAGAACTGTCCATGATACAAAATAAGTAAAAGTCAGGATCCCTGCCCTCAGAAGCATCAAACATATTGTGGAGAATAAAAGATATATAATAATTAAAGGTAAATAATCAGTAGTGAAATTGAAGTGTAAGAAAAATAGAGAATACAGGTGATCTAGATAATTAGACAAGACTTCATATAAGAGACAGGACTTCAGACACACTTTGAAGGATAGCTAATATTTAGTTGGCAGACAGTAGAGCAAAGAAGGGGATTTCGGGTTGGGAACAATATAGAAAGATATAAAGATAGAAACAAACTTGGCCTAAGTGTGGCGACGGAGAGGTTCATTTAGAAAAGGAGATAAGGCCAGGTGCGGTGGCTCACACCTGTAATCCTAGCACTTTGGGAAGCCGAGGCGGGCAGATCACGAGGTCAGGAGTTTGAGATCAGCCTGGCCAACATAGTGAAACCCTGTCTCTACTAGAAATATAAAAAAATTAGCCAGGCGTGGTGGCACACACCTGTAATCCCAGCTACATGGGAGGCTGAGGCAGCAGAATTGCTTGAACCCGGGAGGCGGAGGTTGCAGTGAGCCGAGATCGTGCCACTGCACTTCAGCCCAGGTGACAGTGTGAGACTTTCTCAAAAAAAAAAAAAAAAAGAAAAAGATAAGCCTGAAAATTAGAATTTCAAAATTAGAGAAATCAAAAAATCACCATCATCTGAACTACATTATGATTTATAAAAAGTTTTAAAACATGCATTTTCTTATGTAAGCTACCAAATATCTTTAATAAAATGCAGAGGAGGAACGTGAAGTGACTTGAATCTAGGTCTTCAGACACTCACCCATGTAATATGTACACACCATTTACTCTCTGTAATGTCCAAATGGCGGGGTAGATTTTTTTGTGGGAGAAGTGGGGATGATGTTTCCCCAGTGAGATAACTCTGGCAATATTCAGAAAGCCGTATTAAAAAAGAGAGACTAGAAAGGCAACAGCTAATATGAGTAAGGAAGAAGTAAATCTGGGAGCTATTTCAGAAGAAGATAAATGACTTGATAGAAGGGAAAGGAAGGGAGTCAAAGCTAAGGTTTCTGAGGTAGGCATTGAGGAAAACACTGGTACCTCACCAAGAGAATCAGAAAACCTAAATGATGCCTAAAACTCCAGTTTGGTTTTTAACACTGAGCTCAGGAACTATATAGGCTTTAGAAAAGCAGGACAGAAGAGGGCCATCAAGCCCGGGAGCAATACATGGTGTACGAGAGCTGCTAAAACAAAAATAAAAATCCTTAGCCTCTTCGAAGTCTAGAGGCCAAGAGCCATATTTGAATGGCCACCTGGTCATCTCAACCAAGACGGCTCTAGCCACCTTGTGATAGACCAGTCGATACAGTTTTTGATTTACCAGCATACTTTCCCATGTTCTGGCTTTATTTTCTTTAGGGTAGTCCTCCCTGATCCCTACACTCTGGTCTAGGTTGACTGTCAATCACAATACCATTCCTCACCCTGTACTCTGCACCTAAACTACAGAGCTGGAATGACTCAAGTAAGGCAAATCAGAATCTTTCCTGGCGTTGGTATACAATGTATTAACTATATTCTCTTATTTTCTGTATTCTTAATGTTCTGGCATCCAGGGACTCAATGGACCAGGAGGGACTGTCCCTCACAGCATTAGCTAATTGCTAGTGATAGCAAATAACACCCCTGTAAGCATGCCTTTCATACAGAAACTAGCCAATCCAAAGCCCATCCCACCAGCATGACCTCCCTTATCAAATCCTCATACACCTAGCCAATATTCTCCTGCCTTTATAACCACAGGGCTAGGTACCAGACGTCTTGCTAAAGAACTCTACAACCCAGAGCCCACGAAAATCATTCAAACTAGCCAAACCTAAGCCTACTTGCTTTGACTCATCCATTCCTTCCCACAAACCCCACAATAAAGGCTCTTTCCCTCACTCCTTCTGCTTCCTAACTGACCCTGGTGCTTCCCTGTGTGGTCTGCATGTCATTGTGTGCCCCCATATCATAGGAGATATGAGTAACAAATTATATTTTCCATTGGCAATTTTCTCCTAATCTCCTGGCCTCACCATATCTGAATAATAATAAAACCTACATTTAAAATATATGGATGTTGCAAATAAAAGTTATTTCCACCGGGATCGCTGGAATGTGAACCTGGAGGTACCCATTTGCCTACCATATACTGAGAGCCTGTCTTTGGAATGAAAACAAGCAAGACAAGCTAATCTAAGAGACAGAGATCATAGGAATAGAGATAAGCCCATATCATATTTGAACCCTGGAGAGCCAGGTATGCCTAAATCCAGAAGCACCTATGAACTTACTAATTATGAACATCACAAATTCTCTCATTTGGTTTAATCCCATCTTGGTTGAATTACTTTCACTTGAAACCATATGTTCTGATTCAACATCTCCAAACTCATCACCTTCCCCTAAATCTTCCCTAACTCGGGATTTCCCTCTTTCTGTTAAGGAAACCATAATTGTCCCTATAATTCAGGATCAAGAGTGTAAAATCACCCATTCATTCCCCACGTATTCAATCAGTCATTAAATCTCATCATTCTGTTCTCTTGACATTCTTTCTTCTGTTCCTACCAACACATTGTTTATCACTTTCATTCATGTCTTCCTTATTTCTCTCACTTAGTAATAGTATCATATGTAACTCATCTTAATTATCCCTTCTCTGAAATCTTTTGTCTGCCCTAGCCAAATCACTCCCTTGCTCTGTTTTTTCCTTGCTTTTTCTCCCTTGCTTTTGCCTCTCCCTTTCTGCCATTCTTTACCCTGGCTCTCTACAATCGATTCAGCTCAAGCAAGATATTTTCCAGGATACTTTTACTGACCTGCCCTTTCTTTTCACAGGTCATGTTGAATGTCCTCTTCTATTGTTTCCTCGGACCCTCTGCTTACCTCCTTCAAAGTACCCCACAGTCTGAGTTTAAATTATCCAGAGCATATCACTAGACTTAAAGCTTTTCAAGGGAAGCATTGCTGTCATATGGATGATCTAGCCAGTATATACTAAGAGCTTAAAAAAATGCTCTTGAGCTGCCCAAGTGAATTATGTTTCCTTCATTCCTGTATCATCATCATTCAGCATGTGTGCGGTACAATGGCAGCTAGATTAATGTTGCCTGTCCAGTGAAGGGCCTCCCCACCTCCAGTCTATTTGTACTTCTATCCACACAAATCACCATTTCAGATTAATCTTGGCTCACAACTTTACTTGGTGGTTAATGATTTCAACAGCATTTTCATTAGCACCTTAGGACGCCTTTACCCTTACTCCTCACCTCCTTTCTTATTCCTCAAAGGTAATTTTGAATTTTCTCTGTGTTTGCTCCAGGGTACATAATGCCATCATCTACATTCCCAAAATCATGCCACTATAAACTAAGGCTGTCTGACCTCAGCCATATCCTCTGCATTGCTGCACAACCCTTATATTTATCTTCAGTTGACACGTATCAAATTCTCCACAGCAGCTGCTATGAAACTTTTCCATTCTCTTTAAGCCTCAAATTTCACTCCTATTCCCCCTCATGCTCAGAAAAAGCTCTCCTCTTCTACGTAACTGAAGAGACAATAGAATGACCATGACATGCTTTGTCTTTCTTCATCCTCACCTTAAAGTTCTTCTATCCCTTTACCTATAGAGTCATTCTGAGCTCCTGTCCCAGTGAAAGAACTGCCCACCCTCCTTTCCAAAGCCAAATACTCTGTTCATACTGTACCAATTATCTAATTTTTCTCTTGTTCTTTTGCTCCTTCTCTTTACCAAATAGGAATGCTTAAACATCTTTGGACCAAAGAAGTATTATTTCATATTTCAATATTAGCTAGCATTTCTTGAGAATTTACAATGTGGCAAGTGTTGCTGCATTTTACATAGATCATTTTATTTAATTTTAATAATAACCTTCGATGTTCTTGACATTATATTCCCTATTTTATGGATTAGGAAACTGACACTAGTAAAAATAGAAATTTGCTCAAGGTCATACAGTTTTTTTTTAATTTATAAACTCCAACTTTTCCAAAGAATAATTTAAACTCCTTTGATTCTTCTCCAATATTGCCTTCCTCACTTCCTTTATGTTTCTACAGCATGTGTCCAAGTCCTTCACTGCTCTTCCAGTCACAGAGACTTATCATTGAGCATTTCTGTCAACAGAGATGATGACACACACACACACAAACACACACCTACACACACAATATTTGTTCAATAGAAGTTTAAGATGTTGAAAAAAATGAAGTCAGCCCTTAGAAGTATATAAACACATATCAGCACTGCTCTTTTCTCTATCTCAACTGCAATCACTTTTATAATTTTTTAAGCACAAACGGTTTACAACTGTGCAAAAGAAACTAAAGATTTTCTTAGGTTTGAAAAGTGCTCACAGCCTGGATATTTTCTTTAGTTACCTAACCTAATCCCATGGTCCACAGCTTGGCACAGTCTCCACAGTTCTCAACAGGGACAAGATCAGGCCCAGAAAGGAAGAGCATACAACAGTATCAGCTGAAACTGCTTCCCCATCAGGAAGGCCAAGGCTGACAACAGGTCAGCTGAGGAAACAAACATTTCTTCCATTGACAAGTGTTTAATTGGACATTTGGAGAATCTAATGTCATGTATGCAGATGAAAATGTTTGAGGAGTTGTTTACAGTGTAGTTTGTGCCAGACAGTCTCCAGTGCCAAGCCAGCACACAGCCTCCCATTATTCTGCTGGGCTCCACTTCTGAAGATGTTTCGGGGCTCTCTGAGCCTTGTAAATTTCCACATCCAAAGGCTCATCTGTGTTTTCAATGCAGAGTCCTTTTTCCCTTGTGAGGAGACATCAGTCCTTCCCCTGCCAATCTCTGTTATTGCCTGTCCTGGTTCAGAAATGGGTTTGGAAAAATGACTTGAAAGGTGATTACCCATTCTCTAGAAAGTTTAACGTTGAGATTTTGTTTTGTTTTGTTTGAGACAGGGCTTTGCTCTGTAGCTCAGGCTGGAGTGCTGGTGCGATCTTGGCTCACTGCAGCCTCACCCTTACAGGGCTCAGGTAATCCTGCCGCCTCAGCCTCTCAAGTAGCTGGGACCACAGGAGTGCCACACCACACCCAACTAATTCTCATATTTTTTGTACAGTTGAGGTTTTGCCATGTTGCCCAGGTTAGTGTTGAACTCCCGGGCTCAAGCGATCTGCCTGCCACTCAAAGTGCTGGGATTGTATGCATGAGCCACCACACCTGGCCAAGCATTGAAGTTTTAATAATTTTTGAAAAACCAACAAAAAGGAAATGCCAGACCCCAGCTCCTTACCCCAAAACTGGGTCTTAACAGATTTAATTATTTTGAGAATTGTTTCTGTTATTCATTGGCCCAGGAAAATAAAGCTTAGTAGCTCAGCTAATAGACAAGTCTACCTAATTATGCCAGCTTTAAGGATGCAGTTCTTCATTAGGAGAATAAACAAGGATATACTACAAATAAACATTGAGGAATCCATTTATCTTTAAGAACTGGACCATTAATACTCTGCCCTGAAAAATGCAATGCAGAAGAAGATGCGATTATCAAAAATTGTTACAATGTCTTCACTTTGCCCCCCATTTTATTATCACATATCTTCATCAAGAGAAATTTTTAAATGTTAAAAGTTCCAAATTGAAAATACACATTAAAAATACTGTTTATGTGTAATGTTAAGGATATTTAATTCAAGAAAAAAATAATGAACAAAAATTCTGCCACTCTTGCAAAAGACATATTAAATATAAGGACTATTATCCAAAATATACAAAGAACTCTTAAAAACTCAGCAACAAGAAAACAAACAACCCAATTAAAAAATGACCCAAAGACCTTAACAGACACCTTACCAAAGAAGATATAAAGTGGAAAATAAACATGTGAAAAGATACTTCACATCATATGTAAGCAGGGAAATGGAAAAGAAAACAAGATACCACTACAGACCTAGCAGAATGGCCCAAAACCATAATACTGACAACACCAAATGCTGGTGAGGATGTGGAGCAACAGGAATGCTCACTCATTGCTGGTGAGAATGTAAAATGGTGCACCCACTTTGGAAAATAGTTTGACAGTTTCTTAAAAAACTAAACATACTCTTAACATACAATCCAGCAATGGCATTCTTTAATATTTTCCCAAAAGGATTGAAAACATGTAAACACAAAAACCTGCACATGGATGTAAAGAGCAGCTTTATTCATAATTGCCAAAATTTGGAAGCAACCAAGATGATCTTCAGTAGGTGAACGGATAAATAAACTGTAGCACACCCAGACAATGGAATATTATTCAGAGCTAAAAAGAAATGTGCTATCAAGCCATAAAGAGACAGGGAGGAGAAGTAAATGCATATTACTCAGTGAAAGAAGCGAATCTGAAAAGACTACATACTGTATGATTCCAACTATATGACATCTTGGAAAGGGCAAAACTACGAACACAGAGAAAAGATCAGTAGTTGCCAGGAGTGAGGGGAAGGGAGGGATGAACAAGTAGAGTACAGGGGATTTTTAGGGCAATCCAAACCCATAGAAAGCACACCACCAAGAGTGAACGCTAATACAAACCATGGGCTTTGGGCGATGATGATATGTCTATATGGGTTCATCAATTGCAACGAATGTACCACTCTGGTAGGGAATGCACATGTGAGGGGCAGGTAGTGTATGGGATATTTCTACACCTTCTCAATCTAAAACTGCTTTTCAAAAAAAAGTAAAGTCTTTTTTAAAAAAAAGTCTGCCACTTGTTTTACATTTGATATGTTCATTTTTTACCCAATGATCTCCATTTTATAAAAAGTCACAATAAAAATATTAGCATTTCTTAACTAGTTCATTTTTCACACTGCAAAGATTGATTAATTATCTACTATGTTCAGAGCAACTGCCACTGTTTCATATATACAGAAATAAAGAATATGTCCTCTTTGGTCTCAGAAAGCTAGTGAAAGAAGAAGGCAAATGACTATCATATAAAACAAAATAAATTCTTCAGTACTTATATAAAGTAAAATAAAATCACAACAAAGTATTGCAGGATTATCTCTGGAGAGAATAAGAAAAAGATAACAGAAAAGATGATATTTCAGATCAGCCTAGAAGGCTGAATTAATTTTCATAGATATTAAATTTCATAGGTATGGTAGGAAGAGAATTTTCAGTTAAAAAACAAATATGAGCAAAGGTATGAACATTTATAGTATGTTCACCAATAATGTTAAAGAGTCTAGGAAAGCTGGGAAAGCACTAGGGAGAAGTATAAACACACACACACACACACACACACACACCAAATGTATTCTCAGCCCCATTTCAGACCTACTGATTCAGAACCTACAAGAAGTTGGGTGAGACCCCCAAATCAGTATTTTCTAAATCTTCCTAGGTGATCCATTATACATTCATGAGTACAGAATACATAGAGGGATACAGTCGGTGTTATGGGCTAAATTGTGTTCCCCAAAATTCATACGTTAAAGCCCTAACCCCCAGGGCTTTGGACTGTGACTATTTGAAAATGGGGCTTTGAAAGAGGTGTTAAGGTAAAATGAGACTATCAGGGTGGGCCCTAAAAGAATCTGACTGGTGTCCATATAAGAAGAGGAAACTGGAATACACAGAGCGATATCAGGGGTGTGCATGCACAGAGAGAAGACTATGTAAGTACCTCGAGAAAAGATGGCCACGTGCAAGCCAAAAAGAGAGGCCTCAGAAGAAACCAAACATGCAGACACTTTGATCTTGGACTTCCAGCCCCCACAACCATGAGAAAATTCATTTCTGTTGTTTAACCTACCCAGTCTGCAGGATTTTGTTGTGGTAGCACTAGCAAATACAGTAGGTACATGCACTATGAATCCACCTAGAAATATACCTTAATTACAGATCTTTAAGAACCTTAAATGCCAAATTAGGAGTTTGGGATTTATTCCACAAGCAATTTTTCAAAATGTAGGTCTTCTGAGAGAGGAAGTAACATGATCCAACTTATGATCTAACTCTGAGGCAGTGTAGAGGATAAAGTGGTTTAAAATATTCTGCATGGCCGAGTCAAGAGTTAGGACTAGCGTAATGACAGCAAGGATGTGGGCAAAATTCATAGACACAACAGCCCTTGGCGACTTACTAATTCTGAAGAAAAGGATTCAGGAAAGGTGGAGAGTTAAGGGCAATCTCCCCGACTATGAGCCTGTTTTGTACCCTGTATTTCAGACACATCAAATTAACTACTATCCCTTGGATTGAGATGCCACTAACCTAAATAGAAAATACAGAAAAAGCATGTTTGGAAATGAAATGAATGAAGTGAAAACCAGATAATGGAAATCAGAAAGAAGTAAAGTGTAGAGATGAAGATCTCATGTGTATAGAAAGATTATTAAAGCCGTAGGGTAAAGAGCACTGCCCACACTTCCAATTTCAGTACCAACATGTAAAGAACTCGGAAGTCAGCACTCATGTCCTTACAATAATGAAACAAAACAAAGTGAAAACCAGCGACTTTCCTTGGATGCCCCACAGAACTGAAGTTGCAGGGCAAACTACCACCCTAAAATCTGGAGAGACAGGCAAATCCAGAGAGTCACAGCCAAGATCTACTCACCTGGAACAGAAGCTGCTGGAACCACAAAATGGTAGGAACTCTGAAATGGTAATTTTGACAAATTACTGGAGGCTGAGTATAGACTAAAATGAGAGTGAAAAACACCTAGGGCCATAGTCTTTGTAGGGAAGATAACCACAAATTTGGGTAATTACAAGACAACTACCACAAAAGAGCAAAGACAGAAGGGAAACTAAAGTACCAATGGATAATAATAGTGGCTAATACTAACTGAGCATTTACCATGTGGCAGGTCTATCTTAAAGGTTTACATTTCCTAACCCTTACAACAACCCCATATGGCGGTGCATTTATTTCCTATTTCTGCTGTAACAAAATACCACAAATTTGGTATCTGAATACAAATTTATTATTTTGCAGTTCTTTAGGTCAGAAGTCTGACACTGTATGCATCACGTAAAAGCAAGGTATCGGCAGGACTGCATCCCTTTCTGGAAGCTTTAGGAGAGAATCTATTTCCTTGCTTTCCTCAGTTTCTAGTGGCCACCCACATTCCTTGGCTCGTGGCCACCCACATTCCTTGGCTCATGGCCCCCTTCCTCCATCTTCAAAGCCAGTGGCACTGTCTCTCTTTGAACATTCTTCCATAATCACATCTTCCTAACTCTCTGACTTCTTCTGCTTCACTCTTCCACTTTTAAAGACCTTTGTGATTACATTGGGCCCACCAGGATAATCCAGCATAATTTCCTATTTTAAGGCCAGATGATTAATAATGTTAATTCTATCTGCAACCTTAATTCCCCTTTGCAATGTAATCTAACATGCACAGTTTCAGGGATTAAGATATGGACACCGTAGGGGGTGGTAGGGAAGACAGTATTCTGCCCACTGCAGACAGTTATAATTTTTATCCCAATTTTATGGATGAAGAAATGGAGGTATAAAGAGTATATGTGTTTGGCCCAAAGTCACATAGGTGATGGTGGTAGACCTCAAATTTGAACTCAGGACAATGACTTCAAAGCCCATGTTCTTAACCATTAAGCCACAGGAAATGCAAGGTGCCAGTGAGTTATTAGTTTAAGTTGTAAACCCTAAAATTTGGACTGAGTAGGCAATGAAATGAAGTCAGAATAATGCTGATTTCCATGATGCACCTTCTGCTTCTCAAAGAACTTAGTTGGTGTTTATGATACCTCCAGCCACTTTCTAACCTTCCTTTGGTCCCTGATTTTCTTTAAGCTTTAGCTCAAAAAAGCTAATGAAAAGAAAAACCCTACAAAAGAATAGCCAGGTGTTTTAGATGGTAAATTTTGGTATACAATACATATGGCATTAATGATTTAAAATACTCAAATGTAACAAATACAGCCTCAGATTAGTTATGAATAACATAGATCCAATGTATTTTGATAATGAAAAAAGAATCTCAAAATGATGCTCTGGGCACAAAAGAGACATACGTATATAAACGTGGAAGATGAATTATATGAGCTACTTCACAGCATTATGAAAGGAGAGAGGTATGTTTTCTTTTCATCATCTCAACCTGTTAAAAGCTAGCTGGAAACAGGGGCTAAACCAGAGGGCTAAGGCACAAGGCCAGTAAGAGTAAGAAGGACTCTGGAATTCACTAAAGTCTTCATTTAAGGCTTTTGGGTTTTGTTGTCGTTGTTGTTTTGTTTTGTTTTTTACAATGTCTCATAAATGTTATAAGAGGATGTGAATTTTCTGTAAACATGTAGGCATGACATCAGCAAGATGGCAGAATAGGAAGTCCCAGGCTTCACTTGGCTTCACTTCCCTCTACAGAAAGTCCAACAAGCAACAATCCAAAGACAAGAACACTTTTGTGAAAACTTACAAACTTGAGAAAGAAACGGAGACAGCTGAATGAATAGGCCACTGAATCAAATAAAAACCACATTAGAAGAGGAACAATCTCACGTTGACTACACTGCCCCTCCTGCTCCCCCAGATCAGCATGGTGACACACAGAGAGAGGATTTTTTTTTGAGACAGAGTCCCACTCTGTTGCCCCAGCTGAAGTGCAGTGGCACAATCTCAGCTCACTGCAACCTCTGCCTCCTGGGTTCAAGTGATTCTCCTGCCTCAGCCTCCTGAGTAGCTGGGATTACAGACGCACACCACCACGTCCAGCTAATTTTTGTATTTTTAGTAGAGACGGGGTTTCACCATGTTTGCCAGGATGGTCTCAATCTCCTGACCTCGTGATCCACCCACCTCGGCCTCCCAAAGTGCTGGGATTACAGGCGTGAGCCACTGTGCCCAGCCAAGAGGATCTTTTTAACTGGGCCCATACAGTAAAAAAAAAAAAAAGGTAACCAGAGTTTCTAGACATCCAGCTCCCTAGCATTCTGAGACACTTCCCAGAAAGCCCACTCCCATCTGACCTCATGGGGAATACTGGCAGTAATGACATGGCTAGACCTCCTGGGTTAGGTATAAACAAAGAAAGGAGGCAGAGCTCACAGGGACCAGTGTGCAAATTTTGGTGATGGCTCTATGTTCCTCCCAGTGGTGGTGCACAATCAGAGATACCAGCCAATGGTATGGCTCACTTGCAAAGCCAAGTTCACTGTTCACAGAAACATGATGAGAAGGTCAGCCTGCTTTGAGTCTTTAGACGGCCAGCCTCAGAGGCGACCTCAATGCCTTACCCAGGCGGGAGATGTGGAGATGACCATCACAGGGCATTTCTGTGGATCATAGGGGTTGGAATTGCCTGACGCAGAAATCCAAAGAGTGACTCAATCCAGACTCAGAGCCCACTCTAAGGCCCTGCCCAGAGACAGGCAATCCTCAACTGTGCAGTTCTATGCAGCATATACTCCAGACCCCATCCATCCTGAGCAGCAACTCCACCTAAACTCAGAGTCCAGCCTGCAGCCCTGCTCAACTGTTGAACCAAAAAAGTAGTACCACCCAGCCAGGAAGTACACCCTACAACCTTGTCCAATCAGAAATTATAGCAGAGCTCAGCCAGTGGTCTCCCCGAAGCATGGGAGCCGAGCCAGCAGCCCCATCAGACCTCAGAGCAAAGGCAGCACCCAGCCAACTATAGCGAGCTCTGCCTGCATGGGGTCATTACCACCTGACCCAACTAGAATCACAGCCTAGACTAAGAAGTAAAGGTCAATCCCTGACAAAGAATACCTGTAAAGACCAGAAGAGCAAGCTGTTGGGGCTGGATGCAGTGGCTTATGCCTGTTATTCCAGCATTTTGGGAGGCCAAGGTAAGTAGATCACTTGAGCCCAGGAGTTCAAGACCAGCCTGGACAACATGGTGAAACCCCTCTCTACAAAAAATACAAAAAGTAGCCAGGCATGGTGGCAAACACCTGTGGTCCCAACTACTCAAGAGGCTGAGGTGGGAGAATCTTATGAGCCCAGGAGGTCAAGGCTGCAGTGAGCTGTCATTATACCACTGCACTCAGGAGGAAGCTGTCTCTTCAAATGTGCAGACACCAATGCTAGAACACAAGGATTACAAATATAGACGGTCCCCAATTTATGATGGTTCAACTTACAACTATACAACTTTACAACGGACTTATCAGGATATAACCCCATTGTAAGTCAAGGAGCATCTGCACTTATGATGGTTCAACTCATAATTTTTTGACATTACAATTGGTTTACTGGGGTATTAAACACATTTCTTACTTACAAAGTTTTGAAATTACTATGGGTTTAATAGGACATAAGCCCATTGTAAGTCAAAGAGCATCTGTAATCATCAAAAGAAACTAACAAAGTTCCAATAACAGACTAAAAAATGAAGATCTATAAAGTGGCAGAAAAAAGATTCAGAAAAATCCTTGTAAAGCAGTTCAGTGAACTACAAGAATATATGGATATAAAATTAAATGAAATTTGAGAAACAATACACAAAATGAGAATATAGAAGAAGTAGAAACAATAAAAAAGAAACCCAAGAGATAAAGAATACAATGACTTAATTGAAAAATGCAATAGAAATCTTCAACAGCAGACTCAATTAAGCAGCACAATCAATGAGCTAAATACAGAATATTTGAAATTATTCATCAGAGGAGCAAAAAGAAAAAAGAATGGAAAAGATGAAGAAAACCTACAAGAATTATGTGACACAATCACAGTCAAGGGAACTAATCTTCACATAATTTCAGAAGACGAAGAGAGAGAAAAATGGCCAGAAAGTATATTTTAAAAGGAAACAGAAAAAATAACCCTAAAATTCATAGGGAATTAAAAAAAATCACCAAGATGATCTTAAATAAAACAAACAAAACTGGAGGCATCACACTGCCTGATATCAAACTATATTGCAAAGCCATTAAAAAATCATTGAGGAGAAAGGATACCTGCCTAAACAGGGTTTTAATGCAGCTGAACATGCTGTATTCTGGAAAAAAAAAAAAAGCCACAAAGGACATTTATTAGTAAGGAAGAGAAGTGAGCACCAAGATTTAAGGTAGGAAGGCATAGGCTAACTACTGTTTCATGCAAATGCAGTCAGGTTTATGGTCAGGACTGTCATCTATAAAGCTGCTAACCTCCAAGCCTTGATGGAAAAAGATAAACATCAGCTACCAGTCTTTTGGCTTAAACAAGAACTATTTTTCTGGATTGGTTCCACTGATGCTTTTTCTCTGAAGTCAGAAAGTATCTTGCTGGTAAGGGAATGCCTTTTAAAATTATTTTCATATTAGACAATGCCCCTGGCCACCTAGAACCCCATGAGTTCAACATCAAAGACATCCAAGTGTCCTACTTGCCCCCAAACGCAACATCTCTAATCATCCTCTAGATTAGGGGATCATAAGGACCTTGAAGGCTCATTATACACAGTACTCTATGGAAAGGATGTCAGTGCTATGTTAGAGAACCCCGATAGAGAGAACATCATGAAAGCCTAGAAGGATTACCCCATTGAAGACACCATCATTGTTATAGAAAAAGCTGTGAAAGCCATCAAGCCAACAATAAGTTCCTGCAGGAGAAAACTGTGCCCAGCTGTTGTGTATGACTTCACAGGGTTTATGACAAAGCCAATTCAAGGAAATAATGAAAGCGATTGTAAATATAGTGGGAAAAAAGGTGGTGAATGAAGGTGTCAAGATATGAATCTTGGAGAAATTCAAGAGCTAATAGACACTACACACCAGAGGAATTGACAGAAGACAACTTGACGGAGTGCTTCTGAACCAGTGCCTTATGATGATGAGGAGGATATAAAAGTACCAAAAAGCAAATTAACATCAGACAATCTGGCAGAAGCGTTCTGATTATTTAAGACTGCATTTGACTTCTTTTATGACATGAACGCTTCTATGATATGGGCACTGAAGCTAATGCAAATAGCAGAAGAAAGACTGATACTGTATAGAAACATTTTAAGATAAACTTTACAACATTTTTAGAAAGAGAAAAGTAGCCATACAGAAATTATTATGTATTTCCAGACAGTTACACCAAGTGGGCCTGCCTCTCCTCCCTCGCCTTTCACCTCCTCGCTTCTTCCACCTCTGCCACCCCTAAGACAGCAAGACCAATCCCTTCTCTTCCTCCTCCTCCTCCGCCTACTCAACATAAAGATGACAAGAGTGAAGACCTTTATGGTGATTCACTTCCACTTAATAAATAGTAAATATATTTTCTCTCCCTTAGGATTTTCTCAATAAAATTTTCTTTTCTCTACCTTACTCTATTGTAAGCAGATAGTATATATTACATGTAACATACAAAATATGTGTTAATTGGCTATTTATGTTACTGGTAAGGCTTCCAGTCAACAGTTGGCTATTAGTAGTTAAGTTCTGGGGGAATCAAAAGTTATACTAGAATTTTCAACTGTAGAGGGAGTCAGCACCGCTAAGCCCCGCATTGCTCAAGGATGAACTGTATAAGGAACTCAAACAACTCAATAGCAAGAAAACAAGCAACCTGATTAAAAAATGGACAAAGAGCCTGAACAGACAATTCTCAAAAGACATATAAATGGCCAACAGATATATTAAAAAATGCTCAACATCATTAATTATCAAAGAAATGCAAATCAAAACTGCAATGAGACTATCTCACCCCAGTTAGAATGGCTATTATGAAAAAGACAGAAAATGACAAATGTACTAGGCACTGTGGCTCACTCCTGTAATCCAGCACTTTGGGAGGCCAAGGAGAGTAGATTGCTTGAGCTCAGGAGTTTGAGACCAGTCTGGGCAACATGGCGAAACTCCTTCTCTACAAATATACAAAAATTAGCCAGGCCCAGTGGCACACCTGTAGTCCCAGTCACCTAGGAGGCTGAGGAGGGAGGATGGCTTGAGCCTGGGAGGCAGAGGTTGCAGTGAGCCAAGATCACGCCCCTGTACTCCAGCCTGAGCAAAAGAACCAGATCCTGCCTCAAAAACAAAATTCTGGGGCCGGGTGCGGTGGCTCACGCCTGTAATCCCAGTACTTTGGGAGGCTGAGGCGGGCGGATCACGAGGTCAGGAGATCGAGACAATCCTGGCTAACAAAGTGAAACCCCGTCTCTAGTAAAAATACAAAAAAAATTAGCCGGGCATGGTGGCGGGCGCCGGTAGTCCCAGCTACTCAGGAGGCTGAGGCAGGAGAATGGCGTGAACCCGGGAGGCGGAGCTTGCAGTGAGCAGAGATGGCGCCACTGCACTCCAGCTTGGGCGATAGAGCAAGACTCCGTCTCAAACAAACAAAAAAAAATTCTGGTGACAATGTGAAGTAAAGGAAACTCTTATACATTGTTGATGGGAATGTAAATTAGTATAGCCATTACAGAAAACTTCATGGAGGGTCCTCAAAAAAACTAAAGATAGAACTATCATATGATCCACCAATCCCACTTCTAAGTACATAGCCAAAGATTTGAAATAATTATATTAAAGAGACATATGCAATCCCATGTTCACTGCAGCACTATTCACAATAGCCAAATTATAGAATCAACCGAAGTGTCCATCAACAGATAAATGGCTAAAGAATAGGTGGCACATATGCACAATGAAATACTATTCTGCCTTTAAAAATGAGGAAATTCTGTCATTTGTGACAACATGGATGAAGCTGCAGGACATTATGCTAAATGCAATAAGCCAGACATAGGCACAGAAAGACAAATACCACATGATCTCACTTCTACGTGGAATCTAAACAACAGAACTAAGAAGCGTAGAGTAGAATGGTGCTTACCAAAGTCTGAGGGGTTGGGGAAAATGGGGAATGCCAAAGGGTTCAAAGTTTCAATTAAACAAGAGGAATAAATTTTTTGAGATTATATTGTCAGCATGATGACTATAGTTAATTATACTGTGTTGTATATTTCAAAATTGCTAAGAGAGCAAATTTCAAATATTTTCACCACAAAAATGATAAGTATTTAAGGTGATGGGTATGTTTATTAGCTTGATTTAATCATTCCACATTGTATGGAAGGTTGTATTATGACATATATCAACATTACTTTGTATTTCATAAATATATACAACCATAATTTGCCAATTTACAGTAAAATAAAAAAGAACTTATTAATGCAAAAAAGGAGACATATATACATACATATACCCCATATATATCCCAATATATATCATGTACATATATATTCATACATAACATAATTTTTTGATTAATAATAAAATATACTATTAAATGTTCCATATCCCTATTCACTCATAAATTATATTATTCAACCTCATTAGTTATATTATTCAAATCTTGTGTATTACCATTTGACTTTGTCTACTTGATTTGTCATGTAAAACAACAGATCTAAAGTGTCCTACAAATAGCTTCGCTTATTTCTCATAGATCTAATCATTAGTTTTACATGTTTTAAAGATATGCATTTTTAAATGTTTGATGCATAAAGAGTCACAACTACCTCTTCTTCCTTACAAAGATTATCTTTTGTCAGTACAGAATAACTCTGGGTCTAATATAACAGTCTTTGCTTTGAAATATACTTGGTTTCATTTTAATACTGATGTAGAATTCAAGGACCATAAGAGTTTCTAGTTTTCTTACCCTGGCTCACTATATTGGTGAATTTACATTTATGACTTTCTTGTGGTCTAACTGTCAGACTCAAGGCAGTGCCAGTGCTGGGCTTCTCTCTCCATTTCCCAGCTGAGTTTTGCCCCATCCAATGGCATACCTGTTAGGTGCTTGGTAAACAGTAAAGGTAGCTGAATGGATTTAGCTGCAAGTCATGATGTCCATTGTATTTTAAATGGTCTCTAACAATTAGAGGATCCAGCTCCAGATCCCCATCTTCATATTCAATACCCAAGTCAGAAAAATCTTCATATATGATAAATATAGATGTAGGCTACTAGAGATGTATCTTGCTTTAAGTCAACCCCATATTTGAAAATCTGGATTTATTCAGATAATATATCAAGGAGTGACTGATTGTTCATTTTATAAAGGGATTATTTGCCTCATAAAAAATTTAATCATAACACTTTGGATATTGTGGACTCCCCTACTGCACTGAAAGTGTCATTTGATTTACGTAGATAACACTCTATGCACAACTCTTCATGAACATCCCTATTGTATATAGCATAATCAGTGCTAAGGATCCTTTCACATCACTGCCTGTCTCCCCAGAGATCTTGGCTCTTTTGGTCTTCAAATACCATCTGCTTTACTTTTACATTTATGTGATATGATATGATAAGGGAAGGAGGCACACTGCAGAAGGCCAAGGTTCCAAGGTAAGGCAAGGCGTTGATACAATGGACAAAGCAATGGACCCAAAGTCAGAAGGCTCTGAGTCCCTGCCAGCCATGGGATCTGAGCCGTCTGAGCCATGAAACAAACTGCAGCCTCCTTCATGCCAGATTTTAAGTTTATAAAAGAAAGATAATAATGCCTGGCTGCACCTGCTTCCTAGGTTCTTGTAACAATCAAATATAAAATTGCTTTTTAAATATAAGGCGCTATGCGAATCTTTTTTCCAAGGAAGTCTAATACCACTATATCAAGAGAACACTGCGTTGATCTGCCTTTTTCTTTAACACCTGTTTGTCATAGAATTCCTTAAATTCTCTGAAAAATTTCTCCGAATCATTACCCTTTTCATTTTTATCTTATTTTCCCTGTTACTCTTTGCTTAGTTCAAAGTCTCCAAACACTTTCTCTGCAAAATGAGATCAAGCCCTCTGCCCAGCACCCACACCTGTTTGTCTCTTCCTGACAAACTGAATAAGATGAGAAATCAAAGCTTGGGATATCTTACCATTAAAGAAGTACAGTTATTTGGAAGCGCCAGCTCAAATTTCTTCTCTGTATTTCATATCTGCCTATACCTGTGTCTTCAGAAACCACTGCTTTCTGCAACACTCCTGCCATTTCCTTATCTTTGTTCCTTTGAATGACTCTGGTCTGTATTTCTCTTTTTCAGTTTCTCCTGGCAGCTTATAATAACTCCTCATTGTTTGAGTCTCCAATCTTTTTTCCTTCACTGGCACTTACATAAGAATCAGAGTTCTCTAATAACTTGCCTGAAATATAATGTAATGGTCATTAGATAAGTATGATGTATTTTTTAAGTGAGTTATTAAATTGATGTGTCTTTTTAGACTGAGGCCCTATTGTAATGTTTGGCCAAGGTCTTGACTGTGTGACATCACAGCACAGCTACAGAAAAGGCTATATCCTGGGATCTCCACCCAGATGTTCCACAGCTACCTCTGCTCACTCACCGTCTTTCTCCCGAAACTTCTTCCTCACCTTATATTTCTTACCCTCATTAGTGGCATCTCCACTCACCCAGTTAAGCAATTCCAAAACCTCAGATTATTTTCAAACATATTTCCCATATCCAGCTCCAGCTAGTCATTAATCCTGCTCTGTCTTCAAATAGTCTCTCAAACCTATCTTAGTTTAGATCCTTATCCTATTTCATTAGACCTATGGCAATAGCATCTTCATTTTCCTGTGGCCTTCTGGCTCTTCCTTCCCCAATTCTTCTGAAACATTATTACTGTAGCTATTTTCTAAGGAAAATCCAATCATATCATTCCTCTGTTTAAAATTCAGCTTAAAAATGCTGAAAAGAGCCAGGCACAGTGGCTCATGCCTGTAATCCCAACACTTTGGGAGGCCAAGGCAGGCAGATAGCTTGAAGCCAGAAGGTCGAGATCAACCTGGCCCACATGGCAAAGTCCCGTCTCTACTAAAAATAAAAAAATTAGCCAGGCTGTAGTGGTGTGTGCCTGTAGTCCCAGCTACTTGGGAGGCTGAGGCAGGAGAATCACTTGAACCGGGAGGCGGAAGTCGCAGTGAGATCTTGCCACGGCACTCCAGCCTGGGTGACAGAGAGAGGCCTTGCCTCAAAACAAAACAAAACAAAAATAATGCTGAAAAGGATTATCTAGACTGTGATAAAGTTTAAATAACATGACATTCAAGGACCATCACTGTCTGGCCCTAACCTTACCACACCTCCCTACCACAGCCACACTGAACTCCCATCTCCTGAAGAATGCCATGTTCATACTTGCCTCCTTTTCCTTGCTCTTGTTGTTCTCCATTCTTGGAATACCCTTCTCCCTCTGCTTGGTCTTTAGGCTTTAAAACACAGTTCAAAATTCACCTTCTCTGCAAAGTCTTCCTGAGTTCCAATCATACCTCTTTCCTGGAAGAGTGAGTGGCCACTACTTCCACATTACCCTGTGGTGCAATTGTTTGCAGATGGGTCACTCTCCTATTTAGATTTGTTCTCATTCATCTTTACCTGTCACATAGTATACACTCAATAAATGGTTATTGAAATTAATATTTTCTGAATAAAATAAAGTAAAATTCCACAGATCCACAAGTACATCCCTCCAAATACTTTGCTGCATTAAAGAAAAGGGCCCAGGAATAAAGAGAAAGAACTAATAATGTGACTGTAACAAACACATGAATGGGTTGTTTGTTTTTAAAAGCTAAGTGGTTTAGGGAGGGTAGGGGAGAAGAAAGTACATTTTAAAGCTCTAGCTGCAGGGCAAGTAATAAAAATTGTTGCTTTAATGTTTTTTTCATAATATTGTGAGCAATGGGAAGGTCTATTCCATCACACCAGCCTTCGGGGCAGAAAGTTTCAGCCTCCTGAGCTAAATCAAACTGGCATCAGCTCTTAGTTTTTCAGGCGGCCACAACTGGTCTCTGCTTTCCATGGGGCTAAACTTGGCTGACGAAAAAGAAACAAAATAATTTCCCATTTATTTTATGGGCCTCTCTTTTCGTCTTTTGCTCTCTTCAATTAATTATAAGGGTTCTGGAAACCCATCCTGCATTCTTGTCTCTGGATTACACAGATGTAGGCATTGTTCTTTGTCTATACTAGGGGTTGTTGGTCTTATAAAGAAAGAGGTTGGGAGGCAGTGCCTTACCAAGGGCACAAAGCTAGTCCAAGAAACAACACTGCTTAGCACTCATGGTTCAAAGCCCTTAAGTGCCATTCACTGATGGCAGCTGTCGATGTCACTCATTTTATATTCCCTAAATTGGTAAGTCTGAACACATTTAAAATTAAGATGCATGGGCACCTAGGTCAAAGTATCAGAGTCTCCTGGAATCTCAATGGAATTCAATAATTTTCAAAATGATAAAACAACCAACTCCCCTATAATTCAGTCTTCATCATTTCACCCTGTGCTCTCATTCTAAATTCATTTACCCAAATAACCCAGGGTTTGTATATATGCTTGAACACACACAGAGACCACATTCTTCAAAGTCACACAGTTTTTCCTGGCAGGATTGTCTTGTTTCTGGGAGAAACCCTGTTTCCATCTGCTTGAGTTTTGAGTCCTAACTCTCCCATTTTCCATGTACTGTTTCTAGTTAAGAAGATCAAATAGGACTTACCATAGTATCTAGCTCTTAGATATATAGTGATGATTAAATGGGGCAATATAAGTAAAAAGGTTAAATATAACAGTGCCTGGTGTATGGTCAGTGCCCCATAAATATCAGCTTTGTAACATTCCATGCCTGTATGACACATGACCTCATTGGGAAAACAGTGTGAGAAAGTTGGCCCTTTTCACCAAGCAACATGTGTATTCCACTTCTCCTTATAAACTTGAATTCACTGAAGTAGGTAACATTAATTTCATTTTACTTAACACATTTGGAACTTTGTGTTTGTTAAATGTAGCATGCAAAAATATTTAAATATGTATGTATAATGACTTTTGAAGTGCCTTTAAAAAATCTCCAAGGTCCTTCCAGCTCCAAAATGTGATCTATGATAACTAATCTCAAATGCATGCGAAGAAATAGTGATGCAGTTCCCCAGATATACTGGGAATATATGGCATTGTCAGACTGGGTTGCACTGGAAAAAAGTCAGACCCAGGACCAGGAGCCTGTGACAATGTAGAAGAAAATCTTACCCTCCTTTCTCCCCACCAGCCTAGGGTTTATTACACTTATCTTGAGCTCCCAGGCTTTCTTGTTGCAGATGTGGAGAAGAAAGGAAATGAGCTGTAAACAGCAAAGAAGAGAGCAGAGACAAAATGCTATGGGAGGTGAAGTAAGCAGAACTCCATGAAATCATCTGTAATTTCACCTTCTAACCCTGATACAAAAGAATCCCAGAGGTTTAACTCAGGCAGGGTTCCTAGCTAAACATCTTCATTTTGGAGATTAAGAAATTAAAACCTAAAGAGATCAAGTGGCAAGTCCAAGGTCATCCAGCTCTTCTGGAACCTGGACCTGGCAAGTAAGAACGGCTGCAGTGACCAACTGTATTAAAGCTATGTGCTAAGCCTATTTGTTTACAAACAGATAAGCGTCTTTCTGGGCCTTATGTAGCCTTCTTCAGTCACCTGCAAATCAGCCAGCACCTGTCTCAGGAAAACAGACAAGATTCTTAACAACTCTGAATTCAAAAGAAAAGCCTGGTTTTACAAACAAGTCAGAGTCATATGGTTCTGCCTTCAGAGTCACCCTTATCTTTAAGAAATACATGAAATAATATTATAGTGACAATGATTCTTTAAACGTCCAAAGTAGAAGTGAACAAAACACAAGCAAGAAAAAACCTAGGCATATTTTGTTTTAAGCAAACACATATAGCCAAGTCCAACAAAAATGGAAATACCAGGGGGCGTTTCCAGAGACCATTTGAACAGCATAGAACTCTTTTTAAGTGGTCCCAATCAGAATGCCTCCATTTGCAAAAGTGCGACATTCACACAACTTTTTGGAAAGCTATCAAAAAACAGGAGTTGTAAGCCTGCGTCTCCACTGCTTCCACTTCATACATCTTTATTTTCACTCATGCACTGATTGATTCAGCTGTATCTCGTATGCACTCATTTATTCACTTACTCATTTGTTAATTCACTCAGTTCTACGGCATAGGTACTCATTCAATTACTTATTGAGTAGCTCTGAGTCCTAAGTCAGATGGGACTTTGCCCTCATGGAACTTCGATTCTAGGAGAGTCCAGTAGCAGAAACTAGACGCATCAAAAGCGAAAGTACACGGTAAAATGCGAAAGGAACCCCAAAAGAACTGCATAAGGCATATTGGAGGCTCAGGGGGACCAGGATTGTTTGCAGATGGGGGATGAAGGGGGCGGCTTGGGGCTGAGCCCTGGAGCTGAGGGGAAGTGAAACCGTGTTGGGAAGGACGGCTGAGGGCCGTGCTCGCTGCTGTCCCGCAGCACCCTCCACCACCCCCACGTCACAGCTTCCCCATTTCTAGGCTCGGTGACTCCACTGTCACCGAAGGGGCAGCCACAGGCTCCCAACCCGCCGCTCCCCAGCCAGGTCCTCCCGTCACGCCCCCGAATGAGCGATGCTGGAAGTCCGTCCCCCTCTGCCCCCGCCCCTGGCCTGCTCCAGCCTCAGCCCGCCCGACCCCCGCGGGTAGGAGCCAAGGCCTCGGCCCAGCCGCCCGCGGGCACTGCCAGTTCGGCTGCAAACACACCTGATAGGGCGGCTCTGACGGCGGCGACGGAGGCGGCTCCCAGGACTAAGCTCGCGGCCTAGCCTTACGGTGGCGGCGGCCACACCCCTGACTGGGCTGGGGCCCTCCGCGCCGCCCCGTGACTGCAGCCCTGCTTGCCGGCCAGGCCGCGGGGCCGAGAGGCGGGGCAAAGACCTGACTCGGGAAGCCGGGGCGGGCGCCGGGTTCGGGCTGGGGGCCACCTCCGGAACGCCTGGGGGGTTCTCACTCGCCCTCCAAGGGCGACCTCAGGGCCACAGATCGGCCGGAAGGCTTCTCAGCTTCTGGGCTGTGGCTCCTGTTAGAAAATTGAGTGTCGCCCTGGGTCCCGAGCCCCTAGGCCTGACTCCTTCGTGCAGGGGCGTCGCCTTCAGACTGGGTGGTGCGCAGGCCAGGGCCGCGTGCTTTTCAGAAGCGCAGCCTCAGGCGAGGCGGGCGGCAGGGGCCTGAGAAGGCTCATGGCTTGGCAGAAGGGTCCTGTGCTTCAGTGGGTGCCCGTGCAGGTGGAGAAGGACGGGGCTGCGAAGCTGAAAGGAAAACGTGAAAGGTTTTTGTGTGTCTCTGAGCCTGAGTAAAGGCCATGCTTTCTGAGCTGTCAAACGCCTCCCAAAGGGAAGAGATTATTAAACCGTTTTCCCACCCTGCCAGGTGTAGGATTGTTAGGCGGTGATGATGGAAGGCAGAGATGACCCGAACTGAGAGATCAGAAAAAGCGTTTTCTCTTTCGTTTGTGCCTGAATTATATGAGGGTGCCCAAGAAGAAAGGAGACTCATCTGATTACCCGGTGTGGCTTATCTCAACAAGTCACACGCATTCTGGTCACAGAGTATGTGCTCAGTGTTTTCAATGCTTTATGTTTTGATAAGTGCAAATTCCTTTGTTTAACGAAACTCTTATCAAATACAAACAGTTATCTTTGTGAAACACTGAGCAGTTCCAGTCTCTCCTCTTAACTAAAAAAACCAAACAGAACTTTTAATTAGAAAAGAAAAGAAAGAATAAGCACATGCCTACTGGGAAAAAAAAAATACCATAAAATGTGCAAAGTCCACTCACCTTCGGTTAACAGTCCCTCTAAACCTTACTAGTCCTGTTGCCCACTGAAACAAGTGTGAACTCTGAGGCATTGGAGGGTCCACATAAACATGGCCCTGGCCCACCTTTCCCGAATCATCTCTCGGATGCCATATCTAACCCCACTGAATTACTTTTTTCTCAAACTATCAAGGGTAAAAGACAAGTTTTTATTATTTCCAATCTGACATGGACCATTATTTCTGTAAAATACAAATCAAAACCTGCTAGCAAATAAGAAAAGAGACAAAAACTACAAGCCCAGTTTTTATTACAAGTGTACAATGAGTATGCCAAAAAGTATAAAATTAGTTTTTCAATTATTGGTTGTTGTTGTTGTTTTTATTTCTAAATGCTTACTCACAATTTCTATACTTACCTGTTCATGGAGCAGTAAAAAGCTGTTCACTGACTGGCGGTGGTTGGATTACCGTTTAAGTGGCACTGACTTGCTGTTCTTTAATTATGTCAAATGCTTTTCAACTTCTGGGCCTTTTCTCATGTTTAATGTGAACGAAGTTCTTTCCCACTCAAGTTTCAACTCGTAATAACAATAAAAGCTTCACATTTATTGAGTGCCTTGTGCTAAGATTTTTGATGCATTAACTGTGAATTCTTATTTGTCCTATGAGCTACCTATTATTATCATTATTATTTCCCCCCACTGTACAGATAAGGAGATGGAGGATTAGAGAGGTCAAGTCACAAAACCAGTGAGGTACAAAGTCAGCATTAAACTGAGCTGGCCTGATTCTGGAGCCCAAGCAATCAACCAACATGCTGGGCCCCTCTCTGTGAAACCTCCCCCATTTGCTTTCAAGTTGAAATTAATCACTCTTGCTTACACCTCTACTCTAACATTTTTTCCCGTTGGTTTTCATTCATGTCAGCTTCCCACGCTAGGCTTTAAGCTTCTGAGTACAGTGAATTTGTCTGCTCACACTAATCACAGGAAGCAGAGCTCATTCGCATCTTTGCATTACCACTATCTTTTATGCTTACTTCATGATATGTTTTAATTATTTATTCTTGTCAGCATCCTCTACTAAACCATACAATGTTCAGAGTTATCTTACCAAAGATGCTTTTATTTATTTAATTGAATAAGCATTTCTATAGCATGTATAATGAGCCAGGTACTATTCCAAGAATTTTAAAACCTCGCAAATAGACCTATAGATATTATTTTATCCCTCTTTAAACTGTGAGGAAACTAAGGCATAGAGAGGTTGCAGTAAGTTGCAGGACCAGAATTCCAAACCAAGCAACCTGCCTGGCTCCAGAATCTATTTCTGAGCCACCATGCTATGTTGATTTTCCACAATACCATGTGTTCTTCCTACTTAGAACACTTCACTGCAGGGAGATCAATCCATAATGGCCAATTAGAAGCCCCTGCCCGCAGCACTCAGGGAGGAATGAGAAGGGGCAAGTGAATTCAGTACCTTCAACTGAAATATCCAGGTTCTCTCATTGGGACTGACTAGGCAAACCACCGGCCCATGGAGAATGAAGAAAAGTTGGGCAGGGTGGGGAGCCCACCTCGGAGCAGCACAGAGCCAAAGGAACCTCCACCCTCAGCCAAGGGAAGTGGTGAGTGATTGTGCAACCCAGGAAACCATGCTTCTCCCATGAATCTTTGCAACCTGTGGATCAAGAGACCCCCTCATGACTCCACACCACCAGGGCCTTGAGTCTGATACACAGAGCTGTGTGTTGTCTTGACAGAGCAGCCACTCAGGCACATACAAAGAGGCCCAGAAGTTTTACATACTCTGGCCACAATCATCAGCAAGGCAGGAAATCCATCTGTAGGAAGGGGGCTGAATCCAGGGAGCCAAGCAATACCATTCTTCAGGCCCCACTTACATGACACCCCACAAGTTAAGACCCACCAGCTTGGAATCCCAGCCAGCCAATGGCAGTGGATAGGAGTCTGCCTGAGACAGGTTTGAGTTCCCAGCAGGTGGGGCAGCTGCCGTCTCTGTGATTCAGCCGACTCAGCTGCTGCAGCCTCCTGGATGTGGAGAATACAGACGGTCTAAACTAGGAAGGGTTCCCTCTGCTACAATGCAGCACACCTGCCCTACCAAAAAGCAGCCAGACTGCTTCTGTAAGCGGGACCCCAAGTCATTCCTCCTCGCTAGAGAGGACCTCCTTAAGCCCCTCCAGCAACTGTTTTATGAACAGAGCTCTGATCTCTCCCTGGGACAGAGCTCCTGGAGGGAGGGGAGGCCATCATCTCTGCAGTTCAGTAGACTCAGCCATTCAAGCCTGCCAGCTGTGGATAATACAGATGGACCATACAAGGAAGGGTCCCCCACAATGTAGCACAGCTGCCTTGCCAAATTGCAGCCAGACTGCTTCTTTAAGTGGGACCCCAATCCATTCCTCCTCATGGGTGGGTCCTCCCTGCAGGAGCTTCAGTCACTCCAGCCAGGGCGCTATGGAGAGAGCTCTGATATCTCCCTGGGACAGGTTGCCTTGGAGAGGGACAACCACCATCTTTATGGTTCAGTGGACTCAGCTGATCCAGCCTACCAGCTGTGGAGAATACAGGTGGTCCAGACTATGAGGGCCCCACCCACCCCCACTCCCAGTACAGCACACCTGCTCTACAAAAAGCAGCCAGACTACTTCTTTGGGTGGGTCCCTAATCCCGTTCCTCCTGACTGGGTGAAACCTCCCAATGGGGGTCTCTAACCACCTGCTGCAGGTGTATGAGGGCTGGCAACAGATCAGAAACCACCCAAGATGAAGCTTCCAGAGGAAGAAGCTGGCTGCCATCTTTGCTGTTTTGTGGCCTTCACTAGTGATACCTCCAGATACAGGAAAAAGTGAGGCAACTGGGGTCTGGAGCGGATCTCCAGCAAACTGCAGCAGTCAAGTGGCCTGACTGTTAAGAGAAAAACAAACAAAACAACAACAACACCATCAACAAAAAAGACCCCACAAAAACCTCATTCAAAGTCAACAACCTCAAAGATTAAAGGTAGATAAGCCCACAAAGATGAGAAAGAATCAACGCAAAAATGCTGAAAACCCAAAAAGCCAGAGTGCGTTTTCTCCTGCAAATGACCACAACCCCTCCCCAGCAAGGGCACAGAACTGGACTGAGGCTGAGATGGCTGAACTGACAGAAGTATGCTTCAGAAGGTGGGTAACAACGAACTTTCCTGAGCTAAAGAAGCATGTTGTAACCCAATGCAAAGAAGCTAAGAAACATAATAAAACAATACTGGAGCTGATAGCCAGATAACAAGAATAGGTGAGAAAGGAATATAACTGACCTGATGGAGCTGAAAAACACAACACAAGAGCTTCACAATGCAATCACAAGTATCAATAGCAGAATAGACCAAGTGGCGGAAAGAATCTCAGAGCTTGAAGACTATCTTTCTGAAATAAGACCAGCAGACAAGAATAGAGCAAAAAAGAATAAAAAAGAATGAACAAAACATCCAAGAATATGGGATTATGTAAAAAGACAACCTACAACTGATTGGGGTACCTGAAAGAGACAAAGAGGATGAAACCAAGTTGAAAAACATAGTTCAGGATATCATCCAGGAGAACTTCTCCAACCTAGCAAGACAGGCCAACATTCAAATTCAGGAAATCCAGAGAACTGCAGTAAGATACTCCACAAGAAGATCAATCCAAAGACACCTAATCATCAGATTCTCCAAGGCCTAAATGAAAGAAAAAATGTTAAAGGCACTCAGAAAGAAGGGCCAAGTTACTTACAAAGTGAAACCCATCAGACTAACGGTGGACCTATCAGTGGAAACCCTACAAGCCAGAAGAGATTGGGGGCCAATATTCAACATTCTTAAAGAAAAGAATTCTCAATACAGAATTTTATATCCAGCCAAACTAAGCTTCATAAGTGAAGGAGAAATAAGATCCTTTTCAGACAAGCATATGCTAAGGGAATTCATCACCACCAGGCCTGCCTTTCAAGAGCTCCTAAAGGAGCTCCATGTCCCTGCAAAGGACATGATCTCATTCCCTTTTATGGCTGCATAGTACTCCATGGTGTATATGTACCACATATTCTTTATCTGGTCTATCATTGATGGACATTTGGGTTGATTCCATGTCTTTGCTATTGTGAATACTGCTGCAATGAACATATGCGTGCATGTATCTTTATAATAGAATGGTTTATATTCTTTTGGGTATATACCCAGTAATGGGTACCCCTGAACTTAAAAGTTGAAGAAAAGAAAACAAAAAACACTTCACTGCTTTTAGGATAGGACAAAACTCCTTAGTAGGGCCTACAAAACTCTGCATGGCTTGCTTCCTGGTTAACTCTTCAGCTGCATCTCACACGAAACTCTCTGACTCCCTTCTAGCCAAACTTGTCTTATCTCCTTGCTCCTAGGAGGCATGCTCCCTCCAACCATAGCACATGCGGTTCCCTTGGCCTGGAATGCTGTTCCCTCACCTTGTTCCTTCCTCAACTCAAAATTGTCCTTCAGATTTTAGCTCAGGAAAACCTTCCTAGATGAGGTCAAATACCCTATTATATATTTTGAAAGCATTTTTAGTTCTTAACGTAATTATCACTGAATATTTATTTATTTACTTACTTACTTGACTAAGGGCAGTCTCCGCCTTTTAACTCTAAGCTCCTTTATGGCAAGAACGATATTATTTACCCACATTTATATCCTCAGTATAGAGGGCAGTGCCTGGCACATAATACACAGTCAGTAAATATTCACTGAACAAATGAAGAAATACACAGTGCTCAGAGTGTTATGAAAATATAAGAGGGGCATGGTGGTGTGCTTGTAAATGCTTACCAACAAGTTGTTTTTTTTTTTAATAAAACCCTCATTTGTACCATTTGTTGATTTCCATGCTATCAATACTTCCATCATGGCCAATTTCCAGATGCCAAAGTGATGTCATGCAACACTGGAGCTGGGAAGTGATATGCACAGTCGGCTTCGAGAGCCTGTACCAGCCGGCTTCAGCACACCACTGGAAGGGCATCAAAGTTAGTGGGGCAGAGAGTGGTGCACAAAACCCAGGGAACTTTTCAGAGATCTAAGATCTGAAGCATGAATCAAAAATGATTCCGGAAGGTGGAGACGTGTGTGGGGCAACAATAGGCAAGATGAGAGGAGTCGGGGTGTGGACAAGGAAGGAGAAGAAAGTTTAGTAGGGCTGAAGTGTGCATTTGAAAAAAGGGCCGTATCAATCTTGTTTCGAGGTTAAGGCTTTATCCTTATAGAAAACACTGGACTGGCTTACATCCAGTGCATTTAATTTAGCATTTGGAGAAATTGCTCTGGCTGCCATCACTGAATAGTTTGGCACTGTGCTGTCACCCAGGAAAGAGATGCTGGTGAACAGAACCAGGATTACGAGAAAGTACAAACATTTGTTAAAGGGAGCCTGATAGGCAAAAGAGCAGTCTGGCAGTGAGGAGGACTGAGCCACAACCCAAGTTTCATGAGGTAAGACCTCCTGCCCCAGGAAAGGACACCAATGCAAGGCATTGCCTGCCCTGGAGACCCAGGGACTAGATCTGGATTTCAACAATAGGCTTTTCTTGAAATCCAGGTCTAGTCCCTGGGTCTCCAGGGCACAGTGATGTATGCCTGTAATCCCAGCTACTTGAAAGGCTGAGGTGGGAGGATCACCTGAGCCCAGGAAGTCAACGCTGCCGTGACCTGAGATCACACCACTGCACTCCAACTTGGATGAGAGAGTGAGATCCTGTCTCAAAAAAAAAAAAAAAAAAAAAAAAAAACCGGGTGCAGTGGCTCATGCATGTAATCCTAGCACTTTTGGAGGCCAAGGTGGGCAGATCATGAGGTCAAGAGATCGAGACCATCCTGGCCAACATGGTGAAACCCTATCTCTGCTAAAAATACAAAAAAAAATTAGCTGGGCATGGTGGTGTGTGCCTGTAGTCCCAGCTGGTTGGGAGGCTGAGGCAGGAGAATCGCTTGAACCTGGGAGGCAGAGGTTGGTGTGAGCCGAGATCACACCATGCACTCTAGCCTGGGCGACAGAGCGAGACTCCATCTAAAAAAATAAATTAGGCGGTGCGTGGTGGCTCACGCCTGTAATTTCATCACTTTGGGAGGCCAAGGCGGGCAGATCACGAGGTCAGGAGATGGAGACCATCCTGGCAAACACGGTGAAACCGCGTCTCTACTAAAAAATACAAAAAACTAGTCGGGCGTGGTGGTGGGCACCTGTAGTTCCAGCTACTTGGGAGGCTGAGGCAGGAGAATGTTGTGAACCTGGGAGGCGGAGCTTGCAGTGAGTGGAGATCGCGCCACTGCACTCCAGCCTGGGCGACAGAGCAAGACTCTGTCTCAAAAAAAAAAAAAAAAGGCTTTAGAAACAGGGAGACCCAGGTTTGGGCTCTGGTTCAGCCACTTATTAGCCATCACTAGTCAATTAAACCTTCTAGGTTTTCAGGATTTTTAAAAATGTTTTAAAAGGGGGAGGGTATAATAAAAATATCTCACATGATAATTTTGATAATGAGATATATATCGAAGTACCTAATATAGTGTGTGGCACATAGTAGGTATGCAATGAATATTTTAAAATCTTAATAGGAAAAAAAGAAATAGGACATAGGCACTCCTTGGTTTTCAAGCGTCATCTTCAAATCTAAATATATGTTCACCTTGGGAATGAGAAGGGGAATGACAAGGGGTACTCACTGGGATGACCAATAATTTACCACTGAAACTGAGACAGAGAGTAACAGAGAGACGAGAGGCATGAAAGAGGGATGTGTGGTCGTGGTAGTGCTTAAGAACTTCCCAAGGAGCAGCCAGGCAGAGACAGTTGTAAAGAATCAGTTTCAAGATCCAGAACCTCGAACACCATATTACCTCTTTCCAAAACAAATTTGCCTACAAGGTACCTTTCATGATTACCTTTCTTCCACTTCTCAAAAGAAAGAATTCTTCTCACACATCCTCTATCTCTCTGAGGTGCATTGTCTGGTGGAAGAAAAGATGTGTCAAGCCAAGGGACACTTCGATAATTCCATTAATCTAAGTTCCATCAGTACCCGTGACCCTCATCTGCCTCAGGAAGATTCACTTCCAATATCTTACTTCTTGTATTCAATACGTATTTATTAAATATGTAATGTATTTATATTGTTGTAATAAATCATATAATACTAGTAATCGTAATGATAATTCAATTCAGCAAAATTTTTAACATTCAGGACCTGGACAAAAAATTTTTAAATTATATTTTAATGTGTATTTTTTTGTTGTGGAGAACTATGATAGGGAAATCAACAAAATATTGTGAAGCATAAAAACTGGGGAGATAAAACCCAGAATGGAGAGCACTGGAATAGAAAAACAACTTTATGGAAGAAAAGGAACAGCATAAAATTTCTGACAATTAAAGAGCTTTTTTCAGGTATTTTTTAAGTGTACCATGGGGAGTATCTGGTTATTGCAGAATCTAAATTCCATTAGATACATTTAGAAGAGAGATGTAACAGTTTTATGTTGAAATGTCAATATTTATAAGATGTTGGAAATTTTATTTTTTTTAATGTTACAAAAATGTGCCAAGGAGTATATTAGCCAAAGCATTTTGAAAACCAGGGCTTTACAATAGACAACTTGGAAGTTAAACTCTGGCTCTGCCATTTATTAGCTGTGTTGCCACGGGCAAATCACTTAACCTCTCTGAGCATTCATTTTCTTATCTATAAAATGGGAAATAACAAAACCTACTTCAAGGATTAGATTTAATTAACCTTATAAAAGTTACTAGCAAGCTTGGCACATGCTAGTTACTCAATAAATGTTAATAATAGCTAACTTTTTTTACCTATGCAGGTTCAGGATCATCCATATCACTGCCTTCTACCTCTACATATTGTCCCACTGGAAGGTCCTCAGGGGCAATAACATGCATGGACCTATGATAACAATGCCTTCTTCTGTAATGCCTCCTGAAGGACTTGCCTAAAGCTGTTTTTTTTGTAAGTAGAAGGAGTACACTCTAAAATAATGATAAAAAGTATAGTATAGTAAATACATAAACCAGTAACATACTCTTTTACTATTGCTATCAAAATTATGTATTGTACATAATTGTGTGCCATGCTTTTATATGACTGGCAGTGCAATAGGTTTGCTTACACCTGGATCACCACAAACATTTGAGTAATATGATGACTGCAGTGTCTCTAGGAATTAGAAATTTTCCAGCTCCATTATAATCTTAGAAGTTGACCATCCATATGAGGTCTGTTGCTGACTGAAATAGCATTATGCAGTACATGACTATATCTGTGTATTTTCACGAAGTTAACACACTCATATAATTAGCATGCAGATCAAGAAACAGAATAGTACCAGTGCCCCCCAAAGTCTCCCTCATACTGCCTATTAGTCATCACCTACACCCACAAGGCTATCCCTCAGCCTGACTTCTAATACCATCGATTAGATTTAAATATTTTTAAATGTTATATAAATTGAATCATACAGTGTCATTTTGTGTCTGGATTCGTTTATTCAAAAATATGTTCGATGGCATAATGACAGAAATATAGACCAACAGAATAGAATAGAGAGCTCTGAAATAAACCCTCACATATATGGTCAAATGATCTTCGACAAGGATACCAAGACCACTCAATGGGGAAAGGACAATGTCTTCAACAAATGATGTGAGAAAACTAGATGTCCACATGTAAAATAATGAGGTCAGACTCTGACATTATTATACCATATATGAAAATTAACTCAAAATGGATTAAAGACCTAAATATAGAGCTAAAACCATAAAACTCCTAGGGAAAAAAACATTGAAGAAAACCTTCATGACATTGGGCTTGGCAATAATTTCTTGAATATTACACTAAAGGCATAGGCAACAAAAGCAATAATAGACCTATGGGACTATATCAAACTTAAAAACTTCTATGCATCAAAGGATACAACCAACAGAGTAAAAATTTCTCCCTGCAGAGTGAGAGAAGGTATGTGTAAATTCTATATCCAATAAGTGGTTAATGGCCAGAATATATAAAGAACTACAATGCAACAGCAAAATAAATAAATAAATAAATAAATAAATAAATAATAACACAAAAAGTGGCTCACGCTGCTAGTCCCAGCTACTTGGGAGAAAGGCTGAGGTAGGAGAATCACTTGAGCCTAGGAGTTTGTGTCCACCCTAGGAAAAATAGCAAGACCCTATCTTTTTAAAATTAAAATTTTTAAAAATTAAAAACAAAAAATGGGCAAAAGACTGGAATGGACATTTCTCCAAAAATGATATGCAAATGGATAACAAGCATATGAAAAGATGTTCAACATCACTAATCATTAGAGAAATGCAAATCAAAACCACAATAAGATGCCACCTCACACTCGTTATGATGGCTACATTAAAAAAACAACAGAAAATAACAAGTGTTGGCAAGGAAATGGTACAGCACTATGGAAAACAGTATGGCAATTCCTCATAATGTGAAAAATATAATTACCATATGATCCAGCAACCCCATTTCTGGGTGTATATGCAAAATAATTGAAAGCAGGATCTCAGAGAGATTTTCACACCTGTGTTCATAATAACATGGTTCACAATAGCCAGCAGAAGGAAGCAACCCAAATGGACATTTCACTTATAGATGAATGAATAAACAAGTTGTAGCATATACATATTATATCTCAATATTATTCAACCTTGAAAAGGAAGGAAATCCTGTCACATGCTACATGTATTAGTTTGTTCTCACATTGCTATAAAGAAAAATACCTGAGATTGGGTAATTTACAAAGAAAACGGGTTTAATTGGCTCATGGTTCTGCAGGCTATACAGAAAGCATAGCAGCTTCTGCTTCTGGGGAGGCCTCAGGAAGGTTCCAATCAAGGCAGAAGTCAAAGAGCGAGCAGGCACATCACGTGGCAAAATCAGGAGCAAGAGAGTGGGAGGAAGGTACCACACACTTTTACATGACCAGATCTCATGAGAACTCACTCACTATCAGGAGGACACTCTCAAGGGGATGGCACTAAACATTGAAGACATTATGGGAAGTAAAATAAGCCAGTCACAAAAAGACAAATACTGTATAATTCCACTTGTATGAGCTATCTAAAGTAGTTAAATTCATAGAAACAAAATGATGGTTGCCTAGGGTTGGAGGAAGTAGGAAATGAAGAGTTCTTATGTAATGGATATAGAGTTTCAGTTTTACAAGATGAAAAAGATTTGGAGTTCCACTTTACAACAATGTGAATATGCTTTACTAAACTATACGCCTAAAAATGGTTAAGATGGTAAATTTTGTTACATGGTTTTTTACTACAATTTTAAAAAATTAAGCCAAGCACAGTAGCTCATGCCTGTAATTTCAGCACTTTGGGGGGCCAAAGCAGGAGAATCATTTGAAGCCAGGAGTTTGAGACCAGCCTGGGCAACATAGTGAAATCCCATCTCTACCAAAAAAAAAAAAAAAAAAAAAAAAGTTAGCTGTGCATGGTGCTGCACACCTGTAGTCCTAGCTACTTGGAAGGCTGAGACAGGAGGAGCCCTTGATTCCAGGAGTTGGAGGCTGCAGTGAGCTATGATCATGCCACTGTATTCTAGCCTTGGCATCAGAGAAAGACTCTGTCTCTCAAAAAAAAAAAAAAAAGAAAAACAAATTTTTTTTAATTTTTTTGAGACAGGGTCTCACTCTGTTGCCCAGGTTGGTTTCAAACTCCTGGACTAAAGTGATCATGCTACTTCAGCCTCCAAGTAGCTGGAATTACAGGCTGATGCCACTGTGATTGGCTATAAAAATTTTATCATTTTAAAAATATGTTTGGGAGATTCACTCATATTATCGTGCACACCTGTGGTTCATTCATTCTCATTGCTATACAGTATTACTACATTGTACACATATACCACCATTTATTTATCCATTCTACTGTTGATGGGCATTTGGGAAGTATCTAGTTTGCATTTTAAAATGAGGAAAATAAAAATCCACCAGATTTTTAGGGTTTGGAAGGCATTCACAGAGCATTTATGATGTATTAATACCTTGAACAAGTTCATGTATTCTTCTCCATCCCATCTCCAGGCTTGTATATCCAACTGCTGACTTCACTTCTCCATTTGGATATTGCTGTGGTTTGAATATAGTTTGTCTCCTCTGGAACTCATGTTGAAATTTGATCCCCAACATGGCAGTGTTGGGAGGTGGGGACTAGTGGGAGGTGTTTGGGTCATGGGGACAGATCTCCCATGGATAGATTAACGCCCGCCATCTGGGGCGAGTGAGTTCTTGCTCTTAGGAATGGATTAGTTCCTGAGACAGCCGGTTATTAAAAAGAGCTTCCTCAGTTCAGTGCTCTTGCTTCGTCTCTCACCATGTGATCTTTTTGCACACATTTGCTCCCCTTATGCTTTCTGCCCTGAGTTGGAACAGCCTGAGGCCCTCACCAGATGCAGTTGCCCAATCTTGAATCTTCCAACTACCAGAATTACGAGCCAAGTAAAGCTCTTCGTAAGTTAGCCTCAGGTATTCTGTGATAGTAACACTAAACAAATTAAAACAGATATCTAATAGGCATCTCCTCCAACTTATCATGTCCAAATATGTCTCACCTGCAGCCTTCTTCATATCTGTTGGCAACTCCAACCTTCTAGATGCCCAGGCCAAAAACTATGGTAACATTTTGACTCCTCTCTTTCTCTCACACCTACATCCAAGGCATCAACCAATAATGCTGGCTGTACCTTCAAAATAAATCCAGAATTTCAAGTATTTGGTTTTAATATGGTGTGATAAGGGCTACAGTATAGGGAAGCACATCTAAGGGGACATCTAAGTCACAATGGAGGGCAGAGAAAGTTTCCTGGAGGAGGGGATGTTTCAGCTTCATCTTGAGGAAAGATTAGAATTAATTAGACAGAGAAGGTGACAAGACATTCTAGGAAGACAGAACTGAGTACACAAAGACCTGGAGGTGTAAAACAGCATGACCCATGTGGGGCTTAAAGTAATGGATATATAGAGGAGGAGATGAAGTGGACAGTCAGGCAGGGATCAGGTCCAAGAAAGTTTATTGGAGATCAATTAGGGTACAGACTATCACAAAGGAGTCATATAGGGAGCCACTTAAGAATTATAAGCAGAATAGTATTATCTCTCCTCCAATTTCAGGACAGTCCAATATATTTCCACAGTGGCTAAAATTTTTTCAGAGATGATCTCAACCAGCTGTTGGTATATAACAAACCACCCCAAAAACTCAGTGTCTTAAAACTATACTTATTTATTCTTGCTTACATGTCTGTATGTTGGCCAGGATTGATCTAGACTGGACTTGGCTGGGCTGCTCTGCTTCAATCTGCAGGACTGTCTGGTCTCAGTTCCTTCCTGTAGGCTGGGCTTGGGTCTTTTCCGTGTAGGTTCATTCAGGGGCCCAAGCTAAAGGGAAAGCAGATGCCTAAGGGGCATTCTCATCGTTTTTGAGCAAGTGACTATCCAGGGCATGCTCTTCTCATGGCAATGGCCGAGGCCCCAGAGGGCAGCAGAAATTGGGGTTCACCTTAAGTCCTAGGCTCAGAGTAGGTGCATAGTAACTTCCACCCACATTCATTGGTTAAAGCAAGTCATGTAGCTGAGTTCAGAGTCAATAGGCAGGGAAGTCCATTATGCCTTTAGTGGGACAAACTATAAACTCACTTGTAAAGAGTGTGGATAGAAGGAGTGGTGAAAACTTGGGGACAAGAATTTAATCTACCATAGAGACCATTTTTATTCAGTACTTAGAGACTGCATGGTGTAATAGAAGGAGTACTAGCTGTGGAGTCACACGGACTATCACTTAATAGCTCTGTGCCTCTCTCCAAGTTATTTAAAATTTTCTGGCCATCACTTTTCTCATCCATAAAAATCTGTTTTGATACCTCCTCACCTTATAAGAGATTATAAGAACTGCATGTGATATTGGGGCTTTGTACTTCAGGCACCAATGCTAATTAAGACCCTCTGACTGCTAGCTACATCTAGTGTGTCCTGTCTCTATTAGTAAGAACTATGGAAGGGAGATCAGCGGTTGGACTGTGGTGCTGTAAAATTACCATACTGGAAAGAAACAAAAATCCAATAGGACCCAGATACAGCATTTTCCCAAGATATCTATCAACACTCACTCTGCTGGTAACTACAGCTATTTGTCTTTGGGGAAAAGATGTGTCTCCCATAAGAAAGGCCAGTCATTTGCTAATATGTATTTGATCTGGCAGTTCTTTTCTACATACACTTGATTCCATGGCAGTCTGAATTTTTGGTTCACGGATAAGAGGGGTATTTAATCCAGAAGGGTCAGGGCCAACACTGGGCAGGAGGCACATGGGAGAAGCGCCCCCTGGCATTGCTTGAGAGTGTGTTCTCCCCGGGTCTGCAGCTGCTGCTCCGTCCAAATGGCCTCTCTTAGCAGAAAAATTGTGCCAGAGACAATAACCAGAGCATTCTTATTTATCTTTTCAGATTGAACCCAACCTGCCCAACATCTCACAGCTCTTTGAATCTCAAGCCTCTTGAGTCCTATGTTGCTGCACAATTCCACTTTCCTCCCATCTTCTTGCTCGTATGTTCTCAATAAGCCTTTTCCAGTGGAATTTTCTTGAGAGAATTAAGCTTTAATGCTTTAAGGCTTCCATTATAATTATAAATTAACTTTCCCTCTATGCATCTAGAATAGTATAGCTTTACTATATTCCAAGGATGGTTCCTTGGAATAGTGTAGATAAGAATTACTGAAATCATTCTCTGGAAGGTTTAATTCTCTTACAGGAACCCCAGTTGAGAAAGGCTGCTAGAGTGTGGTTCTTATCACGTGGTGGAAGATGGACCCCAGCACCATATACCCACAATATATGGTATGGGGGAGAGAAGAAGTGAAATCAGGGAGACTCTTTAAAAAAAATGACCTGAGAATTGCATGCATTACTTCTACTTAAACCTGATTGGCCAAAACATAATTTCATAGCAAAACCTAGTCACAAAGGATACTTGAAAAAGTCATTTCTATCTTGACAACCATATACCCAGCTAAAACTTTTAGATATTTTATTACTAACAGGAAGAAAGATGGAATAAACAGAAGATATTTATCAGTCTGTCACATATGACTATTATTCACCAGACAGTACTTTTTTTTCCTTTTTAGACAGGGTCTCACTCTGTTGCCCAGGCTAGAGTACAGTGGTGCAACCATGTCTCATTGCAGCCTCTGCCTCCTGGGCTGAAATCATCCTCCCACCTCAGCTCCCTATAAGTAGCTGGGACTACAGGCGTGCACCATCATGCCTGGCTATTATTATTATTATTATTTGTAACAACGAGGTCTCATTATGTTGCCCAGGCTGGTCTTGAACTTATGGGCCCAAGAAATCCTCCTGCCTTGGCCTCCCAAAGTGCTGGGATTACAGGCATAAGCCACCATGCCCAGCCTCACTAGACAGTATATTTTATAATAGCAGGAACTGTGTCATTCACTAAGCACAAATAAGTTGGGTACATTTTTTAGCACAGTATTTATCACATAGAAGACCCTTAATAACATTGATTGAATTCAATCTATTTATATCCAATTCAAGTAATCCAGAAGAGTGTCTTGAATTACGATTTTCAAAAGACTCAGAGGCTAAACACTTCAGTGAGTATGTACGTAACATTTTCTCTTTTTCCTCTTTTCCTCCTCCTCCTTCTTCCCCCCAACCCCTTCTTCTTCTACGGTAGTCTTGATTTTTTCTAAGCTAAGTTTCTCCTTGTTAGTTTTAATTGTTGATTACGTTGACTCTTCAAATCTTCAAGATCAACCTGTGGACTTTCATAAACCTGCAGAAGAAAACTCCTGTCCTCAACTGGGACACAAAGGGAACTGTTAGGATATGAAGATTATGTAGAAAAAATAGTTGATATTTGTAAAAAAAAAAATTTTTTTGAGACAGGGTCTTGTTCTGTCATCCAGGCTGGAGTGCAGTGGTATGATCTCGGCTCGCTGCAACATCTGCCTCCCGGGTTCAAGCGATTCTCATGCCTCAGCCTCCCTAGTAGCTGGGATTATAGGTGCCCACCACCACACTCGGCTAATTTTTGTATTCTTAGTAGAGACAAGTTTTCACCATGTTGGCCAGGCTGGTCTCAAACTCCTGATCTCAAGTGATCTACCCGCCTTAATCTCCCAAAGTGCTGGGATTACAGGTGTGAGCCACTGCACCTGGCAAAAATAATTTTTTTTTAAAAAAAGCACTTAGAATGGTGCCTGGCACACAGTGAATGCTATGTAAGTGTCAAAGACTTTAGAAGGAAGATAGATGGGTAGATACATACGCATGAATGGATGGATAGTTTGAAGGGAGGAGGGAGGAAGGCAGGGAGGGAGGGAAGGAAGGGGGAAGGAAAGAAGGAAGGAAGGAAGGAAGGGCAATGAAAGACAAGTTGACATTTTCTCCCCTTATTCATGAGTAGATTATAACATTTTCTACCAGAGGCAAAAACAGTCAGTAGGCATGTATGGCAGGAGCCATCTCACCAGAGACCCAAAGATTTATTTCTTTGTGTGGCTGAGCCTGGATGCACTTTGCCTACTACATGTGCGGCAGTCAAGCTAACTGCTCACTGGCTTCTTCAGGTATACTAAAATGACAAGCAAACATGGGTCAGAGTGGACATTGGTGTAGCAGGTAGAGACAGGGCCTGACTTAAAAGGATGCCAGTGCCTTAGCAAGAAATTCCAGGATGTCTTATGGAGCCTTCAGAGTTATTCTTTTAGGGTCATTCTCCTACATGTTAGGGATGAGGTAGCACACAAAATAAGTCAGGATAGGTGTCCTGGGCATGGAAAATGTGTGTACTCCCTGGTTTGGATATAGTTGTCTGTGATGGATAATGCATTTGCCTACCATGAACTCATTCTCCATTTTTCTAGTAACAGCACTTTGGTACCTTTCTAGAGCTCCTCTGCTCTCTTTCCATATGATTCTGATACCATCCCTCCCCAGCCCCAGACCCAGAATGACCACTCAGAATAGCCCATCTTGCAGACCATGTGATTAGTTTCAAATAGGTATGTGACCCAAAGTGGGCCAGATTCTTCCTTAAAATTTAATACATGGCTGGGAGCAGTGGCTCACATCTGTAATCCCAGGATCTGGGGAGGCCAAGATGGGTGGATCACTTGAGTCCAGGAGTTGGAGACCAGCCTGGGCAACATGGCAAAACCCCCTCTCTGCAAAAAATACACACAAAAAAATAGCTGGGTATGGTGGTGTGCATTTGTATCCCCAGCTACTCAGGAGGCTGAGGGGGGAGGATCACCTGGGCCTGGGAGGTGGAGGTTGCAGTGAGCAGTGATCAGGCCACTGCACTCCAAACTAGGTGATAGAGTAAGACTCTGTCTCAAAAAAAATTAATATAGATGCTGGAAGAGTGAGGGTGTATTCTTCTAGACAGGTGAGGAAAGTGAAGTTGTTGTATTTGCAAACATCTTTCCCAACACCAGAAAAGCCATACGTAGTGAAAAAAATGTAGCCAAACCAAGGAGGGAGGTAGAGGTAAGCAGAGAGCAGATAGAAAGTGCTGCTACCGTCTGAACCCCAAGATCCAGCTGTGCCTGAAGCTAAATTTGCTCCTTTTCAGCTACATGCACCAATAAATTCATTTTATATTTAGGTTTATTTGAGTTAGCATTTCTGTCATTTGCTTTCAAAAGAGTCTTGATTTTTATTGTATTGGTGTATTAGTCTGTTCTCATCCTGCTATAAAGAACTGCCCAAGACTGGATAATTTATAAAGGAAAGAGGTTTAATTGACTCACACTTCTGCACGGCTGGGGAAGCCTCAGGAAACTTACAGTCATGGCCGAAAGGGGAGCAAACACGTCCTTCTTCACATGGAGGCAGGAAGAAGTGCTGAGCAAAGAGGGAAAATCCCCTTATAAAATCAGCAGATCTCATGAGAACTCACTCACTATCATGAGAACAGCATGGGGGTAACCACCTCCATGATTCAATCACCTTGCACAAAGTCTCTCCCACAATATGTGGGGATTATGGGAACTGCAGTTCAGGATAAGATTTGGGGGGGACAAAGCCAAATCGTATCAATCAGAATTGATTTGGTCAGTCTAACAACTCCCTCATCACCCATGGCTAAAGCTGCTGAAGTCCTGTAAACAGCTCCTACAGTTATGTCCCATTGGTTTAGAAAATTGGTTCAGGTTCCACTTTGTACTTTCCATGCTAAACCCTCTTGCTCTGGTGCCTTATCTCTACTTCTGTCTTGTGTCCTGGTAACTGGATCTCTTTAGATTGACACTTCATGGTACCTTGAGCCTGGCTTTCTCTTTCAGTCTCACCCTGATTGTAGTGTTTCCAAGAACCCTGGGCAGCACACTTGCTATTCCACTAGGCAGCATCTCTGACTTCTGCACACAGCCAAGGATCCCTGAGTCAGATGTCTTTCCATAAGCAAGAACAAGTGAGTCATTTTGTCTCCTCAAGTGGGCCCTGCAGCAAACCTTCCAGGTCCCCTTAATAGATACAGACCTTCTTTTGATGTCATCTCTCTTAGCTTTAATGCATATGACTTGGAAACCCAATGATAAAAACCTCCTATGTATCTCAATAAATTATTCAGGACTTTTCCCATGTTTGGTAATAGGAATTTTTGCTAGGAAGGGATAAGAAAGAATAAGATTTTATGAGAAGATTAATCATTCAAATAAGGAAGTCCTGAAAATATACAGTGCATAAGGCACTCTTGCCACACAAAAAAGAATGTAAAACGTGTCCTCGGGGAGGATGTCCCTTCTCTGGGCTGAATTATGTTCCCACTACAGATTCCGTCACTGAGGTCCTAAACCCCAGTATCTCAGCACATGACTGTATTTGGAGATAGTCTTTAAGGAAGTAACTAAGTTAAACTGAAGTCATTAGGGTGGACGCTAACCCAATATGACTGGTGTCCTTACTAGAAGAGAAGATCTGGCCACAGACATACACAGAGGGAAGACTGTGGAGACACAGGGAGAAGACAGCCATCTACAAGCCAACGAGAGAGGCCTCAGAAGAAACCAACCCTGCTGACAGCTTGATCTCAGAATTCTAACTTCCAGAACTCTAAGGAAATAAATTTCTGTTTTCAAGCCACCCAGTCTATGGCACTTCTTTATGGTATCCCTAGAAAATTAATAATGTCTCCCACTAATTATTAGCAAACTGGCATCTCTTCTCACCAGATCCTTTGGGAAAGAATAATAGAAATCTTTTTCTGGCTCCCTTCCTCTCACCTCCCCCTACTCAAATACCCACAGAAAGCAAACCCATGGTATTTGTGGGGTAATCACTAAGCATTATCTTATTCGGCCAATGGCTAAGGGAAGGGTCTGGGGTTTCAGTCATTGAAAAGAAGAGGGGGCCTAGTGGTAAAGAGCCAGTGTTCCCTTCCTCAAGAGCCAATGCTGTTCCCTTCTCTTCTTCTTTCCCTTCCTCTATCCTTCCTGAATAATTTGTGCAAAAGTCATTAGATGAAGCTGATCGAGCAAGGGTGTGTGTGTGTGTGTGTGTGTGTGTGTGTGTGTGTGTGTGTGTTGGGCTGGGAGTGGGTAGTAAGCCATGATGGCCCAGGGCAGGGACCTAGAGGGTGTCCACAGGGGGTGGCCTGGCATGAGGTAGCCTTATCCAAAAATGGTAAGAAGGACATTTATGTGGATGGGCTGCCTCTTGTGAGGTGTTGAGGGCTGAGTGGGGTGAGACGGGTCTCTGTGAGGGAGGAGGGCTCTGTGTGGGGTGTCAGAGCCAGAATGGATTGAGGAGGGTATCCCTCCCCCCACAGGAGTGTAGCCCAGTATAGGGTGTGGCAGCCTGAGCAGCGTAAGGAGGACACCCACACAGCAGGCAGAGTGGCTCAGCATTGTGTCAGAGGACAAGAGGAGTGAGGAAGGCATTCACACTGGGGTGAGCTGGGGCTGGCATGGAGCATCAGAGCCTCAATCAGTTGAGGAGGACATCCATGCAGACAGGCCTGCCTGGTATGAGACGGCAGTGCTTGGGCAGAGTGAACAGGACATCTACATGGTAGGTTGGCCAAGTAGGGCATGTTAGAGCCCAAGTGATGTAAAGAGAGAAGATGAGAGATTTGTTACATACAGGTGGATTTGTTACATACGAGTAAGTAAATATATTAAGGACAAGGAGAGCTAGGTGTCCTATTGTTGGAGAGGGGTTTACAAATATGGCAAAAGGAAAACTAGAACGAATCCCGTGGTGTTGCATTAGAATTGGAGTTAAGGATGTGAATGCATAGTTTTCAAGATTTAAGTAGATAGATATATATAGATAAAAAATAAATATAAAAGTATACACAGAGAGACATATACACATTTCCCAGGTCTGCGCACTAAGAGGGTCTGGAAGCAGTGACACTCCAATACCAAGGAACATAATGAGTGTCTAGATTTTGGTTTCTACACACCATTCCAAAAGACACAAGAGATCCTTGGATAAATGGCTGATTCCAAAGCTGGGCTAGTTAACTTGCAATACAAACCTGAAAGTTCTTTTTGTACCAGAAAGTAAGAAAGTGCTCAAAGAATTTAGAGACATATCACATCAAAAGGACATAGAAACCAGACTGAAGGGACTCCCACTAGCCAAAAATGGACCAATATAAGCATGAAAATAAATAATGCTAGTAATAGGTTATGATCCATGAAATAAAATAGAATAGTTTGCATACGAGTCCAAACTGATATAAACAAATAACAAACTGAAAGTACGATAAGAAACAGGTTATGGACATAGGCTCAAAGTATCTTTCCACAAGATAATAACTATTAAGGGCAAGATGCCTGACAAATGCCGCCTTAATCAATGATCAATGTTAACGTCATCAGTAATGGGACAAATCTAAATCCTATGCCACCTAATGGGATGCAATGGGAATACAGCATCAGTTCTGTGACATTTCTGGCAGATGCATAGCCTGATTCTAATCATAAAGACACATTAGACAAACCGAAATTGAAGGACATGTTTTTACCCCCCCTTTAGCCTTTTATCTCTACAGGTGTCAAGACCACGAAAGTAAAGGAAAGACTGAAGAATGTTTCATACTGAAGGAGACTAAAGAAACCTGACAACAATACTCAACACACTATTCTAGACTGGATTCTTCTCCTAAAGGACATTACTGGGGCGACTTAAGAAACTTGAACAGGCTGGGTGCAGCGGCTCACACCTGTAATCCCAGCACTTCGGGAGGCCGAGGCAGGCGGATCATGAGGTCAGGAGTTCGAGACCTGCCTGACCAACATGGTGAAATCCCGTCTCTACTAAAAATACAAAAATTAGCTGGGCATGGTGGCATGCACCTGTAGTTCCAGCTACTCGAGAGGCTGAGGCAGGAGAATCACTTGAACTCTGGCGGCAGGGCTTGCAGTGAGTCGAGATTGCACCGCTGAACTCTAGCCTGGGCAACAGAGTGAGACTCCATCTCAAAAAAAAAAAAAAAGAAACTTGAACAAAGTCTAAAGAGTAGATGGTAGTGATGTACCAGTGTTAATTTCCTGATTTCATGCTTGTATTGTGGTTGTATAGGAGAATGTCCTTTTTGTAGGAAATACATACTTAAAAATCTAGGAGTGATGGGGCTTCATGTCAGCAACACACTCTCACATGCTTCAGGAAAGAAAAATTATTATTTGTACTGCAACTTTTCTGTAAATCTGGGACTGTTTCCAATTTTCTTTAAAAAGTCAAGAATGAAGGATAACTGGTCCAGTCTCTTCAACACATCTGTGTCATATCAAAGGGACAGATTAAAAGAGGCATCTGGGGCATACCAAGCAGGTGCAAATGTGGTCCTGGGTGGGATTCAAATTTGCATAAACCAATTATAACACACAGTTTAGAGATAACTGGGAAATTTATATATGACTTATTATTACATGAGATGAAACGTGTTGAAATGGAAAAATGTGGATCAGTGACTGAAAAAAAAAGCAGAGAATAGAACAGCAGTAGTATCAGGTGCTCTCATTTTGTGGGAAAAAAAAAGAAACACAAACAATGTACTAGCATAGTAACCTAGTGCTAGTCCTCACTGAGCAATGGGAATACTTTTTTATTCTCTTATTTTTGCTTGTTTTATTTTCAAATGTGTGACAATGTACATGCCCTGTTTCTGTACTAGTAAAAGATACCTTTTAAAGTAAAATTTAAATAACACAATTAGGGAAAAAGAGTCCATAGCGTGGGTATTCACAACCTTCAATAACTTACATTGTTATCAACTGGGACACATGGATGTTACTGAAGACATTCAGGCAAAGTCCCTGAAAAGCATCTCCTTGCCTCTGACATAGGGTTGCCGATTCTGCTACAGGTGTTGGAGAGATGTCTAAGGCGTTTGTATGACTGTATTGGTAAATTGTAATACCATGTAGAAATGCCTCAGTAATCTCACCTGTAAAGTGAGGATGAATATCCTGCCTCAAAAGGCAATTGGGAGGATTAAATGAGTTAATATATCTGGAAAGTGTGGAATAAATGATTTAATAGATGCCAACAGCATGTATGTTCTACAAATACAAAATTTGTGATCATCTCTGTTTTTCTTGTTTCATAAAGAAGATGAAAACAGATATAGCCTTCCAGTTCAGATTAGAATTTGGTTTTTTTATTCACAATTTCTTATACTACAATATAAGAATATATATGAGGTCAAAAATAAGCTGCTAAATTCTGGGTTTAAAATAAGAATATATATAAGAAACGTCTGGCTGGGCGCGGTGGCTCATGCCTATAATCCCAGCACTTTAGGAGGCTGAGGCGGGTGGATCACCTGAGGTCAGGAGTTCAAGACCTGCCTGACCAACATGGAGAAACCCCATCTCTACCAAAAGTACAAAAAATAGCCGGCCGTGGTGGCATGCGCCTGTAGGCCCGGCTACTCAGGAGGCTGAGGCAGGAGAATTCCTTGAACCTGGGAGGCCGAGGTTGCAGTGAGCCAAGATCATACTACTGTACTCCAGCCTTGGCAACAGAGCGAGACTGTCTCAAAAAAAAATAAATAAATAAAAATAAAAATTAAAAAAAACCTTCTGTATGCCAGGCATTGTTCTAAGTGCTTTACAAATAATGTATTTTTAATCATCACAGTAATCCTATGAGGAGGATGATCCTATTAACATCTCTATTTTACAGACAAAAGAAGTAAGCCACAGAGACGTTAGTTAACTTTAACTTTGCCCAGTCAGCCAGCCAGTTAAGAGGCACAGCCAGGATTACAACCAAGCAGTCCATGCTCTCAGCCTCTACCCACGTGCCACTCTCATCATGCCATAACCAAGTACAGGTGAACTCTGATTTAGGTGCCAGTGGCTTTCCAAAAGCTCCCTTCTAAGATAATGTTTCAAGTTCCAAATGTGTTTCCCCCCAAAACAGTATTACAGTATTAAGGTTAGGTTTGGTTCCTTAGGTCAACCTATCTAAGTAGACCAAAACTATTTAACTCACAACATGGCTGATTCAGAGCCACTGTGGCCCCAATACCAGTGTCCCTCTAGATAGAAGATGGTAGATAAGTTTAATCTCCCAACCCAATTCCAACTGATTACTTGTGGCTGCAGGGATCCCTGTCTGGAGAAGAATTCTGAGGTTGGCCTTAGAAGGAGTGCATACTAGAATCAATTAATGATGTCTGAAGAAATAGGAAAAGAAGACCAAAAACCAGATATTTGTCATCTCTGCTCCAGTGACCTTGTCTCTGTCTCTGAGTACTCCTCAATCTTGAGCGCTGAGGAGTCTAGGGAGTAGGGGAAGAGGACAGGAGAACGATACAGAGAGCAGAGAGGGGAAGTAGATACTAGAGAGGCTTCAGCGACAGTGTGGGAGGCCCTGATGAAATCAATGGCTGGGGCAGCTCTGATGTGGGGATAACAGCTGTTCAGAAGTATGGGTAATTTATAAGTCAAGTATTCCCACATCATCAATGCCTGTCAGGCCCTTCCTTACACCCCAGTGATCCACTCATTAGCAAGCAAGGGGAGGTAAGGTATCAATATCTTCTATTCCACTGACATTTTAGAAAGTCAGGCTCAGAATGGTTAAACGACTTGTCACACAGTGAGGCCCAGGACATCAGTCATGAGTTATATATAAATGCAATGTCAGAGTAAAGTGAAAATGAGCACATATAACCCAGCAAGATGATCCCACAAACCACCAGCTTGCGTGCAGAACTGTTAAACTCAAGTTTGGGATGGGTGGAGCCTTGATCCATAGTGCTGAGGTTTTCAGAGTGGACATTAGGATGCAAAATAGACTTTGAATGTGGTTTGCTGAGAACTTGTTTCTCAACATAAACTGGGGGAAAAAAAAGTATTTGATGCTAAAAGTGAGTCCCAAGCTAGGTCCCATTTAGGAGAGTACTGTAGCCCAGCAGGCCTCCAAAATGTCATGTCAGCTTTCGAAGGCATTTCACAGTTGTTGCAACAGCACTGCTGGAACAAAGCCAGGTGGCTTTAGAAGAAGCCCAGTCCCTTAGACATAGATGACACTGCCAAGAGCAAAATAAAAAAGGGCCATTGCCTGGCTTGGCATCTGGATCCTGCAGCTGCCAAATCATATCCATTAGCTATGCCGAAGTAATCCGTGGAGAAATTCCCAATGAGAGGCCCACCAAGCCAGAAAATTGCCTATGATCCAGGCAAGCAGTGGGTTCTAGCTCACCAGCGTGTGCTGAGATTGTTGGGCAACTTTAAGAAAGTCAGCAGAAAGTTTTCAGTTCCTACCTCTTGTTCATAGATGGGCATTTTTGTGAGTGTATGTGCACACACACATGTGCACATACACGTGGGAAAGAGACAGAAAGACAGAGAGTGGGGGAAGAGGGAGACAGAGGGAATTAGGAAGGACAGAGAGATAAAAGCCATTTTCTAACCCCACTGTCTAACAGGAAACTGAGACACGGGGACTGAAATCTCCCTGAAGGGAGAAAAGTCATGCCTACCCTGCTAGGGAGGAAAAACAAAAACAAAGTAAAAACTCTCAAAAGTTGGCCAAGCCGGGCAGAAGCTCTTCTCCCAACCGCACATCTGCCTTGGGCTTTTCTTCTTTTCAGATTGTTGTGAGAAAACAGATGGCTACAGAAGCCTGAATTTTAAATTTATGAATGGAAATTTGAACAGATGTTAGCAATCAAGATGGCATATAAGAATTTTTTTCATACCATGTTTACAGCCCAGCCTCCTTCACATAAATGGGAGAACGGGTCATAAAAAGGGTAGTTTTTGATCTCAGGGACAGCCTGGATCCAGCGTGGTGATTATGTGGCACAATGGCGGAAATATTGAAAGAACAAAGGGAAAAAAACACTAATCAGCTCCCTGTTTAAATGCTAAATATTTATCTGCCAAATGCTAAAATGTATCTGGAAGAAAACTGTAAATTCATCAGAGCACTTTCTGTGCCTTAAGGAGGTGAAGTACAAGCCCAGGGTTTAACAAGTATCTGTGGACACCTAGTTCCTTCAACTCTCTTTAGACTTGACAGGACATCGGTCATTTGTTTGTTTTGTTTTGCTTGGCTGAATGTCCCAAATATATGGGATCCCACCAAATTTCACAGAGAAATGGAGGAGATCTGATGATGCATGCAATGTTTGGAACTTGGCTAGTACTAAGAATGGTAGTGGTAGTGAGGATGGGAAGCAGAAGGGGGTGAGGAGGTTTGGGGGTATGTGGGGTGGGGATGGCAAAGTGAATCAAACATAATCTAGGTCCTCAGTATAATTAGAACTGAAGGCAAAAGTAGATATCTATATCTACATCTATATCTACATCTATATCTATATCATCCATCAACACAAAGCCAGACAAGGTATAATGTTAAAAGCTAAAGGAGTGAAGGAAAAGGAGTGAGGTTGATTGAGGGAATGGATAATGACAGTAGTTCCCGATATCCTGAGAAGAGGAGAGGATAATGGAATGTGTGGCCATCTGGAAGAAGAAGAGAGGGTCACCCAGGATTTGTTAGCAAATCTGGTTGGTTAGATCTTCAAAAAATGGAATGACCATAAAGCCTGAAAACACAGATTATATTATGTTATCAGATATTGTAATGTAACATCAACAGACCATTTATTATGTATTCATCTGGATTTCCTGACTTTGAGGCTACCCTGGCTCTCTAGAATCTGACCACTTCTATCACCATGATTGTCTCTCTCCTTGAGTCCTGCAATAGCTTTACTAGTCTCCCTGTTGTGTTTTTGCTCACCTCTGCCACCTCCAATTAGCCTATTGTCAACATGGTAATCCAAGTAAAATCACAGTGATCCCTTTGACGCACTGCTTCTCAAAAAGAAGTCCCTGCTCGAGCAGCAGCCGCTGCACCTGAGAAACTTGTTGGAAATGCACATTCTCAGGTTCCACCCACGAGTTTCTCAGAATCAGAATCTCCAGGGCTGGGGCCCAGAAATCTGTATTTTAACAAGACCTCCTGATGATTCTGATCCCTGCTGAGGTTTGAGAACCAATTTTAAGCATAGGTCAGATCATGTCACATCTTGGCTCAAAATCCTGCTCCTCAAAGTCATCACAATGACTACAAGGCCATACATATGCGGTCTGGCTCATGGATACAGCCCTGACTACCCACCACTCTACTCTCTAGCTCACTTGCTCCTTGGCTACACTCTAGGCCTTGGCAATTGCTGTTCCTTCTGCCTGCAATGCTTCCCAGATCCCCCAAGGCCCTGGTTCCCCTTCCCCACACACCATGGCTCAATCCCTCACCAACCTTCAACTCTGCGCAAATGTCACCTTTTCACTGACACACAGTCACTCATGCATTACTTAATGATGAGGATATGGTCTGAGAAATGCATAATTGGGCAATTCTGTTGTTGTACAAACAGCATAGAGTGAACTTAAATAAACCTAGATGACATCGCCTGCTACATGCCTAAGCTATATGGTATAGCCTATGACTCCTAGGCTACAAACCTGTACAGCATGTTACCATACTGAATACTGTAGGCAACTGTAACACAACATTACGTATTAATGTATGTAAAGATATATAAACTTAGAAAGAGTACAGCAAAAATATGGTAATATAATCTTATAAGACCACCATCATATATGCCATCCATCATTGACACAAACAATGTTACATAGCACATGACTATATAACTTATTTGTTATTGTCTGTCTCTTCCCAGGGACTGAAATTGTGCCCAGCAAAGTGCTCAGGAAGTATTTGGGAGAAGAATAAATTATCGTTTTTTTTTAGACATAATCTCGCTCTGTTGCCCAGGCTGGAGTCCAGTGGTGCCATCATGGCTCACTGCAGCCTCCATCTCCTAAGCTTCAGTGATTGTCCCACCTCAGCCTCCCAAGTAGCTAGGACAATAGGCTCATGACACCATGCCCAGCTAATTTTTTTTTAAAGTTTTTTGTAGAGACAGGGTCTCACTATGTTGCCAGGCTGGTCTCAACTCTGGGCTCAAGCAATCTTCCCACCTCGGCCTCCCAAAGTGCTAGGATTACAGGTGTGGGTATTGAGCATCTCCCAGAGGCCAGATATAGCGCTAAGTGCATCACTTCCATTGCCTCATTGAATTCCCAAGAAGCCAATGTGGTGGATATTATTATCTTTATTTTACACATGAAAAAAATGAGCTAAGTGAAAAAAACGGGTAACAGATACTAAAAGCATAAAGGACTAAGATGTGGGGTTATCAGAAAAGGAAACTTCATGATCTCTAAGTCCTGGATCTGACATAGAGCCAAGTTGTCTACGTTTTTACCCTCTTTACTGCTCGTCCCTGTAATTGATCTCGACAGAGGAATTCAAGCATACTCTGGCATTTACTGAAGCAGAATGTAATTAAGGTTGGCAAAAATCATGCTTTCAATGACTTTAGGACAAAGCTACAAGTGGGAGAATTACTCACTGCTTTATTTGCTGATATGTTCCCATTGTAAACACAGATAATAGTGGCACTTCCTGATATTCAAATACTTCTTACTCCTCCACCCAACTACTATGTTCTATTTTAAAAACAGTTCAGATTTTATGTTATTAATGACCAGGTAGAAGAGGATACTTTACCTACCTATTAATTTTCTCAAAAATGTGTCAGTGGTGCATTATGGGGACTTTCCTCCCTTGCAATGAAAGATTGTGTTATCTGCAAAGCATCTGCCAACATGGCAAACCAGTGCTCAACAGTGAATCAGGTACTGGTTCACCTAAAAAGATAGTCACACTGCTAGAAGGCAGACCCAGGACCATCCTTCTCTATTTGCAGTAGTCCCCCCACCTGCAATTTCACTTTCCACAGTTTCAGTTACCTGAGGCCAACTGCTGTCCAAAAATATTAAATAGGCCAAGCGTGGTGGCTCATGCCTGTATTCCCAGCACTTTGGGAGGCCACGGCGGGTGGATCACCTGAGGTCAGGAGTTAGACACCAGCCTGACCAACATGGTGAAACACCACCTCTACTAAAAATACAAAAATTAGCTCGGCATGGTGGTGGGTGCCTGTAATCCCAGCTACTCGGGAGGCAAAGACAGGAGAATCGCTTGAACCTGGTGGGGGCAGAGGATGCAGTGAGCTGAGATTGTACCACTGCATTCCAGCCTGGGCAACAGAGCAAGACCCTGTCTCAAAAAAAAAAATTAAATGCAAGATTCTGGAAATAAACAATTCATAAGTTTTGAACTATGTGTAGTTCTGAGTAGTGTGATGAAATCTGCCATTTTGCTGCATCCCACCCGGGACATGAATCCTCCCTTTGTCTCATGTCCCCATGCTGTAGACACTCTCCACTGCGTAGTCACTGAGTAGCCATCTTGGTTATCAGATCAACGGACACAGTATCACAGTGCTTGTGCTCAAGTAACTCTTATTTTGGTTAATAATGGCCCTAAAGTGCAAGAGTAGTGATGCTGATAATTTAGAGATGCAAAGAAGAGCCATAAAGTGCTTCCTTTAAGTGAAAAGGTGAAAGTTGCCAACTTTATAAGGAAAGAAAAATATTGTATACTGAGGTTGCTGAGATCTAAGGTCAAAATGAGTCTTCTGTGAAATCATGAACACTATATTGTTATGACTGTTCTGTTTTATTATTGTTGTTGCTGATATCTTACTGTGTCTAATTTGTAAATCAAACTTTATCATAGGTATGTAAGTGTAGGAAAAAACATAGTTTTTACAGTTGTCAAAGTCAAATAAAACATAGAGATGAATCTCTAAATTTAAAATGTTTTAGTCCAGGCTCGGTGGCTCACTCCTGTAATCCCAGCACTTTGGAGGTCGAGATGGGCAGATTACTTGAGGTCAGGAGTTTGAGACCAGGCTGGGCAGCATGGTGAAACCTTGTCTCTACTAAAAACACAAAAATAGCCAGGCCTGGTGCTGCATGCCTGTAGTCCCACCTACTTGAGAGGCTGAGGCAGGAGAATCGCTTGAACCCAGGAGGCGAAGGTTGCAGTGAGCCGAGATCTCGCCATGGCACTCCAGCCTGGGCAACAGAGTGAGACTCCATCTCAAATAAATAAAATAAAATAAATAAAATAAAATAAAATGTTTTATATGGGAAGCAAGAATTGAAATTCAAGGAATGCACACAGACTGGGTGGTCTTCCGTATGTCCAAAGAACAAGAGAAGGTTGGAGGTTTTATAAAAAGAAGAAATGTTACCTACTTCTTTTCAAGAAAGTTCATTGGCACCAGTAAGGTTCTGGGGAGCTGGCAAGCTTTGATTGGTGAGTGACTGTGGTAGGTAAAACTAGTCTTAGAGACACAGCAGCTTGTTTTGGTAGCTGTTGATAAAACTAGTTTCAGGTTACAACAGGCAGTTTCAGCAGCCAGCCTTGCAGAGAATTACATTCTCAGAGCAAAGTTGTATGCCGTACGTTCTTTTTCTCTCTGGCTCCTTGACTCTGAATTGGTTGGGTATGAAAAAAATGACCCAGTTTGTATGAGCAACTTTCACACAGTGTAGGGCTAGGTATCTCCATGGTTTTAGGCATCCACTGGGGGCCTTGGAATGTATCCCCTTTGGATAAGCGAGGGTGCTACTGTACTTACCTGTGTAAATAATCTCATCTAATCCCATGGCTTTTAATACCATCTATATGCTGTTCACTCCTGTGTCATCACCAGGGGTCCAGGAAGGAAAACAGAACCCACACCTGGTAGTGCAATAGAGAGAATTTAATACCAGTCAGTTGCAAAGATGTTGACAAAGTTGTAAGGGCAAACTGGAGACAGGGAAATAACTCAGAGAATACCAACATCAGGAAGTTGATGCCTCCCTAGGAGTAGAGAAACCAAGGAGGAAAGTGGAGTTATAAGAGTTTAGGAATAGTGGGAGCTAGGGCCATGCAGGAGGGCTTGCCTGGTGGTGACTTAACTACAGAGGAAGTGCATTCATGCTAGAGATGTTGCCCAGAGCAAAGACAGGGGAAAGTACTCTGGCTTTTCCTCTCCTACTGACTGCGGTCTTTTGCCAGTGTCTTCCATTGGCCAAACTTTCCCAGAGGCCAGTTGGCAAGGAAGCTTGGGAGATGTAGTTTGTGTGGGTCAACCTTGCACACCCCACTCTCCTGGTAGCACCTCATCCTCAAGCCATACAGAGTAGAGCATGAAAGAGCAGGAAATGAATCAGAGTGCCAACAGGCAAATGAACACTAACACTACCCCTAAATTAGTATCTCCAGTTCCAAGAGAGGACCTCTTCTCTGAGTTCGATTCTGACATTTAATCGTTCACTTGACACCTCCACTTGGTTGTCTAATAGTCCTCTCTAATTTAACATGGCCCAATAGAAAACCTTGGTTTAGCAGCCAATTCCCCATGGTATTCCTTCTCAGAACATGATTCACCCACTACTCAGGCAAAAATGGCAATGCCCTCTTTGATTCTTTTCTTTACTTCCTACTTCTTCCAACCTTTTAGAAAGACCTACTGATTGTTCCTCCCCGAACAGTTCCTTTCCATCTCCACTATAACCACCTTAGGCCAAGCCACCACCATTTCTTCCCTAGGTGACTATAATGACCTCCCAACTAGCCATGCTACCGCCACTGTGTCCACTTATAATGCATTGTTCAGGGGGCAGTTCCTGCAGACCTTGAGGGCAAGGGTAAGAAGCAGGGGCTTAGCTAAGTGCTATAGGAGCCATTGGAGAAAGCAACATAAACTAATTTCTACCTTAATGAGATCAGTTTAGCTTCCTTGTGGGAAATAAAGTACAAAGGAACAAAAGAGGAAGAAGACCAGTCAAGGGGGGATTGTACTTCTCAGCCCTCTTCTTCCACCTCTTCTACCTCTGTCTCCCCACTCACCACCTACTGGTCTTCTCCCTGTTACTCCAACATGCCAAGCTTGTTCCCTCTTCAGAATCTTTTCACAGCTAAAATCATGCTTGTCCTGATTTTAGCACAGCTGGCTACACATCATTCAGGCCTTCCCCTCTCAGAGATCTTTGCTGACTCAGCTATAGTAGTAATGTTGGCTGCTCACAAATATTCCATCTCTCTCCTTCTGGGCACAAAGTAAGACTGCACTTCTCTGCACCCTGGACATGAGATGTGGCCATATGACTTGCTTTGGCAAATTAAGTATGGGTGGAAGCTTTAAGATCCCACTGTGTGCTTCACCCTTTTTCCTTCTACCAGTGACCACCAGTGTTTCAGATAATGGCTACTCCATCAGCCTGAGCCCTGAAGAGGGGATGACAATTATCCAGAGCACAGCTCCCCATCAACCAACCAATGGGACACAGAGTGGAGCAAGAAAGAAATCTTTGCTGTTTTAATTTGCTGAGACTTTCAGATTGTTACCATAGCATACCTAGCCTCTCTGGACTGTTACAGCCCTTCAGTCCCAACACGTTAGCTTATATTGTATTGTGTCCATTGTGGAAATTACCAACTGATAATTTCCATTTGTCACTTTCATTTATTGATTTTATTTCCACTCTGCAACCCACACCAAGTTCATGAAAGCTCCACGTGAGCAGGGTCCTTGTCTGTGTAGTTCACCGCCATACCTTCTGCTTCTTTAAGTTTCCAGTGCATAGTCAGGCAAATATTTGACTGAACTTCTGATGGATTGCACATACAAGCATTTGTTTTTTGAATGCTATTTTGCCAACAAAACTGGAATAAATGCATCTTGCACTCAGCATCTCTGAAGCACCAAAGCCTAACATTTCACTCTGCTATTTGCGGGTTGGATTGACGGCTTGGGTTACACCCTTCCAGCTAATTCGCAGGAAACCAAGTTGCTCTCAGAGTTGCCACGATTCCATGGTCAGAAAAGGCCCTGCTAAAGACCATATACAGCAGATAAACAAAAATAAATGAAACTTTACAACCATAAACTGTAAGAGTGAAGTCACCCAGAGTTTGGAGACAGAGTGGGACAGAAGTGATTTTGGTAACTGTTTTTATCACTGAAAGATGTGGTTTTACCCTTTTAAAGTTTTTTGTGCTGACTTAATGTAATTCCCCAGAAATGGCCAAGTCTCAAATTTCACAATTGTCATAAAATATTAGAACCAAAAAAAACCTTAGTGATCACTCACTTCAGATTACTCCATTTATCATCTGGCTTAATTTTAATTGGAAACCTCTTAGGGTCTCACCGATGTCTGGTGTGGGCTTAGAATTTAGAAGTTCACATTAGAGATAGTGTAGCTCAAAGTTGTTGCCTTTTTTGGTACTACCAAGTATGTTTAAAAATATTTTTTTCTCTACCACCCCCTTATGAAATTATAGTAATGCTATAAAGATCACACTTATAAAATTAACCCCACAATATTTCTAGGTTTTATATTTTTGCTCACCTAACATCTTTCCTTGATGTTTCAAAATGTCTAAGATATTGAAGAAATAAGCTCCTTAGAACTATGAAGTAGGACACAGTAGTTTCTTTAGGGACACTTGAAGAAAGTAATCATATTCTATTTAATTAGCTTACTCTCCTAGACCTAACAGACTACATCCATAACAAGTACATTTTGTCTAACTTGCAAAAAAGTGCATGGACAAAAATTCAGTAAACGTTTGATGAGAAACTATCAACCCTTAAGAAATGGCAATTTTTATAATCTTGTTCACTTTTATTAAACAGGTCCTAATCCTGAAATTCAGGTACTACGCACCTGCAACTAAAACTGAAAAACAAAAATAAAACCCAAGTGCTTCCTATTCCCCCTACGGGCTGAAAATGGGACAGTGTGACTATCTCAAGTCTCTCAAACACAAAGCCATATTCACTCAAGAGAAATCGTTTACATGTGGTTAAGGAAACAGGAAATTTTCACATTGGCTTTAATATTTACATTTTACCAAAATTTTCCTGAACTCAGTAATCATTACTAACACTTTTTATAGTATTATTTACTGCATCTTAAAAAAAAAAAACTAAGCAGAAAGTGTACAGTTGAAGAAAACTGGATGTCAGTCTATACAATGATTTACTTTTGGCATGACAGACTTTATTTTGGCACTTTCACAAATATTTTGCTTTACAGCAGTGACAAAATATTTGCCAGAAATTTTTCTTTTCCTGGCACGGATATTCCCAGCAGTTGTTATTCTATGAATTGAATTTCACTCTGCTTTGCACAGTTAGAGGTATACCCATTCCTACCCTCTGTAATTGAGGGACACAGCGTGGCTTTAGAAAGCTAGGCTATCGTTTCCTTTTAGTCACTCTAAAGTGAATTGGTTCTGTAAGTGATGGGGCAGGAATCTGAGAATTAATTAAGGCCATTAAGGATTTAAAGTAAACACTGTTCCAAGTGTTGCTTAAAAAAATGTTTTTAATGAATTATGTGGCAATTCCAGGGAATGTTCTCAAAATGAAATATTCATACTTTATTAAAAGTAAATTGTATGTTGGAAAAGTTGCTTTTTTTGCTGTCTTCTTCTGACTTGGACGGCTCACAGTTTAAAACAAAATTAGTGGTAAAATAGAAAAAGGAAATGTTTAGTACAGAAAGTACCAGCCACAGTACCCTCATAACTCCATCTCCTTCCCCAGGCATCACTCTTTCCAGCCACTTCAATCCTAAAGCAGTGAGACCCTCATTTTAACACACAGAGCCTCCCTGCCTACCCTCCTTCCCTGTAACGTGAGCTACTGTAGTCCATTTATTAGTTCTTCGGTTAAGCTTCAGTAGACATTTGGAGCACAATTCCAAAGGTAAATCAATCTATAGGCCTAAGCCTTAGATACCAACATCAGGAAAGCCCCATTCAGATCTTTGGAATTTACAGTCTTGTAAGTTATTTGCAAAAGCAGGCGTCTGTCTTAATATTGCCATCAGTTATCCTATAAAGGTTGCAAACTTCGAAATCCCCTGGCAGCCTTCCAATATCTCTACCTAGACACACACAGGATAATACATTCAGATTTCCTCTGGCCAATTCAGAAGTGAATCTGGTAATAAACAGTCTCATCGACAGGCTCTTTGGTCTTGATTTACAGACACTGTGAAACACTTAGAAATCAAACCCACGTCATCCTTGAGAGCAGACGGCCGTTAGCAAAGGGGAGATGTACATTTGATCAAAAATGTACAAAATTTATAACAGTGACATTTTCAATATTAGGCCACATGATTTATTCAGTAGTTTTTATGTTCCCAAATTACAATTTATGTCTATTCATAAGACTACAAAAGTTACCATTAGAATTGTCTGTGCTTATAAAATACCAACTTTTTTTTTAAACTGTTACATATACTCATTAACACCAGTCTGCAACAAGTTACATAGAATCAGAGGCACTTCAAAGGCTTAAAAAGACGTTTACAACTTAAATGCATTTTTAAGAACAAAAACTGATTTTTCTTTAAACCTCTACTCGTACCTTCAAATTGCAAGAAATTAACAAATACAGTGGCCAAAGGAATCTGCAGCAACTTCTTAAAATACTGTTAACATCTTTGGGTTTGCTGAGGCTTGTCAGTAACTTACATCAAATCCTCCCAAAAGAAGATCTGATTAGATAGATATGACTAAACGGTTTTGTAGTAATAATCCAATTTTACACATTAATTTGCTGTTGCAAATCTGCCCAAAGCTACAGGTAATGAAAAATAAAGCAAGTGTAAAATGGATAGTCTGACACTTAAAAATTTATACAAAGTGGAAGTTAAAGTTTACATATTTGAAAATCACATATACACTAAATTACCATTATCTGAATTTTCCAAAGACAAATTGCACCATGACAGCTACAAAAGGCATAGGGTTTGGTTTTAAGGGCACAAGAAGGGAGGGCAGAGGAGAGGAAGGGGACAACAGATAAATTAACAAAGTAAGACCAACTTGGTAAGGTCAATCTGAGACATGCTGACACAAATGAAACAGCTTTCATCTTTGAGTCATAGGAAAAAGACAATCATTTTGTATTTGCGCATAAAAGTTTAAACCAATTCCATGAACATCGAGGGTTTTCATAACATAATATTTTGCCACTGCTATTCACAGAACACTGCAGATGTTAAATTTTAATTTTATGTTGTTCTAAAGAAATACATGAAATGTTTTAAATACAATGGGATTTTATCATTAAAGTGCCAGAATGGCTCTTTAATGAAAACAAAAAACAAAGATCTTCATTATTCTATGCAAAAGCTTTATTTTGAAAAGTTCAGTGATCTCATAAATAGAGACACTAAGTTGGAGTTTTACGCATAAAACTCCTTAGTAGGTGCCTTCTGATAAGCAGCACTGGATGGTTTGCGTTCTCCAAGGTCATAGCTTCCTTCATCCTTCTTTCTCATGCGATACACCAACAGCAGGATAAGAAAAATTGCAAAGAGAAAGCCAATAACTCCACCAGCAATGACAGCTGAAACAACCAAAAGGAAGATTACTTTAGAAGAGATTCAAGGGTTGCAGACATTAGCTTTATTGTCAAGCCTAATCTACTTACACTTTTATAAAAGGCTTAATTTGAAAACCCCAATAAAAAAAAAGCTGGATTCAATGAAGCAACCTGGTAACTATGCAAATCTGAAACTCCTCAGGAAGGTACAGTAATTTCTTTGGTTAGTGTTAATAATACCACCCAAAAACCTCGATAAGAAAAATCTGGCCTTGATCTTAACTAATTCCATACTTGAAAACTACTTTTGTCTTTTCAGAACTCACATTTCATATTCTAATTTTCTAACTGCTTTTTTTCAACAGAGAACATAGTATAATTGACTTAAAATTTTAAAGAGTATACATGAAAAAAAGCATGCAAATTTATTTCTATTCTTGGATTTGAGACTACCAAGTGTGCCTAAATCTTGAAAGTTTTCCCCTTTAAAATATTTGCACTTCCATCCAATTAAGTTAAAATAGAAACAACGTTCTTAACACTTTGGGCAGTACTTATATGAACTGCCTTCCCCTAAAGAACTTTTCGTTCTCTTTATTTTGAAATGTAGAATGCCTGTGAGCAAGACTGATGGATCTCCACACTCTGCCATCTCTCTACATCCAGTTGTTCTGGATCAATTCAGATGTTAACTTTCCCTCTTTTAGGCTACCTCCTATCCCCTGCCCGATGGCTGGCGAAGAGGTAGGTTGAGGGAGCTGGCAGACAATAAAGACAATGTTTGCTGAGCCTCTTGCTTCTCGCTCTGGAATCAAGCACCCACAAGACTGCTTTCAGCAGAAAGATGACAGCAAGCTTTGCTGCACTTTTGAATATCACTTAGACTAACAGAGGCCTATGTAGGCACCCTCCCACCTGAGGCCCACCAGGCTACTCACCTGCTAGGACTTCTGTCCGTTTAAACAGACTGTCTGAGTGTTTCTCAGTATACACATTTGTATCCTCTTCGGCTGGGTCCATTTTCCTTTCTGAGTCAGAGAGGTGAACTTTCTCTTTATCAGTTTCTTCAGGTGACTGGTATGGGAAACAGGGAAAGATTACATTGATTTAAGGAAATGTGTTGGAAAGAAGAAATAATAGATGAGTATATTCCAAAATTTTTTTTTCCCCCAAAGAATGAGTTTAGGAAATAACTGGAATAATCACTTGTGTGATGTTTATAGCAATGGGTGAGTGTCATGATGGACCCATGTAGTTCATGGTTTGCACAACACCCATCGCATGATCAGGCAAGTCGGAGAGCTAGTGAGTTCATAATAATCCTAAGGACATGGTGAGGTTGTTTTAGTGGACATTTCCTAAGATTTCTACTTTCTCACCACTCTTCTAACTGCAGGTCACCATCTCCCTCTGACTGCTCCAACCCAACAGCACTGCCCCAATTCTCCCTGCTCCTTCACTTCTGAACTACACAGGGCACTAGGACAACAGTTCCCTTTCAGATATTCTCTCACGCCTGACTGGGCTTTTCCTGTCCCCACTCTGTGGGGAGCAATCCCCAAGCCTTACTCCTAATGCTTCCCCCTAGTTATATTACCTTCAGCAAACCCTAGACCAGGACTTCCAGGGACTTGGATTGCGCAAGTAGCTCCTCCCTGATCACATCATACTTCTTTTCTCCACCTTGATTTCCTCACCTGTCTAATGAACGACACTCACTGGGTCTCGGACACTGCACAATGCTCAAGCAGAAATCTATGGGAATACCTCTCACAGCCGCATCTCTAGTCAGCATTATTCCCAACAAGCCAGCAGCCTGCAGGACATTAACTGTTGGCTGTACCACCTTTAACTCTACTCGTCAAGTCTAAGTAGTAATTAATTCACTGCTGAATCAGATCAACCTCCTTTTCTATTCCCATTAATGGCACTGTATTTTGGGGTGTTACCAAGTTATCTATTACGGCACATTTTCTATCATATGTTTTCCATGTCACAGCACTGTCAATTTGCCTCCCATCTTGCTCTCACATTAACTTCTTCCCTTGGGTTCTCATTTCCACAGCTTCGTTCAGGTGGCCAGCACATCACAGCCCAGCTCCCATCCCGCATCGACCTCAGAACTGCAGGTGTTGGGTAGCTTCCAGTCCTCACCCAACCCACCACTTACTCCCAGTAGAAAACCCTGTGAGGTCATTTCCACCACCTCTTCATTATCAAAAATGGTTCTTAGTATCTGTGCTGTAGTTTAGCGGTCCCCAATCTTTCCATGAATGGGAGGGTGGGGGGGATGGAGGGGGATGAAACTATTCCACCTCAGACTCTCATAAGGAGCACAACAGGCACAGTTCACAATCGCGTTTGCGCTCCTAGATCCTATGGGAATGGCACGCCTCCACTGATCTGACAGGAGGCGGAGCTCAGGTGGTAATGCTCACTCACTTCCTGCTGTGCAGCCTGGTTCCTAACAGGCCACCGCTACTGGTCCGTGGCCCCAGAAGCGGGTGGGGAACTCTGCTCTAGTTCATGCAGTTCTATCCCCAGTCCAAATGTTGCACTTCTTTTACTATCTGTTTGTCCTTAATGAAGCCTTCTCTGACCTTTTACCTCACTAAACCCCCAGGATTATTTACACAGAAATTATCTCTTGCCTTTCTAACTCTCAGCACCATCACTGGCCATCTTATGTGAATCACCCAAGGTTACGCTGATCCACATCACCTGAAAGGCATTAAAAAAAATACAGTCCTACTACTAGAGGTTCCATTTCAATTGGTCTGACTTCAGGTCACCATCTCCCTCTGACTGCTCCAACCCAACAGCACTGCCCCAGTTCTCCTTACTCCTTCACTTCTGAGCTATACAGGGCACTATGTAGCTGGCACTGACTTTTACTGCTATTTAAGTTCTCCAGACAATTCCATAGTTTAAGAACCAGTGGATTAGAGAAGTCCCATTCAAAGGAGTTGTTCATTCTCTAACAGTCTGAAGTTCTTGTCGGCCAGCATCACTGATGAAAACACTGTCAACTTCATTGAGGTTTAAAGGCTAAAGGTGGCTGGGTAGGGAGCCCAAGGTGAGAGGATCATTCGAGACCAACCTGGGCAACATACTGAGACCTTGTCTCTACAAAAAAATTTTTAAAATTAGCCAGGCATGGTGCTGTGTACCTGTGGAGGATCTCTTGATCCCAGGAGTTGGAGGCTGCGGTGAGCTATAATTGTGCCACTGCATTCTAGCCTGGGTAACAGAGTGAGACCCTGTCTCAAAAAAAATACTGCAGACAATAATCCTTCTCAGCTCTACTACTCTTCCTAAGTTCCTGAGAGCTTCCTACCATCTTCATTAGGACTCCACAGAGTCTAACATACCATGGCTCAGCAAAGCAAATGATTGCTTTCTGAAGGCTAGAGTTCATCCAAAATGGCGGCCTGCTAGTTAAGTCTAGAGGCTTAAAGAGTGTAAGAAGAAAAGACCTCACACCTTCTTGGGCTGTGCAAGTAGCTCCTGTGGGACCCTGACCACATCATACTTCTTTTCTGCACCTTAAGGCCACCCTCATTGCTAGGAAGGACCATAAGCTAGACCAGGTGGATCCATTTGTACTCTAGGGTATGTAAGATCAATAGGTCCCTGTCTCAGTGAGCAGAACGCTACACTTCTACTGAAGGTGGTATGTAATAAAGTATAATAAAGAGTAACTGTCATTCCCAAATTGCAAGAAACCCTGTACTACCTAAACTTCAACCTGCCATGACTTACAAAAAGCAGAGGCCATAGAGAAATTTCATTTCACTGGTGCACAATATGCACTGAAAATGTCACCGTCCTTTCTATTACTATGAGAGAAGGAAATACGACAGGCCTTCCCAGGCCTTCAGGTACCAAAGTAAAGCAGAAGAGAGCAGCTCATTGGCAGTATTTTTGCTGAGATTTTTCTATTCTTCTCATGAAAAGCCCATCATTAATTGGCTGCCTTGTGGAAAGACAGACAACAGGTCAGAGAATGGATTATCTGGGTTCTAGTCTAGAGACCTTTTCACTGCTCATTAGTACTGCTTTACTATTACAAGTTAGAAAAGGGAAGAGAAATCTCAAATAGGTGAATACTCAGGTTTGTGACTAGGGAGAGAGGTAAACAAGTTCTGGTGAGAAATGAAATGGACCTAAGTAGTTACTGTAATATGAGAGACTGAGTTTAATTCATCCATATCCATATCATCTTTGTCCCATTATTATTACAAATCATATGGTTTCACCATGTGATTGAGTCCCTAAAGTCATTTAAGAGAGTTGATCTTTTCAGTTTCCTCTGACTCAGCCTCTGATCCGGCAGGCTGAACAAAGCGTGCAATCCAGGGATCTGAGAGTGTGGGAACTGAAGGACTCCACAGAACTGGAGCCGCCCTGCAGCTGGAGGTGCACAAGCCTCAAGCGGCTCTGGGTGGAAAATTCATTTTTTAAGTCAAAATGTTTTATCGTATGGAAGCAAAGGCTTGACTAAGAAGATACCATTTGGTAATATGGAACTAATCTGAAATACCTTCACTCTTGTATGAATGTATGTGCAAAATGAATCCGCAAAAAGACAGCAGGGATGATTAAATGAGGCCAAGTAAAGATCTGCCACATCCATGTCTGGTTGTTTGGATGCCATGGAAATGCAACAGAAGTAAAAGCTTATGAGTGATGCTCTTCTCAAACAAATAACGAGATTCCCTTTTGTGCATTTTAGTCACTTAAATTTACAACAAACTAGATAGGATATCCGTAACAGTGACATTAATGCCACTGTGAGACCAATTGAAAAGCAAAATCTACACTAATGGTATCCTAGAGGCAATGTTCAATTCGGCTGTACCACATAAACAGCAAAATGAAAAATTTAATCATTATTATTCATGTTATTCATGATCAATATTATCATTATCAGTGCTGCAAACAGTGTTCGACACATAATGAATAGCACTCAACAAATCTCCTATAAATGGATGAATTTCTACTATTACTATATTGAACACAAATGATAGTAAGAATATAAATGTATTAAAATCTTTTGGGCTCCTTAATTTTTAAATTCACCTGCCAAAGTTCTACATTTTTTATCTCGATCTGATGCAATTACTTCCTTAAAACCAATTTTTAAAAACTTAAATTAGTGGTCAATCCATTGCTGTTAACAAACCAGACAGAACTCTATGTCAAATTAAGTCTTGCTTAGGATAGAACTCTCTATCACTACAAGCCAAAACTCACCCAGGAGAGTTGCTTCCCTCAAGCTAGTGAGTCCTAATTGTCTCTGACTTCAGCAGATTTAGTCAAGAGAAGTGGTCAAATAAAAATGTGGTAAGAGCCAAATGCATCTTTAGTAAATAGTAGCTAATTGTGCCACACACACTCTGAGGCAGTCATCGTACCACCAATTGCACCTGCACTTTTCATTTCTCCCTTTCTTTTTTTGTTTCATTCACTCAACTGAAACATTGATACAGTAGCTTTTATGCATGGATCCAGCACATGCCAGGTGAGTCGGTCTCAGTTCTCATAGGGCTCTCCCTGCCTTCCTACCGCCTGGCTTGTGAAGTCTACCACTAATAGTAATTGACCCTTCTTGGTCCTACAGAAAGCACTTCAATTTGGACAGGGCTGGCTTCCTGGCTGTTCCACATCTGCAGAAACCCATCCAGCGGTGCCATTCACCATTCCAGTCACAGGCACTGGGAGGATGGAGGAGGAGGAAGAACAAAGGTACTCTGGGGCAAGGGTAAGAAAAGCCCACATGCATTCTGGCCTGAAGACGGGATGATTCTTACTCCAAGGAAGGCCTGTCGCCACCTTCATCAAACAGCCTTCCATATCCATACCCTGTCTGCTGCTAAAGCTTGGCAGCATCTCATTTCTAATCAACAGATGGGTGAGCTCTAAAAGGGGATGCTTGTGCTTCTGAGTTTTCTTAAGCCATATGTTACCCCTGCACTGATTGCAAAGTCTACCACTACAGTTATTACACATGCTCATTTGGTGAATTGGCTTGGTCTCTTCTGCTCCACCAATTCAATTAATGCTTACAGAATGGTGACTAGGTCTCAGGTGCCATGCTACATGCACTCACATTTCATCTTCTTCAAGGCCCATAGGAAATGGGTTCAGAAGCTAAGAAACCTGACTGGATCCAGGATTTGAAACTTAGGTCTTTGCCAGACTTTAATATGCATGTTCTAACTTCAGTGGGTTACCTATTAGTGGATGGTCAGCTAACTGCAATATTAACGAGGTCAAAATCACAAGCTCCAAGTTTTCATTAGCTGGTCACTTTACTCAGGTCTAAGGCCAAAGACCTTATTCTTAATAAGTCAGCTCTCAAAATGAATATATACAGATGTACCCAGGTTCATCATCATCGAGAGAGGTCAAGGATTACATAGTACTGATGGTCGGCCTAGGAAGACTGAGAAATGACTTAGTGAGACTAGGACCACCTCAAGACGTGACCTGGAGTCTTCTAATTACGTAACCTACAAACCAGGAAACCAAAGAAACAGGGCTTTACTTCTTAACTGGGCTTCAGACGTTCCTTAAGAAGGAGGGCCATGTGAAAAATAGTTGTATATAATTTGAGCCTGGATGACAGAGATTATAAGTGGGTAAATGCCAAAATGATCAAAAAGAGTAAGGAAGAGCCATTTATAACACCACCTGAAGACCATTTGTCCTTACACAATTTTAAGTGGGGTCTTTTAAAAGAACTGTTGTGTACATAGTTCATGATGGGTAGCTCCAAAAAGAAGAAAATAATACAAAAGGGACTGTTGTGTACAGTCAGTAAAGTGAAGCATTTGTAATAACCTGATAATGCAATGCAATGGAAAATAGAACGCACCTTTGTCTGAGCAGGTATCTTGTTCTGTATATTCAGCGTCGTGGTTTCCACTTTTGGAGCAGCACTAGTCAACAGTATCTTTGGAAGTGGTCGAGATGTTGTCAGCTCTGGACTCTCTACATCCTCATCAGCTCCTGGAAAAGTAAGTGAAGATGAACTGAGCATGGCAATCATGACACAGATGTCTCCATTATCAGGCACTATTGCCTGACGTTGACACTGACAGAATCATGTTCTTTCAAAATGCTGGCTCTTTAAGACTTCAGCACAAAGCTTCCTGTGGTCTTCACCATGATGAAGAAGTGATTTCAAAGGTGTCTGTGGGTAGTCTAGCAAGTTTTTCCTTAATAGTATTATCCTGAACATTCAAGTAGCCCTTCTTTCACTTGCATGTTCCTTTTCTCCCTGCTTGACAAGATTTTTTCCCATCTACACTGAAACGTGCTCCATTTCCATTTTAAGAACACAACAGTCCAGGTGCAGGGGCTCACGCCTGTAATTTCAGCACTTTGGGAGGCCGAGGAGAGCGGATCACGAGGTCAGGAGATCGAGACCAGCCTGGCCTATATGGTGAAACCTCATCTCTACTAAAAATTCAAAAATTTAGCTGGGCGTGGCGGCGCACGCCTGTAATCCCAGCTACTCGGGAGGCTGAGGCAGGAGAATCACTTGAACCTGGAGGTGGAGGTTGCAGTGAGCAGAGGTCACACCATTGCATTCCAGCCTGGGTGGCAGGGTGAGACTCTGCCAAAAATAAAAATTAAAAAAACCCACAACAAAACAAAATGCAAACAGGAAAACTCTCCTATGGCTGACTCCTTATTTCATGTGAGTTCCTTGCCCTCTCTCCCGGGTTTTTGTTTTGTTTCTTTTTTTTTTTTTTTTTTTGGAGATGGAGTCTTGCCCTGTCACCAGGCTGGAGTGCAATGGCACAATCTGGGCTCACTGCAACCTCTGCCTTCCAGGTTGAAGTGATTCTCCTGCCTCAGCCTCCCGAGTAGCTGGGACTACAGGCGCATGCTACGACACCCAGCTAATTTTTTGTATTTTTAGTAGAGATGGGGTTTCACCATGTTGGCCAGGATGGTCTGGATCTCTTGACCTTGTGATCCACCTGCTTCAGCCTCCCAAAGTTCTGGGATTACAGGCGTGAGCCACCGTGCCTGGCCCTCTCCTGGTTTTACAGGCAGATTTTTCCAGTGGGGGTGGATACTCACTAGGTCTTGTCCTCATCATCTTCTCCACTCTGCATTCTACTCCCTCCAGGAGCATTTTCCCTGTCATCACTATTAATACTGTTTTGTTAAGGTCACCAGTATCCACAGCACCCAATGGCACTCTTCAGAATCGCCTTCCTCTAGTAGAAGAACTTCCTAGCACCACTGCACACTGTCAAGTGCCATCTGCTTCCGGACAAACCCTATTTCTTTGGGTTCCTAAGAGTTCCTGGCTTCCCCCTCACCTCTCTGGCTATTCTAAGTTTCCTTTGCTGGTTTATCCTCCTCTACCTCAACATCAAATATCAAAGAGTATCTGAAGGTCTGTCCCTAGGCCTCTTCTTCCTCTACACTTTCTCCCTCATCCATGTCCACAATGTCAATAAATGATGAGTTAAGCACAGATGATACCTAAATTTACATCATCGGCTTTTACCACCCCTCTCAAAGTCACATATCCAGTGGCCTTCCTGGCATTTTCACTTGAATGACTCAAAGGTACAACACACCTCTGAACATGTCCAAACCAGAACTCATGGTCCCTTTGTCTTCTCCTCCTGTGACCTTGCAGTGACTGAAGCCCTCTGTTCCTACACACCAGAACTCTGACTTCCTCTTCCTTACCTTGTTTTTGAATCCATTATCCAGTCCTATCAATCTTATCTTCTTATTATCCCTCCACTCTTAACACCGTTCTACAGTTCCAGGGCCACCACTCCAATCCAAGCCACTGTGACCTTTCCATGAAACACTGTACCTGCCTTCTTCCTAATAGGCCCCTGAGTGCCTAACATAGTGTCTAAGACATAACAGGCTCTGATCTGGTATTTGTTCAACAAGTGACTTTCTACCTGAGCATGATTTTTGTTTGTTGTTGTTGCCTTTTCACTAGAATAGCATTTGAGAATTTCTGACATTCAAATACAACATTCCTTTTAAGTTGATCATTTGTCAAATTTGTAACAACTCAAACAAACTCCAACTCTGTAACTCAAACTAACCAGGCTTCCTCGGACAACACATTGATAAATACCTCTAAATTCCTCAAACAAAAGAAAATGGGTATTTTCCACAGAATCGCATCAATGTAATAAGCAGGTGGGAAAGCAACACATGCTGGAAACATGTGCAATGGCCATGGTTCACTTCTTTCTTTTTCTTTTCTTGCTCTGTCACCCAGGCCAGAGTGCAGGGGTGCGATCATGGCTCACTGTAGCTTCAAACTTGCGGGCTCAAGCAATCCTCTCACCTCAGCCTCCTGAGTAGCTGGAACTAAATATATGTGCCACTGTGCCCAGCTAATATTAAAAAAAAAATTATTATTATTTTTTGTTGTTGAGACGGGGTCTCAACTATGTTGCCAGGTTGGTCTCGAGCTCCTGAGCTCAAGGGATCCTCCTGCCTGGGTCTCCCAAAGTGTTGAGATTATAGGTATGAGGCACTGTGCCCGGCTCCTGGCCGGTTCATTTCTTAATTTATCAACTGTCTCCTTTAATTTCAAAACATATATATTCATTATTATACAGAAGAAATGGCAGGGCATGTTGGAATAAATACAGGGTTTGGTATTAAGAAAGCAAACAAACCTAGTACTGGTTCTGGCATTTATTAGCTCTGTACTCTTAGGCAAGTAATACTTGAGTCTTGGTTTCTTCATTTGTAAAATGGGGCTAATAATAACTAACCCACGAAGGTACATATATATCACAGATACATATCTAACAGACATGATACATATTTAAAGCATTCTATATAAACTGTTACGTAAATATAGGTCATTAATAATGATGGGTCCAGAAATATAATGCTGTTTTATCAGGTGACCTAATTATCTATCAACATTTTACATATAATATGCTTAATTTGTTCCTACAATGAATCATTTTCTTACAAAGAATAAAACTTCAATGAGAAATGAAAAATTTCAGTCTAGGGCTTTTAAAGACCCTCTTGTTTCACAAGAGTTACCAATATGAGTCATCAACCTAGAAGTGGGATGAATCTGTATGAGGGAAGAGATTTGTAACGTAGAAAATCCCCCTTAAGCTGGCACTTTTAAAGTTAAAGACAGGGCCAAGCACAGTAGCTCGCGCCTGCAATCCTAGCACTTTGGGAGGCCGAGGCCGGTGGGTCACGAGGTCAGGAGATCAAGACCATCTTGGCTAACATGGTGAAACCCCATCCCTACTAAAAATAAAAAGAATTAGCCAGGTGTGGTGGTGGGCGCCTGTAGTCCCAGCTACTTGGGAGGCTCAAGCAGGAGAATCACTTGAACCTGGGAGGAGGAGGTTGCAGTGAGCTGGGATACCACCACTGCACTCCAGCCTGGGCAACAGAGTGAGGCTCTGTCTCAAAAAAAAAAAAAAAAAAAGATAGAGACAGATGGGCAATCTGTCTCAGATGGCTCTGCTGCTTTTAATATCTTTATTAAAAACATTAACTCTTTTGCTCAAACCAGAAATCTCGAAGCCCCACTGAATATCTCCTCCTTCAGGTCCTACTGTTCTCCCTGTCTGAAATAGACTACTCCAAGGCCTGTTTCCCTCTGGGAAACTCCTGCTCTCACTATCAAGTACAGCATCAATATCACCCCCTCTCTGAAGCCTTCCTTGATCTCTCCACCAGGGCACCGGTTCTGTCTCTATGTTCCCATGCTCATTCTCTTATTTTTTTTTGTTATTTATTTATTTATTTTGAGATGGAATTTTGCTCGTCACCCAGACTGGAGTGCAATAGTGCAATCACAGCTCACTGCAACCTCCGCCTCCCGAGTTCAAGCGATTCTCCTGACTCAGCCTCCCAAGTAGCTGGGATTACAGGCATGCGCCACCACGCCTGGCTGATTTTTGTATTTTTATTAGAGATGGGGTTTCGCCATGTCAGGCTGTTCTCGAACTCCTGACCTCGAGTGATCCACCTACCTCAGCCTCCCAAACTGCTGGGATTACAGGCGTAACCCACCACACCCAGCCTTATTTTCTTTTTTAAAAATAACATTTTCTTTTACTTATGGTATGAATGTGTCTCCCCAAAATCCATGTGTTAAAACCTAATCTCCAATGCAATAGTATTAAGAAGAGGGACTTCAGGAGATGAGCAGGTCATGGGGGCAGGGCCCTCATGGAATGGAATTAGTGCCCTTCGGAAAGAGGCTTGAGGGACACTGTTTGTCCCCTTTGCCATGTGAGGATGCAGCAGGAAGGCACCATCTAAAAAGTAGTCAGAAAGCCCTCACCAGACACCAAATCTGCTGTGCCTTGATCTTTGACTTCCCAGCCTCCAGAACTGAGACCAATAAATTTATAAATTACCCAGTCTAAAGTATTTTGCTATAGCAACCTGAATGGACTTAGACAACTTATAAAAATAATACTTTTTAAAATACATTTGCATGTATGAATTTGGAAACACAGAAGGAATAAATACAATTAGCCTATCGCCAGAGAAAACATTGTTAGATTTTATTTACTGAAGTGTCCCTAGAACCTAGAATGGTGCCTGTTCTCCCATGTACTAAGTGATTAAGAAATACTTCCTCAATGAATGAATATCCTCTGTGTCTTCTCACCTTCCAAATGAGCTTTTCATTTTTGACACGACAGTCCCACACTCTTAAGAACTCTTATGTCTCAGAACATTCCTGTTTTATAGTATCCTGTTTTTGTGCCATTGTTCGAGCATCTGCTTTTCTCTCTGAATTTACTATGTTTTTCTGTGAATTTTTTTCTTCCTGTAAGTGGCTGTCCTCTCCCAATTTGGGGGTTTCTCTTTCTCTCATGTTACAAGTTTTTCCTAAATATCTGGGGAGCCTTGGTTGCCTGTTTATATTGAAGAGGGAAACACCGAAAAGAGGACTAGAAGCTTTGAGCACACAGGAGAGGTGTGTCAAATGTAGGCAACATCCCCTCGACTGAAATTTTTCATTTCTCATTGAAGTTTTATTCTTTGTAATACAGAGCTGTACGTTTCACTGGAGAGCTCCCATGCCACTCTCTTTGAATTGGTCCAGCTTCCCAGAGGGGAGCCTCCCAGTCCCCTACCCAGAGGGTAAATGGACAGACTGCCAGTGTTCTGGGAACTGACTGGGAGAAGACAAGACAACTTGGGATCACACCATATTAAATTATTCTTAATCTAAGAACTTATTTTCTCTGTCTTACATAAGGTACCCCCAGCCCCATCTGTTCCTGAAATACCCCCGGGTTCTGTTTTACCCTCTCCAGATAATAAATCTCCAGGTTTCCCTCTGAGGGCAGGGAACATGAGCCCCTTTGCTACATGACAGAGGAAAGGAACCAGGGGATCTATTTCTTAAACAGACTTCCAGCCAATCATCCTGAGTTTAACATCACTCTCACCCTCCACTGAATGCCACCAATTCCTAGGTCCCAAGAGATTCTGCTGTGTTAACTGGGTTGCTTTTTGGCTCTCCCCACTGCGAACTAACTCGGCCTTCTGAAGCCTGCCAAGTCTGTCCCCACTAGCTCATCTTCTTCCCAGCTTTCAAAACTTCATGGCTTTTGTTTCCTTTACTGTTTCGTTTGTCCTTATGAGTTCATGCCCAATTCTTTTATCGTCAATTTAGTTGCACACTGAAAGGTAGTAGTGTTCGATCTGCCATCTTTAACCAAAGGTCTATATTTTACCTCTTACATTTTTGTTATACAGCCCTTTCCTATATTATGTCACCCCTCACCGGGTATCACAATGATTATTTCTCATGTTTGTATTTCTTTCATTAGACTCTTGGTCCCCTACAGACAGAGACCAAGTCTTTCTTATCTCTGTGCCCCAAGAGCATGGCACAGTGTGTGGCACACAGCAAATGCTTATGAAGGGTTTCATGTTTGCTTATGCCCATACTTGAGCCCACATATAGAACATAGTCCTATCTCCTTGCCCAGGAAGTCCCCTCTGGGCCTTCAGCCATTTTTTCCAATCCATTTGCTTTTCTACTGGATAGCTGGATGAAAGAAGGGACAACTGGTACACTGGCCAAACCCTGGGGTGTTTTTAAGCTGGAACTGGGTAATTCTAGAAGGGGTTTATGACACAAGGAGGCAGCACAGCAAAGGAATGAAAGAAAACACACTCTCACGCCCAACTCCCTCACTTTCTCACTATCCCAGTTCTATTACCTTCTAATAGTGTGACCTGAGGCAAGTGAATCTCTCTGTGCCTCAGGTTTTCTCGTGGGAATCATCGAAATACTAACAGAATCTATCGTTTCAGAGATGTTATAGGGGTTAGAGTAGTTTCTGACACAGTTAAAAGCTTCACAAATTTTAGTTACAAGTACTGCTGCTTCATGCTGAAAAACAACACTCCCAGCTCAGTGTAAGGTGGTTTCCAAAGTCAAGAACGAAGCTCTTTCACTTCTTCACAGCAGTGATCTGCCTAAGGCTAGGGCCATGGCACCAGCAGTGTGGGCCCAGGTTTAACCCTCAGCTTGATCTATCTGATCAGTGGGTTCAGGACTTCAAATGACCCTCCCTAACTCTCTTTTACCTGGATGGGGGCAGGGGGTCTGTAGAGGTTGGCAAAGTCATTGTGTTGATTTGCTAAGACTGTCCTTAAGTTTAATTTAAAGAAAACTTACTTTAAGCATACTGGTTTCTTTAAACTAGACTTAAGGTCAACCTTAGCAAATCAGCAAAATGACTTCGCCAACCTGTACACCCCACTAACAACTCTTGGATTCTAAGATCTGCGAAGTAGGAACAAAAAATGTCCATAGTTATTATTTCCTGGGACATATTGAAGATGACAGTTACAAAGAACTCTTAAGGTGCTAAAAAAAAAAAAGAGGTGCCATGAGTGAAAGATATTTATAGAGTTGTGGGCAATAAGAACAACTCTTTTCACACCCATTTTGTGTGTGTGATATATATCACTCTCCCAAGAATAACTAGAGTTATTTTTACATTAGGACTGCATTGTAAGCTCATTGTTACTAGGTCAGCAACCACCTCTCTTGTCTTTCTCAGACTTTCTGCTTTTCAACTTAAAACATTCACTCTTACATGGCTAGATTTCTACCAAAGACACAACTGATTTTAATCTGTTCTGGGTCATTCTGAAGCCCAGCTCAATCTGATCACAAAAGTTATACCGAACATAGATATCTAACAATCTGTTGAATCTGTTATAAAAACCCTAAAGCAAAAAAGGTCTGGATAAGTCTTGCCTACCATGCTGCTGACCACAAATTTCTCACTTGACTATTAATTAAGTATGTGGAAAGCTCTTCCCTTTTTTGAGCTTCTTGGGGGTTGATATGGTTTGGCTGTGTCCCCACCCAAATCTCATCTTAAATTGTAGTTCCCATAATCCCCACATGTCATGGGAGGGAGCTGGTGGGAGATCACTGACTCATGGGAGTAGTTACCCTCATGCTGTTCTCATGACAGTGAGTTCTCATGAGATCTGATGGTTTCATAAGGGGCTTATCCCCTCTTCACTCATACTTCTCCCTGCTGCCACCATGTGAAGAAGTACATGTTTGTTTCCCCTTCTGCCATGACTGTAAGTTTCCTGAGACCTCCCCAGGCATGCTGAACTGTGAGTCAACTAAACCTCTTTTCTTTTATAAATTACCCAGTCCCTGTGTTGTTAGCAGGGTGAGAATGAACTCATACAGGGGCCATTCTGAGAACAGGGGAAATATTCATCAATTATGGTAGATTGTAAATGTGACCAGAATCCCTTAATCCTCCGTGTATACATATCCTCTGTAAATGTGACTTTATGAATCCTTTCACTAAGAGGTGGAGTCTGTTCTGGCCTTCTGACTTGCTTCAACCAGTAAAATGTAGTAAAAGTGATGCTGTGCCCAGTTCTAAGGCCTGGCTGCAAGAGGCTTTGCACACTTCTACTTGCTGTTACTGTGAAAAAATAGCTTGCCTACTGGAGAATGAGAGACCACACGAACAGAACCCAAGTCTGCTCAGCTGCCCCAGGGATATGAGTACCCGAAAGCTGCAAACCCAACCTAAAGCTGTACACTCAACCGGCAGCTGACCACTGACATGTGAGGGAGCCCAGCCAGCCCAGCCTACATCACCAACCTACAGAATAATAAGTTAAATGAATGACTGTTACTTTAAGCCACCAAGTTTTGGGGTGGTTTATTATGTAGCCTTAGAGTGGTAACAGATAACTATTAAGGAATAATATACTAAGGAATCTGATCATGTCACTACATAATCATTTTACTTGGCTGCTGCATTTTCCTCCTACAATACCCTAGGAATAAAAACGTATTAACTTCTTGGTCTCATCTACAATTTTTAACATAGGGTAGGTGGTTTTATGAAACCAGTGTTTGAGGGATTTCTTGAAGGGTGGTTTCCATGACATCACTCTGAAAGTCTTAATACGATTAAAAGCTAATGTTGACAGAGCACTATGTGCCAAGCCCCCAAATCTAAGAGCTTTAGATGTGTCAACTCCCTTTTAATCCTCACAACAACTCTATGGTAAGGACTATTGTTACTTTCCATTTTATAAAGGAGGAAACTGAGGCTCAGCAAATAAATTCTCAAGATCTCACAGCGTAAGTGGCAGAGAGAGCTAGAATTAGCACCCAGGCCCTTTGATTCCAAAGACGGTGCCCTTAACCACTGTGCATCCTGCCTGTCTCCTTGAAGTAAGCACAGTAAAATGTGTGTGCGTGCATGCCTGGAGAATGAGGTCCAGTGTTTAGAAGCAGCCACCTTACCCGAGCCAGACGCAGAAGCGTAGTCATCGTCATCAATAGGATACACTCCTGAAGCTTCTTCAATGGAGCTGTTGTCAAGGTACATGTCTTTATCAGATGTCAGCTCTGCTCTCTGAGAAAGGAAAGACAAGGGAGTCAGGATGTTGAGAGATTAAGAAACACACTTGTATATCTGATTGTTCAGGTACATACTGCAGTGACTACCCCTCCCACTCCCACAGTAGTCTGAATCCACATCTCTGGCCACAGTCTTCCTCAGGCACCCTGACAACTTAACAGCAATTTGAGAGGTGAGCACGGACTAATAACCTGCAAGGGAAGCCTACACAGCTTAAACCAGTAGAATGAAAACATTTCGGAGATCTAAACTCCTATCTTGGGCTTATTTTGTTGCATTCCACTAAACTTACCTGACTTTCAGCCATCCCAATGCTAGTTATAAGCCATCTTGGGCATTCTCTTTGTCACTCCCTTACTGGAAAGGGAACAAAACACTTAGGACTTTCTTGGGGATGTATGCAAAGGTATTACGGCTTAGCTTAGGCTAAATAATCACCCAGGGATCCATCAAATCCTACCAGTGCTTGCAGGCCTGGCAATACTCAGAACTTTACCGCTACAGATGAGAGATCCCCAGTCACCTGGGTCCTCAGGCCATGCAGGCCTTTCTACCCCAGCCCAGACCTGTGCTGAGGCCAGCCACAGTGCCCGGAGAGGAGCAGCGCCCGTGAGGCTCACCTGACAGGGAGAAAGCCCACTGCACGCCTGCTTCTAGGGCTCATTGGCTTAGCAAAGCCTTAATGACAAATACAGATAAACCCACACGAGCACATTCTTTTTCTATTACTGGCAACTGGTAATAGCAAATCACACGCTTAATATGGAGAGGGATCAGTCACTAAGTATACCAGTTCCACAGCTTCTTAACTCTTCAGTAAGAGTTTAGTATTAAAATTCAACCTAATCCTGCCAAAAGAAGAACTTGCATGAACTGGAGACAGAGTAGAGGTATAAGACTTTAAAAAATGGTTTTAGTAAATTGATATTTTACTACCATTATCTCGCAAAAGCCCAGGAAAAAAATAATAAAGCAGACAGGCAGCTTTTAAACAACGCTTGTTTGGAAACAGGCAACACTCATTATTGCTCTATTTTTAAAAATCATATAGAATGTTTGCTCTTAACAGAAATTATAAAATAATGTTTCCCTTACTACACTGGCTTTCATTAGATTTAATCTTAAAATAAAATTTTCTCTTCCAGCAGTCGCTGTGATTGGAACCTTCCTAAGAGGACAGGTCCAACCCTCTGTAACAGTACCACTTTATTTTCTCAGGTTTCAGCAGCTGGCTAGCAAGGCTAAAGCACTTTAAACCTGAGCCCACATTCTCCACCAGGCCTCAGTGCCAACTGAAAGCAAAGCATGGGAATCTATTTTGTTTGAGCTATCACACTGGTGGATTCTGAGAACTGAAACCTTAGGGACTGGTGTTCCAGTGGCCTGGACCACCCTGAGCCAAGAGTGTGCTGCAACTTTTCTAGTAGAATGGTCAGAGCTTAACTCTGCAATCTGACGCCACCCTGTTTCACTGGTTTCCAAGGCTATCACCATTCCAGATTGTAATTCCCAAAGCTTGTGAACTGTGTCAGGAGCCCTGTGTTCTACAGCTCTATCATCAACTGCCTCCTCTTAGGCTCTCAGCTCCTTTAAAGGCAAGGCTTCCCTCCCCCAGTCACAGTGCCTGGCATATAGTAGATGCTCAGTAAACACCGCTTGGGTTGAACCACCATTCGTGCTCCCATGAAAAAGCCATTCTCCGTCCTGCTTGTCTTAAACTTTGTCCCATTTACTTCCCCTGGAGGACCTCCTGGTTTCTTCTCTCAAATCCTGGCTACTATGAAACAGGCTGTGACTTCTCCACTCCTTATACACCTCCTAATTATAAAGTACTATTTTAGGATTTTGTAGCATATGAACAGTTTAAGACATAAACCCTCACTGTTACTTTTCATTGTTTCATGTGCATTTTTCTTGCCCCTCAGCAGAGTACAACTCATTGAAGGCATGTTTTGAATGACCTGTGTTCTCTGTCCCTCTCAAAATGCATGGCCACAAAATAAATATTTGACTGAGATTACTTAAACCAAATTGGCCTTGGACTGAGGTTTCAGAGTTACATGTCACAAGACCTCCAGGATCCTCGTAGTTTAAAATCTCTCCATTTTAAGCCTAGGAGACCATCTGCCCCAAACCTCCTATAGCTTGCATTGCATCTATTTAAGTAACCTACAGTCTTAAAAGTAAGCAAAATATTCCCTTTCCATGTTAGAATCTTGTTTCCCTTTTCTTAACATTGAATGACTTTCATTTTCCTCTTGGCTCTGTCAATGAAGTTTGATGTGGCAAGGGTAATACTGAGATACTTAATCCCTATGTGTAAATTGAATTTCAATTCATTCGATGACCCAGTTGTCTGGACTAACACATCTGTCATGCTACCAGGCAGATGGGCCAAAAATGCCTCCCAGAGAATTCTAGCCACCTCACCGTTCAACCACACTGGCAGTCTGACAAGCCAACTGACTTCCTGGGACAGCCGTCAGGCCTGTATTTCAACAAGACTTGGGGTGGAAGTCAGGGTGTGTCTAGAGAAGCTGGCTTACCCTCAGCCACTCAGTTACTTGGGGTCTACAGGGCTCCCGGGTGGTCTCTGGGCTGACCAGATGTTTAATGTGTTTAAAGGCAGCCAAAAGTGTGTTTCTCTGTGATCCAGGGTGGTGAAAATAATTTTGAAATCAAAGTTCTCTCCCACTCTGATTTCAGGAGCACAAAGAACATAGGAGAAATTACCAATATCTTTCCATGAAGTCCAATTTAACATAAAGCAGGGCCCTTTTCACTCTGTAGCAGATAATGAATACCTCTATTGCCTTCCCCTTTAAAAAATAAAAAATAAAAAAAAACCCCTGCGCTCATGACAAATTCCTTTTATGAAGACTCCACACTCTGTTCTGAAAGGTTTCTGGAATGAACATGCCTAGGACGGGAAATGATTTATGCACCAATATTCCCTTGGGACAAGGAGACAAGCATCTCCTCAAGGCCATGAAAAGGGGTGAATTCGAAACTACCGATTTTACACCTGGCGAAATGTAGTCTGCTTGACTGAGGAGAAAACCTCGGGACATACTCTGCACACACTCCCTTACTCAATGGGACCGAGACGCTGGACGAAAGCAACTGGAAGGAAACGTGCAGAAGCACAAGTCCAGAGCTGCAGCCTGGCTGTAGGGTGTCATAACGAGGCTGTTTAATTTGGGACTGACCATCGCTGTGAGGCAGTGCCAATACTGTTGGCTAACAGGGTCCAGAGTACAAGCTGGGAGAAAAACAAAGCTGGTCTTTCAGACCTTTCCCTTTTGGCTGATGCAAGATGTGAATACAGGAGAGCAAAGGAAGGCTGTGGAAAGCAACAAGGTACGACCAAGAGGAAAATGTGCGGCAGACAGATAGAGGGTTCTGCGTAATGCCACATTCAGCCAGGGAAACTGAAGCACTACACTGCCTCCATAGATGAAATTCCCAGAGGAGAATGCGCATCTGATTCAGTTGTGTAAACCCACAATGCCTAGAAGGAAGGCAAGATACATACTTGTCTCCTATCTCCACCCCTTTGCCTCTGGCCCCCCGGCTCTGGCTAACTCATCATGTTGGGCCTGGACCTGGACTAAGGCCTCCTGACCTTGTCACTGCCCACGTCCGTGTCTTTGAAGCCATTCGATGCAGAGGGACTGTTCTTGAACTCAAACATCATCGTATCACTCTCCTGCCTTTATTGGCTCCCTGCCACATAGAGGATGACATAAAAACTCCTTAGTTGGGCCTAGCACAGTGGCTCACGCCTGTAATCCCAGCACTTTGGGAGGCCAAGGCGGGCGGATCACCTGAGGTCAGGAGTTTGAGACCAGCCTGGCCAACATGGTGAAACTCCTTTACCAAAAATTACAAAAATTAGGCGGGTGTGGTGGCAGGTGCCTGTAATCCCAGCTACTCGCAAGGCTGAGGCAGGAGAATCACTTGAACCTGGGAGGCAGAGGCTGCAGTGAGCCAAGACTGCGCCACTGTACTCCAGCCTGGGAGACAGAGCAAGGAGACTCTGTCTCAAAAAACAAACAACAAACAAACAAACAAACAAACAAACAAAACAAAAGTCCTTAGCCTGGAAAAAAGTTCTTTACCAAGTGGCCTCAGCTGCAGTTCTAGTCTCAGCTGCTGCTGCTGCTTCCTCTACCCAAACCCCAGGCACCAATACAAAAACACCAAGAAGAGATCTGGTGACACTACTTTCCTTCGTATTATACCCCTAAGAGGAAATAAACACCTTTAGGTTGGAAAATTGAGGACAGCGATGGTGATTTAGGCCTTCCACATTTGATGATAAAAATTTAGAGTTTGATAAAATGATTCAGCCCAAACTTATACGGTAGTTGTAATAAAAATGACAAGAACAAGTGTTAATTCAATACACAAAAGATCAAGTGTAGTAGAGTCTTGATGTAGTCAGAAACATCACAAACCTGTCCATTTTCTCAGCGAAGACAATTTGTAGGATAGCAACTGAACAAATCTATTTGTTTGATTTTTCTCATGTAGGTAAAACCTACACTGAACAAATACCATGTTTCAAACTGCCAGTGTGGAAATCTGTTATTTAGAAATTCAAAGCCTTGTTTAAAAAACACAACGCCTTACCTACTAAGCAGAGGTCCTGCACATGCTTTCAACCAGTGCAACCAACACAGTGGTCAAAATAATTAAAGCTCAAATTAGTAAATGTCGAATTTACTTTATGGTTTTAACTCAGGTTAACAACGAAAGCAGAAGGTAGAAAACTTAATTATGGATAACTCAGACTCCCAGACCCAACTTTCAGAAAATTAGCCTTTGAACATAAAAATAAAATATCCATGTGGCCTAATAATACATTTCTGTATCACATCACAGACAACAAACATCTAGATGATGCCTCCTGTTTTACGGTAAAGGCAGTCCAACTCCAATTATGACTCAAATGTATATTAACTTTTATGATGATTACAAAGTGCCAAAAAGGCTATAACTGTAGCTTATCTTTCCATAGGTGACTCAGTAAACTATTTTATTACTAGCAACACACATTGTAAAGGAAATAATAATTAGCTAAAAATTTATGTCACCCACACAGTCACTCAGAGATGATATACCTGTCCTTAAGCTAAACTTGTCAATTCTGGCTTAGGTCTAGCCCAAAGGAACATACAATTTTAGAGCTTGACTGGACACTATAGTCACCAAGATCACTGATTTATTTCACAAATGAAGAAACAGAACACCAGAGTAGCAAAGTAGCTCAAAAGTCCTCTGGTCTAGCTGGTGGCCAAACTGGAGCCCGAAGCTCTTGACACCTAAGTGTGGGCTCTTTCTGCTGCACTGTCATGCCCCACAACATGAGTGACATCAGACCATTCAGCCTCGGGTTCAAAAGGATTAGCTGTGGCTGTTAGGTGTTTATTACGTGCCAGGCATTTTGTGCTTAGCATTTTATTAAGCATTGGCTCATCTAATCATCTCAACAATCTCCAGGGCCTACCCAGGAGATTGTTGCCTGAAATCATACAGCTCCAAAAGTAGGGACTTGGGACCTCAAAATGTATGTCACTGAGCATGTTCAACATGCTGCCTACCTCGTCCCTCCCTTTTCCTGTGATTCACACATAATAATAATAAAGGACTGGGGAAGAACTACAATAAAGAGCTGTGTTGAACTTGGCTTAATCCAGCATTTTCAAACTTTGATCATGGAAATTCTCCCCCCAGAATATCGATTTAACATCTTTCAGAACTAGTATTCTTGGCATCATAGATGGGGAAAAAATTGCACTGAGAGTTTTGAGTTCTGGCTTAACAGTTACTTCTCTGCCTAATGCCCCTCAAATTTCCTACATGGAAGATGCCTGGAGCCATGTACACCAATTGTCATTCATTAATTTTTAGTAACGCCAATTCTAACAAGCAGGTGACCCATGCAAACTAAAAATGTAACAGAAGGAAAGAGCCCTTTGTTTACTGTGGGAAAAAGATGATCTTGCCCTTGAATATGTTAGATATGGCTGACTTATAAGCACATACTGTTGTCTTTACTAGCACTTACTTTAAGGGTTTGTTTACAGAGAACTAACTAGTATGTAGCAATTTCCTAGGCTTACCTTATTATCCTGTATATACATACAAACCATCCATGGAAAAAAGCCAAAATCAAAAGTGAGGTCACACATGAAAGAAAATTCTTAACCCTCCCTACATAAGAAATTCTTAAGAAAGGTCTTTAGGCTGGACACAGTGGCTCACACCTATAACCTCAGCACTTTGGGAGGCCAAGGCAGGCAGATCACCTGAGGTCAGGAGTTTGAGACCAGCCTGGCCAAGACGGTGAAACCCCGTCTCTACTAAAAATACAAAAAATTAGCCAGGCGTGGTAGCAGGTGCCTGTTATCCCAGCTACTTGGGAGGCCGAGGCAGGAGAATCGCTTGAACCCAGGAGACGGAGGTTGCAGTGAGCCGAGATTGCGCCACAGCACTCCAGCCTAGGTGACAGAGCCAGACTCCATCTCAAAAACAAAAAAGAAAAAAAGAAGGGTCTTCAGTTCCAAACTGCTTCAAACATCTTAAATAGTTCTTAATTCATTATATAGAAAGCTAAAGTCTCTTTAAGAAACACTTCAACATCCCTTCCACAGAGTGGGAATGAATTTAAATGATTTACTCATGCGTATTAGGAAAACAAACCCAAAGCCAAAAAAATAATCAGGTTACATGAAGGTAGAATCACATTTGGGTGGAAAGTGGGAGGCACAAGGATGACTGGGCTGGTCATAAAGATGTCAGGTAATAGGCAACTTTGGAGAAATTCCTCTAGTTCCATGAAGCTTCTGAAATGACCCAAGGTCTGGGAGATGACAGAATTCCTACTGTAATTATTCACAGTCCTTGAAGTCTGAACCACTTACTTGGAAGGTGCCACTGATGTTGGCTGTTCCTGTTGGATGCCTCTTATAGAGTGGGGCTCTTCTTATACCACTGAGAAAGCGAGTTCCTTGAAGATGCCCAAGACCCAGGCCTGAGCCTGATCTTTCTGCGTCCTCTCCCTTGACCGCCGTTGTGTTCTAGGAACCAATATATGGTAAAGGCTCCACAGAAAGTAGAAGAAACCCTTTTTTCTAAGGGGCTGAATCCAAGCTTTACGCCATTTGGTGAAAGGAAATAACCAAGCCCTTTAAAGAAACTACCTGGTTACCCCACAACTGAGAAAAACAGATCAATGTTCTCTTACATGGTCTCTTTTTTAAAAAGCTGGAATTCGGCCTTATTCTGAGGGGAACTGCCAGAAAAGGTAAATGTGACCTTGGAAGAAACCTTGGGCTCATGAAGAAGGCCTCCAATGAGCCAGGCATGGCTCTGGTCTTTGGAAAACATTTAAATGGCTGAGGAGTGTGTTAAAAAGTAACACCAAGTTAGGGTACTTAACTGCAGAAATTCTCCTCTTTTGTTTGAAAAAAGAACTAAACTTGCTTCAGAGCAGTTAGATTTCCTAAGCCAACAAAGCTCCAAGTAAAATCTGTTTCATAAAATGCTCAGCGCAATAATCAGTACATTAACTGCGACCCCCACCAACCAAAAAAAAAAAAAAAAAAAAAAAAACCTCTTGCCAGAGGATTACTTGGCACATCTAAACTTGTAGTCATGATTCAATATAATCAATATCATTTTCAGAAAGGGTCCTTGCTGTATGTACGTTGGGGCATCTGGTGGTGTAAAACAATTTTTCTTCCTACAGTGTTTGCTTATTCATTCTACAGAACAGTACCTAGTGCAGTAAGTGGTTTGTTGGGTAAATTTAAAACAGCATCTCAGATATGATGATCCAGAAAGATCTCATATGCTTATTTAACTGAATGATGTCCCCTTCCCCTGTCCCCAAGCATCACAACACATAAAACAGGATGCACCCGCCCCCATCCTTCTCATTTCTCTTCAATCTAAAGCTTGGCAACAATGAGCAGCCCTGGGTACACACACTCACTGAGTCTATGCTCACCTCCCAGTCATCGTATCACTGGCATATCATTCTACAAACTCATGTCATCCGAACCCTCAGGTGTTCCAAGCCATCATCTCATGATGAACTCTTAACTGAATAAAACCAGCTAAAAGGAAACTAAACCTTTTCACCCAAACTCTTGACACATTTCGTACATTTTTAATCAAAATAATTACAGAGACAACTAATTAAAAGCCAAATATCCCACCTGGAGAGAATGTTCACATTATGCCCTTTTGTTGCTTTTGAATTTCAAAACACTTGCATTACAAAATCCCATCAATACGTTTTTTAAAAATACACTTCATGAAACTGGTGTATTGCTTACACTAAAAACAAATAAACGAACAAGAAATCTTCCTCCTCAGCCACAAGGATAAAAGGCAACTGGGGGAAAAAAACAAAATAAAAGCAAAGCAGAACACACTGACAATTCTTACTTCTGTTTGTGGTAATGGGTTCAGATTCCTGATCCAGAGACAGAAGGGAAGCAACCTTTGTCTTGAATTAAATTTTCTGGCAACAACAGTAGGGATGTATGAGGCAATGTATACTAAAGCAACGCCTGGGACTTTGAGTGGGATTATGTTGAATATGCATGACACACAAAAGGAAAATGTTCATGACTTACAGATGTGCTCCGCATTGAGCTTTCTTCCTTTTTTGGAATATCAAACAGAGAGAAGCGAGAGGTTTGCAGCCATGTTATTACAGGCATCGCTGCCTCTCCCCTTCCCAAACTAGAATATTCTAGTATTTATTTTGCTATCCATATGACCACAGTTTAGACTAGAGTAAAAACAGAAGCTGTGTGAGCCTAACCTGAAAAGCTCCAAGTGCTGGAGAGGGTCAGCATTAATAAATTCTAACTGAAGTAATGAGATTCTGTTTCCTGGCGGAGTTTGGCAGGAGAAAGGGGGAAAAATATTTGGAATTTATTTCGTATTCAGAAGTGTTTGTAAAAACTACCATAATGGAACAGAGTCCAAGTCAAGCACAGGAAGCCAACAGGCTCTGGTTTAGATTTAATAATTCACTTTAAGGGTTTTTCAACTGCTACAATTCTAGGCCCCAAGGCATAACCACATATATTCTCCTCCCTATACAAGGGCTGACAGAATGCCACAGAAAGCTTACAGGACAGAAAAATGGGAAAGACCTTGGGGCCAAAGGGCAGACCACACCTTTCCAGGCTTCAGCTCAGGCTGGAGAAAGAATCTGAGTTCTGAGACTTGCCACAGTCAATGGATAGAATTTCCAAGTGTTTCAGAGGTCTGAGCTAGAACTGAGTCTGAATGTCAATAGGAATATGGAACACTCTGCTGCTGGCCTGTAAAAAGAAGCCTTGACTATTTAAAAGATGCCAACTAACAGAAATTGGCACAGACCCTTTGGAAATCACATTGGCAATGTGTTTTAAGAAGCTATGAAATCTTTTATACTATTTGACCAGATGTTTCTTCTCCCAGGAATTATCCTAATGAAATAAAAGTTAGGGTGTTTACTACTGCATTAAAGACAAATCAGGGAGACAATCTCAATGCCCACTACAGGGGTGTACTATGTCTGGTAAATAATTATGCATGATATATTAGTTTTCTCAACATAGCCATTAAAAATCATATACCACATAGTAATAAGTAAAAGTGTTTGTAACGACATATTAAATTTAAAAAGCATACATTAATTTTTTTCTAATATTACAACTATATTGCAATTTCTCATATATATATATACACACACACACACACACACACACACACACACATATATTTCAAATACATATATATATTTGGCCAAGCACTGAAAGGGAATAGAAAATGAAGAAGAAAGATAACTGGTTAGGGTGGTGGATTTATGTGTAATTTTTTTCCTAATTGATATTACAGCTACATTTTTGGCACTATAATGTTGCTGAAAGCACAGAAAGCACAAGACCGATAAGTCATAGACACAAATGACTTGGAACCAGCTTTCAGACATCAACTGTGCAAATAAACTTTTGAAAATTAATTAACAGCGAATACATCCAAACACAAGACACACACACACACACACACATATGTCATATATATTTTATATATGATATATAATATATATAATATATATTTTATATGTGATATATAATATATATATTACATATATCATATATATTGTATATTACATATATATATTATATATAAATCTAAAGCAAGTGTCATGAGCTGGGTGCAGTGACTCATGCTTGTAATCCCAGCACTTTGGGAGGCCAAGGCTGGAGAACTGCTTGAGCTCAGGAGTTCAAGATCAGCCAGGGCAACATAGTAAGATCTCATCTCTACAAAAGATTTTTTTAAGAAAAGAAGCAAATATTATGGAAGTATGTAAGTACTAAAAAAAAAAAAAAAAAAAAAATCACACTTCAGAAAAATGCCAACTCACAGAACAGTGCTTGGGCCACTCCTGATCCATTTCACCTGTGGTCACAAAGGCAAAAGGTCTAATAAAATGGATATTCAGTTGCAAGATTTCAGGTTTTAAAAATTCCTGGGTCTAATAACCCGTCTTGTTAGCGCCTCCTTGCTCCTGGGTTATTTCAAGTGGAGGAAGCCACTCCATGTCAAGGTGAGCTTGCTCCGTTTCCCAGCATACAAGCTCCCTTCCAGCTTAGCCCCAACCAGAGGAGGGAGATGCCTGCACTTGAGCCCTGTGCCTCCGACACACCTGCAGGGCTGACATGCCAGTGAGCTGGGCAGATGTTCCATACTGCTCCTGGTTTTCTGCGTCCAATCTATTACACCTAACTCACCTGTTTGTAATGGCAGCCTCTCCTTCTGCTGATTACAGGAAAGCCTATAAGTGGACACAGTGACCTGATCTAGGAGGACTTTTTAAATGAAGAAAATGACACTTGCAGTTGGTTCCTTATACTGGGAGCCTGAAAATGTGTCAGCACTTTCAAAGACTCTCTTAAAAATTTAAAAATCTAAACAAAAGCAAGAAAGCTAAAAAAGAAGGAATAAATCTAAAGCTGACGAGACCACCAATTTCAAAGCTGAAGTTAAAAGAAACTGTTCTGAACGGTAGGGTTTTTAATACCTAGCACCAAGTCACCAGGGTGGCTGCACTGTGTGTCAAAGAGATTATTCATATTCCTGATATCTACTGGGAAAACAGCCTGATTCTGCCCAAGACTCATAGCCCTGGGTTCTGTATTTATTTTTGTATATAAAGGAACTGTTCCTGGCCAAAATTTTTAACCAAGTAAAATAAATGATAATGGCCAACCAAGCAACTTTTAAAGAAATGGTTTGCTTGACAGAAGAACCAGGAAAATATTTAAAGGTATTAGAGCCCATTATGAAATCCATCACAGAAAATGCATGAAATTCCCCAGGAAATGAAGCCTTCCCCGAGCTGCACCATGGCAGTTGGGGCAGAAGCATTAGCTCCCGGTCAAACTGACATGCTTCACGCAGAGTATACTGATGATCACGTGACCTGTGCCATCTCAAAGCAAACGCATTTTAGAAAGGACTCCTGTTGGTGTGCTGAAGTGCTGTATATGAGTACTTTCTCTGAAGAAGACATTCAGGTTCTTGCCCAATAAGAGGGAAAGGAAACCTGTGGACAGTAATTTTTTTTTCACCAATGACAAATACTTCATCAGCTGTACAAACTGACACGTGGCCAAAGCCCTCAAAAATCCAAAAGGTAACCTAATCCACTCCCGTGCTGCCTTCTGTCTTTCTAATCTACCTCCATCAGAATCTATATATGAAGACATTCCAGCATCCTGCTGACAGAATCATATAGTACTCTTTTACCTTTTTTTTTTTTTAAGAGACAGAGTCTCGCTCTGTCGCCCAGGCTGGAGTGCAGTGGTGCAATCTCGGCTCACTGCAACCTCTGCCTCCCAGGTTCAAGAGATTCTCCTGTCTCAGCCTCTCAAGTAGCTGGGATTACAGGCATGTGCAACTCTATGCCCAGCTAATTTTTGTATTTTTAGTAGAGACGGGGTTTCACCATGTTGGCCAGGTTGGTCTCGAACTCCTAACCCTCAAGTGATCTGCCCGCCTCAGCCTCTCAAAGTGCTGGGATTACAGGCGTGAGCCACCATGCCCAGCCCTCATATAGTACTCTTATTCTTATGATATCAGGGTCGCACAGGATGAAAGGTAAAAGCGAATTTGCAAAATGATAAAATTACATGCTTAATTAAAAAATACTACTTAAGAAGCACTTTTGAGAATACGTTTAAAACAAGAACACATATTATTATTTTTTGCCCCCGAATGAGGCTGATTTATAGTAATTTACTAGTGACAATTAAAAGTCTCAGTTGGAACACACATGTGTAAGTACCATTTCATAAGAGATATAACATTTCATTTTCTAAAAATATGGAAGACGAAGAAAAGCAAAACAGTTAGGAATTAAAAATAGATCATCTCAGGAATTTTTTTTCTCCAAGTTAGTCCAGGAATAAAAAAAGCTGATTCTACTAGTTCTGAGGCAAGCCATACTACAGAGGCCCCTGTGGGATTTGGCACCCAGGGGTGCTAAATGAAAAGTGATGCTAAATTCAACACTATTTTATAAAAATCCCCATACTCTCTAGGATATTCAATTCTTCCCAAATTAATAGGGTACCCCATTCCTGCAAATAAATGCCTTCTGTAAAGTAGCCAATGGCAATGAGCACCCCGCTCCCTCTTTTAGAATGAAAGCACCTGGACTACCTGTTACATTTGAATTTTCTAGAGCCCACAGAGTCTTACTGAGTTAAACTCTGGAAGCCCAGTCCACATTAATGGTCTCTTGCTTGGGCCCTGTCCCATGCCCTGTGAGGATGGGACCAATGTTTCTAATATTTAATAGATTTAACTGCTTCAGGCACACTCACCTCCAGACAGAACCTCTGCCCACAGAGTGGAGTTTATTATTTAATTGGTATAAGATGAGTCTGTAGTCATGATGCTCACATGTAAGATGCCAAATGAAAACATGTCCACCCCTCAGTGGCAACAAGCAACAGCTGAGGATATGGAGGCTTGGGAGCTATCGGTTGCATTATCCCTTTGACTGGACATACCTGGCTTTGGCAAATGCTCTGGAACAAAGACATCCTCTGACTCTCCCTTCCTGCTGCTTAACCTTACACTCTGCCTGTAGAAAAATGACACGCTTCTTGCCCCTCCTGCTTTGGAGGCTAAAGAATGCGGCTGAATGATTGCAGCTGCCACGGTAACCTCTTTGGCATGCATGCCAGCAATGCCTCACCTAAGAGCCTTTCCCCTGCCTCGCTGCCCTGGCCCACCGGTGATGACCACAATCCGTTCAAGTGGTCACATTGCAGCGCAGCCCCCATGGTAACCCATTTAGAGCTGTTAAAGCTCATACCAAAGAATGATGTTTTTAATACAGATTGTTCTTTTTAAATCCTTTACAAAAGCAGCTATAATCAATCGTGCTGGGGGGGCTCTGTAAAAAGCTGCCATTCGGAAAGCCCTAATATTGATTCTTTTCCCTTTCACGGCTTTTAAGAAAACAATCCCATGCTAAGAAACTATAATCAATTTTTCTAGACTTTGCTAACATGAAACAGTATCTAAATTAAAATGTTATATTCAAAAATTACAGAAAAATTGTAGCAGATAAAAGAAAGCCATACGTTATCCTGCCTTTCATGTAAGAGACAACATGTTTGTTTAAAACAAATGCCAGTTGAACAAATTCAATAATTGTTAAATACTGATTAAAACTCTGCAACTCTTATAAGAGTTCTTTAGCAGATGACAATAGCTTAAAGATTGAGGAAAACTCTGTCTTCATTTGAGATCTGGCATTTCCAATTTTTAATTTGCAAGATAATATACTATTTTCTCTGTGCCTATTCTTAGAGAAAAGTATCAATTCTAAGCCTGTGTTTATAGACAGTCATGGTTCCAAGTGGTCACATCCTGACTGAACTTCCAAATACCAGAATATTTTAAGTCTTTTCACAGGAATTATGGTAGATATATTATTCTGTCAAGTTTGCCTTTTCACGCTAGGCCTCTTAGAAACTCAAGCATTTCAAAAGGCACAAAGTCAATATTTAAAAAGCTACAATGCACAGACAAAGCAATTTGGCATTTTCATTTAAAACTTATATTAAAAACCCTCACTAGCATCAACAGCCAATTTCCAGATTAGACATTAAAGGAAAGCACAACATAATCTAGTCTGTTATCTGTTTAGAAGAAAAAAAATTAAGACTTTATTAAAATGCCATACATAAAACGAATACAGAATTGAAATCTAAGTAGACTGACAGCCCATAATGCTTTATTGTCAGCGTGGCACCTACCACGTGAATGAAATTAGATCTGATCAAATCCGAAGTGCTGGCAAAGAAACAAAACACAAAAAAACTTAACTGCTATTTGCTTTGCTCCCAAATAAGAGCAATTGCAGTTACAAGGGACTGAGCTACAATTCCTGTGGCAAGTGTCTGATACGCATTCAGGTTTCACATTCCTGGTATCCAACAACCGCAGGAGTTTACTGAGGAAATGGGTGTACAATTTCCAAATTTATTAGTTGGGAAGTTTAATTCCCTTTCCACACCCACCCCATCATCCCCTCAAATTAGAGAAGGCCCCTGCTTTTTCTTTTCTTTCTTTCTTTATTTTTTCAACACCAAACTAAATAAGCAAGAGCTGAGAGTTCTGTAAAACTCCTTAACACTAGCTGATCAAGGGCCTAAACCATTGTCAAGCCATGCCGCCTGGGGCTGTCACACAGGGGGCATTTCACAGCTTCACTGGCCTGGCAGCCTTTTTATCCCCAAAGTCATCTTAAGCAACTGTTCTTCAGCAAACAGACCTCTGAGCTTCATCTCTTCCATTGTAAAATTGTGGCACAAAAGAGCTAAGCATTAAAGAGAAACCAGAATCAGCCTGGTCAACTAATTTCAATCCCATCCTTCTCTCTGAATGCTTTTATTTGCATTAGGGCTGTCTAATAAAATCTGTGATGATGGAAATGTTCTACATCTGCACTGTCCGAAATAACAGCAAATAGCCACATATGGCTATTGAGTCGCTGATATGTGGCTAGTACAACCAAGGTACTGAATTTTTCATCTTATTTACTTTTCAATCAATTTAAGTTCAAATAGACACATGTGGCTATTTTTCCAGACTTTTCTAGTGGCTACCATACTGGACAGTGCAGCTCTAAAGAGAATTTAAGAAACTGCTGTTGGAAGCCTGGACACATCAAAGCCACCTACCTTTGCTGGGCTAAGCCACTTAAACATTAACTGTACATTAACAGAAGTCAGTGCCTAACAACATAATTGCCTTTTCCATCACAACTCTCCCTTGGCACTACATATCTGGCAGAAAAATTAAGCAGTCCATCTAACTAGGTCATTTAATGACTATTTATCAAACAACTGCTATGTGCTGAAATGTCCTATCATTTGTGTAAAACAGTAAGCTTCATGCATGGATAGACAAACTAGAGTACAGCCACACAATGGAATATTATTGGCGATAAAAAGATATGAGCTATCAAGCCATCAAAAAGACATGAAGGAACTTAAAAGGCACATCGCTAAGTGAAAGGAGCCAATCTGAAGAGGCTCCATACTGTATGATTCCAAATACACAACATGTTGGAAAGGCATAACTACAGAGACAATACAAAGATGAGCAGTTGCCAGGGGTTCAGGGGAAGAGGGGGTGGGCAAATAGGTGGAGCACAGGGTATTTTTAGGGCAGTGAAATTATTCTGTATGATAATATAATAGTAGATACACGACATTATGCATTTGTCAAAACTCATGTAAGTGTATAATACAAGGTGTAAACCTTAATGTAAACTATGGACTACAGCTAGTAATAATGTATCAATGTTGGTTCATTAATCCCAATAAATGTGCCACACTAATACAAGATATGTTAGTATACAGTAAGAGGTGAAATGGGGGAATGCATGGGGGGTATATGGAACACAATGTTCTATCTGCTCAATTATTTGATAAATCTAAGACTCTACCGAAAAAATAGTCTATTCATGATCAAAAAGACAAATACCTGGAGAACTCCTGAGGCCTGTCCATATATTCTGCCCTGACCAACCATCCCTTCTACAGTGAAACCAGGTTTTAGATGAATCACACAAGAGATGGTTCTTGTTTGTTAATGATGTATGTACCTAGCTGCCTCATCTCTCTGGTATCAGACTCAATTAGCTTCAGCAAATAAACGACACATTCCTGGACTTCTGGAAGTTATAAGTAGCCCATTTACAGTTGTAATGGGTATTATACATTCATTCTCATTCATTCATTCTTGCCTACACTGTTCCATCAAGCAAGAAAGCAAGATGCCAGCAACAGATATGGAAAGTTCAGTCTTCTCTAGGAAAATAGCTCATTTGTGTACAAGTATTAAATAATGAGTTGCACCACCGTTCCATCCACCTAGCCAGCACAATCACTGGGATTTCTCTGATGTATTAATAAACTGCAGAGGATTAAAAGTCTACTACATCTCAATACATTCTTGGGACAACTGAGAAATGTAAATATGGGTTGAATATTAGAAATGTATTCACCATTAACTTTCTTAGGTGAGATTGTGTTTTCTCCTTTTTCCCAGGGGATAAATGCTGAATCCTCAGGGGTCAAGTATCCTGATCACTGAAATTTACTGTCAATGGTACAACCAAACAACAAAAAAAAGCTGTATATAAAGAGAATAGGCCGGGCGCGGTGGCTCACGCCTGTAATCCCAACACTTTGGGAGGCCGAGGCGGGCGGATCACGAGGTCAGGAGATCGAGACCATCCCGGCTAAAACGGTGAAACCCCGTCTCTACTAAAAATACAAAAAATTAGCCGGGCGTAGTGGCGGGCGCCTGTAGTCCCAGCTACTTGGGAGGCTGAGGCAGGAGAATGGCATGAATCCGGGAGGCGGAGCTTGCAGTGAGCCGAGGTCCCGCCACTGCACTCCAGCCTGGGCGACAGAGCGAGACTCCGTCTCAAAAAAAAAAAAAAAAAAAAAGAGAATAATAAAGCAAATCTGGTAAAAAAAAACAAAACAAAACAAAAACAAACTACCAATTATTGAACTTATGTGGAGAATATTGTCCTATGCTTTCAAGTTCTCTGTGTATCTGCAAATTCATAATTTAAAAGTTGGAAGGCAGTAGGGTAACTCCAGCTGAAAAAACTTCAGGTGACACCAGAGCTGGTATTAATCACTAATGGGACCAGAAAGTACCGCCTTCATACCAGGTACAAGAATGAGGTGAAATCTGCTAAAAATTATACTAGCCTGTAGTTAGCTGACTTAAATAAATTGGGCCCACAAAAGACTGCATGATGTATTTGTGTGTGGGGATCGGGGAGGGTGGTAACCACATAATATTCTAGGAGAAAAGACAGCTATGAACTTGACAGATAAGCTAGGGCCCTAAAGGGAAAAGGTTTCTTTGACAACGGTAAGGGGGAAGACAGAAAAGCAGGTAAGAGAGGCATCTTTATAAGGGCAGAAAACAAATCCAGTCACAGTAAGGAACTTCCTTATCAGAGCTACTTGCAAACTCTTTGGTGCACTTTCATTGGGAAAACAAAAAATCTGACATGCAGAACAGAAATCATTTTTCTATGTGTGTGGTTTTAATGGAATTCACGTATTCAGATAGCTAAAGAAACAAAATTAGAGGTAAACATTTCAGGCTGTGAATGGCTTAGATATTACCCCCAGGAAACAAAACCTTGCCTCCTTGAACAAGTGAGTGGGGGGAAGTGATTCAACAGTTATGTCAACAGAACAGAACTCAGAACTTGGCTCCTACTGCCATCCTCACCAACCCCTTAATTTAATTAAAGAAAGAAATTGTTCGTGGCATGAATACATAAATTATTCATGTATTGTATATTAATATATTAAAAGGATGACTTGAAAATTCAAACTGTACACTTATGATCTGTGTACTTTTCTGATTGTGTTATACTTCAGTGAAAAGTTGACTAAAACAAACATAAAGAGAGTAACCTGAATCTCAGAAACTCTCCCCGCCACCACCCCACCCTACCCCACCCTACCCCCACCACCCCGCAGGTTTGCAATTACAGGTATTTACAAGACACCTACCAGGTGGATCTCACAATTCTTTCAGGTTTTTTCATTCGTTACCTGTGTATCTGAGCACTGAAGTCAAAGAGATGCCAGTGCTCACTCAGGAAACATATTTAGAAGGCTCTGCATCTCTACAGTTTTCATGAAGGAGAAAGGCTTAGATTTCTGGTTGTCTAGAACAGGGGTTCCCAACCCCCAGGCCACAGACCAATACCGATCCGTGGCCTGTTAGGAACCAGGCTGCACAGCAGAGGTGAGCCGCCAGTGAGCATTACCACCTGAGCTCCGCCTCCTGTCAGATCAGTGGCGGCATTAGATTCTCATAGGAGCACGAACCCTATTGTGAACTGCACATGTGAGGGATCTAGGTTGCACGCTCCTTGTGAGAATCTAATGATAAATGTACTGCGCTTGAATCATCCCGAAACCATCCCCCACCCCTGCCCTCGGTCAGTGGAAAAACTGTCTTTCACAAAGCCAGTCCCTAGTGCCAAGCAGGTTGGGGACCACTGGTCTAGAACCTACAGGTAACGCAATACATTTTCCATAGTTCTTCCATTTTTCCAAAGACATAAAACATAAAATAAAGATAGGAGGCATTAAATGTCTTTTTCACAGAACAACAGTAAGACAAGCCTAGCACTTTAACACCTTCAGTAGAAAGCAGTCAAATGACTGTGAACAGGTGTAATTCCTACCACAGAGAACAAGGTCCTGCAGACCACACAGATAGCAGGCCTGGCTGTTATTTCAGCTAATGGAGATTTTGTACCTGGTAACCACAGATAACTGATCTTGCCTGGTTGTTGCTTGGTGGGGAAGGGCAGTTACTTCTGCAGAGAATATTTAGGAAGCAATTGTGGTTTAAATTCTAAATAGCCAAATGACAGCTCTAGATAAGTTTCTGATGAGACAGCTGCTGCTGGCATATATTTGAATTCAGATCAACCACAGGTAGGCTTTTTTGCTGCTGATAAAGCAGATGTTTTGGTGACTGTGATCTCACTTCTTTCTCTTCCCCTCAGATCCCAGGTGCACACTCCAGGTCTTCAGGTGGCTCTGCTGCCATCCCAGGGTTTCCCCATGAAGATCTAGTCTGTGTCCAGCCTTGCCAACCCCTTAGAAAGGCTAGAGACTTGCGAGACCCCCTAGGCTAAAGATGCTGGCTACTGTATCCACTTACACCAAGAGTTAATTCATTTATTCACTGAGCACCGTGCAGGGTGTGTGCACGGTGCTAAGATCCCAAAGCTGAAGGTGAGTTGGTGCTAGCTATGCAGAGGGGAGGGGGTGTGGAGGGGAGGGGGTGCAGAGGGCAGGGGGAGAATAGGGTCAAATGAGGCACACGGAATGCGGGCATTTAGGGCACCAAGACAGGATGAGAAAAGAGAGGAGTTTTAGTTCTGTGTGATAAAGGGTAGGGTGTGTGTTCGGGATAGGTGAAATAAGACTAAGAAGAGGGTCAGATTATAAAGAATCTTTGGTGAAAAACTAGGAGATTTATATTTCTTCTGTAAGCAAATGAGGGATGTTCAAGGAGAAGGTCAAAACTGTGTTTGGAAAGATCAGGCTGGATGTAGTGCAGATGACAGATTAGAGGGGCTTGACTGGAGGCAGTGTGATCCATCCAATTATGGCGGGAATTGTGTAAGAAGTGCCAAACCAGAAGGATTAGAAAGCCAGGGCAGAGTCAATGGTATTAAAGTAAGTAAAATCTACAGGTCTTGCCAACTTATTGAATGAAGGGTAAGTGAGAGGATATGATGATTTATTTCTTTAAATGACAATAGTCGCTGCTGTCCTCGTAGAGCAATTGTGTGTCAGGTGCTGTTATCACTTTACATGGATAAGACCTCAAAATCCTCCCAGCATCCAACGCCGCAGGTATTAGCCCCATTTTGCAACGGTGGAACCTGAGCCTTAGCAATCCCATGGTTTCCCCTTCATCACCCACACATGAAGTGTAAGCACAGCACCCAGGTTTCTAATTTGGGGTCCTGGCACTCTTGGAAACTTGCCAGAAGGTCAGGCAACATTGTTGTTGGGAGGTCTGCGAAGAGCATCCATCCTGAAGTCAGACACCTGGACTAAAACTTTGAGGTTGAGTTTTTCTGTCTATAAAATGAGACAATAATTGTGCCCATCTCCCAAATTTCACATGAAGATTAAAGAGAAAAAACGTGAAATAGTTCATGTAAACTGTAAACAACAAAACAAAAAACAAGAATACAAGTAATTATTTATATTTATGCAGATGCATCTGATCTTTCAGGCAGGCAAGGCCCCACATTAAGAAAGTGCTTATTCCTGTAGCTCAAGCCAGCTCTGGGGAGGTCACACAGTTTTCCTGGTCCGTGTCATAACTAAGCTGGTGGTCACAACAATCTGACCAATCCTGACATGAACAAAACAAAATAAACAAATAAAGCTGATTAGGACTGAAAAATAAATGAAGACTCTGCAGCTAAGTCTAAAGCTAACCCCACCTTCATATAAACCTACTGCAATAAGGAATTCCTTGGGGTAAGAAAGTATTCAACTAATGTAGTTAATGACTTATAGCAGTTGAAAATTGGACAGTAAATAAACAAAGATGACACCAACAGTGATCCTATAGAAATGGACCACGATATGTGCAGGGGTGGAAATCTAGAAATTGTGGGATGGTTTCTGGGCACAGATTTCTGGTTTGTGGTTCAGATATCAATAATTACATAACATGGGGCCTTTGTTGTTTTTTTTAACAAATTAGCTTACACAGCACCTAGGTTATGAGGAAATATCTAGCCATCCCAAGGGAGCACAAAGTACCCAGTCAACTTTTAAACTTGGGCCAGCCTGGAGAACCGAATGCAGGCACCTCTCTGCTTCATACCACCTGAGACACCACTAGAACCATTTGACTGGGGAGTTCAAATGTGGCACAGAACTCCTCCACAAAAGACCAGTGCACAGGCAGTGGGCATTACCACTTGCCAGACTCACTGGTCCTCAGCAGGTGGCCAGAGATGTTTCAAAGCCCAAAAAAACTTTCCATAAGATGAAAGATTTTAGGTATTAACCATCTTCTCCTTTAATATGAACAAACATTTTCCACCAGGGGTTCTGGAGTCAAAAACCACTAAGAAAACAATTCATTCTGCAGCACCTCCTGTAGGGTTGCCTCTCATTGTCCCAGACCCCCTGCTCCAGGAAAAGCAGTAGTAACACACAATGAGGCCACCAAGGTGGACTTGGGAAAAAAAACAGGGTGGCAGCAGCCTCCACGAGACTGCTTGAGCCAGCACTGATGGCCTTTAACAGAAGGATAAACAAACCCCAATTTACCTTCCTAACAACCCTTCCCTACTGAGAAAGCCAACCCTTCAATTTACTTGTCCTGAGCCAAGACCTTTCCAGAAAGAAAAGTCTACCTGTGCAATAATAATAAATGCTCCCAGTGACTTCACAGCGCCAGGATCCAAAGGCGCTAATGATACTATTATTGCTCCCTCTGGGTTCCAAAAGCCACCAAGCTGACAAAGACAAAGTTTATGAAATAGAAAATGTTCAAGGTACTGTCTTCAGGATTTTTTATTACTTGTGACAGTTTTAGTTTGTGAGCAGCTGGGTTTCCTTCCGTTTCAACACAAATTTGTTGTCAGGCAAAGTGGTATGTAAGCCAGCAAGAGGGGGTGCTGTCTTTAGGGTACCCACCAATTAGCAAATAATTAGAAAGCAAGGCAGTGCCTTCTCTGCTAGCCAAACAAGTACATCACTAGGGAAAGAATCAAACCCCAGAACCACAAACACAAGATTAGGCTGAATCATATAAATAGGTCAGAATACCAGCAATTTCGCATGGTTTAATCTGTATGGAAATTTGAGTTTTTTATTGCTTTGTTTCTATTTTCAAGTTTTATGCAGAGCAGTGGTATTCAAGCCCATAAGACCCCGGTGATCGGGGACCTGCCCCTTTCCATCCTAACTTCATCCCACCTCCCTAAGCATACACACTTTCCCCACTCCAGGGCCTTTGCAGCCGCTCTGCCTCTGCCTGAAATGCTTCCCTCAAGCCTTTTGTGTGGTCAGTTCCCTCTCATTTCATAGGACACAAATGTGACCCTCTCCAAAGAGGCCTTTCCTGACCATCTTACCCATTACTCTCTACCCAGCACACTCCAACAGAAGTATGACGCAAGCCACGTGTGCAATTTAAAATTTTCTAGTAGTCACATTTTTTAAAAGTGTGACACATATTTTTTGGCTTTTTAAAGTTGTAGTAAAATATACCTAAAATTTGCCATTTGAACTAGTTTCAAGTGTATAGTTCAGCGGCATTCAGTATCGTCACACCGTTGTGCAACCATTACCACATCCATCTCTAGACCTTTCATCATCCCAAACTGAAACTCTACCCATTAAACAGTAACTCCCTATTCTCCCTTCCCCCGGTAACCACTGTTCTAATTTCTGCCTCCATGAACTTGACTATTCCAGTTACCTCATAAGTGCAATAAAAGTGTCCTTTTATGCCTAGCTTATTTCACTTAGCATTCATTTTAATAACATGCTCTATTTAACCCAACGTATGAACACTTAAAATATAATCAATGTAAAAATTATTGAGATATTTTATATATTTTTTTCATACTAAGTTTGAATTCCAGTGTGTACTTCACCCTTAGAGCATTTCTCAATTTTGACTGACCATGTTTCAAGTACTCAATGGACACATGCACCTCGTGGCTATCACAGTGGAATGCACAGGTCTCTTTCATTGGCTTGTTTTATTTTCTTCATTTGCCTTTCTCAGCCGAAATTATTTTTTTCTTTGTAAGTCTACATACTTCTCTATCTCCCCTTAGCAGAGTATGAGTTCCCCAAGGGCAGGACCTGTGTCTTTGGGTTTTTTGTTTTTTGTTTTTGCCTGCTCTAAGCCAAGCACATATTAAGTGTGATACAATCATATAAATATTTCTAGACAAATGTCTTTAAGGCAGATGCTTTTGAAAATGGAAGGATCTGTCTCCAAAATATCACTTTGATCCTGTACTATCTGGAACAAAAACATCACTGGAGACTACTAGTTATCGTTCCCTTTGTACAGGAAGACTAAGCAGAGCTTGGGATAGTCGCTGAAACCCTGGCACCAGACTTGCCTGGCTCTGCCACTTACCAGCTGCGGGATCTCTCTGCACCTCAGGCTCATCATCTATAAAATGGAGAGGATAGTGATAGTGCCTACCTCAAGCAGCTGCCAAAAGCATTAAATCAGTTAACATTTAAGGCACTTTCAACAATGCCTAGCACTTAGCATCCTGCGTGTTAGATCAACAAATCACACGAATATATTTTGCATTGCCATTTCAGAGGTGACTCTGGACTGCTTCAAGCGACTCCCCTTCCTGTAGTCCATCTACATACAATGTCAGGACTCCTTTCCCAGAGAGCACATGTGCTCACACCTCCGGGCCCCTTATAGCACTAACAGTCCCCACCGCCTCCAGGAGCCACTCTAAATTTCCCAGCAGTACAGGAGGAGCCAGAAGCAGGGAGCAAAGTGAACGACCTTTGAGAAGACACCCAACTTCCCATGCCTCAGGTTCTTCAACTAGAAAATGGATTAACAATGGTACCTACTTTATAGGTTACTGAAAAATTAAATGAGTTAATATATGCCACGTACCTTTACAGTGCCTAAAACATAGTAAGCACTCAATAAATATCATCTAGTATTATTACAAGGCTCTCCACAATTGGACTCCAACTTTTACAGCTTCATTTTAGTTCATTTAGCAAATATTTAAGTACCTACTATGTACTGGGGACTGTCTCTATAAGGCTCTTGCTCTTACAGGAGCTTAGAGTCAGGTAGGAGAGAGATAAGAGCTGTGGTAATCCAGGAGGTAGATACTCTGCTAAGTGTGGTGTACTGTACTCTACACTGGCCCAGTAAGAGAACCTAACCTAGAACTGGGGTGAAAGTCAGGGAAGGCATTTCATGGAGGAAAGGATATCTAGGCTGAGAGTATAAGAAAAAGGAAGAGGCTGAGAGTGGTGGCTCATGCCTGTAATCCCAACACTTTGGAAGGCCAAGGTGGAAGGATGGCTCGAGGCCGGGAGTTCAACACCAGCCTGAGCAACGTAGTGAGACCCTGTCTCTACAAAACATTTTAAAAATTATCCGGACGTGTTGGTGTGCACCTGCAGTCCTAGCTACTCGGGAGGCTGAGAGGAGGATCACTTGAGCCTAGGAGTTCAAGGCTGCAGTGAGCCATAATTGTGCCACTGTACTCTAGCCTGGGGAAAACAGCAAGACCTTGTTTCAAAAACAAACACAAAAACAAGGAGGAGGAAGCAGTGAGCATTCTACATTCTATCTTATCTACCATTCTTATCCAAGCAGCAGCCATGTGTAATTTCCCTTCCCTGACACCCAGTGACTTTTCCTTACTCTTCACACTGCTCACCTGCATTGCACTCTGGGTTACATCTGCCTATCCCAAATAGATGAACAGTTCCCCATTTACCTGTTTCCCTACCATGAAGCAATACATGTTTATTGAATGAATTCACTTTTCCCCTAGTTTCTCTTAGGACTAAAGACCCATACTTCTAAAATGGTGGCCTGAATTATGTCCTAGACAGGGCTGCACTAACCAGCTCTGGGTTCAGCACACCCATGCTCAATTTACAGTTATTTAATCAGTTCACAATCTCCAAACCTGCAGATACAAGAAAGGGTGGCACTGTTTCTGTGGTATTTATTTCTACCTATAAATCAAGAACTCCAACCAAGAGCTCCATTTCCAGGTTTTCACTTAGGCAAGTTTTTGGACCTCTTTGACCACATACATCGCTCCAACTACCATGCCTGTCTGGCAAATACAGACAGAGCTTTGGGGCTCCACCACCAGACACTAAAACAATCATGTAAGCAACTGACAGTCGATTGGTATGTCTGACAGGTTATGGTTATGTGTTAAAAGTACCTATGAAAAGCAGATTCATTCAAGCTGTTCCCCACTTTTGTTTAAACCAACTCTTTGGGTTGGCCAACAATCTTACTCATTACAGATAACATTTCATTTTCCACCCCCACAAGGTATATTCTTTCACCACAAGATGTGCCAACAGTAATTAAGAACTTCTGAGGAAGAGAGGAAAACCCGCAGGCTTTGCTGGAGAAAGAGGGTGTACTTAGCTTAACCCTCCTATAACTTTGTAACAGAAGGCAAAGAAAATTGAGGCAATTCTCCTTTAAGTTTACTGATGCTAAAACGCAAGAATTTGTTTTACTGCCATACACTAGGGTAAAGAGCCAGTAATTATGCCTCTATACAAAAGCATGGGAGAAAATACGGACCTTCTAGTGTGCAGCAGACCTGGGTTCAAATGACAGCAACACTTTGAAGGAGTTTCCTCTTCCAAAAAGTGAGGATAAAGCCATTGCATTCTACAGGAGTTATAATAACTGCCTGCACATTGTCTAAGAGTGCCTGGCACTGTGCTCAACGGAGGTGCTCAACGGAGGTGTTACTCCACTCCACCTCTCAGACTATGGGTGAATAATTAGGTGTTTATGATAAAAATAAGTTTAGCAAAAAAATATCTATGACAACGAAATTATTCTTATGATTCTTAATCAGATTAAAAATGGCAGAACAAGAGCAAAATAATGTCTTTTGCAGCAACTTGGATGGAACTGGGGGCCACTATTCTAATGAAGTAACTCAGAAATCAAAAACCAAATACCACATGTTCTTACTCTTAAGTGGGAGCTAAGCTACGGGTGTGCAAAGGCATACTGAATGGTAAGGTGGACACTGGAGACTCAGAGTGGGGAAGAGAAGAGGGTGAGGGATGAAAAACTACCTATTGGGTACAATGGACACTATTCAGGTGACAAATGCACTAAAATCCTAGACTTCGTCACACACGATTAATTCATATAACCAAAAACCATGTATCCCTAAAGCTATTGAAATTCAAAAAATTTTTAATGGCAAAACATGCCAAAATTAAGACTTCTATAAGATGCCACTTTCTGTTCAAATTGCAATTAAGAGGTATGAAATCTTCCCCTTTCGCTACCAGAATTCTTCAAGTCAGGCTTTAACTACATTTGAACAGAAACTGTTATTGGCATGAACGCTTACTAATAAACTATCACCTTGTAAACTTTAAAAAATAAAGATATAGGCCAGACGCAGTGGCTCACGCCTGTAATCCCAACACTTTGGGAAGCCGAGGCAGGTGGATCACTTGAGGTGAGGAGTTCCAGGCCAGCCTGGCCAACATGGCGAAACCCCATCTCTACTAAAAATACAAAAATTAGCCGGGCGTGGTGATTGCTGCCTGTAATCCCAGCTACCTGGGAGGCTGAGGAAAGAGAATCGCTTGAACTTGAGAGGCAAAGGTTGCAACGAGCCGAGATCATGCCAATGCACTCCAGCCTGGGCAACAGAGTGTGACTCTGTCTCAAAAATAAAATAAAAATAAAGATATACTTGAACATACATATACAAACACATAACCACACCCCCCTCCCTAAATATAGATGCTTACAATAAAACTAAAGCATGAAAACAGGGCACATGCTTCTCAAATTATAAGGTCAGAATGACTTAATTATAACAAAAAATTAATAATAATAAAATAAATATAAAAATAAAATAAAAAATTATTTAATAAAAATAATTTAATAAAATAGATCAATCTCAGAGAAACTACAATCTGCAATTTCCTTTGTTATGTATATATGCTTGCTAGTTGTATTTCACATAAAACTAATAAGTATGAGAGTTATGATAAGATCCTCTTTAGACATGAAAACACACCCAAACAAAATTTGTTATGATCCACATTTCGATAGTTATGAACTGAATGCCTGAAAACCCCTGCACAATATGCTTTATCATTCTAATGAATTCAAATGAATTAATGTTTGTTTCCAGAGCTATCATACCATTAATGGTTTTATAACTCCATAGCATTAGGACAAATCAAATGCTCTGAAATAGTCAAGAAATATTTAGAGGTCCTGAGAGAGTTTAAGTGTTTCAGTTCATGAATTCTCAAAGTCAACTACAATATTCTTACATAATATGCATTTTTAAATTAAAATTCTGCCTTTAAGAGAAACATCTAAGAAGCCCATGAGAAAGTCAGCCAACAAGTATAATAATCATGATAAACCACCAGAACTTTCAGTTTGCTGCTTTACATCTATGACAGGAAGAACACTATTCCAGTGAGTGCTCACTGTGCCCATGTGAGGAAGACCAGATGGTGGTCATCACCAACATTTTACAGATGGGAAAAGGACTTCATCTAAGGTCCTCCCCAAGATCACACAGCTGGTACGTGGTGTACAGGGCAGGAAAGAAGCAAGACTCAAGCCCAGGTCTTCTCGGTGGCATATTTTTCACTAACAATATGAATCTTCTGTGGGGTAACAAGGCAGCTATGTCAACTGGCTGCAGAACTCTGAATTCTACAACTTCCAGGTCTTTGATCACTCTACTGCCTATCCCTGAATCCTTCACCTCCCATCCCCAGGAGGAACGCCGTTACATTCAATCTCTTTATTGCAGTTATCTACCCAGCCTTTCCAATCAGATGGACTTTGCAGAGGGAAGGCAGTCTTTCCCAAACTATGTGTAATGCAGGTATGACTGGAGTCGGGGAAAACTGAGACACAGATATAAAGGCCACACATTCAGTACTATAGTTATTGAAGCAACTGTTGCTAGGGTCCCAGATTTTCAATTCTCTGTCTCCCAACACCACACTTCCTATTATGTCTCTATCCTAATACATATACATATAGATTTATTCTATCCAAAACCCTATTAAGTTAAAACTCAAACTAAATTCATTTCAACATGGAGGAAAAAAAATGAAGATGTACATGGATCCTGTAAGACTCTGAGATATCTTCTGAATCAAAGATTAAATCAGATTTAGGGGTTGGGTGCGGTGGCTCACGCCTGTAATCTCAGCACTTTGGGAGGCTGAGGCGGGCAGATCACGAGGTCAGGAGATCGAGACCATCCCGGCCAACATGGTGAAACCCTGTCTCTACTAAAATACAAACAAAATTAGCTGGGTGTGGTGGCGCACGCCTGTAGTCCCAGCTACTCGGGAGGCTGAGGCAGGGGAATTGCTTGAACCCGGGAGGCGGAGGTTGCAGTGAGCCGAGATCGTACACTGCACTCCAGCCTGGCGACAGAGCAACACTCCCCATCTCAACAAAAAAAAAAAAAAATCAAATTTAGGATGGTCTCAGTGATCAGTATGCTTACCACACTGTAATTTTCCTAAAAATTACTTTCCCTTCCTCAATGTACATTTTTTAAAGAATAAATATACCTAGGCAGAAAGGGATATCCCATTGCTAACTTATCAAAGTTTATGAAGCAAAGTGAAGAATGTACAGAGATTGACTAAAATTTAACAACAAACAATTAAAAGCTGGTATTCTAAACAATCACAAAGTTCAACTCCCAAAACGGTGGGCAGGGTGCTTTCCCAAAGCACTGGCACGGCAGACTTCATCACTTACCTATGGGATGTGATAACACGTGTAAGCTGAACTGTAGGAAAAAACCTGGAATCTTGAGGTATTTTCTTGGAAAGTTTTATTTCATGTCAGATATCAGAAGTCTACAGGTGTGTAAGGAAAACAAGAAAATACGCCCAAATAAAACGTATCATAGGTACATTCGCCAATCAGAAAGCACTCTGTACACTTTTACTTTAGAATCCTTCACAAAGGTCCATTAAATTAGAGACCCTTTACCTCTCTGTGTGAGGCTAATCCACGTGCAACCCACACAACTCTACGGTCAAGGCCTGCATTCTACACCAGCAAAATGCAAGTGCAATGAGAAGTGAAAAATCTATGCGGTAAAAAATCTATTAGGTACTGATTATCTTCTAAAAAGTTCCAGATGCCCTACTCAAATCACATTCACCCTTGGACATCCCATCCCCCTGCAAAGTTGAAAGTACTCAAATCAAGTGCCTTTAATAGGCTATAGGCCTGGACAGATGACATGTATCCATGGCCACAGTGACTCCTCACCCCTCCTTTCCCCGCCAACACTAATGATACAGGTGGTTGACAATTACACTGTGAATGAGACAAAGGAATGATTCCTACATTTTTTTAATTCCCAAATTTAACCATAACACTAAAATGCAAAACCTTTTACCAGTACAACTGGGGACACCTGAGTCTTTAGAAAGGTGGAGTTACCAAGCTGCAAGACAATGCCTAGGCCTGGTAACGGCAGGAACAACAGAGATGCTGGCATCCCTTGGCTAAACTGCCTGCAGAATACAAGCCTGTAGTTTGTTAATTGGCAGCTGACTGGCTGTAGGGCCTGTTGGTCTGTAATGACAGAGTGTAGCCGCCAGTGGCTCACAGCTAAATATGTAAGTGTCCTCACCCAACATGCAGAGAGGAAACAGAAGTATAACCTTCAATTCATCAGTAGTTTTATGGACAAAGGGCCTGTCAGCTGGCACCAAGCAGGAGCTCAAAATGCATTTATGTTCAAAACACAATTTTAGCACTGTTGGATGTAAAATCCAATGCACAGATCTGAATAACCAATGGCCTCCAATGAATTCGATGTTTCTTTTAACCAAAACGTATTAGAATTAGAGAACTGTTTAGAAGAGTGGTTCTCAAGGTGCAGTCCCTGGGGCCGGCAGCATCTCAAATTCTCAGGCCCCACCCCAGACCTAATGAATCAGAAACTCTGGGAGTTGGGCCCCGTGTTCCCTGCTATAACAAGGCCTCCATGTGGAGTCTGATACATTCCTAAGTTTGAGGACCACTGGCTTAGAAGTCTGAGAACAAAGACATAAAAGTGGAAAAGTACAAGATATTTATAGGAAATGGAAGGAAGGGAGAGCACTCAGCTTAGTTAGGTAGCAAAGAGCATGAGAGGATGTGCTAGAATTAAAGATGACAGTTATGTAAAAGCCAGGAAATTCAAGACACTGAGTGCTAGCCTAGGAAGCCCGCACTCTCCCTGAAAATTGGGAGCTCTTGAAAATTTTGGAGGCAGGAAGTAAGGCCGTTAGAATGGTGGGCTAGGAAGGGCTAGGAAAGCCAGATGGAAGGCTGTCAAGACAGCTGATCCCAGCAAGGCTGAATACAGGCAAGGGAGAGATTTATAAGGTTTCAAAATTGGAACCTTTGACAAGACTTGGCAACACAGTCACCTCGCTGAGGTGTCTGAGATACGGACAGCGTGTGTCAAGGGAAAATGTCTTTCAGGTAGCTGTAACAATGGAACAGTAATTGGAGAGAAAGGAGTACAGAGCCACGAAAACAAATTAGGGGTGATGTGCGTCAAAATGATAGTCTGAAGGCGAAAAGTTAGGAAATATTGTCAGGAAAGGAAAAAAAAAAGAGTGGAGCTCTACTGCAAACATGTCCCCCACCAGAGTCACTAACCTGTCACTAAATTCACCTTGGCTCCACAGGAGAACCATCCAAGTCCCCAAATGGGAAATCTGGAATGGAGGTCAGCCTTAAGATATGGAACAGAAATGGGGCAATTTAAGCACAAAAGCTCTGCTTGAAAGCAATGCTAATTTTATTTTAGGTTTCACTAGAATGAAGATTTGAAGGTAAGGATTACCAATTCTAATTGTGTCGACGGAATTCCTGGTTCTAGTAGCTATACAAAATTTTGCTGTAATTATCTCATCAGTTAGAATGAGTGCATTAGGAACAAGAAGCCTGCACAAGAGGAGAAAATGAGGAAAGGACTCACTAATCCACCAATGCAGAGCTTCTGACGTTCACTCCAGTAACAATGAGTCTCTTCCTCAGAAGCCCCCCAGAGCTACCAAGTCCCACAGGGACTCCATGCCAACTCCCTGGCATCCTAACTTCCCAGGCTGACTGTGGCCTTCAGAAATCCTGCCATGGGCAAGCAGGGGAGGCAGCCCCAGGGAAAGATGCCACCTCTTTTCAGCATTAAGTCACTGAAAGGCTGTGGACCTGAAAAGACCCACATAAATACAGGAAACTGATCTTTGACAAAGGAGCAAAGGCAATACAATGGAGAAAGGACTGTCTTTTCAACAAATAGAGCTGGAACAATGGGACATCCACATGCAAAAACAAAATGAATCTAGACATAGATCTTAAAAACTCTTCACAAAAATTAACTCAAAATGGATCACAGACCTACATGTAACAGGCAAACTACAAAATGCCTAGAAGATCAATGGGGGGGAAATCAAAATGACCTTGAGTATGGCGATGACTTTTGAAATGCAACACCAAACACATGATCCACAGGAGAAATAATTGATAAGCTAGACTGCATTATAATTAAAAACTTCTCTGGGAAAGACACTGTCAAGAGGATGAGAAGACAAGTCACAGACTAGGAAAAAATATTTGGAAAAACAAAACAAACAAACAAAAACCCCATGCCTGACAAAGGACTGTTATCCAAAGGTTGTGTGGCAAGTGGTCTGCCCTCTTACCTGATAGGACCATCCAGCCATTCCATTAACTGGCATTTCTTTTCTCCCCTTTCCAGCACCTCTGAGTTTTGTTCTCAGCTGGATTCTTTCACTACTGGTATCCAAATTCTTCCACAATAATACATCTCAAATTAAGGGAAGCAACTGGGAATAGACTTGGTAAGGAAGAAATTTGCTTTTTAGACATGGTAAGAACATTTTTGTTACATGGACTGAGGGATGCTGTACTGTTGGGCCATCTAACAACAATGAAATAAACAACAGTGGTTATTAAGTGGCCTGTGAGTAATAGCCATCTGGAGAATAAACTCAATCAGGCCGCCCCACACAACCTGTACAGCATTCCCCTAGGGCCTTTGGGAATCCAATGCTTGTTTATACAAGCGCTCTAAAATGTGCAGCCCAAAGAGTATTGCTACAGTATGAAAGGCACTCTGGCTGCCTGTTCTTCCTCCCCTCAGCTTTGTCTTCAAGAGCTGTCTTCATGTCTTCTCTATGTATAGTGTATTTACAATCTCATAGCTAGAAGAAAATCCCCCTTGCTTGAGCAAGCATATACTGAGTATACTTTTATATGAACAACAGAACATACTGAAAATTGGACAGTAAATAAACATACCTTGGGCTGATTGGCTGTGTCTTCCTCCCAATGTGTGGAATCACTTGGCCCGGCTTTGAAGAATTATTTTGTCTCTCTTTTAATTATTATTATGATTATTATTATTATTTTGAGACAGCATCTTGCTTTGTTGCCCAGGCTGGAGTGCAGTGGTGCCATCTCGGCTCATTGCAACCTCCGCCTCCTGGGTTCAAGTGATTCTCATGCCTCAGCCTCCTGAGCAGCTGGGATTACAGGCGTGCCACTATGCCCAGCTAATTTTTGTATTTTTAGTAGAGATGGGGTTTCACCATGTTGGCCAGGCTGGTCTCGAACTCCTGACCTCAAGTGACCCGTCCACCTCAGCCTCCCAAAGTGTTGGGATTACAAGCGTGAGCCATCACGCCCGGCATATCTCTCTTTTTAGATAAAGGGGCTCTTAACCTGGTATTAGGGACTGTGTAAATAGTTTTAAAGATCCATGAACCTCTTGATTTTTTTTTTTTGGAAAATCAAGTATATGTACATAGCTTTCCTTAGATTCTCAAAGGGTTTAATGATCCAAAAATAATATAAGTACAACTATATTAAGTTCTCCAGGGAAATTCAGAAAAACTCCTTCCATCTTAAAAGTCAAACCATAAAATCACATACATAATAAAACCATCGCCTTAAAAACATAAAACTCCATCCTTTCCTATCCAAACATTTATTATGTGTTTTATTATGTTCCACCAACTATTTTAAAAGATTAAAATGAGACCATTTAATAAAATAATTCAGTTACATATCTTTGGTAGAACAGTTAACTCATATAGCACTTAATACACTTTCACATAAATATCCTTTAATCGTCAAAATAATCTGTGAAGATATGACTATTCATGTTCTACAGATATGGGGATAAATTTCACAAAGTTAAGAAATTTTCTCAAGGTCATAGTACTAGCAAGCTGAGGCTGAAACCATCTTCTGATAACAAAATCCAGAGTAACATTTTGTAAAATACTAGTTTAGAAAGATACCAATTGAACTATAGAGACAAAAATTAGATTAGTGATAGCCTAGGACTGGAAAGGGTTGAGAATGACAGGGTAGGGGTAGGGGTGACTGCTAATGGACACAGGTTTTTCAGGGAGGTGATGAAAAAGTTCTAAAATTGATTGTAGTGATGGTTCCACAACTCTAAATATGCTAAAAACCATTGAATTGGACACTTTTTAAATGGATGAATGGTATGTAAATTACATTTTACAGCTATTAAAAAATCAGTTGACAATTAAGGAGGCAAATGAATTATTGATATTTTGTCATTTTAAGATCAAATTATCAAGAATACAAACTCAAAAATGTAAATTTAGCCTAGGTGTTTTGTTCCAAAACAGACAATTCATTTCACATTAGGAAGTTCAGTAGTAAGTGGAAGAGAAAAGCTGGCTTACTATTCCTGGATGGATTCCACACTTGGTTAGAATTCTGCTGAAGAATTCTTGAGTTTCATTTCCCTTCTTAGAGAATGGAGACTACAAGACCTACTTGCACTCTATAACTCACAGAGGTATAAAACTCAAAACAAAACTTGATATTTACAAAGGTTGAATCACTAAATCGTCACTGGTAATCCACTAAAAAGGGAAGGAAGCAAAACCTACTGGAGGCAGTATCTGGTATATGGCTATATAAGCAGCAAATTATACCAGTGTCATGAGAAGTACTCATGAACATAGCAAGTCAAGCTTCTTTAAACTGCAGTTTCACTCTTCTCTTCAGAAATCTGCAGTGATTTCCTATTACTACTTACTTTAGTAAATCCCAATTCCTCTGCCTGGCCCCACAACATCATGTCATTTCCACCTTTTAACAACAGACAACCTCCAACAAGGTCGGTCACCCTCTTCACTATTCAATCTCCAAGTTAGTGAAGATTATCTAGCAATTCCTTCCTTTCTCCTCTCACTGTTAAAATCTGAAATCTTTCAAGCCTCACCTCAAGTTTTACCTCCTTGGACATTCAAGCCTTGACACTCTTGTCTCATGTCATCACACCCCACACAGCCACCATCGGCCCTTGTGTCAAATATGGCAACCTCATTTCCACCAGTACTCCTTAGGGAGATCCCAGAGAGCAAGCACCCAGCCCAGACTGAGCATAAAGTAGATGACTTACTCATTAAATTACTGTGCAGAAAATTACTCACCAATTACATTAAGTCATGTAAAAACAGTCTAAAAATAAGCCAGCTCCTCCACTGGCAATCCATGAAATAATCTGGAAATTAAATGTGACTTTTAAAATAATATTTGCATTAAGATTTTTCATTGAGGTTCTTTACTACCGTGCATCACTTAGTTTACTATTACATTCATGATCTGTGAGTTTGTTTGGAATGAATTATTAGACACACACACACACACATATTCAAATGTGATTATCTACTGGAAAGTCAGTAGATAAGTCAGTTGACTAGAAAGTTTATGGTTTGGATTATTTTTGTAATGTTATTTAATATTTCCCACCCTTATATTCCCCTCTTTGGGGCTGACCTCATGATCTGCCCACCTCAGCCTCCCAAAGTGTTGGGATTACAATGGAAAGAATTGGTGCTCCAAAGCTTTGATTCATTAAGATGCTTCAGAAACAGATATCAATTTATAGAGACATTTCATTTAAAAATCACATCCATTCATTTATTCAACAAATATTTCTAAGCACTTACTAGGTATAGACATTTAGTTATGAGAACCTTAAGACTATCTCAGACGGTGAAATTCAGAAATTCTGTGTTGTATGTTTACCTTAAAAAGATTTCCTCCATGGCAAGGCTGTAACTGAAGACCACCATCTACACAGGAAACATACCTATCCATGAAGGCCTATCAGCTGCACGCCACAAAACACCATAAGCCAACTCCTCTGCTTAATCATTGCTCCCAATGCCCAAACTCTGAGCCAGAACCCCCGACCCTGAGCCAGAATCCCCAACCCCCTCTCCTTTCCCAAGAATCAGGGCAAATCCAGCTCCTTTCCTCTCACCCTATATCCACTCACCAGAAAAGCAGCATGTCTGAACCCTAGCAAAACATTTCTAAATGACACACAGCTCTACCCTACACTTATAATCTTCTCAACCACCAAGAACAGAATGAATCCTTCTCTCAGACAGGTTTCATGCAATTAGAACTGCTCTAACTACTCATGTGTACCAATTATGGGCTTTATTTACAAAGTACCCTAAATGTAGACATGGGTTAGACACACCCTAACATCTATCCTCAGGATAAGTTTAACGCACTGTGTTCCTCCAGTACTTATGTATCTTCTTTTAAAAAACAAAAATACTCAGCATAGAGTTATAGGATCTTCCTGCTACAAAACAGTGTGTTCTTGGTTCAAGGGAAAGTCATCAAAGAGATAAAAATACTGTTCAGCAAGAAGTGGTACCATTCTTTTTTTTTTATTATTATACTTTAAGTTTTAGGGTCCATGTGCATATTGTGCAGGTTAGTTACATATGTATACATGTGCCATGCTGGTGCGCTGCACCCACTAACTCGTCATCTACCATTAGGTATATCTCCCAGTGCTAACCCTCCCCACTCCCCCCACCCCACCACAGTCCCCAGAGTGTGATATTCCCCTTCCTGTGACCATGTGATCTCATTGTTCAGTTCCCACCTATGAGTGAGAATATGCGGTGTTTGGTTTTTTGTTCTTGCGATAGTTTACTGAGAATGATGATTTCCAATTTCATCCATGTCCCTACAAAGGACATGAACTCATCATTTTTTAAGGCTGCATAGTATTCCATGGTGTATATGTGCCACATTTTCTTAATCCAGTCTATCATTGTTGGACATTTGGGTTGGTTCCAAGTCTTTGCTATTGTGAATAATGCCGCAATAAACATACGTGTGCATGTGTCTTTATAGCAGCATGATTTATAGTCCTTTGGGCATATACCCAGTAATGGGATGGCTGGGTCAAATGGTATTTCTAGTTCTAGATCCCTGAGGAATCGCCACACTGACTTCCACAATGGTTGAACTAGTTTACAGTCCCACCAACAGTGTAAAAGTGTTCCTATTTCTCCACATCCTCTCCAGCACCTGTTGTTTCCTGCCTTTTTAATGATTGCCATTCTAACTGGTGTGAGATGGTATCTCATTGTGGTTTTGATTTGCATTTCTCTGATGGCCAGTGATGATGAGCATTTTTTCATGTGTTTTTTGGCTGCATAAATATCTTCTTTTGAGAAGTGTCTGTTCATGTCCTTCGCCCACTTTTTGATGGGGTTGTTTGTTTTTTTCTTGTAAATTTGTTTGAGTTCATTGTAGATTCTGGATATTAGCCCTTTGTCAGATGAGTAGGTTGCAAAAATTTTCTCTCATTTTGTAGGTTGCCTGTTCACTCTGATGGTAGTTTCTTTTGCTGTGCAGAAGCTCTTTAGTTTAATTAGATCCCATTTGTCAATTTTGGCTTTTGTTGCCATTGCTTTTGGTGTTTTAGACATGAAGTCCTTGCCCATGCCTATGTCCTCAATGGTACTGCCTAGGTTTTCTTCTAGGGTTTTTATGGTTTTAGGTCTAACGTTTAAGTCTTTAATCCATCTTGAATTGATTTTTGTATAAGGTGTAAGGAAGGGATCCAGTTTCAGCTTTCTACATATGGCTAGCCAGTTTTCCCAGCACCATTTATTAAATAGGGAATCCTTTCCCCATTTCTTGTTTTTGTCAGGTTTGTCAAAGATCAGATAGTTGTAGATATGCGGCGTTATTTCTGAGGGCTCTGTTCTGTTCCATTGATCTATATCTCTGTTTTGGTACCAGGAAGTGGTACCATTCTTATACAAAGACACCAACTGACCAGACATGTGGCAAAGTATTTAATTAATAAAATCCTAAAACTGGTTAAAAGTGTGTGGGGCGGGGGAGGGGAGTAGCTAAAAGAGGAGGAATAATTTGTTTCGTTTCATTCTCTGATAAACATAATACAGTTTCTTACTAAGGCTAATACATAGCTAACTTCTCAAATTATCATTCCCAAAGAGGGGAATATAAGGGTGGGAAATATGAAATAACATTACAAAAATAATCCAAACCATAAACTTTCTAGTCAACTGATTTATCTACTGACTTTCCAGTAGATAATCACATTTGAATGTGTGTGTGTGTGTGTGTATGTGTGTGTGTGTGTGTGTGTGATATTCTAATAATTCATTCCAAACGAACTACATTTTGGCAACCAAGCTTACGAAGTTGAAAGGTGTAGCTTTCACTGAGTTTAACAAGGTACTATAGCTCAGGCTGGAAATAGCCTATTCTTGGACTAAGAGAAAATTTACACTATTTCAAACCTTCCCTGAAACAAACAAAGAAGTTTAAAATGTGGGTTTGTATGGGTGCCCCAACTTGCACTCATCTGGCACCCAGGGTCAATAAAGGGATTTTGAAAAATGAGTGAAGAAAATACATTGGTGAAGAAAATGCTGTCATATTTGAAGAGTAAGTTTTATCTGGAGTAACTGAGAAGTGGCCCCATTTTCTGAAAATGTTCAAAACCATGACGTATTACACATCAAAGGGAAAGATTTTAAATCTAGCCTAGTTTATTAAATTCTACAGATGACATAGCTTATGTTTAATATGTGTGCATATGTTTATGTAGCTCCCCTCATACTGGTATTTGTTCTCTGCACACTTTGACCTGGCGGCTTCCAGCAACTACTTGAATCATGCTTGATGCTCTGTAAACATGAAAAAATGCTAAGAGAGAGAAACAGAGAAGACAACAGAGATACAGCGCTTCACATTCTGCCTCTCACTCAATAAATATTGGTTAATTGATTGGAGTTGGAACTAAACAGAACATAGGATTCCTAATTTGTTCAAATCTAGCCAAGTGCTAGACGATCAGCTGATTCCAATGGTCTAAGAAAGGAAACAAAGTCCATATAATGAAAGAATCGGCATTATTCATTCTTTCATCCATCCATCCATCCACCTAAATATGTGGGTACCTCTTAAGTATGAGGCATCCTGCTAAGGCTGAGAATACAATGGGTAAAAAACTGGCAAAAGATCCCATCCTCCCAGAACTTAGTCTAAGGACAAAGCCACTCAAGTGCCACAAAAATACACTGCAGAAAAAGAGTTCCAAGCAGAGGGAAGTGGATGGAGTTTGGAGAGTATACAGTGGGGAAGGTGGGAGGAAGCGCTGACGTGGAGGGTAATTAGGCTTAAATTCGAAGAAGGAAAGGAAGAGAAACAAGGAAAGGGAACAGAGTTCCAGGCAGAAAGAGCAGCTTCTGCAAAGAAAGGCCCCTGGAGGGAGGAGCTGGGCCCACAGGAAAAGCTGTACAGCAACCTGTGCTGAAGGCAGGATGTCAGGGAACAACAGGGTTTGAAGACCAACCCAAAACAAGCAGCCGCCAGACCTGCAGCCCTAGTCAGTTACCTGTCTTAACATTAAAAAAGAAGAAAAACAAAATCAAAAGGCTTCTGTGACCTAGGAGAAAGCAGACTGGATCCCAAATCAGATAACCTGGATCAAGTCGTAACTGCCAGTTCAACCACCCCTGGGTGCCCAACATCCTTGAGCCATCTCTGTCCCATCATTGTCAACTGATGATAAGAACACCTCACTCGGAGCAAGGCTGTGAAAAATGAACCAGATAAAAGTATGTGAAATTGATCTGCAAAGATAAAGTGTTCAGCAAATTAACAGCATTATAAGATTAGAGGTCTTTTTTTTTTAACTAAATGCTGGAACATAAACCATGACCTGCTTAAAACCTACTTTTTTTCCTTTTAAAATCATATTAAGAAACATGTGCCCAAAGATATAATAGTTTTACACGAATAGCCTAATACTTGAGCTTTGCTGAAGAAAACGGTATTCACAAAACTCAAAATTTTATTAAAATTTAGAAGTTAACTTGCATTATAACTTTAAAATGGCAGGCTACTCAAATACGTATTTCAATACACCAGAATCTTATATTTTAAGTAATTACCATGTAAAATTTCTTATAAAACATGTATCTGGCATAAATCCAGAACTGCATATCATCTTATCAATTACTTTATTATACAGAGAGCTTAAGTCCAAACCAGACAGACAGATTAAGAATCTTTATATAAAATTAGGCCGGGTACAGTAGCTCACACCTGTAACCCCAACACTTTGGGAGGCTGAAGCAAGGCAGATTGTTTGATTCCAGGAGTTCAAGACTAGCCTGGGCAACATGGTGAAACCCCGTCTCTACTAAAAATACCAAAACAAAAAGCAAACAACAAAAAAACTGGTTGGGCATGGCATGCCTAAAGTCCCAGTTACTTGGGAGGCTGAGGTGGGAGAATCACCTGAGCCCAGGAGGTAAAGGCTGCAGTGAGCCGAGATTGTGCCAGTGTACTCCAGCCTGGGCAACTGGAGTGAGATCCTGTCTCCAAAACAAAAAAAAAAATCTTTAAATAAAAATCGTAAATAAACAGGGGTACAATTTCACAGTCTAAAGGCAATATTCTGAAGCAAAGTAATAAAGCATAAAGAATAACACTTGTGGTTCTTTAAGGTTGATAAATGGTTGTATTATCTACTCTGCTACTGGTGTGTGCGGTTCTTGTTGCCAAAAAATAGCAAGAAAAAAAAAATCGAATGGCTCTCAAACTAGTGTTGGTATAAGTTTAGCTTATCTCTACAACTTCCCATTACCCTTATCTCTTCCTAAGAGGAAGATATTAAAGCAATCAAACTTAGTTGTGGACTTAAAAGAAAAAAAAAAAAAACCTGTAATTTTCTGAAAATGTATCTTAAAATGTATTAACTTCTGAGCCATTTATACTTACAATATGCTGTAGGTATCTTCAAAATTATTTTTAAAATCAAAATAAAACAATATTAAAATCCAATAAGAATGCATTTTCACATAGAGCCTGCATAATTAGAATATATATTTTATAGATCAGCATCAAAATTGAATACTTGTAATTAATCTTTTCTAAAATTAATATCAACAGAAATACTGGTTTGTGGGGGTTGAGTCTTTTAAAAAGTTATACCTCACAGACACATTTCTATTTTAAATATTTATCAGATAAAACTTATTTTATGCCTTTCGGTAATTTCTCCCTCAATGTAAAAAAGGCACTTTCTAAAATAAATGTCAGATTTCTGTGTTATTTTTAAAATTTGAAACTTTTATTACATACAACCCCACATCTAAAATGGCTTTCTTTTCATCAGTCTGGTTATAAAACAGCTATTCAGGAATTCCTGAAATACCTACAATTCTTTTTCATTCAATACCAGAAAACTCTTAGTAGCTTAATGAATTGGAGAAACATTACTTTCTAAGAAGATACTTCAAGATAATTCAGAGGAATTTCATCATTCAGAGTCTCCTAACCTGGGGGAGGGGAAGTAGATACCATTTTATATGAAACATTAACTAAATACACTCAACAATTTTAAAGTATTCCTTCTAAGAACAACATAACCAAGAAACAAAATGGAGCTTCAAAATAGTACAAAATGACCTTAATTACATGCTATAAATCAGTGACAAAAATCTAAAAACTTCTTTGTCCCCTTCCATCCTAAATTTAGAGGAAGACAGCTTGTAAGTTAAAAAAATTTAAGTAAAATTTAGGACTTGACAATGATACTGAATCAGAGTAAATCCTTACTTGCGGCACTTATCAAATGTATTGAACTGATCAATTTTTTAGAATGGCAAAGTGTAAACTGATTTTATGTTAAAAGACTGCAGCATGATATATTTCCTTTCCTTTAGAGGTTGAACAGAATTCAGCCAAACGCACAGTAACAACACAGCACGATTTACTTCTCTCTCAATTTTGAAACCCACATTTGCTGAGATCAATAACATGGGATATAATTCAAGAACTTTAATAAATCAAAACAAAGGAGGGAGAGAAGTTCCTCAGGGCCTCTGGATAGAATATAGTCCCAAGATGGAGCTCAGAGTAAAAACAAGTTATGGTTTTATATTAGATACTAAAATCTGTATTTCATTCCTCATTTCACCTGGAGGCTGAGATATTAACTCAAACAAGATTTGAGTAAAGCAGGAGTTTTGTCCAAGCCTCGTGAGAAAAGAGCAACATCAAATCAGAGGCAAGCCAAACACACACCAATGTGTGGCTGGTTCTGTTGCAGAACTAAGTGATGTGTTACTTGCTCAAATTGGGGGACATTCAAGATGTCTAGGGACGCAGCATGAACACTCACCTCCCCTACCAATCAAGCCCCTGACTCATGGGGATACATACCCTGCCCCCAGCAGTAAACAGGCTCATCCTGTTTAAGAAAAAGGAAGAAGGAAGAGGAGATTGGGAGAAAGATGGAGATTATCTGAGAAAATCTATTCCAAGAAAAGGGTAATGGGAACAAGAAGACTTGGTACCCAAGTTCATTGGGATCACAGGGGGAAGCAAAGAAAGGCCCAAAATATGGAGGCCTGCCAAACTTACTGAGTAAGATCTCTTTCTTGGCATATCCTACCTGCCTACTCTCATAAATGATTAAATTCAATCACCTGTAAAGCTCATCAGCTCCAAAATTAACCACCCTGAAACTAGCTTGCATTTGGTGATGAGAGGCATGACAGGTGAGGAGGTGGGCCTTGGAGCTGGATGAGTTATTCCAGGTTCCACTGGACTGGAGACCTTGGACAAGTTACTGAACTGCTCTGTCTCCGGTTTCTTCGCCTGTAAACTAGGGCTAATAATAGTATACCTGTCTCATGAGATTGCTGGGAGGATTCAATGACTTAAAATACACAGAATGCTTGGAATAGGTACTTGGCACATAGTAAACAGGCAGTATATCAGTGTTAGTTATTAGTAATTATTTACTGAGAAAGTAGCCTGTTTTGTACTGTCCTACTGAAAAGAGGTGAGTTTCGATTAGGAAAATTGTAACTACAGGCAGGTTTTCTCTCAATCCCACTTAGTGAGTGAGAAGTGAACTTCTTGGAGCTTTTAGGAGGAATGTGATGCAACCCACAGCAAGGCTGTGACAGGTGTCTCTGCACTTGCACCACCTGCCTAGACTAGGTGTGGGTCAAAGAAATCCTCCCCACGGTAATGATGCTTGAACCAGGCAGAACTCCCCAGGGAGAGCCATCTACTATTCCAGCAGCCCTGCTGGCCAGTGGGGACTTGCATGAACATGCTATCACTGGCTGGGCAGGAGGCAAGTTCCAAGCCCTCGCCAATAGTAACTTGTGAGCTGTGGATACCTGGAGACCTTGCCAGTCAGATGATCACAAAGACTACAGGAAGGAACCCACAGCTGATACTATTAGACCTAGAAAAAAATCAGGACACCCATCAGCAGGAAGCACTTTGACTCCTGTCACCCCATGCGTGAGACCTCCACAGGAGGCTTCTAGAGGCTCCTGAGGCTGATGAAAAATAATCACAAAAGGGCACTGGTCTGTCTTGATTTGTGAGTTAATCTACAATGAATCACTGTAATATACTTTAAATAGAACATTTCTGATTTGCTAATGAAATCTGCCTATACAGCAGAGGTCAGGGGTCTTGTTTGGGCTGCCTAAGTTATTTCCCCAGGGCCCTGAGGTCTGTGTGTTGAGCGGGAACCAGCTCAAGTCAATGGACATGCTGGAGAGAGCAAAACTCCCTATGTCACAAGCACCTTTGACACAAGTGTGAGTTAACAATAATAATACCATCAGTCATTAAACTTGCCAGTGGAATTTGTCTACCTCTGAAAGTGACTGTCAACATTCTCCACCAAGTGCTTGGATTAAACGGGTTGAGTGTCCCTTATCCAAAATGCTTTGGACAAGAAGTGTGTTGGATTTCATATTTTTTCACATTTTCCAATATTTGCATTATCCTCACCAGCTGAGAATCTCAAATCTGAAAATCCAAGACCCAAAATGCTCCCGTGAGCATTTCTTTGTGTGTCACGTCAGTGCTCAAAAAGTTTTGAATTCTGGAGCATTTCAGATTTTTGGATTTTTGGAACCCCAACCTGTAACTGTATTTTAATCAAAATCCTAGTGAGAGGCTAGGAAAACCACCCTGTTTTCATTTTGATTTTCATTTTTGCATTTTACATTATACTTATTCATTTGTAAATATGAGATCTTTGAAAAAATTTTGAGCTCCCATTTTCAGATGAGCTAAGAGACCCATCTATGCTGTCTATATCTGGAAGTACTATACACCACCAAGGAGACCCCAAAATTCCAAGTTTAAAATTCCAAACCTAGCAGATACAACAATCTTAAAGATGAGCTGGATTTCAGGTTCAACGTTCAAAATGGATGAATTAGAAAGTAGATTCTAACTCTACTCTTAGCCAAAAAAGAAGTGTATATGCCACACATTATAACAGTTTCTAGGCTCTGAGTCAAAATTAGGAAATAATTTTTGTTTAAAACATGTTTATTCAACTAAAAAATCAAATTTAATAGTAAATACTTATTGAGTCCCTAAACAAAGGCATTTGGAAATATGCAAACATATATGCATTATTACTCCTACTCTCGAAGAGAAACTGATATGAAGACTTACAGAACCACATTTTCCTTGATGCAAGGTACCATGAAAACATAGCCTGATGAACTTACTCTAAATGAAGACAAACACAAGGCAAATTAATAATCACCCCCTTAAACTACTGGCTCCAGTTAGCCTATTAGGGGCCAAATTGGTTCTACCTACCAGCTGTATCAGAGACTGCTCATTTCCAAAAGAGCTGCCCAGTTTGCAGCAGTCACTGGACAGTTCTCAAAGATAAAGACTGTGGTCCCATTTCAGGGCTATCTACATGATAAGGCTTTTGTTATTCGCCCTCCACCTATTCTATACTTCACATCAGAGCCTCCAAGCCACCAGGCTGCTCAGGGAGGTTGTCATTCAACAACAGGAAACAAGAAAAGAAAAAAAGATTTTATTAGTTTATTTTATCTAAGCCAAGGCCTCTGGTTGGAGAAAAAAATGCAAAGGAGAAAGTTTAGAAATATTCAAAATTGTTTTTAAATAACATGCTTTCCTTAAGTTTTCCTGAGAAACTGGTGTCTCATTTTAGTACAAGAGTACTCAGTTTTTAGATTCCTATACTCAGATTACCTAAGAAATGTTTCTGACAGATATAATTTCCTATACAAGAGACAAAAGGTACAGAGGCACCTTCGAGTTCAATTTACTGGGGCACAGTGGTAAGAGGGAAGTTTCCACAACACAACATTATGCTGCAAAATCGCACTGAATATGGCATCTACTCCACGTGTACCCTGTTTTCTAGAATGCTCTAGGAAGTTCTGTCCCCCACGGAATTGGGGTCAAAGCTTTTTCACTGCCATAGGCCTACTTACCAGCAACACTGACCTCAAGTCAGTGAAGCGTACGACCCTCAATGCTGCAAATTCCTTGTTTCATGTTCATTGCAAAGCAGACGCTCAATGTTAAAACTGGGAGTTTAAACAGAAGACTTGGACCAGGAAGTTCATTGGCCCGTTTCTGGTGACAGCTACTTCTAGGAGCTCCTCACCTTTCCCTAAGATTCATGCCACTTCAAGAAGAGAAAAAGGAGATACTGAAGTGTTGGAGTAAAGTACAGGTTTAAAACAAGTGAAAAGGTGGCACTTTGCTCACTCCTGTCTGCAGATTAGAGAAGAATCCCTCTGTCAAGATGAATCATATCATCTATCTGCAGCAAAAAGCATCTGTGACTCTTAGAATGAACTTTCTCTTTGACCCTTCATGTCTGGGGAAACATTTTGAAATGTATGCATTATTCTTACCAGTTGAGAATCCCAAATCTGAAAATCTGAGATCCAAAATGCTCCCGTGAGCATTTCCTTTGTGCATTATGTCAGTGCTCAAGAAGTTTTGAATTTTGGAGCATTTCAGATTTTTGGGTTTGGGATGCCCAACCTGTAACTGTACCCTAATCAAAATTGTACAGAGAGGCTGGGAAAACCATCCTGTTTTTCATTTTGATTTTAATTTCTGCATTTTACAAAAATCAGCTACTTCAGTTGAGACCACTGAAATTGCTCCACCTAGCAAATAGTAGATATTTCAACTATGTTTATTATTTATCATTATTATTATTGTTGGAAGTAAGAAACATCTACAAAAGCTGCCATCAAGGGGTTAAGAAAATCAATCAAGGACTTGGCGTGGTGGCTCACGCCTGTAATCCCAGCACTTTGGAAAGCTGAGGCAGGCAGGATGGCCTGAGCCCAGGAGTTTGAGACCAGCCTGGGCAACATAGCAAAACCATCTCTACAAAAAATTAAACAAAATTAGCCAGGTGTGGTGGTGTGCGCCTGTAGTTCCAGCTACTTGGGAGGCTCAGGTGGGAGGATCACTTGAGCAGCAGGAGGTCGAGGCTGCAGTGAACTGTGATCATGCCACTGCATGCCAGCCTGGGCAACAGAGCAAGACCCTGTCTCAAAAGCAAATACATACATACATAAAAATTTAAAAAAAAAAAAATCAAACAAGGATCCATACCAAGTCAACTCAGATATTAACAAAAAGAATCCTTTAAACCTAGACGCTCATGCTTTTGCATACAAGCTACCCTAGTATCCTATATCAGCAGGCAAAAACATATACTCCCCAGGTATACCCAGACACCTTTTATTCCCATCTGTAATTCTTAGGAAGCGTGCACACTAGCATCAAGACTGAATACCGTGATGAGGTGAATGAATAAAGACCCTGTTAGCCAGACACATGGAGCCGCCTAACAGTTCCTAGTGGCTTCTTCCATAAATAGCCCAGTGGACAGCGTTGGTGCGAAGGTGGTCCCCAAGTTTATGGGTGAGCTTGAGTCATAATTAGGACTTCTGGATCCATATTTACTGACTGTGGCTCACACTGTAAGTGGAGCTGTAGAACTCTTTTATAGTGTAAGCTAATGAACCAGAGTTTTACATTTATTATCAAGTCATGACATGCAAGTAGACCTTTCAACAGTAGGTAAACATCATGACCAAAACGTTGTCAACTCAAATCTTTAAGATAAAATAACAATAAATTAAAAATAGCCTGCATCTTTTTCCCTCAGCTGAGATATGAAACCATTCAATCCAACACAAAAAGGTTTTGCAAATCAATAGGCCATTTAGAAATGGCTCATTTTCATTCTAGCATGATGGCTTTTAAAAAATTGTCACACCCAATACAGCAGCCTACAGGCTGAGTGGAAAATGCCAGTTCAGAAAAGCTTTGCTCATTGTAAGAGTTACCATCAGCAGACAGAATTCACAGCAGGATGCTCTGCTGGGTCCATTAATCAATACATGGAAATTCAGACAAAAGGCTTGTTTAGCCCCTCTTCCCAAAAGCATTTTTAATTCCACAAAGGAATCAGAAGCCAGAGACTGAAGCATGGTTAGAGTGCTAACCGTTCTGACGGATCTTTAATGAAACACTTGAGAAATCCATTCACACATGGTCCTGTTTCATACACCCGCTTTCTCCCCAGCTCCAAACTTGATAGCAATAACTAGTAATTCACCTCCTTACTGTTAACATAGCCCTCTCTGTGTACTTCAGCTGAAACCACTGAAACTGCTCCACAAGGAACAGAAAAATTCATTACACATTCTACGAAGAGCTTCTCAATCCCCTATTCCCCTGGCTTATTATTAATAATGGCACACCCACCCAAGCAAAAATAAAGGGAGGGTCATCTGTTGGAAAATCTAGGGCTCTTCTATCATTCTATCTTATGGTCTGGGGCCTTCTTTGTTCTTCAAGCTATTGTTTCTTTTTCACTAATAGGAATTTGTTCTGGGTTTTTAAAAAAGAGAGGAGAGAGAAAGCCAGCCACCCAATGAGCCAAGTACTAAATCATCTTATCCTAAATCCAAGTAAGGGCATGTCTGAGAATATGGTCAAGACTCTAGGACCTCTCTCCAGAAAACATGCATCCACATGAAATTCCAAAGTTTCAAGTGAGTTGCCCTCAAGTACATCCAGGGTTCATAGATTCCAAGTCACATCCTCCAACTAGACCAGTCTCTGATTTAAGGCTACTTTGGATACCTGTGAGGGACCACCATCAGGTCTTTAGAGGGGTGGATTAAGGAGGCTACCTTTCTAAAATATGTCAGCAGATTACAAATGGAAAATTTCTTTGCAATTCCTTAACAGTTTACAGAGGAGTGAACTCCTTTGTCAGCGGTCTATACCTTCTTCTGAGAATAAATTCTACCCTGTAGAGCCTGACTGCTGTTGCCTCGCTGCACGCATCACCTCAGGGGATTATGCAGCATCCCTGCACCTGATTTCCCAGCTAGAGTTCTAGTGTCCCCATCTTAACTCCGAAACCTCATCTAACACAGTAAGGACTGCCAAAATGCAGTCCCTGCTGCCTTGTCAGCAGACCCTCTTTTATTCCATAAAGCAGGGATTCCATCACACCAAGTTCAGCTGGATGTCTGTTAGAAATGCCGACGCCCAGGCCACCACCCTAAGCCCACAGAATGCCCAAACAAGCAATTTCAGGGTCGGGGTGGAAGGCAGGAATGTGGCTATTTAACAAGCCCATGGTACACTTCTAATGTACCCACAGTTTGAGAACATTGCTCTAAAATAATCTTCCACTGAAAGCTGGTTAGCATCCTCCTTGCCCTCCTTCTCTCCTAATATTACGTGCTCATTCTCACCTTAGACTTTGCTCCATTTCTTACCTCCACAAGGAAATCATCTCCTCTCCATCCACTTAAACCTTACTCATTTTGAAAGGCAAATCTCAAGTCCTCATTCCCCAATACTGACCTGTCATGGTGTTTCTCGAGGTGAATTTTTCCCTGTCTCCCTGACATCAGAATTACCTTGTTGGGGGAAGGGGAAGTGAAAAGATTATTTAAAACGCCAGATCCTAGGCCAGTCCCATATCTACAGGATTAGAAGAAAATGGAGTGAAATGTAAACATTTTTAAAAACCGAAGGTTACATAAAACAAAGAGAACCTGAAAACTATCAAAAGTCTTATCCACTGAATTTCGACTTTCTAAAAACCCTCTAAAATATTTCTGAAACCTAGGCTAGGCAGAGAAGAGTTAAAAATCTTAAAACCTGTTCTCTCAGCTAATGCAATGACAATAAGAGCCACAGGAGGAAAGCTAGTCAGGTGGGACAGCTGTGCTGCAGCTTAGCCTAAAAGGATAATACAGAGAGCAAAAGGGGCCAACTCACTGAGCTTCTAAAAACGACCTCAACTCTGCACTTCTTCACAGTAGCATTCTAAAAAGCATCTATGCAATTTAACTAAATGGTAGGCCCATAAAAAACTGTACACACTTAAAACAGTACATGATAACCTATTGCATAAAAATATACAATTACATTTTTAATTATGCACAAACCAGGTGATAATTATACCAATATAAGGTTCTCTGTAATCTCCATATGCTGTAAAAATCTACAATCACCTCATATCTTATGAGTGGGTGTAACCATGTCTAAACCCATTCATTTATTTAAAACAAAATGAACTGCAGAGTTTCCAAGGGATGTGGCACTGTGCAAAGTGCTGTGGGGACACCAAGATGAATGAGAAATGGCCAGTGCCCTTGAGAAGCTCACCACAATCTTGTAGGGAGGAATATAATAAAGACAAATGGCTGTGGTGTAAAGCAGGGTATGATAAGGGCCAGAAGAGAAATTCAAGGCACTACAGGAACTCAAGAGAGAAAAGAGCGATCGCTAGAACGAACAGAGAAAACATCATTGAGGCGGCAGCATTTCAGGTAGTTCTTGAAGGATGAGCATAAGTCTTTTAAGTGGAGGTTAGAATAGAAAAGACAGTCAGCAAGCAGGAAGGACAAGAGGTAAAGAATACAGACAGAAAAGCTCCTATGGTACAAATGTACTGAGACGGCAACTGAGGCAGAGTTGTCAAAAGGATGTTTGAACTGAGACCACCATCAAGGTATACCGGTAGGATGGTGATAATTTTGCATCAGTAAGTACACTTTGCAGATAGGTAAGTACACATCCAATTAGCCCAAAGGCACCGAGGTTATTTTTTTTTCCTAACAAGGAATACTGTAGGACAACATCAAATTAAACCAAAACAGAAAAGCAATTGTAAAAGAAAAATTCTTTCTGAAATATACTTACTGGGCAAGACATCTACAAGTCAATATCATGGGTAGGGTGATGGACATAGAGTCAGAAGACCTGGGTTTTAGTCTAAGTTCATTCTGACAGCTCTAGCATCTCGAGTAAGTCACTAACATACAGAATACAATCGATAATTTCTGCATCCTGTAAAATTGTTTGCTGATCCAATGACATAAATAGTCATTTCTAAAACTGTAATGCTCTTTCAAAATGTAAAGCAATACCGCCAGATAACTTTGAAAAATTATAAATTTATTTGTAAGTACACAAGGAACACGCACTTATAATACACACTCATATACACATACTGTTATGATTTTTAAAAACTCAAATATGATGGCTTCCCCAGAGCAAGGTGAGCATTTGGCTCAGGCTGAAGCACACACCAGGGACGCCAAAGAGAAATGGAAAGACACAGGATGCGGCTAAGACTGCCGGGCTGCTTGATGGAGCAACCCTAGAGCACCCTATGTTTAGACTTTCCATTGATTTAAAGTGATATTGATACAACTCCTTCACCGAAAACCAGCTCAAACTGATTTAAACAAAAACTTTGAATATAAAAATTCCAAAATAACACCTGATTATAAAACACTTATTTTGTTCAGATTACATGATGTTCCCTTAACAAATATGAAGGAATTAATATGGTCCTACCTAATTTCCTTCATTACCAATGTGGCTTTTCCTCATACCTAAGGTTAATCAATATTGAATATCCATTACACCATTATCTAAGTTAAATACATATGCAAATAAAAACAGGATTTTAAACAGACTAAGTTCATTTTCATAGTTAAAGAAACAAATGTGAGATATATACACATATTTGTACATTAAAGTCTTTTGTCTTTAGCCATAAAATACCTGAAGCTCTGAGTATACACATTAACCTGTTAACCTGCACTAAAAGATCCTATACTATGACTGATAAAATAAAATCTCCCTTTGATCAAGACTTTCAAATCCTAACTTATTAGACTAGCTTATCATTTAAAAGCCAAATAATTTTTTCCATCCAAAAAACATCTAAATGTTTGACTACACAGCTATTTCTCACATTCCTTATCTTCTGAATCTCCAGCAGCCTGCCTAAGTTCCCCTCCCTCTTTCTCCCCACCTTCCCCTGTATAACTATCCTCTCTATATGTTCCCCCTTGTAACAAGGATAGCAATAATATTTATCATCCAAACCAGGGCACTCTTAAAGGGGGAGCTATTAATAATTAATCCAGGCAAATAGGTATTAAAACTGGGACATATGGTCGCCCTACTTAGAACTATCATGCTGGACAGAAGGCAAACTCTATTCACTAAGAGATGGAAAATCTCATATTTAATAAGCTGAACTAGAACATAAATATTCTGACTTACCCCCGCCCTGAATTCCCACCTGGGAACCATGAACCCAGAGGAGAAGACGCTTGTCTTCTCGGGGGGAAGCTGCCCCACTGCCCCAACTGTCCCTTTCATTCTCCGGGATGCTAAGTTCAGGTCAGTGTGTACTGGGGCAACACCTGACAGAGAATTCTTTGAGACCACTGGAAAAAGCTTGAGGGCTTGTTCCTTCTCTGCTGTAAACAGAAGACTATCTAGCCTTCACTGCTAAAGAGGCATTAATAACCTTCAATTAAATAGGCATTAGCCATGTCAGCTTCCAACTTCAGAGCCTCATCCTCATCCAAAACATTCATTATGGTTTACTGTGCTGGGTGCTGTGAAGGTCAAAGTGCATAGCCCACATCTTCTCTGAATTTATAGTCCAAGATGAAAAATGATGTGGGCTATAAAATGGGAGATACATGCACATCAAATAAAGGCCTTACAAGTGCAGACCAAGGAGGAGGAGCAGAGCTGGATTTAGGAAAAGAGCAGAAGACAAACCAGTTAAAGCAGCAGCCGGTTAAAATGATCCACGGCATTGGCTTTGGGATGCAGCAGTGGGGCAGCACTACATATTGGGAGGGGAAGCTGGGGAGAAGTGAAAATTACAAAGAGAGCCATTTCTGGTGCTTTTTCATGGCTAGGTTCAAGTTCACCTGCACTGAGGACCAGAGCATCCTAATCCATGACAATGACCTTGTGTTCCCTATTCCAGCAGCATCACATGCTCACCTCTAACTCACCTGTCAGCTCCCTCAAGGCTGAGGGCCTTTGTTTCAGTCATTGGAGCTCAACTGGAACCAAAGAACAGGTGCTCAATAAACATTTTTAAAAACTGTGGTAAAATACACACAAAATAAAATTTGCCCTCTTAACCATTTTTAAGCCTATAGTTCAATTGCATTAAATATACTCATTGTTCTGCAATCATCACCACATTCATCTCCAGAACTCTTTTCATCTCAAAAAACTAAAAATCTGTGTCCATTAAACACTAACTCCCTATTGCCCCCTCCCTCAGCCCCTGGCAGCCGCCATTGTACTTTCTGCCTCTATGAATTTGACTACTCTAGGTACCTCATATAAATGGAATCATGAAATATTTGTCTTTCTGTTTCTGGCTGGCTTCTTTCACTTAGTATAACGTCCTCAAAGTTCATCCGTGTTGTAGCATTATTTCCTTCTTTTTTTTTTTTTTTTTTTTGAGATGGGCTTGCTCTGTCACCGGGCTGGAGTATTGTGGTGCGATCTCGGCTCACTGCAACCTCCGCCTCCCGGGTTCAAGGGATTCTCCTGCCTCAGCCTCCTGAGTAGCTGGGAACACAGGTGCACACCGCCATGTCCAGCTAATTTTTGTATTTTTAGGAGAGACGGGGTACAGCCTCCTGAGTAGCTGGGACTACAGACGCACACCACCACACCCAGCTAATTTTCATATTTAGGTAGAGATGGGGTTTCACCATGTTGGCCAGGATGGTCTCAATCTCTTGACCTCGTGATCTGCCTGCCTCAGCCTCCCAAAGTGCTGGGATTATAGGTGTGAGCCACCGTGCCCAGTCTACAATTTCCTTCTTTAAGGCTGAATAATATTCCACTGTATGTATACACATATCCATAAAAAATATTTTTGTTTATCTATAATACCTTTTAATCAATTAAATAACTATACTTCAGAGACTGAAAGACAGTCTCCTTAAATTTGACAGAATTTCAAATCTCTTAGACTGGAATATTTGAAATTTCTTAGATAAACAGAGATGAACTAAAGTCAGGTAAGAAAATGCTTCTCCAAGGCTCTCTTCTATTTCCTACCACTCAAAAAGAATGCACGACTCAATAACCTACTTGGCCCTATGTGAACTGAAATTTTTCTGGTAAACTTCCTTGCTCTTATCAGCTTATATTTTAATACTTCACTTTCAACGCTGTGGTAAAACCTACTTCATGAAGGCCAAGAGGATAGCCTCTTCAACCGGAAAAAGAAAACCACTACAGAATGAGAAAAACATTGCTAAATCTCTTTTCAAATCCTGACTTCCATAACCACAGAAGTTTGAAAAAGGAGTGTTGGGGGAAAGGAGTGTTGGGGAGGGAGGCCTCTGGCCAGCCACTGTCTTTCTAAGACTGGCTTCCTAAAGATGGGCGGGTGAGCAGAGGCAGGCCCAACTGAAGTTACCATACAGATTTTTTTTTTTTTTGGAGGCGGGGTCTCACTGTCACCCAGGTTGGAGTGCAGTAGCTCGGATCTTGGCTCACTGCAACCTCCACCTCCCAGGCTCAAGCGATCCTCCCATCTCAGCCTTCTGAATAGTTGGGACCACAGGCAAACACTGCCACACCCGACTAATTTTTATATATATATATATACACATATATATAGTAGAGACAGGGTTTTGCTATGTTGCCCAAGCTGGTCTTGAACACCCAAGCTCAAGCAATCCACCCACCTCGGCCTCCCAAAGTACTGGGATTACACGCCTGGCCTCCTGTGCAATTCTGATAGTTGTCAAGGCTGTAGCTGGCGGGGCGGGGGGGCTTTTTTTTTTCTTTCTTCTCCCCTCCTTGAGATTCTGAACAGACATCAGAAAGGCATAATCATAGATGATTTTCATATTCATGTAATGAACACTACATTTTTCTTCCTATTTCTTGAAACTTACTGGAGGCTTGACTGGTTTTAAAAGGATTTCTTCCGTCAATATGTCCCCATTTTCCCAACCAAGTTAACTGGTCAGAACTAGCCTGGGTGACAGTGAGACCCTGCCTCCAAGCAGGTTCCCTTCTGTGGTTATGGAAGTCAGGATAAGTTAATTTATATCATATGGTGTCCTAAGGGTAGGTAAGGGTTAAATTATACCTTGCTCCAGAAATGACACCTTATAAAATTGGAAAACCTGGGTAGGGGAATGACCAAAGACTATAAATATCAGAAATGCCATCTAACACGAGAAAACAGAATGAATGAAAAAAACGGAGTAGACTGCCTTGTTAAGTGAAAACCTAATTAAATTCACGTCATATTGCTTTTCAACTATGAATAAGAGGTTATAAAATCAGACTGGGCAACTTAAACGATGCAGGCATCATTTCCTACATTTCCTTTTGATCCCTATGGCATAGTGCTAGGCAAGCAAATATGTACTATACTTAACACGCTCATTTAGAGATTGATGTTTACTTGACTATTAGCAATAATGCAAGATGATTGTTTCTCTTCCTTTAATATAATTTAATAATTTTTGAAAATATAAATTCAACCAGAAAATGAGTCAACATATTATAAAATCCATAAATACTTCAGTACTTTATACGTGCACAACCCTACAAAGCACAAAATCTAGTCGAGAAGATCAGTAAGAAAATGTAAGTACCCAAAAATGTTTGAAGAAAATAATTTTATATCATCTCATTCACATGTAGATGGGTTTCATCTTTGAAAACATGGGAGATAAAAGATCTCCCTTTCAGGTCATGTCTGTAGAATCTGACAATTCATGAAGGCACAGACATGGACACATAAAATTCTATGCTCAGTACTCGTTATTACAAGATAATGTCAGGCCCTGGTTTGTCCCCTTATTTAAAAGAAAAACGAGAAAATTATTACAGCATAAATGCGGCCTTTTAGACAAAATTTATATGTTGCTTACTTTCTTCAGACACACAAATCATTTCCCAACACATACAGATTAAAGGAATACACCCTAATGATATTCAGTCATGAATCTAACTCAATCAAAGACAGCTCAACCTGTTACTGCCTTTCCTAAGACTTTCATAGGGATGACCAAAACCAGACGGCTAGCAGACTCACCAAGGACTACGTCCAGAAGGCAACGCCTTGATTAGTGGACAGGTAAGGCTGACTCAATACGGGACAGCCCAGACCCAGCCAGCTGTTTGGTCTAACTGTGCACAGGGCTAATGATTTTCTTTAGCAATTGCTCTTCACATTCTGAAGATTTGATTGAATTCTTAATACTGCATTCACAGCTCAGCAAAGAATATCCTTCTGAAATATCAGAGCATGGGTTACTGAAGAAGTTGCCATGGAAACTGTCCCTCCTTCAACTTTTAGCAATTAACAAACTTCCCAGCATTTCTACACTTTTCATATGCAATAGAATTGGAAGCAGATAACTCTGTTTTTTAACACAATTTAAAAGACCTTGAAACACTGGAAAAAAAAATACCTCTATATGCTTTAGAAAGACTTAACATTGGACTTTAAAAGCTTCAGTCAACTCAACCTCAGCAGAAAAAAATTCCCTGAAAGTAACATTTACAGTATAACTTTTTTTTATCTTTAGTACTTTTGTTTGAAATAGTTAATATGTGTATTTAAGAGGTACATTCATATTTTTGACACATTTTCATATTGACTTTGTTATTTGTATAGTATAAAACCAGCTTTCAGGAATGGAAGCCCAATATATAACACAAGCTTTGGCTGGGCGCAGTGGCTCACGTCTGTAATCCCAGAACTTTGGGAGGCTAAGGAGGGTGGATCACAAGGTCAGGAGTTCAAGACCAGCCTGACCAACATGGTGAAACCCCGTCTCTACTAAAAATAAAAAATTAGCCGGGCGTGGTGGTGTGCGCCTGTAATCCCAGCTACTCAGGAGGCTGAGGCAGGAGAATAGCTTGAACCTGGGATGTGGAGGTTGCAGTGAGCCGAGATTGCACTACTGCACTCCAGCCTGGCGACAGAGCGAGACTCCGTCTCAAAAACAAACAAACAAACAAACAAACAAAAAACAAAACATAAGCTTTACAGATAACACAGCCTGCAGGAAGTAAGAGTTTGTGTTATGACCATGCCCCAAGACTAAACATTCAGGAACCAATTAGGCCTGAAGTCAGGAGTCACTTGTCAATAAAAAGATTTTGAAGGCTCAACTGACAGGTATTTTTAAGTCCATCAGCCCTTGGGGAATAGAAGAAAGAACTTTTAAAATCTAAGTTATCCTTCATATTCATGGGCCTACAAAATATAAACAAAATACTCATTAAAATAGCATCCGAAACCAGTAAAAAATAACCAAAATATCCCAAAGCAAAAATCATACAGAAGAAAAATTATTAATTTCTTTTAACTTCTCTGAACACCTAGTCATTGATTTCTATGCAGTTTTTCTGACCTTACACCTCATTACTGCCTGATTTGCTATTTCCCGCAAAAGAAAATGCTGCCATCGAAGAATACTCCACTGCATGCGTGTGGTCCCTTAAGTATATGGTTTTCACAATTTTCGGAGAACTTTATGACTCCTCTTGGATACCTGGACACCATGAGATGCTGTAAACTTCAGGCTTGGGATCCCAAGCAATTCAAGACACTTTCAGAACACAGGCAACAGTTCAAATTCCAGCGGGTTTTAGAATCAGAGTGGGGTTTTTTTCCTTATCTAAAAAAAGAAAAAACATTAGAACTGCTAAAACCACTAGCCATCTTTCATTTTCTGTACCATTTATAAATTCTTTTGGTAAGAAGGAAAAACCTTATTGTCACAGTACAATCTTTTCAGCCCCCTAAAATTGCTCAAAATGTAATTAGGATGAATCGAGCTCTACTGTTTTTCATTACAGCAGACCCCCTACACACAAAGGTACTGATAATGCACCAATATTAGAAGGTACTCTATCTGATACCAGATGGAGCATGCCTTCATCATTTTATAATATAGATAAATTGAATGGCTGATTTTACTGAAGCCTGCCATTGTCAGTTTAGACCAGCTGCTGAAGATTCAGATGTAAAACTCCTCAATGGGGGACCTGAAGTCTGATCAGCCTTCCTAACAATGCAGAGTTACCTGCCAGTTATCCAGTATTCTGGCCAACAGCAGACTGAGTCTCCAATTGCCACAGAAGGAAAAGCATAGGTAATCAACCCTAAGGAAGCTCCTAGAGGCCAGAATTCCCTATCCTACCTGGTCTACCTTTGCATTTCTCAAAGTACCTATGATGACAGCACACAAGCTCTACAGAGCTGACTGAGACTCTGCCCTTGCTGACTGTTGCTACATCCCCAGCACCTAACACCATGCTAGGCACTCAAATATGATGACAATCCACCTAAAAGGTACTCAACTCAGTGGCTCATGCCTGTAATCCCAGCACTTTGGGAGGCCAAGGGAGGGGGACTGCTTGAGTCCAGGAGTTGGAGATTGGCCTAGGCAACATGGTGAAACCCCGTATCTACAAAAATTAGAAAAATTAGCCAGGCATGGTGGCACACACCTGTAGTCTCAGCTACTTGTTGAGGCTGAGGTGGGAGGATCCCTTGGGCCATAGAGGTTGAGGCTACAGTGAGCAAAGGTCGCACTACTGCAGTCCAGCCTGGGCAACAGAGCAAGACCCTGTCTCAAAATAATAAAATAAAATAAAATAAAATAAAAGGGTACTCAAGAAATATTCCTGAATCATCAGAGTGCAGCCTCTATGTGGAAGTACCCACGTCACTGCCTCCCTTCACTTGGTTATTCCTATCCATAGCTGTGGCAGACCCACTTCTGTCCCTTGGGAGAAAATTTTTGGAAGAAACAAAAGGAAAAAAAAAAAAAGAAAAGCTAGGATAAGCCACTTTCTTTTCAAATTTCTCACCCATAAATTAAATTCCTCAAGGGGCAAGTCCATGTCATCTGATTACTTCGGTAGTCCTCAGGCACATTTCCAAAAATGTTAGTGGGCTGACATACACAAATCATTTCTTTTTGGTTTTTCCCTTTCTATATCCATGCCTCTGAGCTGCATGAAAAAGCCATTTTTACGTTTCATAAAACTGCCTCATGTCATACTTAACTGGTCTGACCATCTTTTTATATTGTGTCTCAAGTCTCCATCCCCAAAACCCATTCACAACATCCTCTAAGGCAGGCTTCTTTGTTCTGTTCAGCTAATACCTGATCATTAGGACTGTGAATTAGGTATGGAAGACAATATTTTTCTAAGTTTTGAACGGAGGTGGAATAGCATGTGGATATAAAACTTAACTTTTACCTACTTCCAGAGTTGACATTCAGCCCAAAATACAGACACCTCACATTTACCAAGTGATCTCCCAAATCGAAGTCGATATATATCTCTACCCCTAAAATCACAGGAATTCCTCTTCGTTGTCAGAATCTCCTATTAACCTGTCGGCATTTTCTCTTTAAGTTCGTCAAAACAGGGCCTTAGGAAATATCTGAGAAGCCTCTTTTATTCCTCTTGGCCAAAACATGCTGCCGTGTGGGTAAAAAGTTGTAATGGGAGAATTGGTACAGATATTTGTAGAGTGGCCAGACTTAAAAATACAGGATGCTCTGTTAAATCTGAATTCCAGATAAACAAATAATTTTTAGTTTAAGTATGTCCCAAATAGTGGATGGGCCACACTTAGGCTAAAAAATTATTTGGGGCCGGGCACAGTGGCTCACACCTGTAATCCCGGCACTTTGGGAGGCCAAGGCGGGCGAATCATGATGTCAGAAGTCTAAGACCAGCCTGGCCAACATGGTGAAACCCCATCTCTACTAAAAATACAAAAATTAGCTGGGCGTGGTGGCACATGCCTGTAATCCCAGCTACTCGGAGGCTGACGCAGGAGAATTGCTTGAACTGGGACCTGGGAGGCGGAGGTTGCAGTGAGCCAAGATCGCACCATTGCACTCCAGCCTGGGCTAGAGAGGGAGACTCTGACTCGAAAAAAAAAAAAAATTGTTTGGCATTTATCTGAAATTCCATCTTAACTGGGTGCCCAATATTTTATCTAGCAACCCTATTTGTGATAGAAGAAAAAAAGGTTAACCCATCAGTGAGAAAGCAAGAACAGTGAGGCTTTGAATTGTAATGGTGAGCAAGGGTAGCAAAGATATGAGCAACAAAACTGAAGGAGCTGAAATAACTTAGAATGCTGCTAAAATATTCCTGGGGGAGAAGGGCAGCGGGAGATGACCCCGAGAACCATTAATAGAAAGTGAAAAGGCCAGCCAGGCACAGTGGCTCATGCCTGGAATCCCAGCACTCTTGGAGGCCGAGGTAGGAAGACTGGCTGAGTCCAGGAGTTTGAGATCAGCCTGGGCAACATGACGAGCCCTCGTCTCTACAAAAAATAAAAAAAAAATAGCCAGGTATGGTGGTATGCGCCTATAGTCTTGGCTACTCAGGAGGCTGAGGTGGGAGGATCGCTTGAGCCCTGGAGTTTGAAGTTACAGTGAGTTATCATCGCATCACTGTACTCCAGCCTAGGCAACAGAGCAAGAGTCTCAAAAAAAGAAAGGAAAATGGAAAAGCCACTGGCATGAAACAGTCTCAAATGTGCCACCACAAGAAATTGCCTAAAGTATTGAGAGGTGACAGCGTGCTGGCAGCCCTCGCATCCCTCACTTGCTCTCAGCACCTCCTCAGCCTCAGCGTCCGCTCTGGCCACGTTCGAGAGGTGGGCCCTTCAGCCCACCACTGCACTGTGGGGGCCCCCTTCTGGGCTAGCCGAGGCTGGGGCCAGCTCCCTCAGCTTGCAGGGAGGTGTGGAGGGAGAAACACAGGCAGGAACCGGGGCTGCGCACGGCGCTTGCAGGTCAGAGTGAGTTCCAGGTGGGCGTGGGCTCGGCAGGCCCCGCACTCTGAGCGGCCAGTGGGCACCGCCGGCCCCGGGCAGTGAGGGGCTTAACACCCGGGCCAGCAGCAGCGGAGGGTGCACTGGGTCCCCCAGCAGTGCTGGCCCGCCGGCACTGCACTCGAATTCTCACCGGACCTCAGCTGCCTCCCCGCGGGGCAGGGCTCAGGACCTGCAGCCCGCCATGCCCAAGCCTCCCCAACGAGCGCCGCCCCCTGCTCCATGGCACCTGGTCCCATCTACTGCCCAAGGGCTGAGGAGTGCGGGCACACCGAGCAGGACTGGCAGGCAGCTCCACCTGTGGCCCCAGTGCAGGATCCATTGGGTGAAGCCAGCTGGGCTCCTGAGTCTAGTGGGGACTTGGAGAACCTTTATGTCTAGCTAAGGGATTGCAGATACACCAATCAGCACTCTGTGTCTAGCTCAAGGTTTGTAAATGCCCCAATCAGCACTCTGTGTCTAGCTCAAGGTTTGTAAATGCCCCAATCAGCACTCTGTGTCTAGCTCAGAGTCTGTGAATGCACCAATCAGCACTCTGTGTCTAGCTAATCTGGTGGGGACTTGGAGAACCTTTACGTCTAGCTAAGAGATTGTAAATACACCAATCAGCACCCTGTGTCTAGCTCAAGGTTTGCAAATGCACCAATCAGTGCTCTGTGTCTAGCTAATCTAGTGAGGACATAGAGAATTTTTGTGTCTAGCTCAGGGATTGTAAACGCACCAATCAGCACCCTGTCAAAACAGACCAATCAGCTCTCTATAAAACAGACCAATCAGCTTTCTGTAAAATGGACCAATCAACAGGATGTGGGTGGGGCCAGATAAGAGAATAAAAGCAAGCTGCCCAAGCCAGCAGTGGGAACCTGCTCGGGTCCCCCTTCCACACTGTGGAAGCTTTGTTCTTTTGCTCTTTGCAGTAAATCTTGCTACTGCTCACTCTTTGGGTCCACACCACCTTTATGAGCTGTAACACTCACCACGAAGGTCTGCAGCTTCACTCCTGAAGCCAGCGAGACCAAGCACCCACCAGAAGGAAAAAACTCCAAACACATCTAAACATCAGAAGGAACAAACTCTGGACACGCTGCCTTTAAGAACTACAACATTCACCGCAAGGGTCTGCGGCTTCATTCTTGAAGTTGGTGAGACCAAGAACCCACCAATTCTGGATACAGTATGTACTTAAGAAAAAAAATCCCTTTAGCAAAGATGAACTCAGAAAAATGTGGGCCCATTTAGGGCACAGGGCCTATGCTGCTGGCACTTTGCTAGTCTCTTACACCAGCTTACAGCACCTCTAGAAGATGACTCCAACCTAGAAGACCCATCAGAGAAGGTGAATGCATAGCCCGGATGTACTCAGCCATTAAGTGCGGGCTAGGGGCTGCACTCAGCCTGTCTGAGTTCACAGCTCTTGCTCTTTCCCTCACAGTGTGTTTTTTTGGGGGGATGGGGGTGGCAGTGATAACTGAAAAAGTGTCATGCTGTCTGGGTACTCATTACATGCATTCTTAGTCTAATGTCTAAAGTTGGAATCTTTACCCCTCCCTTCTGTTCCACAACACTTCTGCAAAAGAATGACTGGAATTTAACGTTAACTAAGGGAAAAAATATTTTACCCATGTCCCTGGAGGTAGATTTTCTTTCTTTTTTTTCCCAAACAAAGCCCTACCAAAAAAAAAAAAAAAAAAAAAAACGCCTCAATAAGCAGAGAGACTCAGGGGCATCTGGTAATAATAATCCTATTCCTTAGTGCCCCAAGAACTCAGTTAGGCAGCGACTATTTTTATAAAACCTGAGACTGACAAAGCAGGGTGGGTCTTGTTTATACCTGGAGGCCCCCTTACTGCTCCCTGTTCAATGACAACTCATGGCAGCTATTACTAATAATGGTGATGAAAACGGCCCACATTCACTGTACTTATTTATCATATTTATTTCTGTGTGCACTGGGTGTTGTTCAAGACTTTGCACTAACTAATGCATTTAATCCATATAACAATCCTAGCAGGTAGGCAGCCTGTCCTTCACTTCACAGATGAAAAAACAGAGGCAAAAAAAGAGATTATAGAACTTCTCCAAGGTCAACCAGCTGTTAATGGAAGGTGTCGCTAGTCTACAGCTACCATCTTGAGGTCATGGTGGAACAAGTCACTCTGATGTTACAAACCTAGCGCCATAAACTGTCCTGAATTGGCACATAAATTTTGTGGTTCAGACAAAGAACTGAAGATGAGATGCCATGTTCCCATGTACATCTTGGTTGACACACACATAAATATATGTAAGGCTGAACCAAGCCCTCATTACACTAGAATCAGTGAATCATCATGGGGTTGAAGGAGAATTTAGAGATTACCAGAACAGATTTATAAAACCACGCCAAGTAACCACGGTTTCCTAATATTCTTAAAGGGTTTAAATAGTTGATGGCAAAGAAATCTAAGGATGGAGGTAGTGGTGAGTCATTAAAATGTTTACAATTTTAATTTTCTTTTCCATCTTACTTTTCTCTCTTTTATTTTTTAAAGTGAGGCAACTGCCAGCATACAAGTTTCATAGCCTGAGTACATTCTTTGTGTAAATAAAATTTTTTAAATCATTTTTACATATGTTAGACTATTTTTAGCATCGTAATCTTAATTTTTAACTTGAATTTGGGGTTTAAAAGAGCCTTTTATTCTTTAGGTTGTCCAAAAGAGATATATCTATAATTTACTAATATTAATCATACTTCTCCATATACAATATGGCAGAGGTAAACCTTTTGGAAAAACGTGCCCTATAAAAGTTCTAATGTACTGTAAGAACAACATAATGAGGCATGCAATGTAAAAGAGAAGTTATATTAAACTCCAGTTTCTGAAATGCTCAAATTCTATTTATCATAATGTCACTAATTCACTGTGTAACCTTGAACAATCTACTTTACCTCTCTGGGTCTCGATATGTAAATGCAGATGTGTCTCATCTGTAAAATGGCAGGGTTGGGTTAGATCACAGTTCCCAACTGGAATGCCCCAGGACAGCTGCGCCAAGGTTCTGATGCCCATCAGCCCTCAGGGGAGCTGGACACAGCCTAGGCTGGAGTCCTCAGATCCACTACCTCCAGCCAAGAGCAGTCATTTATTTCCCCAGGGTGTGCTGTGCACCTTTTCAATGTGTGCCATGATGTGAAAATGGTTGGGAAACACTGGATTAGATGACCCTGAGGTCCATCTTAGCTCCGCCATTCTGTCAGTCTTCCCGAGATTTTAAGGCTTCCTGAGATACTGCCCATGGCCAACTGTTATGTGGTTCTATAAACTGCAATGTAGGGCACAGTGCTTTATAAACAATATAAAACAATATTTCTTATTATCTTCATTTGTTATCTATGCTCAGAAAGTTAAGGTACACTGTAAGGTCCTAAAATGTTATATAAAGAAAGTAACTTATATTTTAGCAGGTTTTTTTGTTTCGTTTTGTTTTGTTTTAGACAGAGTTTTACTCTGTCTCCCAGGCCAGAGTGCAATGGTACGATCACAGCTCACTGCAACCTCTGCCTCCTGGGTTCCAGAAATTCTCCTGCCTCAGCCTCCCAAGTAGCTGGGATTACAGGCACCCGCTAACACGTCCAGCTAATTTTTATATTTTTAGTAGAGACGGGGTTTCACCATGTTGGCCAGGCTGATCTCGAACTCCTGATCTCAGGTGATGCACCTGCCTGGGCCTCCCAAAGTGCTGGGATTACAGGCGTGAGCCACCGCGCCCAGCCTAGCACCATTTTAATACTAACAAGGTGGTGGTATATTCTGATTTTTATAAGTAATTATGTTATGGCATATTAACATAGCTATTAATCATTCCAAAATTCTGCTGAAAGGTTATAATGACAATTAGTTTTCTAATTCCCCACATGCACTCCACCCCATGATTTAGACAAAACAATCACAATCAGAGAATTAAAATGTTAGGAGTCAATGAAAAGTAACCCCTTTAGGAAGTCAGAGAAAACATCATTTAAGCACCTTTAATGTATATAGTGTTTATCTCAAAGTAAAGCAAAACCAAAGGGCAGAGAAAGTCTACTTCCCCCCGCCCCTGCCACTAAATCTGGTTTAAACTAATAGGTTGGAAAGTTTGAAGCACATCATTCCCAGAAAGATGTAAATAAGCAGAATAAAGCTGGGAGAGGGAAGGCGGTAATGCCTGAGGAACTAGATGGGCTGGCATATGAGGGACCAGTTAAAAATGGAATCTCTGTGGCTCAGCTAAGTGGGCACCGGAACTTCTAACCATATACACACCAGGGATTGAGAAGAACAAAGAAGGAAAGGAATTATCAGCAATTCAGGGGTCACAGGGAAGGGGAAAAATAAGGGAAGAAAGCACTGAAGGAGGGAGATGGAGAGGAAGACCTTTGGGGTCAGCTGCCCCAAGTAAGAAGGCTACTCACTCACTCTACAAACAGGCCTTCTGCTCAAAGCTTCTTCCTCACACCTGAAACCAGCCTTGAAAGTAAGCACTGAGCAAGAAACCTTGGAATGAAAATATCCCAGGATATTTCCATAATGTGAAATGGGTCCATGTTTGCCGTTTTATTTTTGTTAGATTCTTAACTCTGACAGCCATAGCCGTCACTCGTACTCATGGAGTTTTTAAATGTAAAAATGGGTACAGGTTGGGATTTGTTTTAAATAACTTTTCTTATTTAAATTTAACAAATTCTTAACAGTAAATTTGAATGAGGCGGAATATTATAAATAAGCAAATAAAAATTACCTGTAAGTCAATCACCAGAGATAATTACTAATAACATTTTGATGTGTTTTCTTCCATTCATTTTTTAACATACCTATTGAATATTGACTGGGAAGGACGAATGGTTCACTGTGATGTCCAAAATTATCTCCTCTTCCATGTAGCTCTCACCTCTTGAATTTAAAAGTAAGACAACTCATTATCTAAGAGTGCATTGAGAGTGATTTGTGGTACTATTTTCCTTGGGAAAAACAAATGGCTGCCCTTGGGTGGAAGTAACTGACCTAGGGCCTCCACCCCAGCTCTGTCCAGCTGTCTTTAGGGCCGAGGGGCATCAGAATTTTGGCACAGCTGTGCCGGGGCATCTCAGCTGGGAAACTGATCTAACCCAACCCTCCCATTTCACAGATGAAGACACTGAGACCAAGAGAGGTAAAGTAGCCTGTTCAAAGTCACACTATGAATTAAAATTTGAGCACTTTAGAAACTGAAGCCCTATATGACTTCTCTGTTACATAAGATGCCTCATTATGGTCTTCTTCTGGGATATTAAGGATCATAAATCCCCTTCACAGGGCATATTTTTCCAGTTTTTCTCTCTGCCATTTTTTATATGGAGAACTGTATGATTAACAATAGTAAATTACAGACATATAATTTATAATTTTGGACAGCCCAAAGACTAAAAGGTTGTTTAAAATCAAACAAAGATTAAAAAACAACATTATGAAACTAAAATTAGAAAGACTATTTTTATTTTGAAATAATTAACTCTAGTCTTTAAATAGTAAGTTTCCCCAGTATATGTAAAAACCAAACCATTTAAAAAATTTTTTCTTTGGAATTTATTTTAACATTTTTCCTTTTAGAAAGTGTTGAAAATCTAACCATATTGTTATGAGCACTGAGTATTTGCATTTTCTAAATCTTTCTTAATTTTATGAGAGGACAATGAATACCGTGTGTTTTTTCTTTTGACATTTTTCTGTTCTAGTGATCATTATTAGTTATTTGTAATTCTTCAGTAAAATGAATACTGTTATGTACTTAAGTTGAGCAATCACTTAGAGTTTTTGGCTTTTAGGCTTAAAAAAAATCCTCTTTCTCAGAGATCAAATTTTCTCCACATTTTTTTTCTCGCTTAGAGCTTTAAATATATATACTTAAATCCAATCCGTATGAAAGATATTTTGGTGTGTCACCAAAGCAAAGATATAAATAGATTTTTTAAAATACCCAATTTCACAACCCCCTTCATCAAATAATCTGTTCCTTCCCCAACGACTTATAATTAAGTTATTCCATACGCTAAAAAAAGTTTTGAAAAGTGCTATTTTGTTGGATTATTTGCATGTTTTTATGCCCACATCATCATCTTTTATCAGCACTTTATAATGTGTTTTAATATTTGGTAGTAGAAGTTTCTGCTTCATTTTTCTATTATAAATATATCACACATGTAGATATATGATATAATGTAATATACATAGTCTTCCAAATGAACTATAGAATCAGTTAAAAAACAGGCTTTTTGTTTAATTGATTTTTGAAAACTATATGCGCAGATCCCTTAATACCTCAATTTTCTCTGGTAACTTAACATTAATTCTTGCACTCCATTCCAAACATTCAGTGCCTTTTAAATGCACCCTACAGATCCATCCCAAATATGTTGATTCCCAGTTCATCTGAAGACCCAACTCAAAGCAGCTTGGTTTTAAGACTCAACAAGTCTAACTCGGACTGGTAGGTTATGAGACCCCCTTGAACAGCCTGCACGAAGAGGCCCTGGGACTTGCCACTTACAGAGCACGCAGGACCAGATCACGTAGGGTTCTGTGTGCCACAGCAGTACGGCACTGGGGAGCCACTGACGGGCATGTAAGTAGGAGAATAACATGATCATATTTCTGTTTTAGGGGCAGAGAGAGAGAGAACTGTGCAAGTGGAAGCTAGATCAGTGTCATGCACCCACCAGAGGCAGGGAGAGGATTAGGAGTCTCCTATGATGTCTGTCTTACAAGAGCAGTGATAAGGGCAGGGGTGATAGAACAAAGAATGATTCAAGTGGGATTTATGTTATTGCAGTGTTTCCCCTATAGCAAAATAGGGTGCATTCAAACAGTCCCAAGGCAGAAATAATGAAGCTCCCAAACCTGTCCCTAAGCACGGTCTCTCTTCCCACCACGTCAATAGGCAGAACGTGCCTGCCCTCTTCCCCCTGTGGAGTGCAGTATTTACTAAGCACCTACTATGGATAGGTCAGGCACCATGCTAGCTGCTGAAATAAATCCTGGATGGGTCAATGCCAAAAATTAGCAGGAGACATGGAGAATGAAGAATATGACTCTGACATCCAAAAAGAGAGCCAAGTATTGGGAACAAGAGTCACCCAGACATTGGGAACAGACTGTTGTACAGAGCTACCACCTCCCTAGAGGCTACTTACCTGTCTGCTCCAAACCAGTGGCCAGCCTCCGTAACTCCCCTGCAGGTCCGAGCCTCCCCTGCACCAGAAAACAGTACCACTGGCCTTGTTCTACCAATGGATCGTCAGGGGAAAATCAGGAGCCCTGGCCACAGCTACACAGGGGTCAACACACAATCCAAGTTTTAGTTCCCTGACTTAACCCTTCAACGCTTGGTCTTTGAGGAGTACACCAAGTATTTATGAAGGCCCTTAAAAACTGTCCAAAAAAAAAAACCAAAGGCCTCTTTTCACTTTTACTAGCTTGATTCTTTAATTTTCACCCAATTCCTTCCTCCTCAACAGTGGTTTCCATAGTTCTCTGGGTGCAACCTGCGTTGGCCTTCCTGCAATCTGGAAAAGATCTTCTGTCTCCCTGCCTCCTTGAAAATAGGCAGACATTTGATCCACTTTTTTAAACTTCAAGGAGGGAGAGAAGAAGTTTCTGTAACTATAAAATATTTGGTCCCTCCACTTACTGGAAATATGCCACATAACAAGAAACATGAAACAAACAATCGTATAACAACTGGGTGGTTTTTGCAACCGCTTTAAGGAGATCAGCTTGGTCCTTTTTCCTATGTAAAAGTATTTGTGATGCTTCATTACAACAAAACTTCAAGTATTAGCTTTATAGAGGCCTATTTAAATTCAGAATCACAAAAAATCAGTACATATTCATAGAATTCTAACTTCCTTATGCCCATAACAAACATAGGTGCAAAGCCACTTTGGGGAGGCCCACAGGACCGAAATATCAGGAAAAGAACCACAAGGCTAAAACATACCTGGCCCTGCACCATGCCTGGCCCGCACATCCAAAAGCCATGACTAACTCTACCATTTGACGGTTAAACTTGAAGCCGTATGCTTAGCTTTGATAAGCCTCCATTCAAGGTCTCTGGGACTGACTTTGTTCATTTTTGAAACAGGTCAATGATGCCTACCCCACAAGGTTCCTGTGCGGCCCCACCCTGACAATGTGTGGAAAGTACTCTGTAAATAATGTCGTCCCAGACCCTTTTCCGGAGGCTTTCATTATCTTAGTTTTCTTCCTGAAACCGCCCCTTTCAACTACATGAATTTATGGTCTTATTCTGATTTTATATGTGGAGAAACTGAGACCCAAGCAGTATTTTTTCCAGGAAAAGAAAACTCCAACAAATTAAGAGATGCCCTCGGAGATCAATAAAGACTTGGGAATGCAGTTTGCCAGTAAGGTAACATCTTGGACAAGTCCTTTAACCTTTCCGAGCACCAGTCTGAGTTCAACTCACCAGCCTGGAGGGTAGACAAGCTGAAGAAGGTTTTGTCACCAGAGAGCTCTAAAGGAGATGGCAAACACTGGAGGAATTGGACCTCATATAAAGCAGCAAGGGCAAGAACCTTCTCCATGCCCCCAAGCAACGCACAAAGTAAGCCCAGGCAGGATGGGGTGCAGCCTCACTCTAATGGGAAGGGGGCTCTGATAAGGAACTTGTCCAGTGACCTCAGCATGGCACTCCAGTGCCACTGGAAAACAAGGCCTGCAGGTGGAAGTGAGCACAGGTGGGAGGCAGCTGTTAAAAGAGGAGCAGAAAGGAGACTACAGCAGCACCAAATGGGGTGGCTTCCCAAGGCCAAGCACAGAAGCTTCTCTAGGACAGCCAGGATCAAGACAGTGCCAGTTCCTGCCCTAAGTGATGTCACACATCAACCGGAAGCCTCATCACAGAGTGGGAACGGACAGCCTTGAACATTTCAAGAACACTTGGGCACAGGCCGAAATCACACCTGAGGTTTGCATGCAGAAGAGAGGGAGAGCAGGGCTTCCAATCATTCCTCTGGAATGAGCTGAAAGTACAGACTACGATTTTACATTATTGTGACCCAATTATTCCAGTATCTTCATAGCTCATATGGAGATCCATGTAACCCGACAAATAATGGCCAAAGTCTTGTCTCACTCAAACTGGTTCCACAAAAAACTGCAACTGATAAACCCTCAAACCCCACATCTTCCCAAGATTGAGCAGTAAACCACACAAAAATATAAATAGGAACCACCCACTAAAGTGCACAAATGATACTATATTAGGTCTCATTGAACAGCCCAATGAAGCCTGCAGTATTTATTAGGTGGAACCACAGCAGTGCTCTGACTTGTATTGGAAAGGAGAAAAAAGGAGGAGGAATGATTTCTAAATATGACTTCAGCATGTTGATAATAAGCTTTCCGGCACTGGTTCATTACGCCAGCCACCCTGCAATCATTAACCCCAGGTAGCAGTGGGGGAGCTAGGACAAAGAAACCCACTGCTTGCCCAAGGAGATTTCCTCATGCTGCCTTCAACAACAACTTTTAGGAAGTCATAACTCCCCCTTCTGAAACCAGAGGAGTTGATACCCTAAACTGGAATATATAACTGAAATTAGTTCTGACCGGTCTTAATTAAATCTTTGTAGCCAGTTGTCAGTGTGCTTGAGATTTTTCAAAATCTCTCTCTCACATGCTCAACAGATGTGGGTGGTAATCAAAGCCAAGCTGATCGGAGCTGCACAGACAGCGAGCAGCAGCTCCCCCAAACGAAAGGTCAGCCATGATAATGACATCCCCAGAGTGATGTATGTGCACGTTAAGAAGTTAAATCTCATGAAAAGAATGTCCAATAAAGCCATCAATTTTATTTTAGGTTCATCTGGCTGCAATTTCTGCCTACAGTCATCTCACTCCAGGAAAAGTCAGCACCGTGCAGGCACCTGGATTCACTTCGGGGTCTCTGGTATATGAACTATGACATTCCACACATAGTTTCCCAACGCAAGTACTGAAATATCTGTGCCCTACTTCTTAGCTCACTGTCTGTAAAACATTCCTTGCCCTTTGATGTGAAAGAAAAATACTCCACTTTACAACATTATCCTGGACTGGACTTCTTTTTTGAAAGAAGCCTAAAACAACACCACCATTGTGGCCACCCTGAGTGTCTGTGGCAACAACCAGAGAAGAAATAATCTTAAAGTTACCAACACGTTGAGCAACTTTACACCTACCTAAATCCTACTCCCCTGTATGATATTTTAAGGGAAAAGAAATCATTAGCAGAATTTCCCACAATTATCTTTGAAAAAAAATCCGCGTCTTTTTTTGGATGGATTCTTGTACCAAATACTTAAGCATTCCTCTGTCTTTAAAGCACCAGGGTAATCTGTTATTAAATGCACGTTTAAACCAACGTTTTATAACCTTGCTGCTGTTTTCAATGAGTCTCCGCCTCTTCCTACCAGGCATTTTGGGCTATAATAGCAGTCCCACAGCCACCTCCTACTGAATAATTATAATAGTGGGCCAATTAAACTAATCACCTTTCCACATATTTTTATCCGGCTTACAGATGTAAATCTCCCCCAGAATGCCGAGAATGAAAGGTTCCTCCCCAATAGCACCTAGGACTCCAAGAGTTACCCCTGGCAGAGATCCCATCCATTAGGGGCAACCTTAATGCTCAACCAAAACTAGTAAGTAACACATTCAAATATGCGATATTCATATATATTCACCACACACTCATCTTTCCTCTTCCAAGAAATCTAAAGGATTCATGAACTACTTCCACAGTACAAAAGTTTAACTTCGTGGTTTAGCTTAAGCAGCAAAACACCACCAAATCCTCTAAAAAGCAATTACCAAGAATGACAGTGCTGAACAGTGCGGGATTTTAGATGCTCAGCAATCCACTGTATGCATTTTTTGAAGGAAAAAAGATTTTAAAGAAAGATTTCAAATTCAGAGGTTTATCACTGTTGCATGAACCATTTACTATGGAGCAACTAACTGAATTAATAACTCCTCGGAGAAATTTTTCTTGATGACTCACACAGAATCTTCTGGCTCTGAAAGGGAGGATACGTTTCCATCCAAACGCCAAGTAACAAGCAGTGAAAAGGAAAAATTCCAACCCTAGGCAAAAGCAGCAGGTGGGAAATACACTCATTTGTATAAAGCTAATCCAGAAATAGCCATTTCCCCTTTCTAGATAAAGCCACAACCTGAGGAATGTTACTTCTTCTGGTCAGGGTGACAATTTGGAAGCAGTTCATGGACCAGATTTATTTTACACCTTACATCCTGAAACTGCTCTATCTTGTTCTCTAAAAATCCAATTATATAACTTAATGACTATTTCAAATATGGATCATAGATCCTTAAGCTATTTCCCTTACCTTAGTAGTTCAGTGATTTTCCCCAATAGTTTTATAATACATCCCATAAACTAGAATAACTGTCTACAGAGAAAATCACTTTTAGTTGACTCCTCTGATATCAGCACAGTACAGAGACAGCTTTGAGAAAGTGTTTCTCGATAGGGTGAAGAGACACTGCAAGCAATTGGGGACAAAATGGAGGAAAGGATTAACCACCATTTCATACCTTCCTTCTTTTTCCGAAGTAGCCAAGACTATGTCTTTAGTGAAGAACAACAAAAATAATACACGGCGTTCCCTTCTGTTCTAACTTTTCTCCAGCCAGAGGAGAAAAAAAAAAAAATAGGTAACCACTTGAAAAATTCTCTTTCAGGCAATATGTACTTCAAAAGCTCATCCAACAATAAATAGACACAGGCATGTCCTGATTAGGTTACTAAATAAAAAGCACTTCCCAAGGCATAGCTCTAAGGCAAGACTTTTTTTCCTACTTGGGACCTCTTGTCCTAACATGCACTCCAAGCCTTCCTTTCCCCTTTATTTACAGCTATAGATATAACCAAAATCCCAGAAAAAGAATAAATGCAAACAAAGACATTCCACTATATCTCAATAGGGCATCCTAAATAAATAATTTTCACTTGAGTTTTGCAGAAAGGATGGTAGGACTACAGAAAAAGACACACACTCAGCTCACACTCAACCTTTAAAAATAAAGCAATTTAAAATCTCATAATTAAGAAGTATAAAAATACATCCCAAATGTACTTGGAATTTTAGTGAATTAGGCCATCCTGATTTTTCTCTTGGTTACTCAAAATGCTTTAGGTTGACAATGTTCAATAAGTACCCCCATATCAAACAAAACACGAACAGCTCAATCTTTTAATTGAGCAAAAAGAGAAGGCACACATGTTTTAGTGATACGCTTGGATTTAATGTGTTATTTCCTACAAGAAATTAGCTCCCCAACCTTTAAAAGGAAGAAAGCTGAGGATCTTGTTACAACCGCAAAGCAAGGAAAATGCTCAATACCCGACACAGATGTGAAATAAATAGCAACATATTACTCTCAAAGAACTCTAAATAGACATATTTTTTTGACAGAGTCTTTTGTTACCTGGACAGCCTTAGGCTCAAAGACCTCACACACTTTTCTTACAACACAGATAATGCGAGCCCACCTACCTTCTCCAGACTGGAGGCCATAAATCCTCCAAGGCTGCCCTGATCCAGACATCGCCATGGTTGAACAAAAGAGTTCATTCCATAAACATCCTTCCTTGTTTTCAGAGCAGTCTCCCTAGATCCGAGCTTTCCCTCCTAACACCTTCCCAGGACGCCTGTTCTGCCTTTATGAATCATACATGGTAGCTACTGGAATGATCTATTTACCTGTCACTTATTAAGACTTACACACTAATAAAATGTTATTTGAAAGAAAAATCTGAATATCCCTGGACAGTCTATAAGAAGTGATTAACACATAATTCAAAAATGCTTTTGGTTTCCTCTCAGCGCAGTTTTCAAAAATACACAACATATTATTTATACGAATGTGAAAATCATCCCATTAGGGATGTGGTGCTGCATGAAACAGCTTAGCTGGGAATGAAGACACCTGGACTTAAGTTTTGACTGATTCTCCTTGGGCAAGTCACCTAACTTCTCTGAGCCTCTGCTTCTTGATCAATAAAATGAAAGGGTCTTAAAAGGCACTTGCAGTTCCAAAATTCTACAATCCGTTTCCTTCCTAGATTGTTCTCTCAAATCCAGTCTCCCAGAGCTCCGCCTTCTTTTAACCTCCATATTGTTTTGGCTTTTGCCCCTGGGTGTCCAGGGGAAAAGTCCTTTGTTTAGAAGACAGCCCTGAGGTTCCCCCAGGGGCACAAGGGTTAATGCAGGTCTCAGGATGTGCATAATCAAACTCAGACAGCAGCTGCTGAGTTGCAGCTAATCCTTAGAGAACTGCATCAGACCTCCTCTTTCTCTCACAGTGAAATTGCCTGGCACCAGGCCTGTTCCGGCTGTTTGGACCTTATGTTTTCGGCACATTGCAAACAACATCTTCTTGTGGATTCAACTCTCAACACGCCAATGGGTTTCTCTGTTTTGCTTTTTCTAGCTAGCTCTCCAGAAGCAAATACTTAAAACATAAGCACACACCCTGTCCACAAGCTGAACATCACATATAAACAGCTTGGGAATGTGAGGAGAGGCTCTGGAAAGGAAAAGGCAGTAAGACTCCCTGTAAATGAATTATTACTGCTCCTCTAATCACTTTGACAATCAATACTTCAAGAAACAGTAAGAGTGAGTGAAGCAGCAGAAATCACCTTTAGAAACTGCTAAATGTATAGATCTCACGCTAATTTCTAATACTAATCTGGTGTTCCCATAAAGTCACCACCTTTCTCTACTTCAGTTCGATGGCCCTTGAAAGTGACAATTATACTGTGTTTTCTTGGAAATATAATGTGACTAACACCCTAGCTTTAGTAAAATGGATTCTATTTGTAGATTCAAGAGAGCTTTTTACAATATATACTTTTAAAAGTAAAAAGTTGTCACTACAGTTTCATTGGCTGGATTCTTATATCAGCTCTACCCAACAAAAGTCATCTTGTTCCAGGAAGTCCCGTGAGAAAGGCCAAGAAGGCATGTTATGAGAAATCATTTAGTTCCAGGTAACAACTATTTACTAAATTAGCCAAATTAGTGGGCAGCATAAATTATGAGAAGCTATCAACTTGTTGATATCATCAATTTTATACTACTACTTCTAACGCCGAGCGTGGTGGCTCGCACCTGTAATCCCAGCACTTTGGGAGGCTGAGGCAGGCCGATCACTTGAGGTCAGGAGTTCAAGACCAGCTTGGCCAACAAACCCTGTCTCTACTGAAATATAAAAACCGAGCCATGCGTGGAGGTGCGCGCCTGTAATCCCAGCTACAGGAGGTTGAGGCACAAGAATCGCTTGAACCCGGGAGGAGAGATTGCACCACTACACTCCAGCCTGGGTGACAGAGCTAGACTCTGTCTCAAAAGAAAAAAAAAAATTTATACTACTTCTAAAAAATAATTAAATTGCGATTTAATTTTTTTCACCACTTAAGTGTAAATTTAGGATTTTTCCCCCCTAGATTATCTAAGATAAAAGAGGTTTCATTAAATAATGTGATATTATGATGTGTTCTCCTAAGACAACTATTTTGTTAAACCTTCCCAGAAAACAACCTCCAACCAGATCACTCTTCAAGAACACATTCCTTCTTTAATCCTTATTCTCTACTAAATATGTCATTTTGAAACATTTTGAAAAATTTCTGTAACGTGGAGCATTAAGAAATGACGAAAAGTAAACATCACTAATCAATTGTACTAATACTTTGAAATTTGAGGATTTTACAAAAAATAGTGTGGGGGGAGGGGCAGGGAATAAATAACTGTAAATCAGCTTTATGATTTCCAAACTGCTCTCTGGGGAATTACAGGAAGCACTGCACTCTGGGCACTCTGGGTCGGCCTCCATTTACAAGAGACTTAGAGCAAACCCCCTCTCTCCCCTAGCAAGGCTCCTCCCACCGCAGAGGGATGTAGGAGAGGCTGCAAGCTCCCTCTAACTTAGATACAGAAAATTGTCACGCAAGGGCTCTGTAGTGGGAGTGTCTGGATGGATTTTGTTGAGCGTAGGCTGGATTTGCATGTGTGTTTTTAGATGAAAAACATTAAAATCAAACCATAGAAATCACTGTAACAAATTAGCAGGACAAGACAGACATGCACACTTCTTGACTGAAACCTAGGATGGACCTCCTCCAAATGGTCTCACTTGAAGACTGTGCCAGACGTCAGTTCAAAAAAATTTAACGGATTAAAACTAACAGCTTAGGAGGTGAACCATATTATTCCTAATTATTATTACCACTCTATTCATGCACCAGCTGTGAACAATTAAAAGCCTATAGTTCTAAATTCCCACGGACCCAAGAATAAAATTAAGACATTTTCACAAGAAGTTTCAGCTCTTTATCTGTAGTTAAAAGCTCTCAAGGTAGGCCAGGCACGGTGGCTCACGCCTGTAATCCCACCACTTTGGGAGGCCGAGGCGGGCGGATCACGAGGTCAAGAAATCAAGACCATCTGGCCAACATGGTGAAACCTGTCTCTACTAAAAATACAAAAATTAGCCGGGCCTGGTGGCGGGCGTCTGTAGTCCCAGCTACTTGGGAGGCTGAGGCAGGAGAATGACGTGAACCTGGGAGGCGGAGCTTGCAGTGGGCCGAGATCGCGCCACTGCACTCCAGCCTGCGTGACAGAGAGAGACTCTGTCTCAAAAAAAAAAAAAAAAACCTCTCAAGGTAAGGCAGTCTCTCCAACTAGGTCCACAAGGCAGAAGTGCACCGTGTCACAGGAAAGTCTTGGGTTTTTCTTTTTTTTTCTGTCAGGCATTTTTTACCATTAAAAATTAAAATAACCAAGAAACATTACAAAGATCACATGACTAGGCTTTTTATACCATGAAGCGAAACAAAACTTCGAAAAATCAGCTGCTTAAGGGTGAGGACAGGGGCATTCAGAACTCATTAAGTATCTTAGCCAAGACCTCACTGTCAGGGCTAGGCCAAGGACTAGAGATATCTAAAATGCACCCCACTCCAAAACATTCTGAAAGGCATTCCATTTCAGGGAGGGAGAGAAAAAGAAAAAAACCAACAGCAAACCAATCGTTCTGCGGCTCTTTGTATCCCTGTTAAATTAGCTCAGCTGAGGCAGGAGGGACTTCATGGTCAAGTCTCCTGGTGTAGTTAACGTCTTTAATTCCTACCTATTGACTTGTCCATTTCCCTAATCACCTAAATTAAGGCCACAGGAAAAACAATTTTAAGATTCATGTGTGCATATATATATACACACACACACACACACACACACACACACATGCACACACACAAACGTGTGTATTTATGCACACACATATATACATACAAAAATATGTACATATAGTACTTCATATAAATCATACAGATAAAAGGAACAGAATTGAGAGTGCAGAAATAAACCCCTACATTTATGGTCAATATATTTTCAACAAGTGTGCCAAGAATTCAACGGGGAAAGAATAAGACTTTCTAAGAAAGTGTTGGGACAACTGGATACCACATGCATAAAGAAGAAAATAAACTGTACCCCAACCCCACAACATATGCAAAAACTAATTCAAAATAGATTTTAGATCTAAATGTAAGAACTAAAACCATAAAACTCTTGGAAGAAAATAGGAATAGATGTTTCCAATTTTCAGTTAGGCAGTGTTTCTTATATATGATACCAAAAACATAAGCAACAAAAGAAAAAAACTGATAAGTTTGACTTCATAAACATCTAAAACTTGTGTGCTTCAAAGGACACTATTAAGAGAATGAAAAGACAACCCACAGAATAGACATCTGAATAGACATTTCTTCACAGAGTAAATACAAATGGCTAAGAACACAAAAACACATCTTGCTCAACATCATCAGTCAGTAAGAAAATGAAAACCAGAACCACAATAAGATACCACTTCATACCCAATAGGGATTGTAATCAAAAGGACAGACAATAATAAATATTGATGAGGATGTGGAAAAACTGGAACCCTGTGCACTGCTGGTGGGAATGTAAAATGGTACAGCTACCTTGCAAAACAGTGTGGCAGTTTCTTGAAATGTTATACAGAGTTACCATATCACCCAGAAATTCCACTCGTAGGTATATATACTCAGGAGAAATGGAAATATATGAACATATAGCCCCATGAAACTTGTACACTTGGACACAAATGCTTATGGCGGCATTACTCCTAATAGCCAAAAGGTTGAAACAACCCAAATGTCCACCAACTAACAAATGGAAAAGGGGGTATGACTATATGCAATGCACAATAAATATTTATTTGGCAATAAAGAGAGATGAAGTACTAGTGCTACAACATGAATGAACCTTGAAAACATGCTAACTGAAAGAAGTTAATCACAAAAGGCCATATATTACATGATTCCACTTACATAAAATGTCCACAATAGGCAAATCTACAGAGACAGAAGGGAGACTAGTGGTTGCCTAGGCCTTGAAGTGAGTGGAATGAAAAGTGACTGCAAATGGGTACAGGTTTTTTTTTTTGAGGTGGGGGGGTGATTAAAATATTCTCAAGTTAGATTGTGGTCACTGTTGCACAATTGTGTGAATACACTAAAAACTACGCTTTAAATGGGTGAATTTTTGTGGCAGGTACATTATACTTCAACAAAGCTATTCAATGTTATGTACCTATATGTACAACTCTAAGTAGCATAAAATATTGTTTGACAGTTATCCTATTGCATGGCTAAATAAACTATTTTTAAAGGAATAATTTCTAGATAACGCTTGCTATGTTTTGATCTTTAGCTCAGTGTCACATTTTGCATTTTAGAGAGGGGAGGGCCTTAGATCCCGAACTAAAAACCCAAAAAGGTTAAGCAGAGAGGTGGGGTCCACAGAAAGCCATTGCAAGCTTTCTAGGTTTTCAGCCAAAAGCAATGATTCTGTAACTTCAGTATGTTTCAGCTACATTCAAATGCAGGGTCTGAGATGGGATGCAAGAATGTGCATTTTTAACAAATAACCCCAATCCCCAAGGTGATTCGAACACCGGCAGTGTGACAACAGTACTTGGGGCAAAGAGATCCATCAGCCTGGAAGGGCTCCCCTTCCAGCCCAACACTGGGTTCTTTGGCCAGTCCCAGGGCTAGGGAGCCGTAAGTTGGTGAAAGTGTCATGATCACAGTTGGGCAGTATTTTCCACCTGCCTCTAATAATTCTTGCCATCAAAATCATGGGCATTTGGGAGATTTTCAAATTTAAAATTTTCTGGGTAGCTCACACTGGTAAAAATATCCGCCTTTGGGAGAGAAGATTCATCAACTTCTCGGGACCTCAGAATACAATACCCGTGGCCTCATGATCTTTTTGGAGTATATTCACTTGTCCAGTGTTTAAGAAAACTATCAGATTCCAGGACAAGACTCTATGTTCAGTGTATAATATTCAGAGCCAAAAATACAGAAAAAATCTGCTGGGAATTTTCATCCACAGAACACGGACAGCTGGCCCTTCGCACCCCAGTTGTTTCCTGTCTCTAACAGGTGGACATTTTCCCTCTACAGTGGAACTTTACCTCCTACTCCGACTTCTATTTCCCATATCAAGAGCAACCTCCATCCTTCTATTTCCCATATCAAGAGCAACCTCCATCCTCTTATCTGTGAGGAAGAAATCCGAGCTACAGCAGCTAGATGAAGTGGCATCTCTAAGAGAGGAAATGGTTAGTCATGAAAGATTACCGCATTCTAAATGACAACTGTAACCAATTTAGTTGGCTGCCAAAGGAGAAGAGAGGAGAATAGAACACAGTGTTAAAGTCTGGACTGGAATTTTAAAAACTTCATTGCAAGGCAGTAAGTAGAAAGTAGGGGGAAAAAGCGACTCCTTAAGAAAAGCATAGCCATTATAGAACTATTGAAGGTTTGACTGCAGAGACTAGCTGGTTTTACAAAAAGGGAAACTGAGGTAAAAGAGGTTGAGTGATTTGCCAGAGGTCACAGCTGGTAACTGGCAGAGAAAGGCCAGCCTATAAGAACCCAAGTCTTCTGGCTACCTGTCCAGCATTCTCTTGCTTTACCCAGAATAAAGAAGGAAACATGGAAGTGAGCGCTAGCACAGGAAAAATCAAGAGGGAGACAAATGGTTCATGACTAGAGCAGGGATTCCCCGACCCCCGGGGCCACAGACCAGTACTGGTCCATGGCCTGTTAGGAACCCAGCCCCACAGCAGGTGAGTAGCCATCCAATCTCATTACCGCCTGCACTCCGCCTCCTGTCAGATCAGTGGCAGCATTAGATTCCCCTAGGAATGCAAACCCCTGTGAATTACACAGGCGAGGAATCTAGTTTGCACACTCCTTGTGAAAGGAGTCTGATGCCTGATGATCCAAGATGGAACAGTTTCATCCCAAAACCATCCCCCCTAACACCTGTGGAAAAACTGTCTCCCATGAAACCAGTCCCTGGTGCCAGAAAGGTTGGGGACCATGGACCTAGAGTCCTTCTGTACATTAGGTGTTTCAGGGTTCTTGTCACACTGGTCACTTAAGCCTCAGAAGGAAAGCTCTGCACTATGACACATGGGTCATGGGTGATCAAGGTCCAGCATGAGTGTCCCTGTCCAGCCGAAGAAGGGTTGCCTGGTCAAAGTGCGGATAAGTGAATGCTTGGGAAATTAACAGTGCCTCCCAAACCCCTGGCAGGTTGGGACAGTGGCTACTTTCCCTTTACATTCTTCGTGCTGGCCTGTGGGCCCTCTGTCTCTCTTCCCTCTCCCTAAAGTCCACTCATGGTGTCTTGAGTTTGCTGTTTTCTCCCAGGCACTCACTGCTCTGACTCAAACCAGATAGTCAAGTGTGCCATTCTAACTGGTTAAAGTACCTGTCAGAGTCCCTTGAAGTTTGAGGTAATGTTAGATTTCAATGGTTACATACACAGTCCCCTAACTTTGGCAAATAGAGATCTTGCCATCAGTTTAACAGCAAGTTGGTCCTAGAATGCCAGACTCCTTCAACTATAGGCAACAAAAGATGTCTAGTCTCAGTCAGACCAAGTTATCAGGAAAGGAAATAAAATATAGTTTAAGTTGCTCAGCACTCACCTTTAAAATGTCGTACAGAATCTTCTAAGGTTAGAAGGAAGCTATAAAGGTCAGCGACTCTCCCCAGCCAGTTGATGGCTTGAATCTCCTCTAAAGATCCTCAGTAAACAGCCATCCAAACAAACACCAGCTTAGCTCCAGGTATGGGTCCTGCCTCCTGCTTAAGTAGCCTGTTCCATCTTTGACTGCCTCTTAGAAAGGCTTTCCTTTTACTCAGTCGAGATCGGAAGTTTCCACCCTTTTCACTCTTGGTTGTCCAAAAGTATGTAAGATCCAAGAAGACAAAGGGTCAGGTGCAAGTCATGACGTTACATCTTTCTCATGCTTATTAGATGATGATACTACCAAAAGATGTTTTTGTCGTTTTTAAAATTTCCAATAAAAGAAAAAACAGAACCCCTGGCACATGTAGAATGCTAAAGCTGGTTTATATTCAATAAACTAAAAGGTTCTATTGAATGAATACTAAACACATCTGTAAATAGTTTATAGTATTAAATCTGTTTGCATCTTCTGGGTTTTCTGCCTCTATTTATATCTCAAGGCACAAAACAACAAAAGCAGCCTGTGAAGGCTCAGAAGGGTAGTTAATGCTCAAAGGAGAGAAACAACAAACGCCAGGAGGCACATCCCAAAGACTCTCTTAATATTTATTAAACCAACAATAGTGTTTTGGGTAAATCTTATTAATGGAATACACAAAGTTCTGGGCAAATGAAATTTTAATTCATTTATAGCAGATGTGCCTACAATCCACATTTTCATTAAAAGGACAATAAGCAGTTGAGAACCTTGGAAATACCATGTTATTTTGAATATGATATATTATTTTTCTATCATGTAAGACTGTCACAACTTTTTTTAAAAGCAGGATGTAGTATGCTTTTAGAATTTTCTTCTAAAGCTTGCGAGAAAGGCCTTAGTCTTGGAAATTACCTCAAATCCTTTGTGTAATGAATAAAGTATAAAAAAGTACTAAGTATAAAGTATAAAAAACATACTAAGAAAACAAAACCTTGAGAAGGAGACGGTAAACACAAGTTCAATTCATCATCTCTCCAACACTCATCGTTTGATGCACTAAAGGCTTCTATTTACATAATCTTTAGCAATTAAAGATTAAATAATTTAAAACATTCTTAAAAGCATTTGTCAAAGTTTATATTTTCTTTTACTCTTATTTACCAACCACTAAAATAAGAGATCAGAAGATCAAAAGTACACTGTTACAGTCTCCTATGTTTATTAAACTCAGCAAACACATTTATTCCTAAATACCCTTTATGTCACGTGCTAATAATCTTCAAATATTCCATGCTTGACTAACTCGACAGTAAATAGCCCCCAATGCCCCCACATCTGGCTTGAGCACCCCCATGTTCTCCACTTTCCTTTCTTGTCTGGGTCTAAATGCCAATTCACAAAGGAGTGAGGTAAAGGTCTCTCTGTTCTAAGCCTGCTATTAAACAGTTCTCTTTGGGGGAACCAATCCTTTTCTATCACAGTCCACGGGATTCTGGGGACACTTCTTCATGTGTAGTTCCCAGAAATTAAGGAACTAGGAAGCTATTCTGGGATTCTTACTGGAAGAACTAGGAAAGAGTAGTGCTTTCTACTGAAACTGCTGACAGGACAGGCTGTTAACTTGAAGTTGCCAGACTCCATCTTGCCACCACCAGAGGAGAAGTCGCTCCTGGTTGTCATCAATACCTAAAGTCTTCCCTTTTTAGTAACAAAACATCCCCAGATTTTAGTTGGGCACGTGGCCACCCATGTAGAGACTACATTTCCCAGCCCGCATAGTACCTTGTGTGACCACGTGACTATGCTGCAAATAGTGGGATATAAGTGTAAGTGACATGTTACCCCTCCAGGCTGTGGCATTAAAAGGAATGGGTATGTTCTCCCCCTTGACTCTGTCTCCTGGCTGGGAGACAGTATGGATGGACTGGCCACCTTGGACCAGCAGGTAAGAACTGCGTGTGAGCACAGCAGAGCTATCCCACCAGACCTGTCTTGGGACTGTTGTGTCAAACAGAAATAAATCTACTTTAAGCCACTATGTTTAGGAATCTCTTTTTAACAACAGCTTAGCTGTTACTCTAATTCTGTAAAACCTGAAAGTGAATCTAACAAAGTAAGGTTGAGCTGAGAGTTACGTAAGCCTTGAGGCTGATTAAAAAAAAAAAAAAAAAATCACATAAGCCTCTTGATGCAGCCAGATCTGAAAACAGAACTACTCCTGAACTCTTCCATTATCTGAACCAAAAAGTTTCCATTGCTTAAGCCAATCTGAGTTGGGATTTTCATTACTTGCACCAGCACTCACTCGATGAAATGGTCCTGGGTCCTTCACAGCTTTCGGAGCCTTGCCTTGCCCCCAGTGATTGCTTCCCTGAGTCACTGCCAGGCAGAAGCCAAAACAGCTGTTCTACCTCCTCACAAAACTTTTAAATTAAGGGCGTTCTAAGGGCTGGCTTCTACAAAGGAAACTCACTATTTCTATAAATCAGTGTTTCACAAACTTTAATGTGCTTATGAGTCACTGGGAATCTTGTTAAACTTAAATACGATTCAGTAAGTCTCAGGTGGGGTTTGATAGCCTGGATTTCTAAAGAGCTCCCAGGTGATGCCCACACTGCTGGTCTGGGACCCTCATTTTGGGTAGCAAGGTCCTAGAGCAGCAGCCTCTAATCCTGACTGAACACTGGAATCACCAAGGCAGCTTAAGAAACAAAAATACTGACACCCGTGCCCCACAACCAGGGACTCTCAATAGTGTCTGTGCTGTCAAGGTGAGAACCGTAGCTCAGAGGTTCTCGAACGTTAGCATGCAGAAGGATCCCCTGAAGGGCTTTTTAAAGCTCAAGACTGCTGGGCCCTACCTGCAAAGTTTCTGATTGCTTAGTCTGCAGAGAGGCCCAGAATCTCCATTTCTAACAAGGTCCGAGGAGCTGTAGATGCTGCTGATTAGTCCCTACTTCGAGAACCACTGGCCTAATCTGTTACTCCTTGTAACAGACCTCAATTTCCACTGAGAAAAAGCACTTATATCTACTAATTGTATTACATGAATGCTCTGGAACATTTATCTATCAGGCATACACTCCTAACGGGGAGAACGAAGAGAATTCACATTTGCATTTTCTCTGTGCATGCTTAATACTTTGTAAAGACACTTTAACCCCATCATCACCAAAATAATAAACTGATGTTGAATTTTACTCTAGATATTACAGACTTACTGGGTTTAAAAGCCTATGAATCATAGTAAATGGTTCATTTTAATAGCCTTCTCAGAATAATCCCTCCTCCAACTCCATTGTAGGACAGATACATGTTGAGTGGCAGTAGGGTCAGCATTGTAATGTTATCCTGCAGAGCAATTTTTAAAAGCTTTGAGAAATCCAGAATTCTTCAACAAGGTTTTGTTCCCTGAGTCAATTAAAGATAGACCCTTTTATTCAAATTGTGTGTTTTAGAAGTGAGTGAGGGCAAGCATGCTCCCAAATTAGATACCCGAACAAAGTAAACTATGAATAGATTAGATGATGGGCTGCTGCTTTTGTGCTTAAGCATGAACTAAAGACAACTCAGATGTCTTGCTCACAAGACAGCCTAAAGCACTCTCTCTTCCTATTTCAGCTGCAAACAATACAGCTCCATGGAATTGAAGCGACTTGAACCAGGTCCAAATTGCTGAACTTAAGTGCAGGTACGGTAAGAAGACCATTATTAAGACACCTATGTAGGACCTATACATGATCAGTATATTCAATCAAGTCCCAGAATGTATTTCCAATCAGTAAAACATGCAATTTTTCTGTTCAAAGTATGAACTCAGGCAAATCTAATAAGCTGGCCAAACATGCTTTTCTGTAACCAGACCAAGAGGACGAGTGTCCCTTGCTCCACTAGGAAAAGTTTTCCTTCAGGAAGGGCAATGTGTGCATTTTTTTAAAAGACATCCTCAGATAAACTTACTTTATAGCTATGCAGTCTTCTGTCTAAAGACCTCTCGAATGTTTCCAAATCCACCAAAATAATAGTCAAAAGAAAAAAGTATGATCCAGCAGAAAAGACACTGGAGAAAAGGAAAAAGCTGGAAGGGAGCAAGGATTTCCCAATTCCACACTGCTTAGACTGTGACAGGCAGCAGATGAGTCCTGGAAAGCCACCTCATTACATGGGGCTTAATCACAGCAGTAGAAAGCATACGTTAAGAATACAAAATCTTACCTGCTAGGCTGCTCTCTAAACTGGAGACTAAGAAGTCCTCTAGAGCAAGGTTCTCAAGCCTTCTGGAAGTGAGAATAAGCTTTCACAGGGAGCTGGACCCCAACCACATAGATTTTGATTTAATTGTCTGGAGTGGGGCCAAGGCATGAATAGTTTTTAAAAGCTCCCCAAGTTTATGTAATCGGCAGCAAGGGCTGAAAACCCGTGATGGAGAATATGCCCTCCACTACCCAGATGGAAAACCTAGAGAAACCAAAATGCCTCCTCCTTTCACCAAAACACAAGAGCCACAAAAAGAAGAGGAAAAAAATCGGTCTGTCCTCCTGATCTGGTCAGTGGCACCATCAGTCTTCTCTGCCTCATGTTCAAAACCTCAAAAGACTATTGACACTGTCTTCTTTGGTCAGTACATCCAATTAGCTGTCCATTTCAATCATCATCAACACTGAGAGTCTAGCGCAGGCTCTATCCTGCGCACTCTTATTACTGCTTGACACCCATTAATTAAGGCATTAGCCCTCACAACACCTCTATGAGGTGGCTACTATGACTAATCTCCTTTATACAGATGTGAAAATGGAAGCATAGAGAGGTTAAATCACCTGCCCAAGTCCAGAAATTGGCAGAGCTGAGATTTAGAGAGGTTCCATTAATTCTACCTCTTAGTTCTCCCATTACCAGACTGAAGTTTGCAGAGAGAAGCCATTAAAGCAATATGCTAAAAGTTGGTAAAGAAATCAGAATATCAGTGACCTGGAAGATTAGGCCAACCAATGAAAAGGAAGATTCTGACACTTCATGATTCGGGGCTGCAACCATCCATTAGATACTTCATGATTTGAGGCTGCAACCATTAGACACTTCATGATCCAGGGTTGTACCCATTGGACTACATTAAACAGTTGGTGATACAGTTAGACACTTTCACTGCTCTCTTGAAAGATTACAGTATCATAGAAAGACTATTTAAAGCTAGAAAAACTGAGGCTCTAACTTGTGCTGGGCCACATAAAATGCAGCCTTGGCAAGTAATACCGCCTAGCAGTTGTGAGACAGTTATAGACAATGAATGGAAAATGCCTATCTATAGTAGGAGAAGGCTGTGGTAATGGTAATTTTTAATGTTACTGCCTTTTAATAAAATTCTTTCCTTAAAAATATCTCACAGACTTATTTTTCTGAAAAAGCTTGACTCAAATACATTTGTGTTATGATAAAATTTATAAACCAATAATCTTTTTTTTTCTTTTTTTTGAGATGGAGTCTTGCTCTGTCACCCAGGCTGGAGTGCAGTGGCTCAATCTCTGCTCACTGCGACCTCCGCCTCCTGTGTTAAAGCCATTCTGCCGCCTCAGCCTCCTGAGGAGCTGGGAGTACAGGTGCCCGCGACCACACCCGGCTAATTATTATTATTATTATTATTATTATTATTATTATTATTATTATTATTTGAGACGGAGTCTCACTCTGTTGCCCAGGCTGGAGTGCAGTGGCGCGATCTCTGCTCACTGCAAGCTCCGCCTCCCGGGTTCATGCCATTCTCCTGCCTCAACCTCCCAAGTAGCTGGGACCACAGGCGCCCGCCCCCATGCCCGGCTAATTTTTTGTATTTTTAGTAGAGATGGCGTTTCACTGTGTTAGCCAAGATGGTCTTGATCTCCTGGCCTCGTGATCCACCCGCCTCGGCCTCCCAAAGTGCTGGGATTACAGGCATGAGCCACCGCGCCTGGCCTATTTTTGTATTTTTAGTAGAGACAGGGTTTCACCATGTTGGCCAGGCTGGTCTTGAACTCCTGACCTCGTGATCCACCCGCCTCTGCCTCCCAAAGTGCTGGGATTACAGGCGTGAGCCACCACAGCCGGCCAATATTCAAGAGGAAACTCTTGGGAGAAAAGAGGAGCCTACATCTAAGATTGGCAAAAGGAATTGGGTAAAAAAGCACTTCTACCTGGGCTGTAAGTGCATCAGACTCTCTCCTGGAAGGCACTGACATATTTTTAGCATAAAAATCCAAGGAATGTTCGTTTTCTCTTAACTACAATAGCAGCCTTCTTTCCCCCAGAAAATGCAGTATTAATTCATGAGGATTTTGCTTCTGGTCCCGATTCTTATCTCCAGGAAGCTTTTATCTCCTTTTCTATCTATAAATCTCCACAATCTTCCTAAGACTTACAAATCAACTCTATTTCAGTCTCTGGGTCTTCCAAATCTCAGTCCTCTCAACTGTCTTCCCATAATTAGCCTGAAGTTTCACCAGCAAGTAAAGGAATTAGTTGGAGCACAGTTTTGCTGGAAATAGAAAAAGTATCTAAACACCAAAGGATTCTGCACAAAACCCACTAACCACACTGATGCTAAATGTATAACGTAAAATGTATGTTTCATGGTATTTCATTTATTTGTCAAACATGTGCCAGAAATAAGTGCATTAGGTGCTAATCATTAATGTGGGGAATGAGGGAGTAGAAGCAGCCAGAAAAGGAATGTTTTATAAGAAAATACACTAATAAAACAGCGTAGGCTAAATTTACAACTCTGCCACTAATTACCTAGGTAATCTTGGATAAATCACTTAACCTCTCTGGATGTGTTTCCTTTTAAAAGTCCATTCCAGCTCTAAAATCCGTTGTTACAAAAACTAAAAAAGCAAAATCCAAAAGAATACAGTGAGAATTATCCCAACACTTTTATACCTCTTTGATTACTTAGCTATCTTTTTTTTTTTTTTTTTTTTCCTGAGACAGAGTCTCGCTCTGTTGCCCAGGCTGGAGTGCGGTGGCGTGATCTCGGCTCACCGCAATCTCCACCTCTCGGGTTCACGCCATACTCCCACCTCAGCCTCCCGAGTAGCTGGGACTACAGGCGCCCGCCACCACACCCAGCTAATTTTTTGTATTTTTAGTAGAGACAGTTTCATTTTGTTATCCAGGATGGTCTGGATCTCCTGACCTCATGATCCACCTACCTCAGCCTCCCAAAGTGCTGGGATTACAGGCGTGAGCCACCGTGCCCGGCCAGCTAAGGCTATTTGATCTAACTGAACACCTACTATAAGGTCCACAGCCTGGGCCACATAGTGAAACCCCATGTGAACAACAACAACAAAAACTCAGCCAGGACTGGTGCCTGTAGTCCTAGCTACTCAGGAGGCTGAGGTAGTAAAATGCCTTGAGCCCAGGAGATCGAGGTTGCAGTGAGCCATAATCACACCACTGCACTGCAGCCTGGGCAACAGAATGAGACTCCGTCTCTTATAAGTTTTCACCGGATACATATATGTAATGTATATAATATATGATGTGTATAATATATAAGTATATATTATAAATGTATACTTTTTACCCGATTACATATGATATATACAAAGGCCCAGCTCTCACTTTTAAGACCCCAAAGATTATAGAATATGGAGAATCAAGACTGGTTGAAATATAAGGTTACTTTCTCCCCTGATAGAAATATCAACAGATCATTCAGGTTCTAAACAATTTCTTACTCTTTCTACCTTTTGTACATTTTACCACTTGGAAGTCTTTCTTTGAAGAGAAGATTGGGAAAAAGAGAAACATATGAAAATCAAGTGTCTCCAAGTCATCAACAGAATTCTCCTTTTTCTCCAACATACTGTGCCACTTCAAGGAAGGTTTTAGGAAAGTTTTGCTTTTCCAGGAGACCAGTGACTTCTCTTCTACAAGGGGTTCTTCTTATTCTCCATTGTGGTTTTTTGGCAATTTTGATTGTACAAATGCCGAACTAGATTCAACATAAACTGATGCATATTTTACATATAACACATATTTTAAGTGCTGGCCCAACTCATTTTCAATTCTCTAAATAATCATAAGGTAGACAGTAGTTACTTGAAGGTGAGTACCATGTCATAATTTCTTTTTAACTTGCAGGACCAACATAGAGCTTTGTCCTTTGTTGGCTTATAGTAACGTGTGTCCATTGTTAAACTGATTTATCGAGTACAAAACTTAATTCAATAACTAATCAGCATAATCACAATACCTAATCAAATCTAATAATCAAATCAAAACACCATTCTTATTTAAGCGAGTTCAGAAGTGGGACATAAATAAAGTTAAGATTTTAATTCATTAGTAAATTTATATAAAACAGTGTTTAAAATGTAGGGTTCCAGGCCGGGCGCGGTGGCTTATGCCTGTAATCCCAGCACTTTGGGAGGCCAAGGCAGGGAGATCACGAGGTCAGGAGATTGAGACCATCCTGGCCAACATGGTGAAACCCTGTCTCTACTAAAAATACAAAAAGTAGCTGCGTGTGGTGGTGCACCTGTAGTCCCAGCTACTCAGAAGGCTGAGGCAGGAGAATGGCTTGAACCTGGGAGGCAGAGGCTGCAGTGAGCCGAGATCGCACCACTGCACTCCAGCCTGGGCGACAGAGCGAGACCCTGTCTCAAAAAAAAATAAAAATAATAAAAATAATTAGGGTTCCGATGCTGACCTTCTTTAAGTATTTTAATTATAATCCAAGTACTACCAAAGATTTTCCAGTCTTAACTAAATTTCCAACTTGTATGCAAGTTTTAGCTAAGTATTATTCAGGAAATATGGGTGACAGGGGAAATACAAAATATAATTAAGCATCATAACTTGCGTGACTAAAAATAAACCAGTTTTATGATGACATTCCACCACAAAAGAAGTGAAAATGGCCTGTTCCTGCTTTAACTGATGACATTATCTTGTGAAATTCCTTCTCCTGGCTCATCCTGGCTCAAAAGCTCCCCTACTGAGCACCTTGTGACCCCCACACCTGTCTGCCAGAGAACAGCCCCCCTTTAACTGTAATTTTCCTTTACCTACCCAAATCTTATAAAACGGCCCCACCCCTATCTCCCTTCGCTGACTCTCTTTTCGGACTCAGCCTGCCTGCACTCAGGTGAAATAAACAGCCTTGTTGCTCACACACACAAAAAAAATACAAAATAAAAATAAAAACCAGTTCTAAATTTGTGAAAATATATGTCCCATAGTGTTAAGAGTCAGGATGCAAGTGAGAAACACAAAACATATGCGTATATATTTATACATAAACATATAATATACTGCAGAATCACAAAACTTAAAGATGGAAGAAAAGAGAAACCAACAGGTTTAAATCACCTACTATGGGTCAAGCTTTGTGTTAGAAGATTTTAGTCATTATTGAGGCTAATCTTCAAAATAACCAAAAAGCAAAATATTCTAATCCCAGTTTCACACTGAAGAAACAAGCATGGAGATGATAAGAGACTTCTCATGGCTTTTAAGTGGTAATACCAGAAACTGAACCCCAATTTATCTGATTCTAAAACATTCAAAACCATCTCTTGCATTTTCTTAATTTGGGAGAGTACACAGTGAACCTGGGCAATGCTAGAACAACTCCATATGAATTAGAATCTATATATGTCATGGCCCATCCTTTATTGGGTTGTCACACACCTGTCACTCATGCAACTAGAGACTGTTGCCTAACAACTTTGTAAACAGAGGCCTTTTGGTTCCTAAACATGTCAAGTGAATTGAGTCCGAAGCACAGATGTACTAGCCAAATATAATATGCCTTCAGTTAACCAGAATTTGGGAACCTTTATATTAATACTTTCACATGTACTTTGGTCAGATGCTTTTTCTGCATCTGTTGAGATGATCATATTGTTATCTCCCTTAAACTGTTAATACCTGCATTGCTTTTCTGATGTTGAAACTGTCCTTGGAAAAATCCCAATTGGGCTCATCATTATTCTTTTAATAAACTGCTGTATTCAATTTAATAATACTCTATTTAAAATTTTGACATCTAATATAGATGACATTGGCCTATAGGTTTGTTTTTTCTGCTCTTCTTGTCTGGTTTTGACATAGAGTGATGCTAACCTCCTAAAATGAGAAAGAACAGCCTTCTATCATTCTCTGAGCTTTATAACATATCTTTCTCTGAAGGATCAGCAGAACTTACTTAAACAACAATCTAGCTCTGGTGCCATTTTTTGATTGAAATTTTTGTTGAGATAACTATAGACTCACACACAGTGTAAGAAATAATACAAAGATCTCTTGTGCCCCTTCCTAGTTTCCGCCAATGGTAACATTTATAAAACTACAGTAAACATCACAACAATGATATTGATATTGATACAATCTACCAATCTTATTCTGATTTTCCTAGTTTTACCTGTATTCATGCTGTGTATGTTTGTGTATGTGTATCTACACAGTTCTATGACATGTATGGATTTGTATATATACATTATCTTTATACACACACACACCTTTTAAAATATAACCAAGGTCTCACTATACATAGGTTTATATCTAACTTTTTGTGTACTATAGTTTCTAAGTTATAAATACCCTTCAAATAAATCTTTAATGGCCACATGATATTCAGTGTCTAAATTAGAATCTTATTTAACAATTACTCTATTATTGTACACTTGGGTTGTTTCCATTTTTTTAACTATTATAAGTAAGAGACTTCAACAAAGACATTAAATACTATTTACCTGGTAATGATTTCCTTTGGACAGATTTGTGGAGGTAAAATTACTGGGAAAGATGAGCTTTTCACATCTTAACACGGATTTGTCCTGTCCCTGTAAGGAACCTTTCATCAGCCAGAAATAATAAATGGCATATTTTCTCACATCATCCACTTTTAGAGAAAAGCTGACTACAAACATATTCCCAATATCTCAGCGTAGAACTAGTCTACCCCAAGACAAGAAGAAAGCCCCTGTTATGAAAAAGTAGGCCTTAGCATGCATATGCTGAGCCACCCTCTGGGCTAGAGCTTATCAGATGAGCCCAACTAATGTGTGTGCCAAGCCCTTATTCTTCAGAGAAGCAGAAAGCCAGGAATTATAACTAGCATGTGACACAACGCATGGACATTCCCTTATGCTAAAAAGTCCCTACTTATTGTGTCTCACATAATCCTAAAAACTTATTTTAGGATATTCAGTTTTACAGATGAGAAAACTGAGCCCAGAAGGTTAAAAAACTTGCCCAAGGTTACATAATAAGTGTATCCAAACCCAGGCAACACTACCATAGTCTGCTCATTTAGATTCTTGCTTGTGGTCTGCACAGTACTCAGACCAGGCTCAAGTGCTCTAGAGAGGGACCAAACGGAAGGCACCAGTTAAAAGCCCCACTCTGGAAATGGAGATCCAGGCCAGAAACCATATGAGGAGACTAAAACACTTTATGAGATTTATAGTTTAAAAAGACCCCCAGTATATCAAGTCATGTAGTCTTCTATCTAGAATGAAAGTTATTTTTACCACGCAGCTGTTCTTTATGTTACACTGGCTTGTATCAGAAAATATATAAAAAAATACTAGTGATATGGTTTGGCTGTGTGTTCACCCAAATCTCACCTTGAACTGTAATAATCCCCATATTTCAAGGGCGGGGCCAGGTGGAGATAACTGAAACATGGGGGCGGTTTCCCCTATACTTTTCTTGTGGTAGTAAGTCTCACAAGATCTGGTGGTTTCATAAATGGGAGTTCCCCTGTACAAGCTCTCTTGCCTGCCACCATGTAGGACGTGCCTTTGCTTCTCCTTTGCCTTCCACCATGATTGTGAGGTCTCCCCAGCCATGTGGAACTGTGAGTCCATCAAACATCTTTCCTTTATAAATTACCTAGTCTTGGGTATGTCTTTATTAGCAGAGTGAGAACAGACTAATACAAATAGACATTAGATCACGAATACGCAGGACAATGTATACCACTCCTAGTAAACAATGAACACTCAGTTCAAGGTAACAGGTTACCATGAGCTATTAGAAATTACTTGCCTTTCTGTAAGGTGAATAAATTCCATGTTTCAATAATAAAATTAGAAGTATTTGACAGGGGATTAATAATTACTTATTAAGTTAATCTTCACATTTCTCCTACCACACCCTAAAGTGCAGAAAAAGTAAATATTAAGGAGAGAGAGTTTTTCTCGTTCAACTCCATCATTTTAGAGATGAGAAAACTGAGGTCTCACAGGGATTAAGACAGTTAATTACATGTGTATAAAACCTTGCTTTTGCCTTGACTTAAAATGTTGTATATTTAGTCTACTGTATTTATATTTAATAACAAATTACACATAAATACATACTTAACTCAGCTGGTTGCAGTGGCTCACGTCTGCAATCCCAGCACTTTGGGAGGCTGAGGCAGGCGGATCAGTTGAGGTCAAGAGTTCAAGACCAGCCTGGCCAACATGGTGAAATCCCGTCTCTACTAAAAATACAAAAAAAGAATAGCCAGGCGTGGTGGTGTGCACTGTAATCCCAGCTACTCGGGAGGTTGAGGCAGGAGATTCACTTGAACGGGGGGAGGAGGTTGCAGTGAGCCTCATTTATGCCACTGCACTCCAGCCTGGGCGACGGAGTGAGACTCTGTCTCAAAAAAAAAAAAAAAAAAAAAAAAAAAAAGAAATACGTATTTAACTTTTCCCTTAAAAAAAATTTTCCTTTAATAATTGCGTATCTTGTCCCGTGTGTCATTCTTATACCATGAGACTAAATTCTATTAATTGCACACACTCCTTAAACATCACGGTTACTTGTATTTAATATACCTGTGTAATCATAAAAAAAAACACCAAAATGCTTTGTAGAGAGCATACTTACTGAGTCTTTGTGACATTTTTCACAAAATAGACTGAATAGTAGAGAAAAAAACTGTGAAAACATGTCTTTAATAACATTTTTCCATTTTTCCAAGACTATGCATTGGCTATCACGCCACCAGCTGCATACTCATTGGCTTCACTCTGCTGATGTGAAATGCAAATGGAAAATCTCCAAAGATTTCAAGGCTTCTCTCTTCTCCCACTCCTACCAATTCTTTGAGATACTTGAGAAAAACAGACATTCACAATTCTATTTCAACAGTGTCCTCTCCCATTCAGAGGCATTCACCCCTCCATCCTTGTTGCTAAAGCTAATGCTGCCTAGAAACAGACTTATCAAAATGCAGTTGAGATTTTTAATAGTAAGACCTAAAGCCCAATGGCTAAAAGAAGAAATTTAATGCATTTCCACTCTTTTTTTTTTTTTTTTTTTTGAGATGGAGTCTCACTCTGTCGCCCAGGCTGCAGTGCCATGGCATGATCTCGGCTCATTGCAACCTCCGTCTCCTGTGTTCAAGCAATTCTCCTGCCTCAGCCTCCCAAGTAGCTGGGATTATAGGTGCCCATCACCACGCCCGGCTAATTTTTATATTTTTAGTAGAGACGGGGTTTCACCATGTTGGCCAGGCTGGTCTCGAATTCCTGACCTCAGGTGATTGGCCCACCTCGGCCTCCCAAAGTGCTGGGATTACAGGCATGAGATATCGCGCCAGGCCACATTTCCACACTTAAAAAATAAAAATAATCCCTTTTCTGCCCCCAGATCCCCAAAATATACTCACTACCCCTGCCACCTCATTCTAAATGACCAACGGCATACCAACGCATGATACAGACTAAATTCTAACTCTCTCCTTCCCATGTGCTGGAATCTCAGCACAGCCTCAGGGAAGAGGAGGAGGTGTGACTGTGCACAGCTGATGTGTCAAGACGTTACATCAATGTCTTCTTTATTCTTGACACCAACCCTGCAATGCTGATGACACTGAGTGCAGAGGCATCAAAACTGGACAACTAGCCCAGGTCCACTGGGGGCTGGTGTATTCAGTTGACCCTGAACCATAATGCCTTCAGTGGCCAGCGTGAAACTTCTTCAGGAGTGCCAACCAACCCCAAAATGTCCAGGCCCACGGGTATCTGCACTTCAGCATGCAGTGTCAACAGATGTTTACCCAGCTCAGCACTGCACAGGAGTAGGAGATTTGGAAACATGGTTTCTTCCTATAGCACTAACCTTGATGGGAGAGAAAATTCACCTATTTAGAATGTCAGAGAGGTAAGAACATCTGACATGGCTCCCTCATTTCATTCATTTCATTGCCAAAAAAAAAAAGGCCAAGAGAGGAAAGGAAGAAAAAAAAATGTCCTATCTTCCGTGCCTCAAGCACCATTCATATGCTCCCTTCATTTCATCTTCACAACAGTCATGTTATAAAGGCATTCTTAGGTCCAATTTACACACACACACTTTTTTAAGTGACTCAGAGCTTTAATATACTGTCCAAGTTCTGACACATTAAGTGGCAAGGTACCAGCATCTGAACCCAGACTTGTCCACCTCCCAAGCCCAAGCCCTTTGTATTCTAAGCCCAGCTACTGCTGAAAACTCTAGTAGTAACATAGAATAGCACATAATTAAGGGGTAATGCTGTGATCTAGACCAGCGATTCCCAAATTAGTCTGATTCATTAGAATCATCTCAGTCGCTTTATAAAAATACAGTTTCCCCCACACTCCCACCCCCATTCAGGTTTCTGATTGTGTAAGTCTGAGAGGAGGCCTGAAATCTGTATTTTCACATACTTTCAATGATTCTGATCATCAGTATGCCTTGCTATTTACAGAAGGATTAAAAACAACAGGGCTGGATCAGCCATGAAAAGGTATTTGGAGCTTGCATTTAATCAATAGCATTTAAAAGGAGAAACACTGAAAAAGTAGCAATGTCCAGGGAGTGTTCATGATAGTGATATCAATGGGCCAGGGCTGGGAGATGTGGTGGAAAGTGATCAAGGGGGTAACCAGAAAGGAAGGCTATTATGGGGCCGCTTATAAATCCAGCAGAGGCATACAGACTATATGCCATGATAACAAGGACACGGAGGTGTCTAGACCATGGGCAACATGATCAAAGTGGTGGAGGACAAACCAAACTGCATGCAAGTGTCTGGGCCAGGAATGGCAACTACAAGGCTACTGACATAGAAGCACAAGCTGGCATGCCCCCAAGGAAGAAAAAAAGAGGGAAAGCTCTTCATTTGAAATTTTCTGTCCCATCAAGATTAGTGCTGCAGGAAGAGACCAATGGCCAGGCATAGTGGCTCACGTCTATAATCCCAGCACTTTGGGTGGCCGAGGCGGTGGATCAGCTGAGGTCAGGAGTTGGAGACCAGCCTGGCCAACACGTTGAAACCCCATCCCTACTAAAAATACAAAATTTAGCCAGGTGCAGTGGCATGTGCCTGTAGTCCCAGCTACTCGGGAGGCTGAGGCAGGAGAATCGCTTGAACCTGGGAGGTGGTGGTTGCAGTGAGGTGGCTGCAGTGAGGTGGTGGTTGCAGAGTGCCATTGTACTCCAGCCTGGGTGACAGAGTGAGACTCCATCTCAAGAGGAAAAAAAAAAAAGATTAGCGCTGCAGGAAGGGACCACATTTCCAAACCCCGACTTCTTTGCAGTGCTGAGCTCAGGTCAGGAGCTGGGTAAACACCTGTTGGTGCTGCATCTTTAAGTGCAGGTTCCCATGGGCCAGGGCATTCTGGGGCCGGTTGGCACTCCTGAGGAAGTTCCACGCTGGCCACTGAAGGCATGAAAAAATGAACGGAAAGATCACTAGAATGCAAGCTCCAAGAAGGCAGGGGGATATCTGCCTGGTTTGCTCACTGCTTTACCTCAAGCACCTAGTAGGTATGAAATAAATATCTGCAGAATGAATGCACAGCTGGACTTAGAGGCAGACTGGACGTGGAAACCAACAAAGATGAATGAGTCCAGGGCTTCTTCAAGATTTAAATCCAAATGATTAGAATGAAAATGATAGTACTGTCACAGTTGACTAAAAAAGTTAAATAAGAGTAGATTGGTTTTAGCAAAGATTCTTCTTCATTACTTCTGGCTTTTCTCTAAGACTTTATTTTGGCCTCTAGTCCACGAAAAGAATTCAGTGGTTTGGAGATTCTGCAATGCACCCTTCTGCCTTGGGAAGAAGAAAAGGATGGGCAAAATCTTTTAGTTTGATTTTTGGCAATGGAAGAAGGACAATCTAGTGAGAATCTAAACCCAGATGGCATTCCTCACAGGACAACTGGATCCCCACCAGCAGGTATGCCAACAGCACAGTGGCTTGACTGGACTTGCTATAAACCTTAATGACAGGGCTGGTGGGGCTCTGTGTGACTGGGTCAGCTTCAGGGGCCTTGCCAACCTAAGGAGACTCCAAGCCACCTCTAGCTGGCCAGTCAGGTCTCTGGGGGCTTTTGGAGACTTGAAAACTAGTTCCACCCAGGGAACAAACCAGTTCACCTTTTGAAATCCTTTCCAAACTAATGATTATCCAAGGCGCCATTTAAGTGATCATATTACACAGGGTAGGCTACCCCTCGAAGGGTGGTTACCATCAAAACTAGACATATCAGGTCCTAAAAGCAGAAGCTGAAGGGCATGCTCAAATTGCTTCTCAGACATCCATTTTCTGCAAGCCTGATCTTTCAAGATCTTTCCTTCTTAAATGACATCCTCCTTCTGCTAATACCCAACTAAGAGAGAAAGAGCCCTTGTTTTTATAAAATTCCCTAGCAAAAGCAATTTGTTTCACTCATAAAACAGCCAAACTATATTTTCTAAAGAACTGCAAAGTTACATGATTTCGATTTTAGTTACCCTTCTAATGCAAACTTTCCAGAGCCTGCCTTTCATAATACACCGAGAGATAATGCATGGGCCCAAATGACTTGACAGTTTCTTTTAATTTACAGACATCTAAGAATGTTTATAAAATTCCTCTAGTTCAAAACACTTCCTTTTCTTAAACATATTTCCAGTTCAAATTATGTGTTTATAGCAGTCTGCAATATATTATTTCTAAAGATAAACAGTCATGTACAAAATGGACAGAAAACCAGCAGCATATCACTACTGCCACACTCAGTCAGATTTTCCCCTTGCCTGGTGCTCCGCAGCCAAAGTCCTAACCTGCCAGTGGAAAGTATGAATGGATCACTAGGAACAGGCTTTCCCAGCTGCCTCCAGGATCCATAAAGGAACAGCTACCAGTTCCTTTTCATAGGCAGTTTTGAGCCTTAGTTCCTGAGAACCTCTTTTTTACCCCCAGAGCTAAGTATAAAACTTAAGAATTCACTAACTGTAGGCAGTTTTCCTTTCTTCCTTTAAAGGGAGACTTTAAACCCAAATCACTACTTCTAAATCCCAGGAAACAGTTGCAGTTTTCAAATTAAAATGCAAAGTCCTGGAAATAATATTCTGTAATTGCTAATTTTTTTTTAAATTCAGTCTTTTGACTTCATTTATATTTTTGCTGCTATACATGAAACAAACGGAGACTGAAAAGTAATTTAAATGGACTGTTAGCCATTCTGGGCCTTGAAACAGCTTCTATTTAGAAAGACTGACTCACTGCCTAACAAAGATTCTCTGCTAGTCTCTAAGTTGACATTTTATAAATATCTAATCACCCTTTTTGGATGATTTTCCAATTACTGAAAACAGTGTCTATCACAATGAAGCAGTTCACTCGGAAAGCATCCAGTTCTGGTTCAAATTGAGAAATATTAGAACCCCAAAGATACACAGTTCAGGGGAAAGCTGTCACCGGGGAGGACAGGTATATAGTTCGGCCAAAAAACTTCCTTAAGGAGCACTGGTAGATTTATGCAAAAACCCAGAGGAGCAGAAGACAGAAACATTCTTTCTCCAGAATCCCAAAACAGTAACATTTCCTAGCAAATCCATGAATAAGACTCAGCAAAAAAAAAGGGCCTCCTTAACCATGTGCAGTTTTTTAGGCAGGCTCTTGAAATTTATTAGATGAAGTCCCTTTGCCCTGTTTTGCAACAAGAGGAGCAACAACGCTCATCTGAAATAAACAAGAGAACTGCTGCCTTTTGGTGTACAAAGAGCCAAAGTTCATCCTAACTGGCTGGGAGATAACTAATACCAACGGATTAAACCATCATTTGCCAAAGGGAAACACTGATAAGGCTGGGAGTTCTATTTTACAACCTGAGCACCCAAAATACTCATGTAGTCTGTACAGTTTCCAATTCTACATGCTCTCCAACCACAAAGAACGTATGGGGATCTGCTAGCACACACAGAGGCTCCCACACTGATTAAAAATGTCCATCTGCCGCTCGATGCCAAAGAGGTTTCCCAGTCCTAAATTAGCCTCAGCACAAAAAAGGGGGGGAGGGAGACTCAAACTCATAAAACTACCTAAAAGACCTTAAGATGATATAATTTGTCTTTGAAAAGACCATTCAATTAATTAGAAATTGACACGTTATTAAATGGCAAAGGGAGAGGACGTGGGGAACCAGAAGGGCCAGAAACAGCCGCACTCCCTGAGACCCCAGAGGGCACTGAGGCTGCAGACGAAATCTGGGGTGCTCAAGCTTCCACCTGGCCCGACAGAGCTCCTGGCGCCCAGGTGGAGGCAGCTGCGGACGAGAGGAGGCCAAGGAGGCAGTTCCCTTTAGAGGGCGCTCATTGGGCGACGTGGGGAAACAAGCTCCAGCCCCCGAAGCGCGACCAAAAGGAGAAATCAAGTTCCCACCGCCAGGGCGGGGGAGGGAAGCTGGGTGCCGGCAGGCGCTCCGCCGGAGACGAGACTCCTCCCGGCCCCAGAAGCGCCCCGCCAGGGCCAGAGAGGGCGAGCGTGGCGGGAGGGAAGCCTCTGTCCCCCAGCGGCCAGGCGACCCGAAGCCGAGCGCCGTGTCACACGTACCCCGCCTCGCCCTGCTTGCGGCACTCCCGTGTAACTCCTATGAAAATGTCCTCCCGTCCCTGACGCCCCGCGGTGCAACCTCCACCCCTCAACGAGGAGGGGGTCGCCGCAGGACTGGGAATCCAGTGGCCGGCGTCCCAGCATTTTCGGACGCGTTCCGTGCCTCCCCCAGTATCCCCTTGAGGGATCGCCTACTGCGATTCCACGTAGTGTCGGTTACCTCGCCCTAGCCGCAGGGAGCATCAAACAAAAGAACTTTTGCAAACTTTTCTCTCTGGACACTCGCGGGTCTCTTAAATCTGGCCCCCATCTCCCCAGAACTTGCATGCAGTCAAACAGGAAAGCTGGCGCGGGGGGGATGGTGTGCGGAGGAAGGGACCCCGAAGTTTCCAGGTCATCCCTGGTCTCGAGGAGCGCGCGGAGTGGAGCCGTTCCCTCGCGGGCCCGACCCAGGCTCCCCCCTCCTGCCACCCTTTCCCCTCCGTCCTTCCCAGACCACGCAGCAAGACCCGCCGAGGGCGAAGAAGTTGGGAGTGACTTCAGGGGCCTCTGCGGCTAGACCAAACCGCAATTCTCGGTGCCCCCATTCCCGCGGACCGCGGGGTAACGCCAGCGAGCAGCGCTTTTCTGAGGAAGGGAAGAGGGGGAAAGGGTGACCGGACGAGCGCATTTGTCCCAGCGGATCTCCGGTGTATACTTGGGGACTGGGGGTTCCCCAGGTGGCGCTCCCCTATTCCCTGCGGGCTCCTCTCGTAGCTTCAAACACCCTAAACGGCGCGCGCATCCTCCGCCTGGCCCACTCACCGACTCCGCCGACACGCAGGCCACCAAGCCCAAGGTGAGCAGGATCCACGCGCGCCGCATATTCCCCAGGGACCGGCTGCTCCCAGCCGCTGCTTGCAACCAGGGCAAAACGAAGCCTCCTGCCCAGCGCTCGGCGCAGCCCGCGCACACGAATCCGGAGCAGAGTACCGCAGCGATTGCGGCTCAGGCTCGGGGACTCGGGCTCGGGGCTCGGGGGCGCTCGCTTCCTCCTCCTGCGCCTGCTCCCGCCGCCCGCAGCTGCGCCCCGGGAACGCGGCGCCCTCTCACTTGTTGGTTTCTGCACTCCCGACACGGAGTTGGTGCTCCGGGAAGGCTGCTCTCTGAAGCTCTTCTTGCTCTGCTGTGGTTTTGCTCCTCCGCGGACTCCTTTCCCGTGCCGAGGTTCAGTTTCTGGTTTTAAGGAATAAATTCGCTGGCTTGAAAGGGAGCTACGGCAGAAGTTTAGGGGCAGAGCGGCGGGAGCGCGCGATCCGCGCGGCTGGAGCTCCGGGGGTATCTGGAGAGCAGCGCGTCCAAGCGGGGCCACTGGCTCCGCGGCTGCGCCCCTCCTCCTCCCGCGCCGCGCCTCCCTCCCCGGGTCCTCCTCCTTCTCCTCCTCTTCTTTTCCTCTGGCTCCCTCCCTCCTGAGCCTGCTTCTCCGGGCTCCCCTGGGCGACTGGGGAGAGGAGGCGGCAGTGTGACTCCCAGATAAACCCGGGAGAAATTCCTACAGGATTACACGCCGATTGGCAGCTCCGAGGACCAGTGGGCGCCGCGGCTCCGCGCTGTGGCTGCGCCGGCTCTGCTCACCGGCAAGCCAGGGCTCCTGCGTTTTCTCAGTCCTTTTCTTCCTTTCTCTCCCCACTTTTCCTCTCTCCTCTATGCTCTTTTCTTCCCCGTTGTCTTTTCTCTTTCCCTTCTTCACTTTCCCTTTTCTAGAGAACAATTAGTGAAGAAACGAGAGACGTATGTAGCTTTTCTGCCTTGAGAATTCGACCAGTAGAAAGAAACTGCTTTGTGAGTTGAGGGAAAAAAAAAGTGTAAGATGCTTTCAAGCAATGTGAAGTGTTCATAAATCGCCAGTTCATGAAAATTGCATTTTAAAAGAGAAGATAATTAATGTAATAAATATATAGTGAGAGTGTTTCCCATTCTCCCAAATCCTTCCGCACCCCCAAAAAAGGGACATGGAGGAAGGATCCTGTAAACCCAAAGTGCAACAGTTTGAAAGCTCCTAACTTCATTAAGGGCTTAAATACCATTTCTCCCTCACACACAGTTTATGCCACTAAGGCTTTTTATAGGCTCCATTTTAGCAGATAGGTGTTAACGTTTGGAAGCTACAAATAGGGTAATTTGATGAGAAGTTGGATAGAGACCCTGAATAATAACAGATTTAAGATAACTTCAAAGAAAAGAGGGATAAAGTAATTCTTAGTTTGAAGAAAATAATGAACATGTATTTCCTAAATGGAAGTAGCTGACATGAAATATTTTGTTACAATGTCTGTGGCATATTATAGAACATGGCAAATGCGTATTCCCTTCCAGTTTCTTTTTCTTACTGTCACAAATTTTACACACAAATCCCTTGCAGTTCGTGCCATCATTTTTCTCTCTGACTTATAGAGTAAATGAATTATGACGCCATTCTGCTCCTGGAATGCCCACTACAGGAAACCAGAGACTTTTCTGTCTGTTCACCATTGTATTCTCATTCCTGGTACATAAAGACACATGATAAATATTATCTTGAATAAATTTTGCTCTAAAGCTCAATTTATACCGTATAAGAGTTGTGAGCCTTTAAAATACACCAATGTAGATATATAGATATGAGGCCATGGTAATTTTTCAACTCAGTATTAGAATAAAATACAGTCATACCCTCAGTGAGAATTAAATGTCTTAGTAACCTATTACTGTAATAAATCTCAAAGAAAGAAATTTAACTGGAGAATTACAACTCAAACTTGGAGACACTTATTCCTTTGGTTTTGTGTGCCAGCTACCAAACCTACAAATGCTCATGAGCAAGTCTAAGGCATTGGCCAACAAAAAGGTAATATGGAGAAATAGAAGAGTAGGCAAAGGAGAAAGAAGAAAAAGAGCAATAGGCCAGAAGTTGTAACATCAGATGATGCTTCTGATTCCACAGACACTGTAGCTGGCATCTGTGCCAATGTGGGCTCCACTTAGCTTTTGAAAGAATGAACCACAGCCTTTTTTTTTTTTTTTTTTTTTTTTGAGACAGGGTCTCATTCTTGCCCAGGCTGGAGTGCAGTGGCCTGCACTGTAGCCTCTACCTCTCAGGCTCAAGCAGTCCTCCCACCTCAGCTTACCAAGTAGCTGGGACTACAGGCACAGGCCACCACACCAGCTAATTTTTGTGTTTTTTATAGAGACAGGGTTTTCCATTGTTGCCCAGGCTGGTCTCAAACTCTTGGGCTCAAGTGATCTGCCTGCCTCAGCCTCCCAAAGTCCTGGGATTAGACACGTGAGCCACCAGCCTAGTGCCCTTATTTTTAAGATGGAGTCTGTGGGTTGAAGAGGTTCATGAGATGGGGAGACTTCTTAAAAAGGCCTCCAAAGGAAAAGCAGCAATGCAAAATACATGCAAAGAGCCATAAAATACCAGCTCTGTCCTCATAAGAGGCCTCGTCTACTCGCCAGCCTTCAGGCAAGGCCACACCTCCATTGTCCCCAACAGTTAAGTATTCATCAAATAAATTGGAATTCCAGTAAAACAGGAAGTGCACTCCACTGATTTGCTGGTTCTCACAGTTATTGCTGTTTACTGGGGCACCCATGTAACAAGAAGCGTGGTGAATGCTCTCTGATTCAGCTTGGGCAGACAGTGATAAAAAATGAATAAGTGGATACACGTGTTGAAGGGATATTATCTGTTTGCTGCCCTGAAGGCACACCCCAAGGCTCTTGGTGTTGATGAGATGCTCAGTGACTTGTTTCTTTAAAGATGATAAATACTCCATTGAGAGTATATATAATAAGGGAATTGGTACCATTTTGAGTGACACAATATTAAGGAGATGAAAACAAATATTCAAGATCTTGTGTTCAGATTTATTAACAGCTGTGGCAAGAAGGATAATCTGACAGTATAAAAAGCACTTACACAAGAGCTGGCTACAAAGAGGTCACCCATGCTGAGTGGGGATGGGGACAGAAGTCAGGGGAGGTCCGCTGGTATTAGTCAGGATTTGTCTAAATTCGCAAACGATGTAGGCCTGTTTGTGTGTTTTGCTAATTGGAAATGTTTAAAAAACTGATGGGGACTAAAATTTGGCAGAATTTTGTGTAGTATATCTAATTCACTAAGTATAGCTTGTGACTAGAACCAAAGGTTCTTTGCAAATATACTTCAAGTCCTCAGGTTTTGAGGGCTATGCTTTGAGGGGCACAGCTTAACCAATCACTTCCCAAATAGCTTCATTGATTGCTAAAAGAATAATTACCACACTTCAAGAGTCTCAGGAGAAAATATTAAAAATAAACAACATAGAGATTAAGATGCAAACATGTAAAAACAAATAAAAAATAAAGAGAACCAGACAAGTGAAAAAATAGAAATGAAAGCTACTAAAGACAGTTTTTAACCTAAACTGACACATCGGACTCTGTCACTACGGTAACAAATGATACCACATTACAACCGTGGATAAACAGGTGTTCTGTCCTGAGGTGAGTTGTCAGAGTAGGGGATAGCGGAAAAAAAAGATGCCATTCTGTTGTTCTCGGTTGTTCTTCCACTTGGCACCCCCTGGACTGTTACCAGGAGTCCAGGCTAGAAATCAATTTGGTAGGATTGGCTCTTATGAAATTCACTTGAAAGATGATAGAAGCTGAGAGGAATAGGATATCCATCCAGCCAACCATTAATGAGCCATCGCTAATACTGGCAAGTGAGCTGAGGCCATGACCAAAATCTACAGGCAATCCAAAAAAATCTATTTTCAGGCCTGGCGCGGTGGCTCACACCTGTAATCCTAGCACTTTGGGAGGCCGAGGCAGGCAGATTGCCTGAGCTCAGAAGTTCAAGACCAGCCTGGGCAACACGGTGAAACCCCGTCTTTACTAAGAACAACACAACAAAAATTAGCCAGGTGTGATGGCGGGCACCTGTAGTCGCAGCTACTTGGGAGGCTGAGGCAGGAGAATTGCTTGAACCCGGGAGGTAGAAGTTGCAGTGAGCCGAGATCATGCCACCGTACTCCAGCCTGGGCAACAGAGCGAGACTCTGTCTCCAAAAAAAAAAAAAAAAAGTCTATTTTCAGCCTCAAACTTTCCACTGTTCTCTTTATTCACCTCCATCAACCCCTTCCCAGAGAAGTTGGCTGATTTGAGTTTCATAAAATGATATGGTGCTAATGTTGAACAAAATTGTTACAGTTTTGGATAGGAGGACACAGGAAAATCAAGGAAGTGTATAATACATAAAATAAGACAGGAGATAAAACAGTTACTTCTGTTTTTCTTTTTCTTTTTTTTCTTTTTTTCTTTTTTTAGAGACGAGGGCTCACTATATTGCCCAGGCTGGCATCGAACTCCTAGACTCAAGTGATCCTCCCCCTTGGCCTCCGAAGGGTCTGAGATTACAGGTGTGAGCCATCACACTTGGCCCTTCATGTCAGTTTTTCTAACAGTGTGGTATGGTTCTTTAAAGGCTGGCAAAATTTGACATTCAGTCAACAAATATGTATGGATCACCTGCTGCAACTCAGGTACTCACTGGGTAGGCACATGAATTTTCTTGAACCTTGTTAGAGTTAATACATTTTTAAACTAAGAGTTGTTCTCAAGTCATGAATCTGTGACTAAAGTACATGATGAATTTCATTCTAAAATCAGATAAAGTTTAAAGAAAACATTATTTATGGACTAAAATACATATCCAAAGAGCCATATTTGAATGTTATAGATTTGGATGTATGAATCCAGGAAGGTACCACAGAGGTATCTTCAAGTTATTTTGCATTGCATTTGTATATATCCAGTTGAACAGGAAAGTCTAACCTTGATTAATTTTATGTAAAATGGTACTATTTTTTAAATTGACAAATAAAAATTGTATATATTTATGGTGTACAGCATGCTCTTTAAAAATATGTAGCCAGGTGCAGCAGTGGCACACACACCTGTAGTCCCAGCTACTCGGGTGGCTGAGGTAAGAGGGTCACTTGAGCCTAGGAGTTCAAGGTTACAGTGAGCTATGATCGAACCACTGCACTCCAGCCAGGGTGACAGAGCAAGACCCTGTCTATTAAATAATTAATTAATTAATAATGTGTACATTGGGGAATGATTAAATCAATCTGATTAACATATGCATTGCCTCACAAACAAATTTTTTGTGGTAAGAGCACTTAAAATCTTTTTTCTCAGCAGTTTTTGAGGATACAATATATTGTTAGCTATAGTCACTATGATATACAACAGATCTCTTGAACTTACCATGAATTCAACTTTTTAAGATTACACATAAGTGGAATCGTGGTATTTGCCATTCTATACCTGGCTTAGCATAATGTCCTCCAGGTTCACCTATGTCATCACAAATGACAGAATTTCTTTTTTTTTTTCTTTTTTTGAGACAGGGTCTGGCTATGTTGCCCAGGCTGAACTCCAACTTCTGGGCTCAAGCAATCCTTCCACGTAGCTGGAAGAGCCCCGCTGCCTTCTTTTATAAGGCTAAATGGTATTCCATTGTGTATATGCACCACACATTTTCTTCATCTGTTGGTGGACAGTCCTACTCTTTTTTTTCTTTTTCTTTTTCTTTTTAGAAAGGGGGTCTTACTCTGTGGCCCAGGCTGGAGTGCAGTAGTACGATCATAACTCACTGCAGCCTCAAACTCCTGGATACAAGTGATCCTCCCTCCTCAGCCTCCCAAGTAGCTGGGACTACAGGTACTTGCCACCGTGACCAGCTGGGACTACTCTTATTACTACTCTCTGCAGGTGATTACTTTAATGGTAACTAGCTCTAACCTCATTGACTGTTCTTAGAAATCCATCCTCTCCAAGGCCCTGGAAAGGGGCCTACATGTTACATATCATCATTTAGATGATTCCACACCTCCTTGATCACAATTATGTAGACCAGGGCTGGAAGCAGGGGGAGGCAATTTATTAGTGGGCCAGTGGCCAATCAGATTCACCTTTCAGATTATTTGAGCCAAGGAACTCAGAGTCTAACTAAATTGTACATTGTTGACCTGGGAGTAATCCAGAATTGCTAAGGGGTCCTTGTGTGGTGAGAGAGAAAAGGTTGATGTAAAATGGAAAGAATGAAGCAGATGAACAGAGAGAAGCAACAACAGAGGATATATGGCTCCAGAATAATGTAGTTTTCCGGATTTTGGTTTTTTTTTTTTTTCCAGTCCCTTTTCTAGCCTGTTTTGAAACCCAAATAAACTTTCTTCCTTTAGGTTATACAAGATACTATGGTATCCTTAAGGTAAATTCCTCATTTTTCTTTAGCTAAAGAGCTAAATTTACTAGTAATTAATTTATTACTACTTCTTGGTAAACAAATGAAGCCAGCCCAAGACAGAGATGAAAATGAAGCAAAGAGCTTTGACTACCTTAGCTTCACTCTGGATAGAATGGAAATCTTGCCATTTAGTGTTTTATGAGCCATGTATAGTTAAGAACAGTTTTAGTGAAGATAAACTACTACTAACATTATTTAGATTTTCAGGAGAAAACACAAACTTTTAAAGAAAAATTTTACTTATGAATTACCTTGGGGGAAGTGTTTTCCATGTAGAATTTGGTATCTTTAAAACTCTAAAAGCAGAGTAGAATACGTAGATTCTTTGCTGAATTAAATAGTATTAGCACTGGGAACACCTACAAGTTAATGCCAGGAATTGCCTCACTGAACACTTTTCTAAAAGATCTAGAGGTCAAGGCACACAAATGTCCAGGTGTGAAAATGTTACTAAATTCTTTCAGCTAGTGAAATGAGAAACAGGTAGGATAGCCACGCCTGGCTGAGTTGTTAAGTAACCCAATACATTAAGGATACCTAACAGAGGCTCTTACACCGGCTGTTAGGGTAGGCTGTGCCCTGTAGTGGTTAAAACCTCAGCCTTTGGAAATATACAGACTGGGGTTTGAATCCCAGTTCCACTCTTACAGTGTTCTTAAAGGCCTTGACACCTGAGCAGGCCACTAAATTTAAACCCGTTTCTTCATCTGTAGTTTGGAGATAATTGGGTTAATGTGTGGAGCCTATGAGTTAATAATACGCATAAAGTATTTAGCAAGCTACCTTGCACCTAGTGAACTTTCAATAAATGCCAGTTGTCTCAATAAATGCCAGTTGTGGTTATTAGTGTTTCCTCTCAATAAATGCCAGTTGTTACAAATGCCATTTGTGACTAGTATTTTCTCTGCCTGGAATAACTCATCTGTTCTCTCAACTCTCTTTGCCTGCCTAACTCCTGCTTGCCCTTTAAGGGTCAGTTTAGAAGTGTCCTCATTAGCAAATATCTGAATGCCTACTGTGTGTTGCACACCTCCTCCAGGAAGCCTTCGCTGATCCACCAGATTAGATAACAGACTTTTATGATAATTAATTCTAACTTAGCATGGAATATTGGAGTTGCTATAAAATTTGCTCTTAGAAACATGTTCTGTTGTGGCTAAAAGTATAAACATAAAACTGAATACCACTCAGAAAGACCTAGGAAACAAGAACACACACCATTCTATCTTTTTAAGTGCCATAACAAGTTTAAATCCAACTAAGAACCCAGGAAAATAGTATAAAATTCCAAACTTGCAAGTTCTGAAATAGCAGTAAATAGTTTTGAATTGTTAAAATGAAAATCAAATGCTCCTAGGAGTTCAGATAGAAATAAGAAAAATGCTTCAGGGAAAGAAAAAAGTACAATTTATCATGAAATGGGAACTCAAAATGTCTACTTTTTGCTCTTGTTCTTGTAGCTGTTAGTAATACAAATGACAAAGGCTGAGGGTTTCTCTGCAGGTTTCATTCCAGTGTCGCACCACCAAAGCTAGTGTCTCCTCCTATCCCCCAACCCCTACTCACCACAGGCACACCCCAACACCCCAAGGTGACCCATGTGAATAGCCTGGTATGAATTGTCCTCTCTTTCTCTATTTGTATAATCCTATAGGGATACACTCACAAATCCATGACACACACATGAGTTTTTTTGTTGTTTGTTTTGTTTTGTTTTGAGACAGAGTTTCATTCGTTGGCCAGACTGGAGTGCAATGATGCGATCTCGGCTCACTGCAACCTCTGCCTCCTGGGTTCAAGCAATTCTCCCACCTCAGCCTCCTGAGTATCTAGGATTACAGGCGCACACCACCACACCCAGCTAATTTTTGTATTTTTAGTAGAGACGGGGGTTCTGCTATGTTGGCCAGGCTGATCTTGAACTCCTGACCTCAGGTGATCAGCCCGCCTCAGCCTCCCAAAGTACTGGGATTACAGGCATGAGCCACCGAGCCCAGCCCCACGCATGAGTTTTTAATGCTTGTTTGTTTTGTTCTTAGTTGTTTTTAAAAATGGAATCCTATTAAACACACTTTCATCTTGTCGAAATCCCTCCAAGTCACCTGATGGAACCTTCATTCATGTATATAATGTGAGTCTCTTACCCCTCGGTACTGGTATTTCATACTTGATCTAGCCATTTCCCTGTAATAAGCATCTCTTTTGTTTCCAGTCGAGTATTTTCCCCTACTGCAAATAATATGACAGGAAATACCTTTTACATATTTCCTTAGTTACTAGTGACTTTCTTTCTGTGGGCTAGATTCCCTAGAGTGGGATTGTTGGATTGGAAGGTATAAATGTTTGTAGTTTTATGGGATGTTGCTTGACAGTTTTACAGCAACAACAAGTTCTCACACTCCCACCAGTGATGTTGAGGGTATCTTTTTTTTTTTTCCTTTTTCCACATCCCAGCCAGCAATAGGTGTTAGCTTTCTTCTCAGCCAGTTTGATAAGTATGAAGTGACAGCTCATTGCTCTTGTTATGTGCAATTTCCTGACTACTAGTGCTTTAGAGCATCTTTTCATGTGTTCGTTGTATTTGGAGTTGGTCTTCTGTGAACTGTCTGTTCATATCTTTTCCCCACCTTTCTACATGGTAATATGCTTTTTTTGGAAGAGCTCTGATATGATTGCTATTAACATTACTATGTTATTAATCCATCTTGCATATATTCTTCTTTTTTTTTTTTTGAGATGGAGTCTCACTCTGTTGCCCAGGCTGGAGTACAGTGGCGCGATCTGGGCTCACTGCAACCTCCGCCTCCCGGGTTCACGCCATTCTTCTACCTCAGCCTCCTGAGTAGCTGGGACTACAGGCGCCCGCCACCACGCCGGGCTAATATTTTGTATTTTTAGTAGAGACGGGTTTTCACTGTGTTAGCCAGGATGGTCTCAATCTCCTGACCTCCTGATCCGCCTGCCTCGGCCTCCCAAAGTGCTGGGATTATGGGCGTAAGCCACCGTGCCCAGCCGCATATATTCTTATATATACTGTAACCACTTTCAATTATCTATTCTACCCACTGATCTGTTTGTCTATTCCCATGTCATAGCATATTCATTTGATTACCACAACTTTATAGAACCCTCTGATATTCCCAAAGTCAATCTCCCTGCTCTCCCTTACCAGACACTGGTGGTTGTTTTTCCCATGCTTTTCTTGAATATTTTTGGGCATTTTCTTCATCCACATAAATTCTAAAGATATTTTAGACAATTAAAATAAACCATTTTAGGATTCCATTTGGAATTGAACTAAATTTATTCATTGGTTTTGGTACAAGTAACATTTTTATGATATTAAGTCATCTCAAACCAGAAAATGTTTTACTCAACTTTGTTCAGATCTTTTTTAAATGTCTGCTCATAAGATTTTATAGTTTTCCTATAGATCCTGTGAACCTCTTGTTATATATATTCCCATTATTTACTTACATTGTGTCACTATTATAAATAGAATTTCCCCTATTTTCATTTAAGAACTTACTGCTAGAGCAGAGAAAAACTGTCTATCTTTAATATTTATTTTGTATACTACCATCTTACCAATAATTTTTAAGTGAAGCCAGTACATATTTTACTAGAATCTCATGGATTTCTAGGTAGGCAATTAGGTCATCAGCAAAAAATGTGGTTTTAATATCTTTTTTAATGTCTATGCCAGTTGTTTAGTAACTAGTTTTAACAACTCGTTCCTGGTTTTAATGGAAATGGTTTAGTGTATTGTGTGTTATAATTTGGAATGACACTTGTGGTTTGTTTGTGAATTGTCTTTAGTAGATCAAAAAGTTTCATTACTTATCTTGAGTTTTTGTTAGAGATGGTTGTTTAGTTTTATTCAAGCTCTTTCAGAATCTACTGATATAATCCTATGGATTTTATCCTTTAGTCTGTTAATGTAATAGATTGTGCTGATGGTCACTGAGAGTGATTTTCAGAAAGCAAATCACTCCCACATTCCTTGAAAAAAATGTGCTTGATCTTAGCGCACCAGTTTTTGAGAACTTGCTGATGTCTTCCTTTATTTTGTTTAGAAGTTTTGCATCTTATTTGAAAGTGATATAGGTCTATAATTTTTTATCCTGTGTTCTACTAGATCAGGCTGTGGCATTAAGGTCTTGCTGGCTATGTCAAATGAGTTGGAGACTTTTCTATATTTCCTCTCTATCCTGGACTAATTTGCATAGCATTGAAATGATCAGTTCTTTAGAAATTAGGTAGCACCCAGTCCAAATGCCCATTTGGTTTTGGTGCCTATTTAAGCAGTAGCTCTCTTACTACCCTTTCTTCTGTCATAATTGGTCTATTCAGATTTACGATTTCTTCTTGGGTCCATTTTAGTCATTTGTATTTTGCTTGAAAACCATTATTATCCTCCAGGTTTTAAAACCTGTTGTCAGATTTGCCTTTAGAGAGATAAATATTTCCTTATTGTTAAAAATTTCTCTTGCATTTTTTTTCTCGTTTTTTTACCTTGTCTCTTTGGCTTTCTCTTCTTTCTTATCAGGCTCCTGAGGGATTTATTTCTATTATTAATCTTTTTCAAAAGACACTTTTACATAAACTTTCCTTACTCTTTTTGTGTTTGTTTGTTGTTTTATCTTTGTTGTCATTCCTTTTCCTGTTTTAAAAATTGATCTCTTTATAATTTCTTAATTGAAATTCTAAGTTCTTTTATTTTTAATTTCTTTAATGATAAAACAGCATTTGAGGCTATGCATTTTCTGTGGATAATTTGTCCTTTCTGCTTAGGAGCTTATAAGATTTTCCAGTTGTCCCTAGAATTTAGGGGGTTTACTATGCTATGCCTGTGTACTTGTGATTTCTCTTCAATGGATCATTTAGTTTACTGATTCAAGTCTTTCTCCTCAAGTGAAAGGTTTCATTTGTTTAGTTGTTTTGTTTTGTTTGAGACTGAGTCTCGCATGGCACCCCCCCGGCTGGAGTGCAATGGTGCGATCTCGGCTCACCGCAACCTCCGCCTCCCGGGTTCACGCGATTCTCCTGCCTCAGCCTCCCGAGTAGCTGGGACTACTGGCGCACACCACCATACTGGGCTAATTTTTTTCTATTTTTAGTAGAGATGGGGTTTCACTATGTTGGCCAGACTGGTCTTGAACTCCTGACCTCGTGATTCACCCGCCTTGGCCTCCCAAAGTGCTGGGATTACACGCATGAGCCAACGTGCCTGGCCTTGTTTAGTTTTTTAAAAATTGTTTTCTCTCTTTCAATATATTGTTTTCTCTTTCTGAAACTTCTATTATTTGTCTTTTAAATGTCCTGAATAGATAGCCTCCAAATCCCTTACATTTTCTGTCATGATTTCCAACTTCTCACATTTGTTTGATTGTGTCCATGAATTTCCAAACCACTAATTCAGATCAGTGACCATTCTCTCCTTTAATTTCCCTGTGAAATTTCTAATGAGAACTCGTGTTTTTATTATTAATGAGTTATTATTATTATTATTTGCAGATGCACTTGGGCTCTTTAAGTGCTTGGTTTTGTTGGTTTGTTTTGTTTCCAGCTTATGTTTTCGTCTGTCTCCTGTAGCAGTTGTATTTCCTTGGGCGTGTGCTTGTTCTCTTGGTTTTTTCCTCTCTCTGGCTGCTGGGTGCCATCATATGCAGTGTCATGTTTCTTTGTCGGCTGGTTCTGTCTCAGACCTGGTTGGTGGAGAATCTTCACAATGGGGACCCACAGGTGGTGGAAGACAAAGGGCTTCTCAGGTGTCCCTACACCCATGGGGCAGTCTGCTGCCAGTTCTCTTGCTTCCCTGCCAGGTTACCTACAGGAAGCTTCTCTCTTCCTTGGTCCTCAGTCTCAAGGGCAGAGAAGAATTGCCCCCTTTTGGCTTTGCAGAGGTGGCCAGGAAGGCTTAGCATACCCACGTAGAGCAGGCAGTGTCTCCTACCTCACAGACGCTGCATGGCCCATTTCTCTTCTGGATCCTCTTGGGGAAAATCAACAGTATACATGAGGGCAAATGGGGATGTGCTCAGGACTACCGCTACTGTGAACTCCCCAAGTTATATTTTCTTTTTTGTTTGTTTGTTTGTTTCAGAGATGGAGTCTGGCTCTGTTGCCAGGCTGCAGTGCAGTGGTGCGACCTCTGCTCACTGCAACCTCCACCTCCCAGGTTCAAGTGATTCTTCTGCCTCAGCCTCCCAAGTAGCTGGGACCACAGGCACCTGTCACCACGCCCAGCTAATTTGCTGTATTTTTAGTAGAGACAGGGTTTCACCATGTTGGCCAGGATGGTCTCCATCTGTTGACCTAGTGATCTCCCAGCCCCTGCCTCCCAAAGCTGAGATTACAGGCGTGAGCCACCGCACCCGGCCACCAAGTTATATTTTCTAAAAGGAAATAAACTAACAAAATTATAACAGGGTAAATGGAAAAGGATATGGAGTCAAACAGATCCGGGTTAGAAGCCGATTTAGTGAGAACAGAGGAAGTTTAAATAACAAGAGTACTTTGCTGCTGGGTGTGGTGGCTCACACATGTAATCTAGGTACTTTTCAAGCTGGACAAGCTGTTTTACACCTGTAATCTCAGCACTTTGGGAGGCTAAGGTGAGAGGATCACTTAAGCCTAGAAATTGAAGACCATCCTGGGAAACATAGTGAAACCCCATCTGTAAAAATAAAAATTAAAAAAATAATTGCCTGGGCATCATGGCGTGTGTCTGTAGTCCCATCTGCTCTGGAAGCTGAGGTGGGAGGATTGCTTGAGCCCAGGAGGTAGAGGCTGCAGTGAGCAGTGATTGTGCCACTGCACTCCAGTTTGGGCAACAGAGTGAGACCCTGTCTTAAAAAAAAAAAAAAAAAAAAAAAGGAACATTTTGCAAGGTGAGTATTTCAGGGAAAAAGCTTCTTGCAGACCAAGGAATGTTTGCATTTATAGACTAGAAACTATAGCTGAAGGAGTTGTCCAAATTGACTCAGCTAGTGAATTTTAGAGCCAGGATTCCCAGCCCAATGTATTTGGAGCTTTTAAAAGTCTTCTGAAATCTTTTCCATAAATTCTTCTTGGCCAGGAATTGGAAGCATTAGCTACCTGTTAGCTTTTTAAAGGCTCAAGCAAAATTTATAAATATCTCACCAAGAATGTTTTCAGTTTTGTTTTTTAATGTGATTTTTAGTTTTCCCCATTTGTAGATTTTTAAAATCTTTTTAGTATCAAGTACTAAATGACTTGTACCGCCATCAGAGAATGTAATTTGGATATTTCTATCTGTCATTGGTATGTGCTTTGAGCAAAAGGGGACCTTAAGAGAAGCAATGGTGCGTGCCTGTAATCCCTAGCTACTGGAGAGGCTGAGGCACGAGAATCGCTTGAACCTGGGAGGCAGAGGTTGCAATGAGCCGAGATCATGCCACTGCACTCCAGCCTGGGCGACAGAGTGAGACTCTGTCAAAAAAAAAAAGAGAGAGAAGCAAAAGAAAGTCTTTGCTAAGTGATCTTTCTTCTTAGGGATATCTATAGTGGATGCTCACCTGGAATACCAGATGCAGCTGGGGTTAATGTGCTTCAGAAAGAGGCATGAAGGAAGTTTGAAGGTCCTACAGAAAAGCAGCAAAGAAGCCCACAGTGTTCACTCTTGATATTGTACATTCTACCCCAACACACAGCATTCTATGGGTTTGGACAAATTTGTAACAACATGTGTCTGCCATTATAATATCATACAGAATAGTCTCACTGCCCTAAAAATCCTCTGTGCTCTGTCTATTCATCCCTCCTTCCCCCAACCCCTGGCAGCCACTGATCTTTTTACTGCCTACAAACTTCGGCTTTCCCAGAATGTCATACAGTTGAAATCATATAGTATGCAGCCTTTTAAGATGAGCTTTTTTCACTTAGTAATAGGCATTTAGGTTTCTTTCATGTCTTTTCATGACTTGATAGCTCATTTCTTTTTAGTGCTAAGTGATAATTCCATTGTCTGGATGTACCACTGTTTATTCATTCACCTACTGAAGGGCATCTTCATTGCTTCCAAGTTTGGGCGATTGTGAATAAAGCTGCTATCAGCGTCTAGGTGTGGGTTTTGTGTGGACATAAGTTTTCAACTCCTTTGGATAAATATCAAGGAATGGAATTCCTGGATCACATGGTAAGAGTATATTTAGTTTTGCAAGAAACAGTCCAATTGTCTTCCACAGTGGCTGTACAATTTTGCATTCCCACTAGCAATAAATGAGAGTTCCTGTTGCTCTGTATCCTCACTAGCATTTGGTGTTGTGAATGTTTTAGAGTTTGGCCATTCTAATAGGTGCATAGTGGTATCTAACTGTTATTTTTATTTGCATTTCCCTGATGATGAATGACAAGGAATACCTTTTATATGCTATGTATCTAAAAGAAAAAGAAAAGGAACCATTATGAGACCAGTGTAACCCTAAGAACAAAACCTACCAAAGATATTACGAAGAAAGAAAACTGCAAACCAGTCTCACTTATGAACATCAATACAAAAATCTTAGCAAAAGATTACAAAATCAAATCCAGCAATATATTAAAAGAATAAGGAATGCAAGGATGGCCTTATAGTTAAAAATGATCTATACATTTTACCATATTACAAAAAAGGGGGAAATATTTTATTAATAGATGCAGCAAAAATATTTGATAAAAATTATGACTTTATCATAAAACTCTCAGCACATGAACAATAGGAAGTAACTTTCTCAGTCTAATGAGCATCTGCTTCAGTTATTTATTACTACAAAACAAACCACCCCAACATGCAGCAGCTTTAACAAGCAATTTTTTTCTTTTGAGACAGTCTTGCTGTGTTGCTCAGGGTGGAGTGCAGTGGTGTGATCTCAGCTCACTGCCTGGGTTGTGTGATCTCAGCTCACTGCCTGGGTTCAAGTGATTCTCGTGTCTCAGCCTCCCCAGTAGCTGGGACTACAGGAGCCCACCACCACGCCCAGATAATTTTTGTATTTTTAGTAGAGGCGGAGTTTCACCATGTTGGCCAGGTTGGTTTGGAACTCCTGACCTCAAGTGATCCGCCCACCTCGGCCTCCCAAAGTGTTGGGATTATAGGAGTGAGCCACTGCACCAGGCCCCAATTTTTTGAATATATATATTTTTAAATTTTCATTTTAGGTTTAGGGGTATATGTGAAGGTTTGTTACACAGATAAACATGTGTCACGGTGGTGGGTTGTACATATTATTACATCACCCAGGTATTTAGCTCAGTACCCAGTAGTTATCTTTTTTGCTCTCCCTTCTCCCACCCTCCACTGTCAAATAGACCCCAGTGTCTTTTGTTTCCTTTTTTGGGTTAATATGTTCTTATCATATACCTTCTACTTATAAGTGAGAAATGCAGTATTTGGTTTTCTGTTCCTGAGTTAGTTTGCCAAGGATGATAGCCTCCAGTTCCATCCATGTTCCCGCGAAAGAGATGATCTCGTTCTTTTTTATGGATGCATAATATTCCATGGTGTATATGTATTGTACCACATTTTCTTTATCCAGTCTGTCATTGATGGGCATTTGGAACAACCATTCTTTTTTTTTTTTCACTCACAAGTCTGCAATTTGAGTAAGGCTCAGGGAGTACAGGTCAGCTTGTTTCATGCAATGTCGGCTGGGGCAGTTTGACCCGAGGCTGGGGGCTCTGTTTTCGAGCTGACTCAGTCACATGGTTCACAAGTTGGTACTGGCTGTCAGACAGGAACTCGGCTGAGCTGTGAGCTAGGAACCTTGGTTCCTTTCCACGTGGAACCCTGATCTGGCTTCTTGGGCTTCCTCACAGCATGGCAGTGGGGTTCTGAGAATGAGTATCTCAAAAGTTCCAGGGAGAAGAGCATGGCATCTTTCATGACCAACCCTTAGAGGTCACATGCTTCCCTTCCATCATACTCTATTGATTGAGACAGTCACAAATGCCTGCTCATGTTCAACAGGAGGGAAAATAAACTCCACCTCCTACTGGTATCATGGCAAGGTTCTAGAAAAACATGTAGGATAAAAAATATTGTTGAGTCCATCTTTGGAAACTATCTGCCATAATAACTTTGAAAGACCTTAAGCTAACACCAATGTTAATTATGAAATATTGAGCACTTTCCTTCTAAAATTGGTGCTATACACTGAATGTTTATGCCCCTCCAAAATCCGTATGTTAAAGTCTAATCCTCAATGTAGTGGTATTTGGAGGTAAGTGTTAGTGAGGATGTGAAGAAATTGGAACTTCATACACTGCTGTTGGGAATATTGCAGATGTTGGCTAAATGCTTACAGTGGATTAACTGCCCTGTGAATACTGACAGTCTATCTTTACAGTGGATTAACTGCCCTGTGAATACTGACAGTCTATCTTCCTAGGAAAAAATAAATATATGTCACAAAATAGCCCTTGACAACATAATATTTGGATTAACCATTGGCATGAACCCATATGATGTTTCCTGTTTTTCTGTTGTTTCCTGATTAACCTCCTTCCATCATAGAATCTGCCCTCCCCTTTTAATATACAATTGCCTCTGCTCAGAAGTATTTGAAGACAAAAAACTAGCTGCTAATAAAGATCTGAATTATGTTGGCAGACATTCATGGAAAAGAGACCTAAGAATTCAGTTAAACTAAAACAGTGGGGGTTTTGTAAATATTAGCCCCAATACTGTGCCTTTAAACGAAACTGAACTAAACCGACTCATTCTCACATTTTAGGGTACTTTAATCTTTTTCCTTGGGATAGCCCAAGACTATTTACAACCAGAATTCCACTGGTTCCTGTCCTATTGGCTTTGTCCTCCTTTTCTTTTGGCTCCATTCACCCTTTGGATTTGGTGGCTGAACTCGGATTTTCACGTTTGGACTGTGCAGGACACTCGAAAACGTGGATCCTACTCAACTCTTGCTGCACTTACTCAGACTGCTTCAGGTAAAATACCTACCTACCTTTGGAGTCTGAGTCTGGTGCCAGATTGGGTCCCATTCCAATTGCCCAGTGGGTGGAGGGTTGGGAGGAGGTGGATTAGCCACTACAGTTCAAAAGATAACAGTCTTCTTGTCTCTACAAGTCTTAGTAAATGGCCTCTTCAAGTCCCAATAGCTCCTTGCTTACCAATGGCATTCAAAGCCCATTTTGATTTCTAGTGGTAATGTAAATTTTAGAGCCTGGAGGAAGCAAGATAAAATCCAAGTAGCCCCCACAGGCAAAAAATGAAAAACTCAAAGAACTATGCATGTCAGTTGCTGCTATTAGGGTGAAATATGCACTGATGAATTGTTGGGTACAGCGATAAAAGCCCAGGAAGTCATTTTGCTAGGCTCACCATTGATATTTGAGAATAACATTTAAGCATTTTCTCTTTCTCCAACTGTAAAATTTAAGCATTGCCTTTGTCTAACTGTAAGCCAAAAAGGAAAAACAGACAAAGTGGGAGGGAGGGGTAAGAAGATTTCAGGTGGCAAAGACTCTTTGAATTGAAACTTGTAAAATACTTTATAATCCTTGAATTATTGTAAGAGAGCAAATAAACCAATTGTGAAGTCACTACTTTTATTGTGATTTACCTTTTGGGATATAGGAGAATCTCACACATACAAAATTGGGTTAAGTGTAATCGATCCTTGGTTCACAAACGCTATTATCTTTGGTCCACATAAGCTATCTTTTATTTTTCACTTATTTATTTTCTAATTTGTTTTTGCTTAATTATTAATGAAAACCTATGAACCTGCCATTCAATCTAAGATCTACAATTATCCCAAAACTGAAAACTTTGCCAGGTATGGTGGTGCATACCTGTAGTCCCAGCTACTTGGGAGGCTGAAGCAGGAGGATCACTTGAGCCCAGGAGGTCAAGGCTGCAATGAGTTGTGATCATGCCACTGAACTCCAGCCTGGGTGACAGAATGAAGCCTCATCTCTAAAAATAAAAAACTTGGCTGGGTGTGGTGGCTCACGCCTATAATCCCAGCACTTTGGGAGGCCAAGGCGGGTGGATCACGAGGTCAAGAGATCGAGACCATCCTGGCCAACATGGTGAAACCCTGTCTCTACTAAAAATACAAAAAATTAGCCAGGCATGGTGGCAGGCACCTGTAGTCCCAGCTACTCGGGAGGCTGAGACGGGAGAATCACTTGAACCCAGGAGGCGGAGGTTGCAGTGAGCCAAGATTGCACCACTGCACTCCAGCCTGGCAATTGAGTGAGACTCACTCTGTCTCAAAAAAATAAAAATAAATAAAAAACAAAACTTGCCTGTGTGCTATCTTCAATTCTAGAAACACCCCCATTTTGAGTTTTGTGTTTATCATGTTTTGTATATACATAAACAATATGTTGTTTAGTTTTGCTTATTTTATATCTCAAACTTGCTGTTCTCACTCATTATTATGTTACTCAAATTCATTTATGTTCTGGTGGGTAGCTATGGTTCACTTGTCCTGTTGGGTGACTATGTCACAGAATATCTATTCTGCTAGTGTGAATATCAGTTTTTGCTGTTCATAGAGATATGGATGTTGAGGTAGAACACAAGAATATGCCTAGGAGTAGAATTGCTGGGTCATGAGATATGGGAATGTTTAACTTTACAAGATAATGCCAAATTGTTTTTCCAAAATGGATGTAGCAATTTACATTCCTGCCTGCAATCCTGTTGAGTCCCATCCTTCTGAAACTCGGTGTCAAATTAATTTTTGCCAATTGAAAGGGTATAAAATGGTATCTCATTGTGGTCTTGATTTGCATTTCCTTTTTAACTAATAAACTTGAGCATCTCTTCAAATGTTGCTTTGGCCATGTATATTATCTCTTCTGTGAAATGCCTTTCCATTACTTTTGGGTAGGCCTCTATTAGGTTATTTGTCTTTTCCTTATTAACTCTTATTAGCTTTATATACTTTAAAACTATTATTATCTATTATGTGTGTTACAAATACCTTATCTCAATATGTACCTTATCTTTTCACTTTTGAAAGGTCTCTTTGATGAGCGGAAGTCCTTTATTTTAATCTAGTCAAAGTTGTCAAGCTCTTATTTTATGACCAGTGCATTTGGATGTACTCTTTCAAAGATCCATGGTCAGAAAGTTTTAAAGTTTTACATTTGACATGTAAATCCTTAAACCATTTAGAATTGATTTTTGTGTTTGATATGAAGTAGGGATCCAATTTCACTTATTATTGTTTTTCTCTTTATAAATCACATTTCCGTATTCTCCGTTTTTCAGGTAGAAAGATTGACAGAGTGCCTAAGAAGAAAACCTCTCAATATATATTTTTCTCATTAGAGTCAAAGATGAGAAGACCAAGTCACCCATTTATGAGAACACAAATCTAATGAACTGCCCAGAGATTTATCGTCAGATTATAGGAATGGGAAGGGCTTTCGGAGTTGTAGAATTCATCACTCAGTCTCCAGAGACACTTCAACTAAATCACTTAGGACAAACAAATATTTGACTCATTTTAAGATTTCTCTGAGAAAAGATTTCTCATTCCAACATGTGATTGTTTTTGTTGAAAAGTTTCCCCTCAGCCTAGTCATGGAATTATGCTCATTTCCCTTATATTGACCCCTACAGGGAATTAACTTATTGTAATAATAATTTGCATGTGTAGCGCAAATCTCCCCAGACATTCTAACCCCAAATTAATTTAAGTTAATGTTGCAGATAAAGGTTTTGAACCTGACTCCATAAAGACTTTTACTGGCCTATAGAACATTTACCTCTCTTCTGGACTACGTCATCACATTGATGAGCCAATAGTAGTTATCATTAATGGCATAAAGAATATTGAGGTTCTTTTTTTTCAATTGAAAGACATTGCATTCAGTTGATGTGAAGGACCTCTTCAAGGAGAACTACAAACCACTGCTCAATGAAATAAAAGAGGACACAAACAAATGGAAGAACATTCCATGCTCATGGGTAGGAAGAATCAGTATTGTGAAAATGGCCATACTGCCCAAGGTAATTTATAGATTCAATGCCATCCCCATCAAGCTACCAATGACTTTCTTCACAGAATTGGAAAAAAAACTACTTTAAAGTTCATAAGGAACCAAAAAAGAGCCCACATTGCCAAGTCAATCCTAAGCCAAAAGAACAAAGCTGGAGGCATCACACTACCTGACTTCAAACTATACTACAAGGCTACAGTAACCAAAACAGCATGGTACTGGTACCACAACAGAGATGTAGACCAATGGAACAGAACAGAGCCCTGGGAAATAATGCCGCATATCTACAACTATCTGATCTTTGACAAACCTGACAAAAACAAGAAATGGGGAAAGGATTCCCTATTTAATAAATGGTGCTGGGAAAACTGGCTAGCCATATGTAGAAAGCTGAAACTGGATCCCTTCCTTACACCTTATACAAAAATTAATTCAAGATGGATTAAAGACTTAAACGTTAGACCTAAAACCATAAAAACCCTAGAAGAAAACCTAGGCATTACCATCGAGGACATAGGCATGGGCAAGGACTTCATGTCTAAAACACCAAAAGCAATGGCAACAAAAGCCAAAATTGACAAATGGGATCTAATTAAACTAAAGAGCTTCTGCACAGCAAAAGAAACTACCATCAGAGTGAACAGGCAACCTACAGAATGGGAGAAAATTTTTGCAACCTACTCATCTGACAAAGGGCTAATATCCAGAATCTACAATGAACTCAAACAAATTTACAAGAAAAAAACAGCCCCATCAAAAAGTGGGCGAAGGATATGAACAGACACTTCTCAAAAGAAGACATTTATGCAGCCAAAAAACACATGAAAAAATGCTCATCATCACTGGCCATCAGAGAAATGCCAATCAAAACCACAATGAGATACCATCTCACACCAGTTAGAATGGCGATCATTAAAAAGTCAGGAAACAACGTGCTGGAGAGGATGTGGAGAAAGACGAACACTTTTACACTGTTGGTGGGACTGTAAACTAGTTCAACCATTGTGGAAGTCAGTGTGGCGATTCCTCAGGGATCTAGAAATAGAAATACCATTTGACCCAGCCATCCCATTACTGGGTATATACCCAAAGGATTATAAATCATGCTGCTATAAAGACACATGAACATGTATGTTTACTGTGGCACTATTCACAATAGCAAAGACTTGGAACCAACCCAAATGTCCAACAATGATAGATTGGATAAAGAAAATGTGGCACATATACACCATGGAATACTATGCAGCCATAAAAAATGGTGAGTTCATGTCCTTTGTAGGGACATGGATGAAGCTGGAAACCATCATTCTCAGCAAACTATCACAAGGACAAAAAACCAAACACCGCATGTTCTCACTCATAGGTGGGAATTGAACAATGAGAACACTTGGACACAGGAAGGGGAACATCACACACCGGGGACTGTTGTGGGGTGGAGGGAGGGGGGAGGGATAGCATTAGCAGATATACCTAATGCTGAATGACGAGTTAATGGGTGCAGCACACCAACATGGCACATGTATACATATGTAACTAACCTGCACATTGTGCACATGTACCCTGAAACCTAAAGTATAATAATAAAAAAAAAGACATTGCATTCAGTTTAATTTTGTCTAAGCCTAATCCAATTTATTTTTAGCTCTAATGAACCTAGGAGAGAGAGTAAATATACAGCTGGAACTAGAAACAATAATTGTTCTAAACAATAACAACAGCAACAACAACCAAAAACTAAATTACAAACTGAATTTAAATCTAATTCTCAGGTTTTTAGATAACAGGAAAACAAGGGGGAAAATAATTAAATAGGCAGTAGTTCCGTTTTAGTCAACTATGCACTGAAAACAGAACAAGAAAGCCCTTCGTGCAATTCAAATACAAGATCATACTCTTGGATATTTTATCTGATAATAAATATAAGTATCTTCTTATTTATAAAGTATTAAGACAAAAATAAGCCAAGAAACCTACCCAAACCTGATAATTTTAAGAAAGGCCATACATTCTTTCATCTCTTCCCACTATGTATGTTCTGATATTCTTCTTCCCTGTAAGATTTTCTTCTTGGTACCTTTCAATTTGCTCATCTTTAACATTCTCACTGTAGACCCTTTGTTATAGACTAAAGGATACTATTTTTTAAAGTGCAGGGCTTGAATTAGAGTTCTTCTGTTCCTCTTTAGTAGTCTCAGTATAGTTATCCAAGAGTAACTTATAAAGGCACTTATCAGTTTGTTACTGGTAGGGTCTTGACTATGCATCATCCACATTCTTGGCATTTTGAATGAAGCAACGAAAGCATAGATTTATTGAAACGAAAGTACCTGCCACAGAGTGGTAGCAGGCTGGAGCAAGGGGCTCAAGAGACTTGGTTACAGAATTTTCTGGGGTTTAAATACCCTCTAGAGATTTCCCATTGGTTACTTGATTATACCCTATGCAAATGAAGACTTGGCCAGCGACCAGTCTGATTGGTTGCAGTAGGGGACCAATTAGAGGTACTTTCTATTTTTCATCTGCAATAGTGGAGGGGGGCAGATAGCAAAGGGGGCAGCCTTATCCTGGCTAACACGGTGAAACCCCGTCTCTACTAAAAATACAAAAAGTTAGCAGGGCGTGGTGGCGGGTGCCTGAGGTCCCAGCTACTCGGGAGGCTGAGGCAGGAGAACGGCATGAACCCAGGAGGTGGAGCTTGTAGTGAGCCAAGATCACGCCACTGCACTCCAGCCTGTCCTTTTGATTCAGTTCTAGGAAGTAAGTGTGAGTTGGCCTTAGGTTCTTTTCCTCCAGACCCTATTCTCCTGCCTCAAGTTTAGGTGGAAATTGTTGACAATGGCTTTATTGCTTTTATGTACAATAGAAAATAGTAATGCACATTTAGGGGTGGGGGAAAGAAGATATATAAGCATTTACTTATTTTTGTTAGAAAATCTCTTGTGTAGTAATATTGCTAATAGCGATCTAAATGAAGGCTCAGTTGAGGCCATCATAAAACTATTCAAATATTGAAATACACTTTTAAACTCTAAAACTGAAAGCTACATTCTCTCATAATTAGTAAATGAACTAGAGGTTATATTTCTGTTTTCATTTTATGTTCAAACATGTGTACTCACAACTTTTCCCCCAAATTAGAAGCTATACAAGCTCTTTTGGGTTCCCATCAAAGAGTTCTTAATTTCCTGCTTTGCCTATGCCATGAATGTGATGAGTTTTGAACAAATCATTCTATTTTTCATTCATTTAGTTAATATGTTAAATAGAGATTACCAGCACACTTTGCAAGCCTTTGTCATAAATAAAAATAGTTGAGAATGAGTAAGTACTACATGCTATGTTTACTAGCACAATTCCTTATTTTCCCTTAAAGTAGTTTGTAAGGCATCTGGGTTCTGGTCTATCACTATTCTTGGTTTAGAACTAAAAAGAATAAGGTAAAGAATCCTAGAAAAGACTCTGTAAACAAAGAAAGGTCCCAAAATATATATTATTGTATATTTTTAAGAGACGAATAGGAAGAAGGAGTAAAAGTATCTTTTCTGTCCTTTTCTTCCAAGTTTCAACTTTATACCCTAAAAATACAAAAATCAACTAATTACATTGGAGACTCAATGAGTAAGTGTCAACACAAATGCCAGTGTGTTTCTAAGTTGGAAATTAACAGAGGGCAGGTCAGGAGTAGCTTCTCTTCCATCCCTCCCAAGTTCCACCTTTGATGCCTAAGCACCTCTGTCCCAGGGAGGACCTGCAGCCTTTCACCGGGCCATGACTGGGGCAATCTCCCCAGGCCAGGCTGTCCCTGGTTACCCTGTAGGCCTGGAGGAGCCTGGTTCCCTCACTGAGTCAGCTCAAGGCAGGTCCCACAATTCAGTTTGGTCTGTGTTTAGCTCTTGGCAACTGCTCAGAAAAAATAGAAAGGTGGTGGATAAGATGGAAGGGGCTAGAGAAGCAAAGGGATGGTGGAGAATCACTAATTGTCATTTTCTTGTCCTCTCCAATGGCAAGTGATTGGTCATTGTCAGTTGCTCCTTTCATGGAACACTTTTATGTCCTGGGGAGAACACTGTCCTTTAGATTTGTTGTCTGGACCTCCACTGGAGTATGTAGTCAGTGTCTTTCAGTGAATTTGTCCAACTTTTCAGTGAATCCAAGAAACAGTGCTCTTTCAGTTCCCAGGGTAGCTTGCCAATGGCCATTAGTTATTTTGTTTTAAAGAAAAAAAAGCAATATATCGGGATGAGGAGAGGCAACATTTATATGGATGATATGAAAGAGAAGAGTGTAAACTGAGGTAGGAGTTGTCTTGGATAGTAGGGGAAGTCAGGAAGAAACATAAATATGTAAATGACAGAAAATGCAATGACAAAAACTCATAAACACTATGGTCATAGACACTATGGTAATAAATGCTTACATATTAAACAATATATCACCTAAAGGAAAAATAGAAAGATAATAGTATGAATTGCTGAGATGTCTCAAAATTTAATGGTTTATTTAGTCTTTTTTCTGTTTTTCTCTCACTCTTCAGGAAAAACTACAAATATAATTTTGCTTGTCTCGGAAACTTTTTATTGGGTTTCTAGTTGCACCAAAAATTTGAGCTTTTAAGTTTTACTTTTAAGATCTAGGACATACGGAGGCCTTAAGGGTTAGAAGTCATTGTGCCTTTTTTTTTTTTTTTTTTTTTGCAGTAAATGAATTGACTTTGTGGCAATTAAGGCCGGGTTGAAAATAGCATTACACATTCTGTGTGCATAGGACACAATGACATCTGAAGGTGACCGATAGAACAAAGCCTGGTCTAAATGTGTGCTGTTTTCATGAGGTGAGTGCAGGCTGAATGTTGGCTCAGCCCATTCTGTGAGGCTTTCCTTGCTCTTCCAGCCCAACCCTCTTCTTCCTCCGCAGCCCCACAGCTCCTTAGTGTTTCTTGGGCTACCTGTCACGTGCCTACACAGCTGCCAGTGTCTTGAGGCCTCAGACCACATTTTAGGTCACATTCCCTTAAAACAAAACAAAACAAAAAGCCCATGACAAAACTTTGTGCGCATGTGTGTGCATGTGACATATCGAGAGAGCTCTCTCAGGAGACATCCACAGGGGAGGGAGGCAGCAGGATAAGGAAGGGAAAGGACATGGCTCCCAACAGGTCTTTGTGAGCTCTGGAGCATAAATTATGCTGCAGAGTCTGTCCTGCCTTGAGACTGGGAGCAGGACTTTAATACCCTCCTCCAGGGGTTCCTGGCCACGCATGAAGTCATCTCAGCTCTGAGCACGGTGGCTTCCATTGCCCAAAGGCAATTCTCCGGACATGTTTGCAGGGGTGAGCCTTCAGCCAAGCATCCACAAAAGCTGGGGAGACAAGCATACCAACCAACAGTAAAAGGGATTCAAGGGATCCGGCTGGAGCACCAGCATCTTCTGCCCCAGAGAGGACCCACTTAGCAGAAATCTGCATGGATTATGACTGAGGAGCAGAATCTGGCAGCATGGACTACTCAAGACCTAGGATCAGATGATGATAGTAAGAGTAATCAATATAGGGCTAGGAGCAGGGGCTCACGCCTGTAATCCCAGCACTTTGGGAGGCCGAGGTGGGTGGATCACTTGAGGTCAGGAGTTCAAAACCAACCTGGGCAATACAGTGAAACCTCGTCTCTACTAAAAATGCAAACATTGACTGGGCGTGGTGGGTCATGCACTTTGGGAGGCCAAGCACTTTGGGAGGCCAAGGCAGGCAGATCACCTGAGGCCAGGAGTTTGAGACTAGCGTGGCCAACATGGTGAAACCCCATCTCTATTAAAAATACAAAAAGTTAGTCAAGCATGGTGGCGGGTGCCAGTAATCCCAGCTACTCAAGAGGCTGAGGCAAGAGAACTGCTTGAACCCAGGAGGCGGAGGTTGCACTGAGCTGAGATTGCACCACCGCACTCCAGCCTGGGCGACTGAGTGAAACTCCATCTCAGGAAAAATATAAATAAATAAACAAAAATTAGCTGGGTGTAGTGGCGGGCGCCTGTCATCCCAGCTACTCGAGAAGCTGAGGCAGGAGAATTGTTTGAACCCTGGAGGCAGAGGTTGCAGTGAGCCGAGATTGCACCACTGCAGCATGGTGGCTTCCCTTAAGGCCTCCGTATGTCCTCCAGCCTGGACAACAGAGCAAGAGTCCATCTCAAAAAATATATATATATAAATAATTTTTTAAAAAATCACCATAATAGCTAATACTTATATACTGTTTACTACATGCCAGGCACTGTACTAAGCCCTTTTGTTAAATGAACATATTTAATCCTCACAGTAACCTGATGAGGTAGGTACTGTTCTTCCCAATTTACAGATGAGGAAATTAACACTCAGAGAGGTTGCATCCCTTCACTAAGGGTAACTGCAAACAGGTGACTGAGCTGAGTTCTGAATCCAGGTGGTTTCTCTCCCGAGTCCCTGTACTCTGTGGCCTCTTTGTAGCCCCATTTCCTTTCCAATCCAGAATTCAGCCACCACTGCCAGGAGAGTGGCAGTGGGGTGTGTATTAGTCTCCTATGACTGCTATAACAAATTACCACACTTGGCGGAGTAAAACAACACAAATGTATTATCTTACAGTTCCAGAGGTCGGAAGTCTCAAATGGGTTCCACTGGACTAATCTCAAGGTGTCAGCAGAGCAGCGTTTCTTCTGGAAGCTCTGAGGGAGAATCCAGTTTTGTTTTGGTGGGGTTTTTTGGTTTGTTTTTATTTTTGTTATTTTTTGTTTGTTTGTTTTCATTTTCCAAATTCTAGAAGCCGCCTGCATTTCTTAGCTTATGGTCCTTTCTTAGCTTATGGTCCCTTCTCCCTTCTTCAAGGCCAGCAGTGTAGCATCTTCAAATCTCTCTCTCTCTAACCCTGACCCCCATTTCTGTTGCCATATCTTCTTTGACTCTCCTGCCTCCGCCTTTCACTTACAAGGATGCTTGCGATTACACTGGGCCCACCCAGGTAATCCAGGATATTTTCCCTATCTCTCTATCTTTAAATTAATCATGTCTTCAAAATCTCCTTTGCCATGTAAGGTAACATATTCATAGCTTCTAGGAATTAGGACCCAAGCATCCCTGGGGGCCATTATTCTGCCTACTGTAGAGTGGCAAGGAGTTGTCTCAGATTTCATTTTGGCCACTTAACCCAGCAGAAGGAAAGTTCAAGATATATTTTAAGTTTAATTATGGAAGAATAAAGCCACATTTCTTTCACATCTGAATTGGTAACCTGAGATTCATATCTGGTAATATGGTTTGTACATGTCTTATAAGCTACATCCATTAACTTATTTATTCATTCATTCATTCGCTTAACAAGCATTTATCTACTGCATACGTGGACTGTTTCATGAGATAAATTATCTTCTGTAGTGTTTTAGCCATTTTACATCTGGGGGACACTTTGCTACTGGGATCTAGGCTACCCCAAATACTACAATTAAATTTGATAATACAATTTTAGATGTGAGCACACAGAGGTTAGTTACTCTAAGTCAGATTCCTTGTTGCTATTCCTTATTATTTGGGTTAGATTGTTTGTAATTTTCTTTTTTTCTTTTTCTTTTTTCTTTTTTTTTTTTTTTGAGGTAGAGTCTCACTCTGTCGCCCAGGCTGGAATGCCGTGGTGCAATCTCAGCTCACTGCAACCTCCGTCTCCTGGATTCAAGCAATTCTCCTGCCTCAGCCTCCTGAGTAGCTGGGATTACAGGCATGTGCCACCACGCCCAGCTAATTTTTGTATTTTTAGTAGAGACAGGGTTTCACTATGTTGGTCAGGCTGGTCTCAAACTCCTGACCTTGTGATCCAACCTCCTTGGCCTCCCAAAGTGGTGGGATTACAGGCACGTGCCACCATGCCTGGCTAATTTTTGTATTTTTAGTAGAGACGGGGTTTCACCATGTTGGCCAGGCTGTTCTTGAATTCCTGACCTCAGGTGATCCACCCACCTCAGCCTCCCAAAGTGCTGAGATTACAGGCGTGAGCCACCACGCCCAGCCAGGTTGTGACTGGATTATTTCACTTAGCATTATGCCCTCAAGATTCATCCACGTTGTAGCATGTGTCAGAATATTCTTCATTTTTAAGACTGAACGTTATCTCATTGTGTGTATATGCCACATTTTGTTTATCCATTCATCCATCGGTGGACATTCGGTCTACCTATCTGTAATTCTTTCAGAACCTAGGAGGCTTCACTGCAAAAGAAAGGTTCTACAGGTAATATTTTAGATCAATTCTATTTCTCTACCTCCAACAGACCTTCCTTACCAACCACATTCTAATTCTGAAATAACACACTCAGGTATTTAGATGATAGTTGAATCGATGCATGAATAGATACAATGTAAGGTTTTATTTGTTTAAAAAAACAAAGCACTTGAGTAGTCACTAGTACATTTCCCGCACATTTTGATGTGCCATGTAGAAAAACAAATCTACTCAAGAAATCAGTTGAAAATATGATTAATGAAGAGCATTACTGTAAGATATAAGGCCTGAAGTTGACATCAGAACATCTACAATTATATTCATTACTCTGAAATTTTGCATTTGCCTCATGCTGAAGAACAGAATACAATTTTATAGCTCTATTATGATTGCACATAGCTTTTTGCTCTGTTATCTCAAAGAGAAGGCCTATAATTTATACCTCCTATCCTTAAAAAGATATTTTTCAGCTTTACATTAAAAGAGAAAAAGAACGTTTCAAACGCTGATTTAGGTCAGAAGTTAAAGTTGTTTCATCAACTCAACAATTAATGAAACTTGGATTTTGATTATGAAAGAACAGTGTCACTTCATTTTTGATGTCCATCCTACAGAAATATTGGTAAATGTATACAAGGTTGTGTGAACAAAGATATCTGTTGGATTACTGTTTATGTAAAGAAAATAGAAGTGTCCGAAATATCCAACAATAGGAGAATGGTTATATGGATCATGGTACATTGAACTACAGACTAATATGTGACCATTTATAAGAATGTAACAGTCACTATATCCTTACCTGGAAATAGCTCCAAATGTATTGTTATGTTAAATAAAAAGCAAGCTGCAGATTAATACATACGATACTCTTTTATTCAGCCCATCTTTGTTGAAAATCAACCACCTAATAGCTAATTGTGAGGATTTAATGAAGTATAATTCATGTAAAGCTTCCATAGAACACAGCCCACACATATATCAAGTGCTCCACAATGTTAGCTATTTTACTAGATAATATTTTGCTTATAAAGTAGCAGAATAATAAAATAAGCAGAATAACCTCCAAGAATAAGTCTCCAAGATATGATGTTTCCATTCCTTTAAGCAATAAAGTGAAATCGTGGACTTGGTCTTCATCATCCCCTTTTCTGCTTTGTGGACCTGCTTCTCTTCGGATTTCCAGGGTCCTTGGGCTATAGTACCTGCATCCTTTCATGGGTCATACCCTATCTACTCAGGATGCCTCATGAGGCCCTTATTCAGGTGTCTCATCTTTGAGCAGAGGATAAAATATTTATCTTTCCTGTGTTCCAGCCCCATTAATATACTGACTGAATTACTAGCTAACCAAAAAAGCTAATCTATATCAGATCTATGAGTCTTTGCTAAGGATTCTCATTTTTCACAAAGATGTCTACATTTAACAGCATATTTTGGAGACACTCTCATCTTATGGCATCATTGTCTGCCATTCTGGGTTCAGAGTGCAGAGAGAATGAGTTGTACAATCTGGGTTCTGCAATCACATGGCCTGGCTTGGAAGCCCAAATCCACCATGTATTCTTAGTTCTGCAATTTAAGGCAAATTACTTACTTTTCCTAATTCCATTTTCTCCATTTGTAAATACAGAATAATACACATTTTTTAAAGGTCCTTGGAAGGATTATTAGGATAATAGATGTGAGGCATGTAGCATAGTGTGGGGCATACAGAGTACATTCACCAACTCATAAAGATATGACTGTCTACATAAATCAGTGAACATCTAGACAATTTCATATTCCCTCTCTCTCTAATGTGTGTGGTAGTCTCATCTGCTTATTACAGCTATAAATTCCTTGAATATGGCACTCTGCCTTCTATTTAAGATTTACCCCCATAGCTAAGGTGATTTGGTGCTGAGATTTTCCAGGGAATCTTTTTTGTCCCCTTTGAAAGATCAAGGTGTGGACCATGTATCAGCTTTCTAGACTGGACAGTATGGCCAGAAGAATAACATAGAAATTAAGACTGTGCTTCCTGGAGTCCAACAGACAGAATTCTGCCACATATTCACTGTGTGATCTTAGGCAGATTATTTAATTCCAATAAATCTGAATTTCCTAATATGTGTATGTGACTAGTAAAAATTCCTAACTCATAAGGGTTAGTATGAGAGTTCAATATGATTGTGTATATAAAAAAAAAGTAGCAGGGTTGCTGGCATATAATACATGCTGATAAATGTTAACTGATAACATCCTCCTCCTCCTTACCTGAATGCTAGAAAACCTAGCCCTAATGCTTAGCGTATAGTTCTCATTCCTTCATTTGGACAATGGCTTAATGAGTGCCAACTACGCCAGGAACTGTAATAGGCACTTTAGAATATAAAGATGAATGAGTGTGTTCCTATAATCATGTTGCTCACTAAATGATGAAGGAGACTGACAGACAACATGGTAAGTTAAACGATGAGAGTGGTAATGCAGGAGGAAGAATAGAAGGAAATCAATACATTTTCCTGATGAATTCAATGGGCTTAAATGTGCTCACTGCAAAGGCTGACCCACCATCTCTATTTCCTTCCAGAACATAAAAGTGTATTTTGTCCAGGCCCAGGGAAAACACTGTACTCCACTATCTGCCTGTTAGTAGAGGCTTCCTGGCAGGGCTTTCAGGGCAAGTGAGATTATGACACAGAAAGACATATTCTCAAAATGGCAGAACCCTGTGGTTGCCCTCTGAGCCCCTATGCTGGACGTGGCTGCTTTGCTCAGGTCTGGGGCAGGCCCTCCATTCATTCACTCATTTATTCGTTCATTCATTCATTCTTTCATTCAGGGAGTGAATGGTCTCTGGGTCACTCTCTTATTAACGTGGGTGGTTGGGCTCCTACATAAACATGTGTATGCCTAGCATGTTCCATGTTCACAAACACTCAAAACCTTCTGTCAATGATTTCCTTTTTTAACGGTTTGTATATCTTCTATGTTTACATATTATGATGCTGTATACAGGCTTTTGTGTGTAGAGAAGAGGGCACATGATTCAAGCCTTGGATTTCCCACTAGCTTTCTGGGCAATACTGCTCTCATCTGTAAAAAGGGAGGTGATAACACTGGCCCTGCCTCCCTCCCATACATATCAGGATTCAAAGAAGGAAGCACATTCTGGAGTAAAGAAAACTATATACATTTAAGTCAATGTTATTGTTATTACTAAAATGAATACCTTTTTAATTTATCACTGTTTCTTTTCTTAAATAATAGAAAAATCAGTGAAAAAAATCAATGGAGAAATGTTCTCAATTTGCCAGTTGCTTGTCAGTATACATGTTTAGTAAGGACACACTAAAAATATCTTGTACAAAGGGATGCCTCAGAATGTTCAAAGGGGATGCGCCTACAGCATCAGGGTGCAGTGAAACATTTGTCAGTCAGCGACAGGCTTTGCAGAAAGGCCTCATCTATGCAATGATATAGCACTTTATTACAGATGCTAAATGGGATCATTGCTTATAGAGATCCTGAATGTGGTATTTTAATAAAGCAGAAGACAGCTGGCCTCTGTTAACCAGACAGGAGGACATGAGTGGATGATGACTTTGATCTCTGAAGAAATTTATAGAGTGGGATAAGAAAGGAAGAAGGGGAAAGAGCAATAATATCAAAGCAAGAAACATCCATTAACAAGGAGCTAGGGCAAGAAAAAGATTCCAAGTCCAGTTCCCTGCCTCTGTCCAGGGAAATGAATCTAAATTCCATCACAAAAACACTATATTGAGCGACAATGGTTCCAGAATTCCCCACGGATACCAAAATCTATGCATGCACAAATCTCTTACATAAAATGATAATGTAGTATTTGCATACAACCTATGCATACCCTTCCGTATACTTTAAATCACTCTAGATTACGTATAAAATATAATACAATTTAAATAGTTGTTATACTATATTGTTTTCTGTTTTTATCATTTTTATTGTTTTTTTTTTTCCAAATATGTTCAACCCCCAGTTTGTTTAATCTGCAGATGTGGAACTCATGTATATGGGGGGCTGACTGCATATGAATATTTGGGTCTTGCCAGAGCAGAAAACTGCTGTAAAACTTGTAACTCTATAAACCTTGACATACTCATTTTTGAGCATGGAAGGATTCAAACTATATACATGTTTGTTATAGTATAGTTAAATCTAATCATGAGGTGAAATTTGCATTTGGGGAAATAATAGTTAGAGTCGCTATTTTAATTCCTGTGCAGCATTCACACTGAGGCCACACTTTTCCCAGACTTCTCCAAGCCAATGACTAGCACAGTGGAGTAGAAGAGCCTGGTGATTTCTGCCCAAAATGGGACACCTCTACTGGGAAACTTTTGCTCTGGAATTCCCCCATAACCTTGGCTGAGACTTTCTCAGAGCTAAACTACAGACTAAGTCTCTTCTTACTCAAGCCTCTTTCCTTCCCTTCTCCTTTTGCTGGGGTCAGACCAGCCTCACATCTGAAATATTTCCCTGTTAGACCAGCTCCCTCTTCTCTTTATCCTCCACAGCCATTCCTCCCAATAAATCCATCGCACTTCTAAATCCACCTGCTTTCTGGTGAGCCTGAACTGACACATATCCTCAAAGGTTTGTTGTGAAGATTAAATGAGATCATGCATGTAAAGTGCTTGTCATGATGTTGGAATCATAGCAAAAGCTCATTGAGAACGAGTTGAATTTTGAGAAAGAAGAATACAGTTGGAAGAATCACACAATTTGATTTTAAAACTTATCATTAAGCTACAGTAACCAAGAAATGAGGGTATTGATGAAGGAATATAGATGCACAAATCAATGGAACAGAATAGAGAGTCCAGAAATAGAGCCACTTCAATATATCCAATTGATTTTTTACACAGGTGCAAAAGCAATTCAATGGAGAAAGGATGATCTTTTCCAACAAATGGTGTTGGAACAATTGGACATTCATAAACAAAAAAAATGAGCCTTGACCTAACTTTATATCTTACACAAAGCTTATCTTACACAAAGATCTTTCAAAGATCTATATGAAAAATCTAAAACTATAAAACTTTTAAAAAAAGAACACAGGCAAAACTATAACATGGGGTTAATTCTTAGACATAAAGGAATGACTCATAAAAGAAAACAATCATACATTAGACTTCATCAAAACTTTTTACCCTTGAAATGTACTGTTAAGAGAACGAAAAGACAAGCTGTAGACTGGGAGAAAACATTGGTAAATTAAATATCCTGCAAATGACTTAATATCTAGAATATATAAGAATCCTCAAAATCAACAGTAAGAAAACAAACAAATCAATTAAAAGCCAGGAAAGACAAACAGATACTTCACTAAAGTGGACATATGGATGGCAAATAAGCAAATGAAAAGATACCCAACATCTTTAACCATTAAGGAAATGCAAATCAAAATCACAATGAGGTATTGCTACATACCAAGTAGAATGGTCAAAATAAAAAAATACTGACAATACCAAGTGCTGGGAAGGATACAGAACAACCAGAACTCTCAGACATAGCTGATGAGAATGCAAAATAGTCAAGCTATGCTGATGCTTCCATATAAAGTTAAATATAGGTTTATCATATGACTCAGCAATTCCACTCCTAGGTATTTACCCTAGAGAAATGAAAATGTGTGCATAAAAAAAATCTGTACACAAATATTTATAGCAGCTCTACTCTCAATTGTCTAAAAACAACCCGAATATCTTTCAACAAGTGAATGCATAAACTGTGGTGCATACATACAATGGAATACTACTCAGCAATGAAAAGGAGAAAACAATTAATACATGCAACAACTTGGATGCATCTCAAAAGCACTATGCAGAGTGAAGGAAGTCATTCTCAAAAGGTTATGCATTGTATGATCCATTTATGTGACATTCTCTAAAAGACAAAGCTATAGTGATAGAGAACTGATCAGTGGCCCAAGGATATGGGTGAGGGGAGGATGTGACTACTAATGGGCAGCCTAAGGGAATTTTTCTGGAGTGATAGAATTATTCTGCATCCTGACTGTGGTAGTGTTACCGAGAAATCAATGGGCTTGCTGCCTGATGTACACAGAGGTGAATACCATGGCACTCACTTTTGAGCAAAAATTCTTTATTTGGCAAGGAGACAGGAGGAAATGCCCCAGTGTGTCTCCCCAAGCTGGGTTTGGGTCAGGTTTTATAAACATAGGGTAATGAGGTGTGATCTGGTTGGATCTTGCAATGAAGTGATGCTGGGAGGCATGATCTGACTGGATCCTGCTATCGACCGTGGGGCAATGCCAGAGCTCGATCTGATTGGATCCTGGATCCTGACATGCAGTGTCTGCTTCTTAATTCAGTCTCTGCTCCTCAGTCTGGGCACTTAGGTTCCCCCTGTGATTGCACACTTGGTTCATCTGGGCATGCTCAGGTTACATGACCTTCATCCTGGGGGTCTATGGCAAATGAAAAACAACTCACAACATTGTTGCATAAAAGTTGAGCCAGTGGCTGGGCACAGTGGCGCAAACCTGTAATTCCAGCACTTTGGGAGGCCGAGGCGGGCGGATCACCTGTGTCAGGAGTTCGAGACCAGCCTGGCCAACATGGCGAAACACCGTCTCTACTAAAGTATGAAAAAAAAAAATTAGCCAGGCATGCTGGTGGGCACCTACTGCAATCCCAGCTGCTCGGGAGGCTGAGGCAAGAGAATCGCTTGAACCTGGGAGTCGAAGGTTGCAGTGAGCCAAGATTGCACCACTGTACTCCAGCCTGGGTGACAGAGTGGGACTCTTGGCTCAAAAAAAAAAAAAAAGTTGAGCCAGATTGATCTGGTGTGGTTACCGTAGTGGTTACATGAATCCATACTGTATTAAACTTCATACCATTATGTACCAAAAAAAGGTTGATTTTACTGTATGATAATTTTTAAAAATGAAGTTAAAAAAATTTGGTCATTGATATAAATATTGATATCATTGAGTGTTTATTATATAAATAATAGTTGTTATTGATTATTGTCTACTTGTTTTACGTATTCCTAGTTTTTACTTCCCCCACCCTGCTAAACCTCTACTCAAGCTCATGCCAACTCTCTCTTGCTGTTGGCATGCTAAAACCTCATTCAATCCTGAAGTAAATCTAGGAATATTTTCTTCAGAAAATTGGTTCCGCAAAGGATAGCTAAAAATGCTGTTAACTTTCCCGAGTTAATAATGATGACGATGATGATGATGCAGATTATGATAACAGCATTCTGAAACTCTGAAGTGTTTTCCCAATGGTTCATATGTGTAGGACAAGTTATTAACAGTAACTCTTCTTCCTGGCATGAAAGCCAGCAAGTCATGGCTCAAAATGGGGTGAGGACTTCCAGAGGGGTGCCTTTGGACTAAAGGATTATTTTTGCTTCCTGGGAAGACTCTCGATGGGTCTGCGTGGCGGGGTGGAATTATAGAAATAACTATAAGGATTGATTCATCTCTTTTTCTTTCCTTTTTTTTTTTTTTTTGTGACGGACTTTGGCTCTCGTTGCCCAGGCTGGAGTGCAATGGCACGATCTCAGCTCACCGCAACCTCTGCCTCCCGGGTTCAAGCGATTCTCCTGCCTCAGCCTCCCGAGTAGCTGGGATTACAGGCATGCGCCACCACGCCTGGCTAATTTTGTATTTTTAGTAGAGACAGGGTTTCTCCATGTTGGTCAGGCTGGTCTCAAACTCCTGACCTCAGGTGATCCACCCACCTTGGCCTCCCAAAGTGCTGGGATTACAGGCATGAGCCACCATGCCCGGCCAATCCATCTCTTTTTCACTTATTTTCTGATTATGCCCACTCTTCATCAGTTGCTGACTTGCTTCTGAAAACTAGGCAATCCTGTCTACCGGGTACCTGCTGGATTGCAGATGGTTTGCCTTGGTTGAGTGATGGAACACTCATCCAGTGATGAAGACTGGCATGGGGGCTCCCAGGGCACCAATTGCATGAATCAAATGTAGCCAATTAACTGTCTTTTCCCCCTTTGGATAGTCCTATTATTTTTCTCAAAAGCACATCCACCTCATCTACCTACCAACCACAGAACCACTCTGAGTTCGGAGTTCCTACGCAAGGGCAACAATTCTCTGGTTGAATTCAGAAGTCCACAAACCTTATTTACGCAGTCACTGGAAGTTCATCCACAGTTTTTAAGGAAAATTCACCAAGGATAGCAAGTGTGACTTTTGTGGGTACAGAGATCGCTGCGGGTGTCCCACTTGATGGTATTTTCCATGGCAGATACCTGAAATGCTTTCTCAGTGTTTTTTCCAAAGGCTGTGTTCAACAACAATGGTTATTCAAATTAACAAAGCTTAAACAACACTAAGTTACTATTCTTTTTATTTGTCAAGTTGGCAAAGCATGACCTTGGCCATGCCCTCGCTCTGCAAGTACACAGCTTGAGTGGACCCAGGGCCCCAGGTCCAGCCAAAGCCCTCTTCCTGCACACATATCCTCATGTTTTAACTTACTATTGTCTATTTACTTTATTTAATAAAGTTTACTGCTTTTCTATCATAAAAGCAATGTGTGCTTAGTATAGAAAAATATATAAAACACCAAAATATGTAATCAAGCAAAAGTATTCCCTGTAATCTCAACACTCATAGAAATCGCTGTCAAAATGTTGATAACATTCCTTAAAGTGTTTTTTGTAAGCAGTATTTTTTCCTGCTTTGAAGTAGAGTTAGGATGACATTAAATATAGTATTTTCTGGCTTTTATTTTCACAGAACCTCTCATCAGGCATAGCCTGTTTGTACCTATGTTTTCATTTTATTTAAGTAGGGAAGTACTCAACTCAACAATTCTTGTCCCAAATGATAGTTTTGACATCTCATCATTAAAAATTCATACCACCTACGCCTGCCTCACTGCCAGCTTCAATTCCTTGTTTTGTTAAAACTTTTGCATGCATGTTTTCTCTGTTCTCTGCCATAGGGAACTCCAGGGAGAGGGAAAGATAAACATTTATGTGGGGTTTTCACTTTCGGTTAAGAGCTTTATGGCTAACAAACTTCTTTCGCCTGTAAAAGGCCTCTTGGGATCAAATTCTGTTTCTTAGAGAGCTTCAGATGTGTCCATGCAACACCCTGGCATCCTTCCACCAACTTCCCAACACAGAGAGAAGATACACATCTGATTCTAGTGTTACCATCCTTATTAATGCCTCATTTCTTCGCTGGAATAACACCACCTGCCACAGCTTAGAGTTAAAGCCTTCCTCAGTGTTTCTTGTAGTACCCAAGAAAAACAAACACCCATTTGCTACAATCTTTCAAATCTGCTTCCTGAGAAATAATGACCACAGGGGATTCCAGCTGCTTCACAGGCTCTGAAATGGCATCAGCTTTAAAAATCTCCTTCAGACCTGTGCTCCAGAATTAGGAAAGAATGTGAAACTTTACTGTACACCCAAAGAGAATGCAGAAAAATACTAAGTGTTCTGAATTTACAAACAGGGTAAGGGATCATCAAGGCTCAACCTAAGTGCTCTCCTTCAGGGAAGGATTCCTGCAAGAGGTAATATCTGAGGAGAGGTATGAGGAATGAGTAGGAGTTAACCAGGGCGGGGTGGGGGCAAAGAGTGGGAACATCTTGGCAAATGTGTATGATATGATCAAAGGCACTGAGGCAAGAAGTGGGGAAGGAGAGGTGCAGAGGGAGAGCAGTAAGACCCAAAACCAGGGAACAAATCTCTCAGAAAAACCCCCACCAGTCTAGGCTGAGTGTAACTATTCTGTTGGGATTCACTGATGTGGGATTGTTGCTGCTTGCTACAATTTGCGCCATATTAAAATCCCAATATGTAAACTAAGATACAAACAAATGTATTTTTAGCAATTCTCACTTTTGAAACTTCCTTCTTTCCACATTTTCTCCTCAATAAGAACCTAGCTCCAAATAGTTTCCATCCTTTTTTGATGTAGAGTTGTATGTAAGTTTAGATTATTAGCAACGGTCTCACCCAACAGTAGGAGATAATCTGCTTATATTTGAATAAAGATATGAGCGTTTGTATGTGTATGTGTGTGTGTATGTGTAAGGTGACACAATAGATATGCTTTATCCATTGAACTTTATTCCCTAAGTACATTTTCATTGCTCTGTGGCTTGGCCCATGCTGTTCCCCATGCCTAGAATGCCATTCCTCCTATGCCTTCCCCATCTGATGAATCTTTGCTAATCTTTCAAACCCAATACCCACTCCTTGATGCCATTCACCATGGCCCAGGCAGCGTTCATTGTTCCAGCTGTCTTCCCAGAACATTTTCTATCAGTTTTGAACACTTAAGATGCTCAACTGTGGCTGGGCATTAAGATTGTTGGGGTTGTTTTGTAAAAAATACCTTTTCTTAGCTTTACCCCTCGAGATTCTGATGTCATTGGTCTGGGGTAGAGCCTAGGAATCAGTATTTTTAAAAAGCTCTCCAGATATTTCTAATGTGAATCAATATGGAGAACCAATACTTATCCTAAGAATCTATCTGTTGACCTGTCTTCCTCCCCTATTAGACTTTGTGATGGTTAATTTTATATGTCAATTTGGCTAGGCCATGGTACCCAGATAGATAGTCAAAACGATTCTAGCTGTTACTGTGGATGGACTTTTTAGTGAGATTAACATTTAAATCAGTAGACTTTGAGTTTCTTTGTTACAACCAAGAACCCTGACCAGCTGCAAACCCACACAGAAATAGAGAAGGAACCTTAGGGTAGGCATTTAGATCTTGCAGAAGAGAAAGCAAAAGCAAAACCACAGCTACGCTTGCTCAGAGAACAATTCAGGCACCACATGGCACCAATTACGACATTTTTCAGGATTAGTAAATCAGTACGAATTAAGCACAGATCACCTCCCATAATATGGGTGGGCCTTATCTAATCAGTTTAAGGCTTTTAGAGAAAAAGGTTGACACTCCTTCCCTCCACCCTCCAAGGAAGAGAGAATTCTGCCTCCAGACCATCTTTGGACTCAAGCTGCAACATCAACTCTTCCTTGGGGCTCCAGCCTTCAGGCCAACCATACAGATTTTGGATTTACCAGCCTCCATAATTGCATGAGCCATTTCCTTAAAATAACTCAGTCTCTCTCTGTCTCTGACACACTCTCTCTCTCTGTCTACATATATATATATGTATACGTACACACACACACTCGGATCTTATTGGTTCTGTTTTTCTGGAGAACCCTGACTAGTACAAACTGTGAGCCACTCCTGGAAGGCAGCTGTGGCTGATTCCTCTCCATTTCCCCAGGGCCCAGCACAGTATTGGGCACACAGATGGTACAGCACTTCTATTAGCCAGGGCTCTCTGGTTGCATGTAACAGAAACCAATTCAATTAGCTTGAATAAAAGGGGGAAATGAATAATGAGGACACCAGGGTGTCTTCCATGATCAGAGGGTGATATGGTTTGGCTCTGTGTCCTCACCCAAATCTCATCTTGAATTGTAATCCCCATTTATTGAGGGATGGAGGTGATTGGATCATAGGGGTGGATCCCCCATGCTGTTCTCGTGATAGTGAGTGAGTTTGCACGAGATCTGATGGTTTTATAAGTGTTTGACAGTTTTTCCTTCACACCTCTCCTACCGGCTGCCATGTAAGACATGCCTGCTTCCCTTTCTGCCATAACTGTATGTTTCCTGAGGCCTCTCCAGCCATGCAGAACTGTGAGTCAATTAAACCTTTTTTCTTTATAAATTACCCAGTCTTGGTCAGTTCTTTATAGCAGTGTGAAAACGGACTACAGAGGGCAAGGAAGTTCTTAGGTCTTAGTAAAAAGCACTGAGAGCTCATTAGGACTCTGACCCCATCTCTTATTCTTGCTTCTCTTTATTTCTCTTTCCCCTGCTTTCAGCTTTTCCCAACATGGCTTTACCTTTCTTCTGCAGCTCAGGATAAAAATCTTGGCATCATTCTTGATTCTTCTCTTTTTCTCACACTCCTCATCAATCAGTCTGCGAATCCTATCAGCCTGACCTTCAAAATATTTCCGAGTACAAATACTTCATCCTGTCATTATCAATACTAAGCCATTATCATCTCCTACGTGGAGTACTGCAATAGTGTGTCCGGAATTGGTGCGTTCTTGGTCTCACTGACTTCAAGAATGAAGCCACGGACCCTCGCGGTGAGTGTTACAGTTCTTGGAAGCAGCGTGTCTGGAGTTCGTTCCTTCTGATGTTCGGATGTGTTCAGCATTTCTTCCTTCTGGGGGGTTCGTGGTCTTGGTGGCTCAGAAGTGAAGCTGCAGACCTTCGCAGTGAGTGTTAACAGCTCTTAAGGCAGCGCGTCTGGAGTTGTTCGTTTCTCCCAGTGGGTTCGTGGTCTCACTGGTTTCAGGAGTGAAGCTGCAGACCTTTGCAGTGAGTCTTACAGCTCATAAAGGCAGTGGGAACCCAAAGAGTGAGCAGCAGTAAGATTCATTGCAAAGAGCAAAAGAACAAAGCTTCCACTGTGTGGAAGGGGACCCCAGCAGGTTGCCACTGCTGGCGTGGGCAGCCTGCTTTTATTCTCTAATCTGGCCCCACCCACATACTGCTGATTGGTCCATTTTACAGAGAGCTGATTGGTCCGTTTTGACAGGGTGCTGATTGGTGCCTTTACAATCCCTGAGCTAGACACAAAAGTTCTCCATGTCCCCACTAGATTAGCTAGATACAGAGTGTGGATTGGTGTATTTACAAACTCTGAGCTAGACACAGAGTGCTGATTGGTGCATTTACAAACCTTGAGCTAGATACAGAGTGCTGATTGGTGCATTCGCAATCCCTTAGCTAGACACAAAGATTCTCCAAGTCCCCACCAGACTCAGGAGCCCAGCTGGCTTCACCCAGTGGATCCCATACTGGGCTGCAGGTGGAGTTGCCTGCTAGTCCCCCACCGTGCGCAGGCTCCTCAGCCCTTGGGTTGTTGATGGGACTGGGCGCTGTGGAGCATGGGGCAGCGCTCGTTGGGGAGGCTCCAGCCAGGCAGGAGCCCATGGTGTTGGGGGTAGGCTCAGGCATGGCGGGCTACAGGTCCGGAGCCCTGCCTCACAGGGAGGCAGCTGAGGCCCGCTGAGAAGTGAGCACAGCTGCTGGCCCAGGTGCTAAGCCCCTCACTGCCCGAGGCTTGCAGGCCGGCCGCTCCGAGTGCTGGGTCCCCCGAGCCCACGCCCACCCGGAACTCTTGCTGGCCAGCAAGCGCCGGGGGCAGTGCCGGGGGCAGTCCCGGTTCCCGCCCGCGCCTCTCCTTCCACACCTCCCTGCAAGCTGAGGGAGTCGGCTCCGGCCTTGGCCAGCCCAGAAAGGGGCTCCCACAGTGCAGCGGCGGACTGAAGGGCTCCTCAAGCGCGGCCAGAGTGGGTGCCAAGGCCGAGGAGGCGCCGAGAGCGAGCGAGGGCTGCGAGGGCTGCCAGCATGCTGTCACCTCTCAATAGCTGTTCTGGGCCCCTGGGCCTACAGCTTATTTACTGCCCGCATGACTGATCCTCAGAAACATCAGTGAATAGTCAGTATACCAATGTTTCAGGTAAGGAATTCGAGAGGCAAAATACTAAGTGGCTAGCCTAAGATAACACAGCTTGAAGAAATTAAAATTGAGACCCAAACCAATTAATTATAGATTATAGATCATAGGTTTAAAAAAAAAAAACCAGTGGGTTTACAAACTAATTTTGGAATTTGGGATCTGTTTCCAAACAACATCTTAATATAATTCCAATATATACATTAGATATGAACAGAGTTGCTGGGATCGAAAGGTGGGATTGGCCTCCAGGACACAATGGCTCTACGTGATAGAGTGTGGAAGTCAGCACCCTGCATTGCACTTTGGCATTGAAGGATGGAGGAATGACCAGTGAGAACACAGCTTCCTCCCATTGTAAGTGGAGTCCATATGATGTGTGTGCTTTATTTCAACAAGTTTTATCACAGTTCAATCCCAGTTTCTTCTGCACACTGAAGTTGAACCCATTTCTCCCATTATTTCTACTCTAATATAGGAAAGAGGAGAATCTTGCATCTTGACAGATCGCCACCTGGTAGACTATTCTGCGATATTCTTACCTGGGTTTACTAGAGAACAAATACAAGATTAATCTTGGGCAATGTCTATGGAAATCCTAAAGTTCTCCTTTTTTTAAGCCATTCTTTACAATCCTCCAAAGGGATGCTTTAGCCAGGAGGCTCAGTGAGGAGCAGAAAGGCTGTGGGCAAAGGTCGCAGGGCAGCCACTGATGTGGCTCTCCTCTGCCTCATCTCCAGTGACTCGTTAACAAGCCAAGTTGCAGTGAAGTGTGCGTGACCTCTGTGGCTTTCTGCCACATTGCCATGTGAGTGGCATCTCAACAGAATAATGTTAAAGAGTAAACTTAAAAAAAATTGCTCTTGTGATTACTTTTAAGTTTCAGGGTTGAAATTTAATCTCTACTAATTCCTGGAGAAGAAAAAACAAGTGGCTTCCACAGTCCCAGCTCCTGGTGTCACTACTCACTGTCCCTCCCCCACCACACACACACACCTTGGGGTATAAGGAGGTGACCATGTATAAACCCCAACAACCCACACTTCAGGAAATATATCAATGCCAGTCTGTTTTATTTCTGTGACTACTGGCAGCCAGAGGGGCTAAATGGTGGCTACTGCAGCATCAGACAGGAAGGCGATAGCTTCATGGGGTGTCTAACCACTTCCAACAATTGTACTAGGTCAAATCCTTCACTGATACGATCTATTTGATTTTTTCCGGAACTTTAAACTTTTATTTCTATGTCTTATCTTTCATAATTTCTATCTCTGCTCAGTTTTGCAGTAGGTAATTTGATCATATCAGTCTTCCAATTTTCTAATTCCTCCTTCAGGGACAAACTGTTTCTAGTATAGTATGTTTAAAAGCATTTACTGTGGGATTACCCCCAAAACAATAACGACTAACTAGTATCTACTCTAACAAAATAAAGCATAGAGGAGTCTTTACTAAACATTGGATTAGTTTCAAAACAGAAAACAAAATTTTTTGTTTCAAGATAGTCAAATAAAATCAATAACAACCTAACAATCAAATGAAATGAATTAACTTTTTTTCCTCTCTTTTTGGGAGACTAGTCAATGCTAGCAAGGGTGTGTGTGAAATAGATATTTTCATATATTTCAGGTGTCAATATAAATTAGTACAATAATTTTAAGAAGCAATTTAAAATATGTATATTAAGAAAGTTTCTTCGGTAGTTAAAGATTATGAAACTTATGTAACAAAGATAATGCTCTGAAAATAACATTACATTTTGTTTGTTTGTTTGTTTTGAGGCGGAGTCTTGCTCTGTCTTCCAGGCTGGAGTGCAGTGGTACTATCTCGGCTCACTGCAACCTCTACCTCCTGGGTTCAAGAGATTCTCCTGCCTCAGCCTCCCGAGTAGCTGGGATTACAGGCGCCCGCCACCAAGTCCAGCTAATTTTTTTTTCTGTATTTTTAATAAAGACAGGGTTTCACCACGTTGGACAGGCTGGGCCTGCCTCAGCCTCCCAAAGTGTTGGGATTACAGGCATGAGCCACTGTTCCCATCCTGGAAATAACATTAAGTTTTAAAACAAAGTATAAATTATATGTGCAGTATGAATTATTACTATGGAACATACATGGAATAAATTGGGAACAGAATTTGGTTTGGGGTGGTAGAATTATAGGGTAATGTTTTTCTTTCTGCTTTTTCTTATTTTAAAATAATAAATTTCATTGTACTGCTTTTTATGAATGTAAAATTTACATAACATAGAATTAAGATTTTTAAACTGTACAATTCAGTGGCATTAAGCACATCCACAATGTTATACAACCATTACCTCTATGTTGTTCTAAAACATTTGATCACTCCAAAAGGAAACCTCATATCCATTAAGAAGTCTCTTCATACTTCCTCTTCTCCAATCCCTGGCAACCACTAATTTGCTTCTGTTTGTACTAATTTACCTATTCTGAATATTTTATGTAAATGGAATCATACCATATGTGACTTTTTGTGTCCAGCTTGTTTCACTTACTTAGTATGTTTCCAAGTTTCACCTATGTAGTAGCAGGTATCAGCACTTCATTCCTTTTTATGGCCAAATGCTATTTCATTGTATACTATACCACATTTTATTTATCCATTCATCCATCCATGGACATTTAGTTTGTTTCCAACCCTTGGCTATGGGAAGTAAATAGTGCTGCTATGAACATTCACGTACAAGTTTTTGTTTGACACCTATTTTCAGTTCTTTTGGGAATATACCTAGAAGTGTTGGTACAGAACTAGAACTAGTTGCTCAGTGAAGGCATATTTATCAATTTTTCTCTCTCAATTTGTGTGCAGCATCTTGGATGTGATGGAAAGCAGAACCATAGAGTAGATTTCTCATCAGCACAGTCCAAAGTGAAAGTGACAGGAAGCGCGTGAGCTCTGGTGAGCAGCCGCGGTTGTCCTGAGGACACCCTAGTCTAGTGTTACTAAAGTGCAGTCCAGGAGGCATCCTGTGAACAACATAGTGCCAATCAGTGGACCGGCATTTTGAGGAGTATGGCTTAGGGCTGGTAAGGTGCTAAGCACTGATAAGAACCTGAGGAGGTTTTGTAATAAGACTAATGGAGATCCAAGAATCCTTGAATTAGGGTTAAGGTAAGAGGGGTCTTTTAGGTCTGTAGGGACATAACAGTAGGCTTCTATTAACCTTGCATGGCAGCCTCAGGCCACATCTGGAGGTGGGGAGGAACAAGAAGTGTCTGTACACCCCTTTTTCCTGGCAGCCCTTCTCCTCTCACCGTTTATGACTCAAGGCTGGCTTGATGGATTGATGGTTACCCAGGCAACAGAGGTTGTATGGCTCTTATCAAAGGTTCTGCTTTGTGTGTGACAATTTAGTCAGGATCACTGGGCTTTGCAATGCTTTTCTGGCACAATTGGGGCTCTCATCTGGAATTTGCTTCCAGTTTCATCACAGAGAGCTGGTCTCAATGTTATGGGTATGGGCTGAATGCACCTCTAACTTCTTTTTTTCCTGCAGGAAGAATAAAATCATAAAAACAGATTACAAATGGAGAAAACAACCCCCTTGATAAAATGGATAGAAACTCATTTACATATTATTTTTTGAATGTCATATGTTTAAGCCCACAGGAGCCCCTGCAAGGATATTGCAAAGATTGCAGCCAGCACACACACACACAAAAAAACTACCTGAGAAATAGTTACTCCTCTTAATGGGAAATGGAGATTAATCCCAATTGGGCATCAAACATCAGCCGAGTGCTCAAAAATTGTAGAGGCAGAAAATGTTGGAGATTATTAATCAAAGTTCTGGCTGGGTCAAAGTGATCTTCCAAGTTGGTGCAGCCAAATATAAACATTTCAACCAAAGGTGAGTAGCCTTTAATGCTTCTCCGTAACGACAGTAAGAGTGCTTTAATTAAATAGGAGAGTGAAGCAAGTAGCTGATGTGAATCTGTTCTTAAGATATTCAATGCAAAGCCCAAGTTTGAGCACTTCTTTCCAAGCTTTCAGTGCCATTCTAGGGTCTGGATTTGGGCTAGTCAACAAGTGTCTGCTGGTAGCTAATACCAGGATTGAAACATCAAAGAAAGGCACCTTAACCTTGAAGTCAGGTCCTGTTCCTTAAGTAAGCGTTAGCCTCAGCATTTGAGTAGTAGAATTTCCAGGGTTAACGTTCTTCCCTTTGAGGCAACTGAGAACTTGGAAAAAAGTGTCCTTCCTGAGCCTTTGGCTCTGCGAGTTTCCTTTAGAACCCCTATGGCCCTTCCAGATTTATCTAGTTATTCCAGTTAGCAAATAGCGTTCAAAACTGATTCATAGTGATCCTGCAGGGGTGAATTGAGAAGGAGTCTAAGGCCGTTTCGGGGCTTAGTAACAGCGTGTGCTACATGCTGCCGCAGGCCTGGGAAAGGATTTCTACACCTGCCATTTCTGTTTGGCTTAGAGTCCACAGTTGTTTCCCATTACTAGGGCTGTTTCCCTGACCTGAGATCCTATCTTCCCACCCATTGTCCCAGGCCTGCCTAGTTTCTCAGCAGTGGGATGGAGTGGAATGGGTTTTGGTTCAAACTGCCCTGTATTCAAACCCTAGCTCTGTTGCTTATTAGCTGTGTGTCTTTGGTGAGAGAATGAATTGAAATAACACAAGTAAAATATACGGGAGAGGACCTAGGCATGGTAGGTGCTCAATTAATGGTACTCTTTTTTTATAACTCAAGTAGAGCTACTTTTTGGAAGCTATTTCTGGCTCGCTTAGTTCCCATGGCCTCCCGCACACCCTCTCCTATGGACTTGTCCCACTTGACTGTGATCGCCATTTTCATCTCTCTCCCCAACTGGTCTGACTTATTTGTCTTGTTTATCTCCCTGTATCTCCAGCAACCAACACCATGTCTGACACATCTTAATTGTTCAAGAAATGCTGCTTGTTGACAACTTGCTCCTAAGCTACTAGTTCTTACCTATCTGCCTTAACAAGTTAAGATATTATGGCTTGAATGATGAAAAACATCAGTTCATAAGGCTTCCATCAGCAGTGTCAAGGGCAAAGTCAGCCCTAGAAGCAGCCGCTCTTCTCCAATAGAAATGAGCCAACAGCACAGAATGTGAAGAGAGCCCCAGTCATTTCCAAACCATCAAACTACAAAAGAGCTCTTCCAAACCACCATATGGCCGGTGAGGCCAGATGCATCCACTGACAAGCATCATGGTGACACACTGAGCCAGGCTGCTCACTGAGTCACTGGTGGTCAGGAGGTAAGACTTTTGATGCTGCTGGAATCAGGATCCCAGTGGGGTTTAGGGAATGATGCATCTACCCAGCTGCTCTTAGAATTCTCTATTAAGTTCTTAACCCTCCTAAATTAGACCTCAGGAGCTTAAGCTTGGCATTGGGTGACCTTATAAAGAAAGCCATGAAATGGTCTCTGTACCAGACCTCTGTGTGGGGAATTAAGTAGAAAATTTCTTAACATATTTCCTGTTGGTTCAATGCTGTGGCCACCCCTATTGTTTTTCTTTGTTCTGCCTTAGTGCAGAGGGGGTCTTTTAACATAAAATAGGTACATATTTTTCTATGGGAGATGATTGGTTTTAGCATGAAAGAGGCTGGCTTATGTGGTGGGTACTCTACCTAAAGAATTTGAAAACACAGGCAAACAGGACCCCAGTCAGGGAACTATGGAGAGCCCTCCAAGATGACACTCATCAGCTCCACCCCAGGGCAATGACGGTATGAGGCTAGGACCTGGGGAGATGAGTGTTGAGAGGGTGGGATGCCAGGAGGCCAAGGGGAAGTGGTTTCTGTGTGCCACATAATATTGAATCAGTGCTTGCTGAAAAGTGGCCCAAAGGGAAAGTGAAGACATATATATGTATTATATGCATGCAACATATATAGTAGATAATATATATAGTACATACTAGAAATATAATCTATTAGGGGCCACATGTGTTTCTGATAAGCCATAGCTAAGATTAAGTTTTTCTTGAGATAAACTAAGAGGGTTCATCTTTCTGGACTTTGAGGACCACAGTGGCAGGATTACGTGGGCGTATCTCATTTCAAAAGGAAAAAAGGAAGCTCCTGAGCACTAACCTGCCTGGAGAATTCTCCCATTCTCTTATCCATGCCATAACAATCACTTTTACTACAAGTCAGACACGGTTCAATGCTTCCCATGTTTTAACTCACTAATTCTGTAAGTATTATCATTTTATCATTTGTAACTGAGAGGAACTGAGGCACTGAGAAATAAAGTAGCTTAACCAAGTCACGGGAGCTCATGGTGGCAGAGCTGGAATTGTGAGTGTAGGCCCTTGGAGTCTAGAGCCTGTGCCCCTCACCGCTAGGCCGTACAGCCTTTCCTCAGCCATCGAGAGCCTCTTCCACACACCTCCTTTAATCCTGACCCGCCTCTTGCTTCCTGCGGCTGCTCCCTTCTGTGATCCCAAACTGTGCATAGGGGGCTGGGCAGTGGCCCTCCTGTTACTTGGAGTATCTATTACTCACTTCTGGGCTAGTCTATGAGATAGGAGCATGAACCTCATCTCTTAATCATTTTTTAATTCCTTGGTGTCCCATTTGATAAAATGCACAAAGCTAGTACCGACAAATGTTTGACAGATGAAATGAATGAGTAAGTGAATAAACTTAGGAATACGGGAGAAAACTGGGGTCATATGTGCATCATCAGACCTGGTAACAATAGCCATTAATATTTATTGATGGTTTGCTATGCTCCAGGCAGTATGCTGAGGACTTTGCATGCGTTATCCATTTAGTCATTAGCATGACTCTCTGGGACAGGTTCTGCTTCTATCCGCATTTTACATTTCAGGAAAACAAGGCTCCAATAGATGGACTTACTCAAGTTCTCACAGCTAGTGATCTGCAGAGCTAGTATCCCAACTCACATCTATCTGATGCCAAAACCTATGATCTTAAATCTCCACAACCTTTTACTGTGTTCAGATCCCTGGCCTGATAGTCTAACCTTGCATACTTGGTCATGGCAATCTAGCAGAGGCTTTCAAAGCTACATTTTTAAAGTCCTACCATCTTTGCTGTGGATCTCCCTAAAACAATGCTGTCTGTGGTTGTCTTGAAAATCCCTGTTTTTCTTATTGGTGTTAAACCTAGCTACTGGTCATCACATTGGTATTACCACTGCCTAATTTGTAATGGACCCTTGCTATGTACAGGGCTAGATTCTCTTAGTATTTTAATGCATTTAATTCTGTCAACAGCCATATGAGGAAAGTACTTTTATTAAATTCATTTTATGAATGAGGAGGACACTGAGGCCCAGAGAATCAAATTAACTTGCCCAAAGTTCCACTATAAGTAAGGGACAGGCTGGTGTTTAGTTCCAAGCAGCCTGGTTGCAGAGCCTGCATTCTCAGCTGCTGTGCTAACCTGACTCAGCAGCAGGATTGGGTGGTTTCACATCCCTGCCTGTGGTTGCAGTTCTTTAATTCGCTTGGGATCTTCAAAGGCCAAGGCTATGGGCTTGATCTCTGATAGCACTAGTCTGTGCCTTAATCCTGGCCAGATGTCCTGCAAATATCTCATAGATCTAGGACCTTGGTTACCAAGGAGACCAGGTGGGAGAATGGGGATGAATTAGTGCCAGTCAACCAGTTCTGTAGGGAAAACTGTGCTGCTGACAATAGGTCAGAACTAGCTTCCCCATATCATTAAAATACTCACTGAAAACATGTTAGTCAACAAATCTGCCTTACTTACATGCCCAAATGCTAAACCTGTCCCCAACTGGCTTTACGTGCACAGAATGTTGGCTCTCACATCCATGATTCGTTGAAAAGGTCAAATTCCACTCTGGCTGTTTCATCAGAAGGGTAAATACTGTGTGTTAGATATTTGATGTGCATAGACTAAGAGCATTTTCCAGTGAAAGCTTCAGAGGTTTGTGGGCAGAGCCAGAGTCACAGGGGATGTTAGAGCTGCCAGGAGTTTTAGGGAATCAAAGTCCAGCCCCCAAAACCCCTGTTTTACAGATAAGGGAGGCCAGATTGCCCCTGCATGCTTGCAGCTAGTGATGGCAGAACCAGGACTAGACCTCCCATCTGCCATGAACTGGCTGATGGAGATTGTCAAATTATGTTATCAAAACTCTTTAGAGATTTATCTGGCTTCATTGGCAAAGGTTGGGAATTGAAAGTGGATATTCCATCATTTGAGAAGGAGGAAGGATGTGCTATTAGGGCGTTAGCATCTCTCTATAGTCCAATTGAAATGAAAAATTAATCGACTTTCTGGCCAATTCAATCAATCAAGGTAGTCAATGGGAAGTTATTTCCTCAAATACTCAGGTTCCATGTTTGAATTAACTGCTGTCTGTATGTTAATTCTATGTAACTGCTCTATGTATTTCACTGTTTCTATTAATAAAATAATATTGAAGTCTTTTTTTAAAATCTTGACTAATAGGAAAATTATCATACTATCTAATAGATCTTATAAATCCTTTGTCTTTCACAAATCTTTGCATGAAAAACAAGTCTGTCACTTCAAAAATAATTTGTCATATAGGGTTTCCATTTGGAATGATGAAAACTTCTGGAAGAAGACAGGAATGATGGTGGCACAACATCACAACTGAACTTAATGGCACCAAATTGTATACTTTAAAATGGATAAAATGGTAAATTTTGTGGTATTATTCCATAATAAAGTAATTTATAAAGAAGCCCAATTATTGGGAATAGAAAAAATCAATTCAGTGACAAATAATATATTTCATTGATTTGTCCAATAAATATATATGGAGTACCTGCTATGGGTCAAGTACTTATTTGAAAAATGTTTGAAAGTTGAGTACTTGCTAACTGTAAGGTGTTACACAAATATGTTTGTGGATAACTGTGAGTGTGCTTGTGGGGCAAGTGCTGGTTACTTACCCTTCACACCCTTCACTCTTGTGGATTCACTCTTTACTCTTTTCCACATTGCTTTGTATTTTGGAAGTCTCTCCTGAATGGACTGCAGCAACAGTTTCCCTTACCAACCTGGCCTCCTGTTAGGTTTGGCCAGTGGTGGGGTGGCAGCGGGTGGGGGGATGCCAGGAGAAGAAGAGGGAGAGGGAGGAGTGTGAGGTTTGCATATATTCCTTCAACTCCTTTCCTGCTGGTTCATTGTAAATTTGTTGCATCCCTCTACCACAGGGGCCCTGTCCCAGAAATCCAAAAGTATTCAAAATAGAACTAAGTTTCAAGATCTTCTACTTTAAGGTTGCTTCTGAGTTTTCTTTTTCTTTATGGCTCATGTTTTAAAAGATGACCACATTTTCAAATGGGTTAACATTTTCTAAAAAGTCCATTTTAGAAAAAAATGGAGTTCCAATTAACAGAGTTTTGAATTATCCAATATATTTTATTATAAAACAAGAAAGCACCATTTCAACTAGGGAGCACTGATTGCTTAAAACTACACTCTTTTGAATAAACCCATATTAGTTTAATGAAGTTTTCCTGTGATTAGTATAATCTACTGCAATTGTATTCAAACCCCAAATTATGGGTATTATATGCCCGAAATACAGCACTGGTTAAAGGCAATTAGTTTAATCACTTTCCTGATGGGAAATGAGACAGGGACACCACAGAGCAGGGCAGCCCATTAGCATGTGATGTGAAGAGGCCAGCCCTCCTTTCTGCTTCTTGCAGGGCACAGCCTTACTCTCTTACGCCTGCCGCTGCACTCTCCTCCTACAGCACATGGCGTTTTACAAAACACTACCCTATGTAGTGGTGGCTTTTTTCTGTTAATCAATATCCTCAAGCCATGTAGTTCAGGCCTTCCTCATCACCCACCTGGACAATTGCCACCATGCTGCCTTGTAAGCTCATGCAGGGTGCTCACTGCCCGGGGTGCCTCGCCAGAGGGAGAGCTTAAATCCAGCCTGACTCTGCTCATCACGCCTGTTTGGTGCTTCTACCCAGAAAAGGTACCTTTTCCTAACTTGCTCAAATGTGGCAGCAGCAGCCCTGTTGCCACCATCTCTTGCCTGGTCTCTCTTCCTCTGGTCTTGCCCTCTTCTTATTCATCCTCCCACTTACAAACTTATAAAATGTGGGTTTGACCATGCTGCTCCTGCTTAAGCCTTTCAATGGCTCCTTATTCTAGAGAGCAGCGCTTCTCAAACTTCCACATTCAAGTGAATCACCTGCCATGAAGGTGGGGATGGATCTTGTTAAAAGGTGGATTCTAATTTAGTAGGTCTCAGGCTAGTAAGTCTCAGGTGGAGCCCGAGACCTTCCATTTCTAACTAGCTCCCAGGTGAGGCCGATGCTGCTCGTCTGCAGATCACTTTGAGTAGTAAGGCTCTAGGGCAGCACTGTCCAAGGGAAGTCTCTACGATGGTGTCTGTCCAATATAGTAGCCACCACCTGTATGCAGCTACTGAGTACTTGAAATGCAGCTAGTGTGACTGAGGAACTGAATTTTAAATTCAATTTAATTTTAGTTAATTTAAATTTAAATAGGCACATGCAGCTAGTGGCTACTGTATTGGACAGCACAGCTACAGAGGATAACATCCATGCTCCTCAGTGTGACTTACAAAGCTCTCTGCAGATCTTTTGCCCACTTCTTGTTCGTTGTTTTCTGCCCTTCCCTATCTCTCATTTTATGTTACACCACGAAACTTCCATAATTTTCCAAACAAGTCACGTGTTTTCATGTCCCTACTTTGCAAGTGCTGTTCCCTTGCTTGGAATTCCTTTCTCTACCTTTTGTGCCCAATGATGCAACATCTTCTGATTCCCATTCCAGCCCCTCCTCTTCTAAGAATCCATCACTGACCATACCCTGCTAACAGCAACCATTTACCGAGTGTCTCCATGTAGTGTAACAGGGCCCTGCACACACCTTATTTCATTTGATGTGCACATTAAGTTTGATATATGAAAACAGGCATCAAGTGGCTTGCCTAGGGTCGCAACTAGAAAGTTGAAAAACCACAAATTCATACCTAGGCTGCCTGATTCTGAAGCTCATTCTTTCCCCACCACACCATGGTACCCTCTGCTTGCACAGGACTGTGATATCCATAGCACTAACCATGTGATGGTGAAATTGTTTGTCTATGGTCTCTCTTCTCCATGAAATCATAAGCTGCTAGAGATCACAGGCTAGGTATTTTTTATTTCTGTATTCTGGGGGCCTGCTACATCATGAATGCTTGATCACTGTTGTTGAAATGTGTATGTTTCTTCTCTTCAACTCCATGGTAAAATCCTTGAGTGTGACAACTGTGTGTTCTTTTTTTGTTTTGGTTTGGTTTATTTTGAGACGAAGTCTTGCTCTGTCGCCCAGGCTGGAGCGCAGTGGCGTGATCTTCGCTCACTGCAACCTCCGTCTCCCGGGTTCAAGCGATTCTCCTGCCTCAGCCTCCTGATTAGCTGGGATTATGGGCATGCAACACCACGCCCAGCTAATTTTTGTATTTTTAGTAGAGACGGGGTTTCACCATGTTGGTCAGGCTGGTCTCAAACTCCTGACGTCATGATCCGCCCACCTCGGCCTCCCCCAGTGCTGGGATTACAGGCCTGAGCCACCGCGCCTGGCCCTGTGTTTTATTTCACGGATGTGCTCAGTGCTTGGTAGGCCCCTGATGAGTGCTGGAACAAATGAATGCATAATTAAATGAGTGTGCTGACTACGGACAACATAGGCAAGGATTTTGTTAGGAACTCAAGGGTAGGGATTCTTCTAAGCAACTTTAATGCAAGAGATAGATGGGTACCGAATAATGACAAGGAGGAAATAAGGGGAGAGTGTAGGGAAGTGTGAGAAAGGCTGAGAATGGGAGAAAACTGCAATAACAAGAATTTGATGTGTGCTTCCCTTCAAATCTCCTTAATTAGCATGGACAGTGTTCCCCTGAATTAACATCTTGAAAAGTACATGTTATTGAGAAAGTGAAAAAATGGGAATGCTTATATGCTGATAGAAGGACCCAGGAGTGTAAATTGGCATGACCTTTATAAGGGAAATTTGGAATAGTATTCATATTCTTTAAAAACATGCGTGTCCTTTATCCTATCAATTCTACTTGTGGGAATTTATCCTAAGATAATCATAGCTATGTACTGAATTTTATCAGCAAACGCATCATTATAACATTATTTATAATGATTAAAAATAAAAAAAACCTTTTGAGCCCCTAGATTAAATTACTTATATCCATATGATTGAATACTATTTAGTCATTAAAGTGGTACAAAATTATATATATTGATAAAGAACAACTTTATATATGTTTAAGATAGAAAAGCAGGTTACAACATGGAATATTTCATATTTTTCCTATTTAGGGGGGAAAGTTTGAGGGTGCTTGTATATGCACAGATAAAACAAAGACCTAAGGAAATACCTGAGTCTTTTAAAAAATAATTTCAACTTTTATTTTAGAATCAGGGAGTACATACGCAGGTTTGTTACATGGGTATGTTGCATGGTGCTGAGGTTTGGGGTACAACTGATTCTATCACCCAGGTAGTGAGCATAGTACTCGATAGTTTTTTAACCCTTGCTTCCCTCCATTCCCACTCTAGTAGTCTTTAGTGTCTATTGTTGCCATCTTTATATCCATGTTTAATTTCCACTTACAAGTGAGAACATGGAGTATTTGGTTTTCTGTTCTTGTGTTAATTTGCTTAGGATAATGGCCTCCAGCTGCATCCGTGTTGTTGCATAGAACATGATTTCATTGTTTTTATGGTTGCATAGTATTCCAAGGTATAAAAGTACCACGTTTTCTTTGTGCAATCCACCGTAGACGGGCACCTAGGTTGATGCCATGTCTTTGCTACTGTGAATAGTGCTGTGATAAACATATCAGTGTATGTGTCTTTTTGGTAGAACAATATATTTTCTTGGGGCTATATACCCAGTAATTGGATTGTTGTGTTGAATGGCAGTTCTGTTTTAAGTTCCTTGGGAAATCTCCAAACTGCTTTCCACAGTGACTGAGCTAATTTACATTCCCACTAACAGTGTATAAGTGTTCTCTTTGCTCTGCAGTCTCACCAGTATCTGTTATTTTTTGACTTTTTAATAGTAGCCATTCTGACTGGTGTGAGATGCTATCTTGTTGTGGTTTTGATTTGCATTTCCCTAATGAGTAATGGGGTTGAACATTTTGCATATGTGTGTTGGCTGCTTGTCTGTCTTCTTTTGAGAAGTGTCTTTTCATGTCTCTTGCTCACTTTTTAATAGTTATTTGTTTTTTGCTTGTTGAATTGTTTAAGTTCCTAATAAATTCAGGATATTAGACCTTTGTTAAATGCATAGTTTGTGAATATTTTCTCCCATTTTGTAGGTTGTGTTTACTCTGTTGATGATTTTCTTTTGTTGTGCAGAAGCTCTTTAGTTTAATTAGGTCCCACTTGTCCATTTTTTTGTTGTTGTTGTTGCAGTTGCTTTTCAGGACTTAGTTATACATTCTTTCCCGAGGCTGATGTCCAGAATGGTGTTTCCTAAGTGTTCTTCTAGGATTCTTATAGTTTGAGATCTTACATTTAAATCTTTAATCCATCTTGAGTTAATTTTTGTATATGGTGAAAAGTTGTGGTCCAGAGTTTCATACTTCTGCATATGGCTAGCCAGCTATCCCAGCATCATTTATTGAACAGGGAATCCCCAAAAAGACTCTTAATAAGTTCCCTTGGTGATAGGATTTGATTATTTTTGCCTTTACACTTTGCATCAGTATGTTCTACTTTTACGACCAGAAAAATACATTAAAAAAAAAGGACATTAATATGTTCACTAGTTCCATTTTACCCTGGTATCTAATTATCAGATATCTTCTAGAAGATCCAGGATACACCTCATAGGAAATCTATAGGAGGCCAACTGCTTAGAAATGTCTCCAGCTCCAGGAAGTCATGCTCTCCTGTCATCATTCAATGCCCTGATTTCTTGATTTCCAGTATCTATTATTTTCCTGACTCTGCTTTCAAATCTAGCCTAGCTCGGCGCCATCTCACCTTTGTCCAGCCTTTATTCCATTGATGTTCCCCTCAGGTGGGCCATCTGTGGTAGACATGAGCCTCTGGTGCTCAAAGCCTGGCCCAGGTGTGTTTTTCACTGCCCTGTTTATTTCTGTTTGCTGTGCATTTTGACATGTAACTTCCTAATCCCTGTTGTCACCATCATCTCTTGCTCTTTTGTTTTTGAGATGCTGTTGTCGTCTTTCCTCCCTTCTGCTGTCTCTTCCTTAGCCTCATAGTCAGCAAGGATAGGGGTCATACACTTGGTCCAGTGTGACTCATTCCACCCACCAGGAGCCTGTGAGTCTTAGATGAAAAGCAAACAAGTAATTAGAGCCTATTCTAGCATCTAGACATAATTTGCTCTATGAAAAAGACCTTTTAAAAGAGAGAAACAAGCGAAGGAATAGCTTACTGGTTTGTTCCAATAAGCACAAGATAGGTTTTAGAAGCACAATATGAAATCCTTCAAGGAAACTTTACATGATCATCCTAAGGAATTTTTCAGCTTTGTGTAAGGAGGAGAGAGTTCTAATAACAAAATTAGAAAATGATGTGGTCCGATTTTTTTTCACTCTGTGAAGACTGTAGATTAAGCTATCTGCTTGTGTTTTACAATATTTTTATAACATATTGCAGCTCCCTGATGTCTATCGGCATTACAGAGTGTGGCAAAGGGATATGCAGGGGCAGCAAAACATCATGGGTGTGAAGAGAGAGGCCTGTACATAGAAACTGCTAAAAAGACCATAGGGGGTTGAGCATGGTGGCTCATGCCTATAGTAATCCCAGCACTTTGGGAGGTCAAGGCAGGAGGATCACTTGAGCCCAGGAGATCGAGAGCAGCCTGGGACACATAGTGAGACCCCATCTCTACAAAAAAAAAAAAAAATTTCAATTAGTCGGGTACGGTGGCACACACCTATATTCCCAGTTCCTGGGAGGCTGAGGCGGGAGGATCGCTTGAGCCCAGGAGGTTGAGACTGCCATGAGCCATGATTGTGCCACCGCATTCCAGCATGGGTGACGGAGCAAGACCTTACCTCAAAAAATAAAAAATAAAGACCATGAGAATGAGGCCAGGTCTGGGACACCACATCCATCAGTGGTCGCTTCAACTGGAATAAATCAGCAAATACTCAGGAGGTTGGTGGGGAAGCAAATACCGAGAGCCAGGAAATGTACACCTGCTTGAAGAAGAAACTGTCCTCAACTAGTATGGCAAATGCATGCAGGTCACACCTCCCACAGTGAGTGTATGCTGCTAACTCATTGGTCATCCAACAGCCATTGTATCCAACAGCACTTCCCACCTCTCCAGTCCCATCTCTCTCCACATCCCTATTGTCTCTACATTGCATCAGCTCCATGAATGCACTGTAATGCCATCGGCATCAGAGCCTGTGCCTACACCCCTCCAGCTGCCAGGAATATTCCTTCCCTTCCTGTTTGCCTAGGTAACTTCTGCTCATCCTTCAGAACCCAGGATGTATCTATGTCTGTCTATACCTATGTCTATGTCTATATTGAGCTTTATATGTAAATAGAGATGTGGATGTAGATACTCATACACACAAACACAAAAACACACACACACTCAATTTATTGTGTGTATGGCACAATAAATGGAGTGTGGCGGGGCACAGGCTTAGGAAGTTTCAAGGTCACTTCCTCAGGAAAGTCTTCTCTGATCACCCTGCAGACCAGGTCAAGTGCCCTGTTATAAGTCCTCTGGCACCATGTATCTCTCTATTGTATGGTAATCACAGTGTAATTAGAAATGTAAACTCTCAAGGGTAGGGATTCACTGTTGAGTCCCCAGTATCTAGAGCAGAGCTTGGCACTATAATGGATGTTTAATAATATTTATTTGTATGTTTATTAGATTCACATCTGTCTTCCAAGCTAGAAGGTAAGTAATCTAGATACTGTGTTTTTATTCATGGTCTGTTTCCAGCACCTAGTACAGAGCCTGGCACATAGGACGCATTCAGCAAATGTCTGTTGAGTGAATGACTGAACTCTATACCATATGCTGACACAGTGAATGCAGGGGTGAATGAGGGCCAGTCGCTGGCCTCATGCAGTTTGCATGAGGCAGATCTTTTAGTGGGAAGACAGATGAGCAGACCATTACCATTCAGTGTAAAACATGCTGTGAAGAGTGAGAGCAGAGTGCAAAGGAGACACACAGGAGGACATCTTAGCCAGTCTAGGCTGAGGGAAGGGGAGAAGTTTGCGTGGGGATGGGGGTTCATAAAAGGGACTCTGGAGGGGGTGGCATCTAAGCAGAGAACAGGTGATGGCAGGAAGAAATATGGGCAGAATCATTCTTGGCCAAGGGAGCAGCACCAAAACCCAAAAAGAGAGTTGGAGAAAGACAGGCAGAGACCAAAGGAGACAGACACATGGACACGAAGGACAGACTACCAAGTGCAGTGTAGAAGCAGTGATACTTACCTTTGTTTCAATTTCCTTTTAGCGGGGTGATATAGATATTGCATGATGCTTGTAAAGAAACTTATTGCACAAAATAGACATTATCTATGAAACCGTTTCATTAAAAAAAGAAGCCTAGTTGGAAGGTTTCAGTATGTAAGCAGGTGTGCATTTTCTGACTTCAGAAAGTCCCCTTAAAACGTCCCCAGGATTGATCCTTGTTTATGCCATCCAAGCCTCAGTTAAATTCAACTGGAGAGGGATTCTGCTGCAGGGCATGCATTGCTGATGCACTCTCTGAGTGACTTGGGCTTACAGGTTAATGACTAGCAGGGGAAAGAGTGTTTTTATAACAGGATCAGCACTCATGGACTTTTTCTTCCCCTAAAAACTAGCTCTGCTCTCGAAAAGCCCTGGTCATGTGCCTCAGCAGCTGATTAGGGAGGATATGCTATTTGTTGTGTATCACCTTCCCCACGACTTACGCCTCTCAGTCACCTGTATTCATTTAGAAGACGTTTGTTATGTGCCTTTTTAGGCTCCCAGCCTATTCAAGGGAAACACCAGTATTTGAGTTCCTATGTACCAAGAACTCAGAGAAAACTAAAAGACCTAGTCCATAGTGTCAAAGAACTAACAATTTAGTTGAGGATACGAAATATATGCATCTGAAGCAATTAGGGCATAGTACTAATAATATTCTGTTATTTTCAAGCAACTGAAACCGTATCTTCCCTCTTAAGAAAAAGGGAAAATTCCTGAGTGGAGACAAGGGAATCACACATAATGGAAAGAGAGTTTGACAGACAGGATGTGAAGAATATAGGGCAGCTCAGGGATCTCAGTAGCAGGAATGTGTGGACCTTTGTCAAGATCTGTCATTTAGGGATATGCATATAAAATATAAGGAAAAAATTAAAACCATCTAGTATCTCACCTCCCAGGGGCAACCGCCAGTATGCTTCTGACATATATTCTTCTAGTCTTTTTGTTTTTCCTTTGAGCATCTGGGTGAGTGTGTATATTTGTCACAAAATTGAGATTCTGCACTTTACGCTGTTTTGTGTCTTGCTCTTTTCGCTTAACATTATACTGAAAACATTGAACTGTCATTGAAAGCTCTTTGAAATACATCTTTCAGTGGCTGCATAATTTTAGTATGTGGCTGCACCATAATTCATTTACTAGTCCCTATTATTGTTGAGCATATAAATTATTTTCAATTTTTCACTATTATAAAATATACTGTAATAAACATCACAGTACATTGTCTGAATTATTGTCTGAATTTCTGAGTGGGAAAAAACGTTTCAATCAAGGATTTAAGACAGAATCATTACCTGTGATTTTAAATGCCTGGGATAACCTGAAACATTCTGCCCAGCCAAAATACCGTTCCACTAACTTTGCCATTTTACGAGGGTATCCATTCTTTTACACTCCACAATCAAAACACCATTTTGTAAATCACTGATTTCTTAGTGCTCTAAATACAACAACTTAGTCACTGGAAAGAAAGAATGACCCTAAAACCAAATCAATATCAGGCCAATTATTTATTCTTGGTCCTTGGACATGAATCTATTTTGTGGAGGCTAGGGAGAGTCAACTGATTGCATTCTGCTTTTCAGTAGACTTTTTCTTCTGGGTCAGGAGAGGAAGGAGGCAGATATGTTCTGGGAAGAGGGATAAAATCTAGGAGACAATTAGAGACCTCAAAAGATTCTAGTTTTTAATCTTTTATTTAATAAACACCATGTGTCAGACGTTGTTCTGAGGGTTTTATGAATATTTAGTCACTTAATCTTGCTACTAATGTGTATTAGTTCATTCTCACACTGCTATAAAGAACTTTCTAAGACTAGGTAATTTATAAAGGAACAAGGTTTAATTGACTCACAGTTCCAAATGGCTGGGGACACCTCAGGAAACTTATGATCATGGTGGGGAAGGGGAAGCCAGGACCTTCTTCACATGGCAGCAGGAGAGAGAAGTGCAAGCAGGGGAAATGCCAGACACTTATAAAACCATCAGATCTCATGAGAACTCATTCACTATCATGAGAACAGGATAGGGGAAACCACCCCCATGATCCAATCACGTTCTTCCCTCAAGATGTGGGGATTACAGGTCCCTCCCTCAATACATGGGGATTACAATTCAAGATGAGATTTGTGTGAGGACACAGAGCCAAACCATATCATTCCATCCCTGACCTCTACCAAATATCATGTCCTCACATTTCAAAACCAATCATGCCTTCCCAACAGTCCCCCAAAGTCCTACCGCATTTCAGCATTAAGTCAAAAGCTGCAGTCCAAAGTCTCATCTGAGACAAGGCAAGTCCCTTCCATCCATGAGCCTGTAAAATCAAAAACAAGTTTATTTCTTCCAAGGTACAATGAAGGTACAGGCATTGGGTAAATACATCCATTCCAAATGGGAGATATTGGCCAAAACAAAGGGACTACAGGTCCTATGCAAGTCCAAAATGCAGTGGGGCAGTCATTAAATCTTAAAGCTCCAACATAATCTACTCTGACTCCATGTCTCAAATCCAGGGCATGATGATGCAAAGGGTGGGCTCCCATGGCCTTGGGCAACTTCATCCCTGTGGATTTACAGGGTACAGCCCCACTCCCTGGCTACTTTCATGGCTGGTGTTGAGTGTGTGAGGCTTTTCCAGACACACAGTGCAAGCTGTTGGTGGATCTGCCATTCTGGGGTCTGGAGGATGGTGGCCCTCTTCTCACAGCTCCTCTAGGCAGTGCCCCAGTGGTGACCCTGTGTGGGGGCTCCAACCCTGTATTTCCTCTTTGCACTGCTCTAGCAGAGGTTCTCCATGAGGGCTTTGCCCCTGCAGACTTCTGCCTGGACATCCAGGCATTTCCATACATTCTCTGAAATCTAGGCAGAGTTTCTCAAACCTCAGTTCTTGACTTCTGTGCACATGCAGGCCCAACACCACATGGAAGCTGCCAAACCTTGGGGCTTGCACCCTCAGAAGCAATGGCCTGAGTTGTACGTTGGCGCCTTTTAGCCATGACTGGGATGCAGGGAACCAAGTCCTGAGATGACACAAAGCAGCAAGGCCCTGGGCCTGGCCCATTAAACCATTTTTTCCTCCTAGGCTTCCCAACCTGTGATGGGAGGGGATACTGTGAAGACCTCTGATAGGCCCTGGAGATATTTTCCCCATTGTCTTGGTGATTAACATTTGACTCCTTGTTACTTACGCAAATTTCTGCAGTTGGCTTGAAGTTCTCCCCAGAAAATGGGTTTTTCTTTTCTATTACATTGTCAGACTACAAATTTTCCAAACTTTTATGCTTTGCTTCCCTTTTAAATGGAAGTTCCAATTTCAGATCATCTCTCTCAAGTTCAAAGTTATACAGATCTCTAGGGCAGGGGCAAAATGCCACCAGTCTCTTTGCTAAAGCATAGCAAGAATGACCCTTGCTCTAGTTTCCAATAAGTTCCTCATCTCCATCTGTGACCACCTCAGCCTGGACTTCATTGTCCATATCACTATCAGCATTTTGGTCAAAACCATTCGACAAGTCTCTAGGAAGTTCCAAACTTTCCCACATCTTCCTGTCTTCTTCTGAGCCCTCGAAACTGTTCCAACCTCTGCCTGTTACAAAGTTGGTTCCACATTTTTGGGTATCCTTATAGCAGTACCTCACTCTCCGCAGTACCAATTCTCTGTATTAGTCCATTCTCACACTGCTATCAAGAACTTTCCTGAGACTGGGTAATTTATAAAGAAAAGAGGTTTAATTGATTCACAGTTCCACATGGCTGAGAACACCTCAGGAAACTTACAACCATGGTGGCAGGTGAAGGCAAAGCAAGGACCTTCTTCACATGGCAGCAGGAGAGAGAAGTGCAAGCAGGCAAAATGCCAGACACTTATAAAACCATCAGATCTCATGATAACTCACTATTGTGAGAACAAGATGGGGGAACCGCCCCCGTGATCCAATTGCTTCCCTCCCTCAACATGTGGGGATTATAGGTCCCTCCCTTGAAACATGGGGATTACAATTGAAGATGAGATTCAGGTGGGGACACAGAGCCAAACCATATCATAATGTTATGAGGCAAGCATTATTATTACCTTCATTGTATGGATGAGAAGACTGAATCACAGAAGTAAAAGTAAGGGGTAAAGCTGGGATTTGAACCCTGAAACACTGGCTCTCAACAACTGTACCTTGTTTCCATGAATATACTGAAGTTGATATTTTAAAATCAGGATGGTTGAAAAACGCTCAAACACTATAATCAAAGAACATCAAGCCAATATGCTTTTTTTTTCTTTTACTGGACTTTAGTATTTCTTATCTTGTACAACCCAAGCATTAGCAACCTGGACATCTCTAGGTCTTCCAAATCTCACTTTAATATTGTAAAAACTGGCTCAATGCTCTCTTCAGCAGCACATATACTAAAATTGGAATGATACAGAGAAGATTACCATGGCCCTTGCACAAGGATGACATGCAAATTCATGTTCACAAAAATTCATTTGTGATTCATGTTCTTGTTAATGAGCAATAAGAAAACATCTGAAGGTACAAAACTCACTGATAATACTAAGTATAGAGATAAACACAAAATATTATGACAAGGTAATTGTGGTGTGTAAACTACTCATGCACTGAGTAGAAAGACCAAAAGATGAACCTATCAACTATGATGACGATAACAGCTTTTCAAGACAGACAGTGTAAGATATAAATAGAAACAACTAAAAGTTAAAAAGTAGGGGTGATGAAGTTAAAATGTAGACTTTGTATTAGTTTTGTCTTTGCTTGTTCGTTTTTGCTATCAATGTTGAGTTGTCATTAGTTTAAAATAATTGGTTATAAGACATTATTAGCAAGCTTCATGGTAACCTCAAATTAAAAAAGCCTACATTAGATACACAAAAAATAAAAAGCAAGAAATTAAAACACACCACCAGAAAAAAAAAATCACCTTCACAAAAAGGAAGACAGATGGACGGACAGATGGAAGGAAGGAAGGGAGGGAGGAAGGGAGGGAGGGAGGGGGGAAGGAAGGAAGGAAGGAAGGAAGGAAGGAAGGACAGATCACACAACAACCAGGAAAAAAATCGATAAGTAAGTCCTTATCAATAATAACATTGAATATAAATGGACTAAACTCTCCAATCAAAATGTATAGAGTGGCTGAATGAATTAAAAAACATGATCTGAGCCGAGTGCAGTGGCTCACACCTGTAATCCCAGCAATTTGGGAGCCTGAGGCAGGTGGATTGCTTGAGCCCGGGAGTTCAAGACCAGCCTGGGCAACATGGCAAAACCCTGTCTCTACAAAACATTCAAAAATTAGCCAGGCATGGTAGCATGCGTCTATAGTCCCAGCTACTCAGGAGGCCAAGGTAGGAGGATCACTTGAGTCTGAGAGGCAGAGGTTGCAATGAGCCAAGATTGTGCCACTGCATGCCAGCCTGGGCAAGACAGTGAGACTCTGTCTCAAAAAACAAACAAACAAACAAACAAAACCCCATGATCTGTTGCCTACAAGGAACACACTTTATGTATAAAGACACACAAAGAAATGGAAAAATATATTCTATGCCAATGGGAACCAAAAAAGAGCAGAAGTAGCTATACTTATATCAGACAAAATAGATTTTAAGACAGAAACTATAAGAAGAGACAAAGAAGGTCATTATGTAATTGTAAAGGGGTCAATTCAGCAAGAGGATATAACAATTGTAAATATATAAGCACTCAACATTGGAGGACCAAGATATATAAAGCAAATATCATTACAGCCAAAGAGAGAGAGATAGGCCCCAATACAATAATATCTGGAGACTTCAACATCCTACTTTCAGCATTGGACAGATCGTACAGACAGAAGACAAACAACAAAACATCAGACTTAATCTGCACCATTAACCACAAGGACCTAATAGATATTTACAGAACATTTCAACCAATGGCTGCAGAATACACATTCCTCTCCTCACCTCATGGATCATTCTCAAGGATAGACCATATGTTAGGCCACAAAACAAGTCTTTATAAAAATTCAAAAAAATTGAAATTATATTGCATCTTCTCTGACCACAATGTAATAAAATTAGAAATCAATAACATGAGGAACATTGGGAACTATACGAGCACATGGAAATTAAACAATATGCTCTTGAATGGCCAGTGGGTCAATTAAGAAAATAAGAAGAAAATTTTAAAATTTCTTGAAACAAAAAATGGAAACAATAAGTACAAAAACTTATATGATACAACAAAAACAGTAGTAAGAGGAAAGTTTGTAGCAATAAACATCTACATCAAAAAAGCAGAAAAACTTACACAAACAACCTAACAATGCATCTTTAAAAACTATAAAAGCAAGAGCAAACCAAACCTAAAATTTGTAGAAGAAAATAAGTAATAAAAATCAGAGCAGAAATAAATGACATAGAAATGAATAAAACAATACAAAAAATCAATGAAACAAAACTTGTTTTTTTAAAAAAAGAGATAAACAAAACTGACAAACCTTTAGCCAGGCTAGTAAACCAAGAAAGAAGACCTAAATAAATAAAATCAGAGAGGAAAAAGGAGACACTGCAACTGATATCACAGAAATTCAAAGGATCATTAGAGACAACTATGAGCAACTATATGCCAATAAATTAGAAAACCTAGAAGAAATGGACAAATTCCTAGACACATACAACCTACCAAGATTGAACCATGAAAAAATCTAAAACCTGAACAGATTAATAACAAGTAATGAGATTGAAGTCATAATAAAAAGTCTCCCAGTAAAGAATACCCTGAGACCCCATGGCTTCACTGCTGAATTTTCTGAAGCATTTAAAGAAGATCTAATATCAATCCTACCCAAGCTATTAAAAAAAAAAAAAAGAAGAGGAGGGAATACTTCCAACTCATTCTATGAGGCCAGTATTACCCTGATACCAAAACCAGACAAAGATGCATCCAAAAAAATGATTTTTTTTAGTTTTCTAAAAACACCAAAGATATCCCTGGTGAGTATTAATGCAAAAATTATCAACAAAATAAATACTAGCAAACCAAACTTAACAACACACTAAAAAGATCGTTCATCAAGATCAAGTGCGATTTATCTCAGAGATGCAAGGATAATTCAATATATGCAAATCAATCCATGTAATACATCATTATCAACAGAATGAAGGAAAAAAAATCATATGATTATTTCAAGTAATGCTGAAAAAGTAGATGACAAAGTTTAATATCCCTTCATGGTAATAACCCTTGAAAAACTGCATATAGAAGGAACATACCTCAACATAATAAGAACTATATATGACAGACCCACAGCTAGTATTACATTGAATAAGGAAAAACTGAAAGCCTTTCCTCCTAAGATCTGGAAGAGGATAAGGATGCCCACTGTCACCACTGTTATTCCACATAGTACTGGAAGTTCTAGCTAGAGCAATCAGACAAAAGAAAGACATCCAAATTGGAAAGGAAGAAGTCAAATTATCCTTGTTTGCAGATGATATAATCTTATATTTGGAAAAACCCAAAAACTCCACCAAAAAACTATTTGAACTGATAAACAAATTCAGTAAAGTTGCAGGATACAAAATAAACAAACAAAGGTTAGTAGCCTTTCTATATTCCAACAGTGAATAATCTGAAAAAGAAATGAAGAAACTAATCCTATTAATAATAGCTACCAATAAAATAAGCTACCTAGGAACAAACATAACCAAAGAAGTGAAATGTCTTTACAATAGAAACTATAAAACACTGATGCAAGGAATTGAAGAGGACACACACACACACACACACACACACACATACAAAATGAAAAGATATTCCATGTTCATGGATTGGAAGAATCAATATTGTTAAAATATTCACACTACCAAAAGCAATCTACAGATTCAGTGTAATCTCTATCAAAATACCAATGACATTCTTTACAGAAGTAGAAAAAACAATCCTAAAATTTATGTGGAACCACAGAGGACCCAGAATAGCCAAAGCTATCCTGAATGATATGGTTAGGCTGTGTCCTCACCCAAATCTCATCTTGAATTGTAGCTCCCATAATTCCCACATGTTGTGGGAGGGACCTGGTGGGAGGTAATTGAATCATGGGGGCAGGTCTTTCCCATGCTGTTCTCATGATAGTGAATAAGTCTCATGAGATCTGATGGTTGTATAAAGGGGAGTTCCCCTGCACATGCTCTCTTGCCTGCTGCCATGTAAGAGGTGACTTTGCTCCTCCTTTGCCTTCCACCATGATTGTGAGGCCTTCCCAGTCATGTGGACCTGTGAGTCAATTAAACCTCTTTCCTTTATAAATTACCCAGTCTCAGGTATGTCTTTATTAGCAGTGTGAGAACAGACTAATACACTGAGCAAAAAGAACAAAATGGGAGGAATCACATTACCTGACTTCAAATTATACCACAGAGCTATGGTTATGGTAACCAAAATGACATAGTACTGGCGTAAAGACAGACACACAGACCAATGTAACAGAATACAGAACCCAGAAATAAACCCACATATCTACAGTGAACTCATTTTTGACAAAAGTGCCAAGAATATACATTGGGGAAAGCATAGTCTCTTCAATAAATGGTGCTGGGAAAACTGGATATCCATCTGCAAAAGAATGAAACTAGATCCCTATCTCATGCCATATGTAAAAATCAAATCAAAATGGACTAAACACTTACATCTCAGACCTCAAACTATGAAACAACTAAAAGAAAACATTGGGGAAACTCTCCAGGACATTGGACTGGGCAAAGATTCCTTGAGTAATACCCCACAAGCACAGGCAACCAAAGCAAAATGGACAAATGGGATCACATCAAGTTAAAAAGCTTCTGCACAGCAAAGGAAACATCAACAAAGTGAATAGACCACCCACAGAATGGGAGAAAATATTTGCAAACTACCCATCTGACAAGGGATTGATAACCAGAATACATAAGAAGCCCAAAGAACTCTATAGGACAAAATCTAACAATCTGATTAAAAATGGGCAAAAGAGCAGAATAGATATTTCTCTAAAGGAGACATAAAAATGGCAAACAGGTGTATAAAAAGGTGCTCAACATTAGTGATCATCAGATAAATGCAGATCAAAGCTACAATGAGAGATCACCTCACCACAGTAAAAATAGTTTTTATCCAAAAGACAATAATGAATGCTTCTGAGGATGTGGAGAAAAGGAAACCCTGATACACTGTTGGTGGGAATGTAAACTAGTACAACCACTATGAAGAAAAGTATGGTAGTTCCTTAAAAAACACTAAAAATATAGTTACTACATAATCCAGCAATCCCACTGCCAGATATATACCCCAAAGAAAGGAAATCAGTATTTTGAAGAAATATGTGCACTTCCACATTTATTGTGGCACTATTCACAATAGCCAAGATTTGGAGGCAATCTAAGTATCCATCAACAGATGAATGGAGAAAGAAAAGTGATACATATACACAATGGAGTACTATTCAGTCATAAAAAAGAATGAGATCCTGTCATATGCAACAACAGGGATGGAACTGGAGGTCCTTATGTTCAATGAAATAAGCCAGGCACAGAAAGAGAAACTTCACATATGCTCACTCATTAGTGGGAGCTAAAAATTAAAATAACTGAACTCATGGAGATGGAGAGTAGAATGATGGTTGCCAGAGGCTGGGCAGGGTAGTGTTGGGGGAGGGGGGTGCAGTGGTGATTAAAGGTTACAAAAATATAGTTAGAAAGATTAAATAAGATCTAGTATTTGATAGCACAACAGGGTGACTACACTAAACAGTAATTTATTGTGCATTTTAAAACAATTAAAAGAGTACAATTGGAATGTTTGTCGTACAAAGAAACGATAAATGCTTGAGGTGTGGATACTTCATTTACCCTGATGTGATTATTATACATTGTACATTTGTATCAAATATCTCATCTACTCTATAAATACATGTATACATACTATGTACTAATTTAAAAAAAACTGCCTCAAACCCATGAAGTGAACATTGCAGTTGTCTCTCCAGCATCCATGCACACTCACCTGCCCTTCCTCCATGTGTAGAAGCCATGATTTGAGTGGGTTGACCCTGCCCCTGTTGGTGTCAGTATAACCTCACCTCTTCGTCTCAGTGATTATTTCAGAGATGGGGAGTCCTATGGTTGAATGTGTCTTCCAAATTTTCTGTGTTAGGAACTTAATCCCCAGTGAAACAGTGTTGGGCCATGGGACCTAGGAAGAGGAGATTAGGTCATGAAGGTTCTGCCTTCATGAATAAATTAAAGTTGTTATCAAGGGAATGGGTTAGTCATCTTGACAGTGGGCTTGTTATAACAAGCTTGACTCCCTCTTGTTCTCTTGCTCTTCTGTCTTCTACCATGGAATGACACAGCAAGAAGGCCCTCACCAGATGCTGAGTAGAAGCCAGCACTACGCCCTTGGACTTCCCAGCCTCCAGATCTGTGAGCCAAATACATTTCTCCTGTATAAATTACCCAGTCTGGGCCGGGCGTGGTGGCTCATGCCTGTAATCCCAGAACTTTGGGAGGCCAACGTGGGTGGATCACGAGGTTTAGGAGATCAAGACCATCCTGGCTAACATGCTGAAACCCCGTCTCTACTAAAAATACAAAAAATTAACAGGGTGTGGTGGCGGGCACCTGTAGTCCCAGCTACTCAGGAGGCTGAGGCAGGAGAATGGCATGAACCCGGGAGGCGGAGCTTGCAGTGAGCTGAGATCGCACCACTGCACTCCAGCCTGGGTGACAGAGTGAGACTCTGTCTCAAAAAAAATAAAAATAAAAATAAAAATAAATAAATAAATAAATTACCCAATCTGTGGCATTCTGTCATAGCAGCACAAAATGGGTGAAGACAGGGAGTAACCAAAGAAGAAAAGCCCATCAGCACCTAGTGTTCCTTGCACCACAGGGACTCGTTCAAATTGGTTCAATCTTGGAAAGTGCAAGGTTTTGTTTAATAGTTGTGGAAGGAAACAGCTCCCTTTTGCATCTCACCTCATTGTTCTCTCTTCCTTGTACCTATAAAGGTACTGAGTCCTTGTTTCTTTGACTTAACCTTCCCAAAGAACCAGTACCACAAGGCAGAGTATGTGGCAGATGTTTACTGGAAGTTGAAGACAATGGAGATGGCTACATAACACATAGAACAACAAAAACTCAACATAAAAGATTAGCCTGTTTTCCAAAGTCTCTATGCTCCCCCTCCAATCTGGCTTTCTTTTCCCCTTAGTCACCAGTTTCCACCACCATGCTCAACAACTCTGGCTCCAACTTCCCTGCATCTTGTTTATTTTCCCTCACTTCCTGGGCCCCTCACCCTCTTCTTCTCCAGCTGCTATGCAAAACCAGAACATTCTCATTTCCTTTGCAAACTAGTTCAGCCTTCCTTTTTCTTATCTTCTTCTTTACAGCAAGGTTTATGTTTTATTTCCCACCCCGATGAATAAACCAAGATATTTTTTAAACCCAAATTGCTCCTTGAGAGAAATTGTACTGTGGCTTCCAGCTTTTAGAATATTTTCTCTATGTTGCACTGTTAAAGAAAATATGATCTGCCCTATCAATTGAACAGACCTTGTGCCCTGACTTCACAGGCCATTTTCTGCCAGCCATGACATCCTATCAATTCTGCATCAGAGAAACTCTCAAATTAAGCCCTTCTTCTCCCACCCTACTCTGTTCTGCTATATTTCAGGCCACCATTGTCTCTCCCTAGACTGGGGTTACCAAAGACCATTCCACAGACTCTGATAAAGTTTGTGCTAATCTTCAGGGAAAAATAAAAATAATGCAGTGAGTTTCTCCATAAGTCTAAATTCATTTAGAATAACTAATTCAAAACTGGATATCCACATGTAAATAATGAAGTTGGACCCTTACCTTTCATCCATATACCAAAATTAATTTAAAATGAATCAGAGACTTAAATACAAGAGCTATAAAATTCTTAGAAGAAAACATTGGGAAAAGCTTCTTGACACTGGATTTGGCAATGATTTCTTGGCTTTGACACCAAAAGCACAGACAACAAAGGATAAAATTGATAAATTGTACTTCATCAAAATTAAAACCTTTTATGTATCATAGGCCATATAAACAGAGTGGAAAGGCAACCCACAGAATGGGAGAAAATGTTGCAAATTATATATCTGATAAGAGAGTAATATCCAAACTATTTAAGGAACTCCCACAACTTAACAAAAACAAAACAAACAACTGGATATACGAATGGGCAAAGGACTTGAATAGACATTTCTTCAAAGCTACACAAATGGCCAATAAGCACATGAAAAGACACACTAATCATTAAGGAAACGCAAATAAAAGACATAATGAGATACAACTTCACATCCACTCAGATGGAAATTATCAAAAACAAAACAAACAAAATCGAAAAACAAGCATTGGCAAGGATACGGGGAAATTGGAATACCTAGAATGAGTTAGGGTGTATTTCCTCCTGTTCAATATTTTGGAAAAGTTTGAGAAGGACTGGTGTCAGTTCCTTAAATATTTGATATTTCTTGAAAAGAAGAATTCTTTTCTTAAGAATAAGAAAATATTTCCTGGAAGTCATCCATTAAACCTGCCCTCACATCTAAGTATTAGATTACATGCTATGTCAGAGATTCATGGTTACACATTATAGCCTTTTCCTACTTCTCTAAGTGAAGAGAATTCTGACTTTTTGATGGGTTCTTTATGCATTGTACAAGCCACACACTGTCACTTCTGTCTTGTTCTACTTGTTAGATGTGAGTTATTAAATCCAGCCCACACTCAACAGGAGGCGGTTATACAAGAGTGATTACCAAGAACCAGGGATCACTGGGGACCATCCTGAAGGTGAGCTACAATGGATCTACTGTGTGCCAGGACCACCTTAGGCACTTTACATGTGTCTAGTCTTTACAGCATTGTGGCCAAGTAGGTATTATTATTACTATTTTAGAAATTTAAAAAACATAAAAGAAAATACTAATGTGGTGGCCATGAAAATACTCTGCTCAAATCTCCTTCCAGAGAATCTTCTGTGGAGAGTATAGTTAGTTGACAGCCCCACTGTTACTCTAGAATTATTCCCAAATTTGAACTAAGGCATTGCTTTCCCTGGGCTGCTGCTGGCCAGTGACTGAACACAGCTGGGGCATCAGAGATGGCCCATTCCTGGAGGATGCAGGTCTTATCTAATGGGCAATGTTCACTCAGGGACTTCCCATTGGCCTGTCTGAAAATGTCTCAGAAAAATCTGGGGCTTTTCCTACACAATCCTCCTTCCTTACCACTCTTCTTTCACAGATGTCAGACCCGCCTTGGAGTCTAAGACTGTCCTTGCCCATTCCTGCTCTTTGCCTTTTATCCTTCACAGGAATTTTCTTCCAATAAATCTCTTGCATGTCTAATTCTACATGGTGTTTGTTTCTCAGAAGACCCAAACTTATGTGTCAGAAAAGTTGAGTGATTTGCCCAAGTGAGTTGGGGGCATAGATGGGATTTGAACACATGTTTTGACTCCAAAGGCCAAACCCAAGCTCCTTCAACACAGCATGCTATCACTTTGTACTGGGTTAATGGTGGCCCTCCAAAAGATAAATTCATATCCTAACACCTGTAACCTGTGAAGGTGACCTTATTTGGAAAAAGGTCTTTGTAGATATAAGTTAAGGATCTTGAATTATTTGTGTGGACCCTAAATCTTATGACAAGAATCCTTAGACAAGACAGAAAAAGAAGAAGACACAGATACAGGGAGAAGGCCAGAGATTAGAAGGATACCCTGAAGTCATCAGAAAGTGGAAGAGGCAAGGAAGGATATTTCCCAAGAGCCTTCAGTGGGAGCTTGACTCTGGATATCACCTTGATTTCAGACTTCTGGGCTCCAGTTCTATGAGAGAGTAAATTTCCACTGTTTTCAGCCACCCAGTTTGTGGTCATTTGTTACGGCAGCCACGGGGAACTAACACAAGTATTTAACCTCTAACTTTAATACTAGCACAGTGCCTGGCACATATTAGGTGTTTTTAAAGCGTGATCCTTGTGGCACATATACACCATGGAATACTACACAGTCATAAAAAAGAATGAGTTCATGTACTTTGCAGGGACATGGATGAAGCTGGAAGCCATCATTCGTAGCAAACAGAAACAGAAAACCAAACACTGCATGTTCTTCCTCATAAGTGGGAGTTGAACAATGAGAACACATGGACACAGGGAGGGGAAAATCACACACTGAGGCCTGTTAGGGGGTTAGGGGCAAGGAGAGCGAGAGCATTAGGACAAATACCTAATGCATGCGGGGCTTAAAACCTAGATGACGGGTTGATAGGTGCAGCAAACCACCATGGCACATGTGTGCCTATGTAACAAACCAGCACATTCTGCACGTGTATCCCAGAACTTAAAGTAAAATTAAAAAAAAAAAAAAAGAGTGATCCTTACTTGCTCTGGGAAGGTTTTTAAAAAGAGCTAATTAGTTAATAGATAACTACATGGGGATGATGAAACAAAGCTTTAAACTGCTTCTAAGTAACTCGGATTGAATACTATAAAATTGTACTTGACGATTGATTTCTAGTTTGAGTGTTATCTAGGAAGAGAATGAATATTTGTGGAGTGCCTGCTGTGTACCAGACACTAAGATAAGTTTTATTCATAAATTACATCAGTGGGAGGAAATATTATAAATTATAACGGTGAAAGCAAGGCTTTTGGAGTCAAATTTGAGCTCTGATTCTCATTAGCTGTATGACCTTTAGCAAATTATTTGAACTCTCTTAGCCAAAATTTACTTATCTGAAAAATAGAAAAGTGATTCCTATCTCCCTTCCCTGCTTTGAAGATTAAAGGAGATAATGAATGAAGCAGCTGAGCACAGTGTCTGGCACATAGAAAATTTCAACAAACATCAGTTATTAGGAGTGAACCATGCTGGTGGGTGCAGGACTGTCGAAGTGGGAACTAGGGCTCTCATCTGAGAACAAGAGGTGCTAGATACTCCCTTCTAAGAGGTCAGAGAACTACAGTGTTTGGGACAAGCTAAGTCCCCACAGGGCTTGCTGAGAAATTCCAGTTTCAGCCCCACAAACACGAACCCCCCAACTCCTTTCTCCTGCAGGTGAACTGGGAGTATGGAGAAGACAGTCTCTTTGTGTTAGGCCTGCATCTCCCTAAGGTCGAGGAGGGTGGAGGTGGGAGGGGGTGCTATGAATTTACTTAAGGGAGGAGACTAAACTGAGCCTCTGCCTATACTAATGTGGCGCTGCGGCTGTCTAGCATAGGAACGTTGCCAGGCCCGTGAACCAGCAGAGGTTCTGAGTCTTCCAGGACACTCAGGTTTCCGTGACATACCAAAGCTTGGAAGGAGAAATGCCTTCCCTAGTTCCCTCCATCCCTGTCTGTAACCTGTGACAGACAACCCCAGTATTCCACACACCCCAACAAGGCTGCCTAGTCAGGGAGGGGACCCTTGGCAGCAAGAGGCTGTTAGGGGCTCAGGGCTGCTTCCGTCAGAGGGCTGATCTGGGGAGAGCAAGCTGAATACTGATCTCCCACACCACAGGCGAAGCAGCAGGAAGACCCTCACAGGGCCCTCCGAGGAACCAACAAACGGGTTTCACAGAAGTGCCCATATTTGGACGCCTGCCATACCCTGGAACAAATGGCCCGTCGTCATCAAATGGAGGAGCTGTGGTGGCCAACAGAGCGGATTACAAGCTTACAACAGGCATCCAAATAAGATGAGACCTGCCTGTCTTTCTCCTCCTGCCCCCAACACCAGCGCAGTGCATGCTGGGAAGGGGGAGGTGTTGGGGGAAGCTGAGGAGGCCAGGCCGCCCTCCCAGGGTCTGGCCGTCCTGTCAGCCTGGGTTGCCCATGAGAATCACATGGGGAAGCTTTCAGGAATTCTTCATGAGCCCAGATATTCTGGTTTAACTGGTCTGGAGTGGAACCTAGGCACTGACATTTTTAATGAGCAGCTGAGGCTGCAAACCACTTCTCTAAAGCCAAAGTAGTAGCCTGCGCCGCTGGGGGAAGGTGTAGGATTGCAAGAATTCGCAAATACAAATAAAAGTATCATATGACACTTACGTTAAACACTATCTAAAATTCTAATTTCACTGGGCATTCTGTATTGATAAAATATTGATAGTGACAATCTTAGGAGGGTAGGAAAAATATTTGGATTGGGTAGAAGATTGAAATTTGAAAATGAACAAACAGGGCAGAGTCTTAAGGATCAGAAGTAACGGTTTAGTATTAAAAGGTGACTGCAGGCCGGGCGCGGTGGCTCACGCCTGTAATCCCAGCACTTTGGGAGGCCGAGGCGGGCGGATCACGAGGTCAGGAGATCGAGACCATCCCGGCTAAAACGGTGAAACCCCGTCTCTACTAAAAATACAAAAAATTAGCCGGGCGTAGTGGCGGGCGCCTGTAGTCCCAGCTACTTGGGAGGCTGAGGCAGGAGAATGGCGTGAACCCGGGAGGCGGAGCTTGCAGTGAGCCGAGATCCCGCCACTGCACTCCAGCCTGGGCGACAGAGCAGGACTCCGTCTCAAAAAAAAAAAAAAAAAAAGGTGACTGCAATGTTATGGAATGGGGCTGAGCTGTCAAGAAAGGAGATGTTACCCGGTGAAAAATAGGGGTATTTGACATAAGCACACTGGGGGCAGTTGCAGAAAAAATAAAACCATTTCATATTTATGCCCCTAGTGAGATGAGCCTCCCAGTAAACCAGTTATGTCATTACAACCAACAACCTTGCAGAAGGGATGAGAGAATGGAAGCTGAGAGAATTTATGTGATTTGTGGAAGTTCAACACAGCTCGTAAGTGACAAACCAGGATTTGAACCAAAGTCAGTTTGTCTTTAAAAAAACAAAAAGGTAGCAAGTTCTTTCTACTATACCATAATGACTTCTAGAACTTTTCTTTCTCCCTTTTCGTTTGTTTGTTTGTGTTTTTTTTTGAGATGAAGTTTCACTCTTGTTGCCCAGGCTAGAGTGCAATGGCTCGATCTTGGCTCACTGCAACCTCCACCTCCCAGGTTCAAGCAATTTCCCTGCCTCAGCCTCCCGAGTAGCTGGGATTACAGGCATGCACCACCACGCCCAGCTAATTTGTATTTTTAATAGAGATAGGGTTTCTCCATGTTGGGCAGGCTGGTCTCAAACTCCTGACCTCAGGTGATTCACCTGCCTCAGCCTCCCAAAGTGCTGGGATTACAGGTGTGAGCCACTGCACCCGGCCTAGAACTTTTATTTGGTACTAGTAATACTAGTAGATTGCTTCCCTAAAACAAGCAGGGAAAGGAAGCAAAAAGCCCAGAGAAGCGCCCCCACCACCCTCCACCCCCTACCCCCATTAAAGTACAGAGTGAAGAGAGGCAGGGACTGGGGCTGTACATTTTGGACCCTACAGACTGGTCCTATCCCTGGCCTTGCTGACATCTGTAGGTGATCAAGGTGAAAGCAGAAGACCCTTCTGTCTCCTCATTCTCTCAGCTGCTGAGCAGCCAAATATGGGGAGCTGCGTGAATGTTTATTTCGCAGGAAGTTCTGCTGCTCCATCATGATGTCTCCTGCTTATATTTCTGTAATTAAATGTCATCTCATTGTGCATGTACTTGTTGTGCTTAAGCCCCAAGGCTGTTTTAGTAAAGGGTACAATTTTGTAAATCAAATGGAGAAAAATAAACGAAACCACCTGTTCTGTGAGACAGTGTGCTGCCAAGCGTGGAGCTCTCCTGTCCCTCCCTGCCTCCTCCAGAGTCCAGGAGGGGAGGGCAAGAGAAGCCCCCAGGATGGGGGGTGAGGAGTGTAACCACTTCAGTGAGGGGTACCTTGTCCCTATTCAAAAGTAACTCTTTAGTAGGGGGCTCACCACTGCAGGGCCTTGGCTTTCAGTGGGCCAAGAACAGCTGTTGTGACAGGCGGGGACAGCCACTCAGGACATGAGGGAAGTCAGGCTGCAGAAGGTGGACAGCCCAAGAAGTCCCTTAGGCTCACATATGGGAAAGCAAAACTTATGATTGAATAATTCCAGCCTTTGCCTCGCCCATTCTCACCTTCTGTTAAACAAAAAGCTGTCTTTTCCCTCTCAGGGTCTCTCCTTCCTCCCCCATATGGAGAACTCCGTGTTTGCCAGCCTGTCTCCTGGGATTTCAAGATGCGGCATAAGAGTAGGTACAGAGAGACAGGACAAGAAACATAGGAAGGAAGAGAGAGGGAAACTAAACCGACTGGCTTGTGGGCTGGGCTTTGGGGAGCATTCTTTGTAGAGTTGAGAGGGAGATACAAAAGCAGTCTTAGGTTGGGAGAGAAATGGATTTGTTTCTCCTCTAAATAATTTATCGAGGAGAAATTCACATAACATAAAGTTAACCAGCTCTACGGGAACAATTCAGTGGCATTTGGCATATTCACAATGTTGCGCAACCAACCACCTCTGTCTCATTCCAAAATGCTTCCATCGCTCCAGGTAAGGGTATTTTAAGGTGTGTTGATGTGGATTATGCATTTGATCCCTTAATGTTTGTCAAGGGACGGAAGTGAAGATTGGAGTATATTTTTAATAACTGTTGACTTGTAGACTTTAACCTAGCAAAACTGGGTCAGGTGGACCCAAGGGGTTATTTGGGTTCTGTACAGCCATGGCCCCCAGGGCAGGAGACCTGTAGGAGTGCCTCACCCACCACCACATTAGGCTCTGTGCTCCCAGGTTTCCTACAGTGACTTTGGTACCTTGGTATTCTTAATGACCTGATCTTACCAGGTTACATGTTGGTGGGTGGGACGCACTCTGTGATATATCCTGCACCTATATGCTCTAAGACTGAGAGTCTGACCTCAGTATCCTCCAAGAGAGGACCCCACCAGCAGCCTGGTGTGAGCTTTGGGTTACCTCAACCCCTGAAGCAAGCTGAACTACTCATTCTTCTCCAAACATTCCCTGAAGCCTCCCACCTTTGTCCTTTCTGGTGTCTACACCAGCTTTCCCCCAGTTCTTTACTCCCAAATAACCAGATGCTAACAGTTTTTAAATTTTCTTATTGCTCATATAATATCTGATATGTGATTATGCATGCATGCTTAAGTACATGTACTTTCTCTCTCTCTCTCTCTCTCTCTCTCTCTCTCTACATATTTGAGTTTTTTGTTGGGTTCATTGCTTGCTTTGGAAAAATTGGATCATGTATTCTCTGCATCTTCTATCTCTCATTCAAAAATATCTCATAGAAGTTCCTCTCAGTCCCCTGGTATGTTTCAGATTCATTATTTGTGTTGGCAGCATTGTAATCCATAATGAGGCTCCTTCATAATTTATCCAACCCTTTCTCTATTGATGGATATTTCCTGTTTTAAGTTTCTGTCCCTCTAAACAATGAAGCAAGATTGTTGTACAATATATATCTTTATATACCAATGCTTTTACTTCTATTGAATGGATTCCAGGGTTGAAAGTCATGTGTATTTTAAAATTTAGTGTATATTGCTTTCAAAAAGGCTGAAACATATTTTCGGCAGCAAAATATGGAGTACTTTTTACCCTCATCCCTAGTAGCAACCGTTGCTACCCCTCGTTTTAATTTTTTTGTAGTCTTATAGTCATGAAGCCATATTCCATTGTAAACTTAATTTGTAGTTTGCTGACTCCTGATGAGCATGAGCATCTTTTTCAACTGTTTATTTGGCAGAGGGATTTGCTTTTTCTGTGTATGTTGTACTTCAATACAAAACTTTCTTAGAATTTAAAAATCTGCTGGGTTTATGATTGGGATTGCATTACGTTTTTAATTTTTTGGAGAATAAATTTTTTATGAGATTAACTCCTCTCAACAAATTGCATAGTATTAAAATGTATCCCTATTTTGTTTATGTTTTTTCCCCATAGGATTGTTTTTCACATAGTCCTGTACCTCTCTTTTATATTTATCCCTCAATGTTTTATAGATTTTAGCTGGGCACAGTGGCTCACGCCTGTCATCCCAGCACTTTGGGAGGCCAAGGTGGGCGCATCACTTGAGGTCAGGAGTTTGAGGCCAGCCTGGCCAACATGGTGAAACCCCATCTCTACCCAAAATACAAAGATTAGCGGGGCATGGTGGCAGGTGACTGTAGTACCTGCTACTCAGGAGGCTGAGGTAGGAGAATCACTTGAACCCGGGAGGTGAAGGTTGCAGTGAGCTGTGATTGTGCCACTGCACTCCAGCCTGGGGGACAAGAGCGAAACTCCGTCTAAAAACAAACAAACAAAAACAAAAAAAATTTTATAGATTTTTATCACTAAAATTAAATATTTTTCTCATATATATTTCTTGATGAATATGCTATAGCAGATAAATGATTAATTTAATATGCATTTTGGTGAACCTTGCCACCTTACTGAAGTCTTTATTAATCTGAGTGTTGGGTTTTTTTGTTTTTTGAGACGGAGTCTCACTCTGTCACCCAGGCTGGAGTGCAGTGCTGCGATCTCAGCTCACTGCAGCCTCCACCTCCCAGGTTCAAGCGATTCTCCTGCCTCAGCCTCCCAAGTAACTGGGATTACAGGCGTGGGCCACCACGCCAAGCCAACTTTTGTATTTTTATTAGAGATGAGGTTTCGCCACATTGGCCAGGCTGGTCTCGAAATCCTGACCTCAGGTGATCCTCCTGCCTCTGCCTCCCAGAGTGCTGAGATTACAGGCATAAGCCACCATGCCTGGCCTAATCTGAGTGGGCTTTTTTTGTTTTGTTTTGTTTTGTTTTTTAAATTAGTTTTCTAGGTTTTCTAAGAATGCAATCATGTGATTAATGAAAGAAAATATTGTCAAATATTTATGCCAGTGATTCAATTTTATATTCTTATTGTATTTTCTAAAAACCTTATCCAAGACAATGTCAAATAGTAATGGTAACAGCAGGCATAAATCTGGAAAAGAAAAGATAGAATCATGAGCAAAAAAAATTCCAATACTTTGTCACTTCTTTCAAATGTTTACACTAATCATTTATTTTTCTTACCTTATTACATTTGTTTGACTCTCTAAGTCTCTAAGAAAATGTTGAATTAAAATGGTAATAGTGGGTATTCGTGTCTGATTCTGATTTTAATTGAAATGTTTTTGGTGTTTTGTTAACTAGAATATTGTCTTGGTTTTTGATAAAGAGATTTTATTATCTCCAACAATCCTAATTTTTATTTTACTTAAAGTTTTAATAGGAATAGCTACTGAATGTTATCAAGTGCCTCTGCAGAAACTACTGATAAAATGATATGGTTTTTCATCTTTAATTTTTTGATAAAAAGACTTATGTTGATATGTTTCTTGACGTTGAGCTTTGTAATACTAGAATAAATTCTCCTTACTTTAGTGTATTAGTCTTTTTGCCACATTACTAGATTCTATTTGTCAACATTTTATTTAGGATTTTTGCATCTACAGTTATAAGTATTGGTCTATAATTTTCCTTTTTATGCTGTCTTTATAGGGTTTTAGTGTAAAATTAAGCTTGGTTTGTAAAATAAATTCAGAAGCTTCCATTTTTATTCCTTGGTCTAGAATATATTGATAAATATTACTATTATCTATTCTTTGAAGATTAGAAAACTGAGCTGTGGACTTCTCTGTCCTGACACCCTTTTCAATGGTAGATCTTTGATCATCTTCCTGATCTGGCCCACTGTAATTAGTTATTCAGGTTTTCACTTCTTGGATTAACTTTGGTAATTTCCTTTAGATCTTCAATTTTGTTATCATGGAGTTAGCATATAATACATACTTATAATTGTTCAAATCTCTTCTGTATCTGAGACCATGGCTCTTTATTCATTCCCAATCTTGTCTTTTTGTTGTTGTTGTTCTTTTTTCTTTAATTAGATTTCAGAGAGGTTTATCTGTTTAGTTGAACTTTTTAAGAATTAGCCTTTGGGCTAGGTGCGGTGGCTCACGCCTGTAATCCTAGCACTTTGGGAGGCCAGAGGCAGGTGGATCACTTGAGGTCAGGAGTCTGAGACCAGCCTGGACAACATGGTGAAACCCCAGCTCTACTAAAAATATAAAAATTAGCCGAGTGTAGTGGTGTGCACCTGTAATTCCAACTACTCAGAGGCTGAGATACGAGAATTGCTTGAACCCGGGAGGCAGAGGTTACAGTGTGCCAAAATAGCACTACAGTCCTGCCCTCCAGCCTTGGCAACTGGGTGATACGAAAGAATTAGCCTTTGGATTTGTTGACAGTGTCTCCTGTGTTTTTGTTTTCTGTTTAGTTCACTCCGTTTTCATGTTTATTAATTCTCCTTTAGAACACTTTTTCTGCCTCACTTTCCTCTCCCTCTCCAGAGAAGTCTTAATAAAATAAATTTGACTTTGACTTTATTGTTCCGTCCTTCTCCCACTTTTAGGTTTTGCTGACATACGGAAGAACTTTTCAATCTAGATTACCGTTATTAGAATTTACTTGGAGTATTTATTGCCTATTTCAGGAATCCTTATTTAGAACTTGTATTACACATTCTTAGATAGTCTATCATTATGGGTTTAGATATTATAAATATCTATATAAAAAGCAAGCATGGCTCACTGCTATTTCCTATCTTATTCTTCTTCCATAATCTTGAGTTCTCTGTTCTGATTCATCTGTTGTTTCACCAGAGTCTTTTCTCTCATATTTTCTCCAGATAGGTATGAGAATAATATATTCTCTGAATTCTTGCATACCCCAAATATCTTCCTTTCTTGCTGATATATGAAGGATGTCCTGGCTGGCATAGTCCTTTTTTCTCAGGAGTCCATAAATGTCACTCTACTAACTTCCAACACAGCAATGTTAAGTGTCAATCTGATTCTTCTTCCTCGTTCTTTTTATCTGTGAATTTAAAAAATTTATAGTGCTACCTGTGGAATTCAGAAATTTTACCAAGATATGATTGGGTGTGTGCCTTTCCTCTTTAATATAGCCTAAACCAGTGAAACCTTCCAACATACTTTCTGATCCTTCTTTTTTTTTATTTTTATTTATTTATTTTGAGATGGAGTCTTGCTCTGTTGCCCAGGCTGGAGTGCAATGGTGTGATCTCAGCTCACTGCAACCTCTGCCTCCCGGGTTCAAGTGATTCTCCTGCCTCAGCTTCTGGAGTAGCTGGGATTACAAGACGCCTGCCACCACACCCGGCTAATTTTTGTATTTTTAGTAGAGATGGGGTTTCACCATGCTGGCCAGGCTGGTCTTGAACTCCCGACCTCAGGGATCTGCCTGCATCAGCCTCCCAAAGTGCTGGGATTACAAGCATGAGCCACTGCGCTCAGCCTCTGATACTTCTTTATCCACAGGAAATGTTCTTGCACTATCATTTAATTGTTGCCTCTTCCCACCTGTTCCTTCATCTGGAATTACAGTTTTCCTGTGCAGTGGACATCTTGACTTGATCCTCAGGCCCTGAGTTGAATTTCAACACTGACTGTTCTACTCTTCACCTAATTCAATTAGTTTTCATTTGAAAAGTCATGTTTATTTGTTTAAATTCCAGGTCATCTTTTAAGGACTTTTCTTAAATCTCCTCAGTTTCTCATTATTTTTATTTTTGTATGGGTCATAGACTTATCTCCTCCAATAGCTCTAATTTTTGATGAGTACTTCTTCTGTCCTGGTTGCTTTGTTTGTCATTTTTCTCTCTCTCTAGCTGTTGTCCTTCTCTGATGTGTGCTTTTTCTGTGTTTACTCCTTGGAGCTCAGGCATAGCTGCTAAGAATCTTATGTGGTCTCATTTCCAAGGGTAGGAGATGGCCTTGTGGTCTCAGTCCTAAAGGCCAGTAGTGGAGCACACAGGGGTTGTTGGGCCCTTGTGAAGGTACCACAAGAAGCAAGACTTTATGTTTTATTATGTTTCCTATCATTCATGAGCTCCCCACCTCAAGGATGAAATGGCCTCAACTTACATTTTCAGCCCTGGAAATCAGATATGCCTTTCCAGCTGATGAGGATGTTCCTCAGGGTTGGAGAATCCCCTGAGGCCAGCTTTCTGGGGAAACTCTGTTCAGATACTTACCTGAGTCCTTCAGACACTAGTACCCAGGCTCTCACATAGCCCAGAGGGGAGAAGCCACTAAACTGTACAGGTGCCCTCTGATCAGCTTCTACCATCTGTCTGGATTATGTAGGATAGTCAGGCTGGAATTGCAGTTGGGAGGGGAAAAAGTTAGGACATGTTAAGCTACCATGTTCCTGTATTCCTGCTGATTTCTTCAAGTCAAAACTCTACCCATCCTTAAAGGGTGTTCACAAAAGCCACTTCCTATATCCTTCTTGATCCTCTTGTCTCATGGCTCGTTCTCAACTCTGGCCACACCCTAAAATCTCCTGAGGAACTTTAAAAAATACTAACACCTGGGTCTGTTCTGGTCTAACTGATGTGGAGTGCAGTCTGGACTTCAGGATTTTTATTTTTTATTTACTTATTTATTTATTTATTTTTTTTTGAGATGGAGTCTCGCTCTGCTGCCCAGGCTGGAGTGCAGTGGTGCGATCTTGGCTCACTGCAAGCTCTGCCTTCCAGGTTCACACCATTCTTCTGCCTCAGCCACCCGAGTAGCTGGGACTACAGAAGCCCATCACCACGCCCGGGTAATTTTTTGTATTTTTAGTAGAAATGGGGTTTCACTGTGTTAGCCAGGATGGTCTCGATCTCCTGACCTTGTGATCTGCCCGCCTCGGCCTCCCAAAGTGCTGGGATTACAGGCATGAGCCACCACGCCCGGCCAACTTTGGGATTTTTAAAGCCCTTCATGTGGCTCTAACAAATGAGTCTGACATGCAGCCAGGGTTGAGTATCTAACTTGGTGTGATCATCCCCTCCTCCCAGCATTCAGTCTTTCTTGTATCATAACTTTTGTGTGCTTATTTTATCTTCCTACTAGTAAATGTCTTGAGCCCACATTCGCTTATTCTCTCAGTAATTCAGTTATCCACTTCCTCACTTTATTCATTCATTTAACAAATATTTAGTATGTGCCATCCTTCAGGCAGCAGGCCCTGGAAGATTCAAAGATAAATACGAGTCTCTGTGTAAATATATTTACAGACTTGTTTGGGTTAATATTTTGCAAATGGACATGAATTTTTCTTAGTGCTTCTCCTTAAAACAGACCTGGAGAAAGCTGCTATAGACTGCTCAGCCACTCTGCCCTGACAAGTGTGTGTGAGGAAAAGTGCTATTGCAATTTCAATTTTTAAAAATCCAGATAAATAAAGGTGGCAATTCCAATTGTTGGCAGAGACAAATGGGCAAAGCCAGAAAGATCTGTGAACAGGAAAGCCTCAAAAGTCACACAGCATGCAGACTTGTGTCTCAAACACCTGCTGCTCACTCACCTAGAATCCCTAGAATCCAAACTCCCACAAGAAATGGATAGCAAGTTTCTTTTTTCTTTCCACAAATTTCTCTTTTTTTCCCCTGACTGGGTATATTCACAGGTCCTATATAAATAATGTTTGCTCTGAGTCATAAACATGAAAAACCATTTCTAAGTACTAAGGTTCTGGTGCCGTCTATTGTTTGCAAATCACTGCTGCACACTGGTTGGGAGGCAGGGCCATAGAGGGAAAGCCTGCTGGCTCTTGAGCTGGAAGATGCAGTCCTGGGACCCCACCGCTCCTCTGAGAGCTACCTGCATGGGTCATGTGTACCCTTCACACATGACTGGGAGCCCAGGTGATCTCTTTCCATCCTGAGTGAACATTTGTGTGGACAGGCTTTTCAAAAATGTGCATCTGGAATGCCAGAGGAAGGGCGTCTATGCAGAGAAGTTGTCCTGAGGCTACATTCCGCAAGCACTGGGAAGCTAAAAAAATAAAATAAAATAAAAAAATAAAAACCAAAAAACAAAAACCTGACTTTTGAGCTAGAATAACAAATACCACCAAATTAGAGTAACTTTTCTCCCCTCTTAATTTACCGTATTTAAAGTCACCTCACCTATCAGGATCCTAGCCAGGAACCAGGAAAAGAAGCCAAAAAGGGCTCTAAGTACAGTTGGAGATGGTGGAAGTTTTGCCGCATGGACATTCAGGCATTTTATATCTAGGAATACCAAGCTGTCATCCAACATCCATTTCCTTTTCTTTTCTTTTCTTTTTGGAGATGGAGTCTGGCTCTGTCACCCAGGCTGGAGTGCAATGGCACGATCTTCGCTCACTGCAACCTCCGCCTCCCAGGTTCAAGTGATTCTCTTGCCTCAGCCTCCCAAGTAGCTGGGATTACAGGCGTCCACCACCATGCCCAGCTAATTGTTTTTGTATTTTTAGCAGAAACGGGGTTTTACCATGTTGGCCAGGGTGGTCTTGAACTCCTGACCTCAGGTGATCCACCAGCCTGGGCCTCCCGAAGTGCTGGGATTATAGGCGTGAGCCACCACACCCAGCCCCATTTCCTTTTCTTCATACCTAGTTTTAATAAGTTGAAGTATCTGGCGTCCAAACTTCCTACAGATGGATAGTAACACATTGGAGGGCATAAGAGGATGTTACAGGCATGCACACTGACAGCCATGAGAAGCAAGCAGGAGACAGAAAAATGAAAATGTGCAGGTAGTGGCATTTCTCTGTCTTTTCAGCTCATTCCATGTTCAACAAATATGAACGTTTCATCTCTTCCTAGAAATTCTGATACCTGGTCCCAGGCAGACATCCTCCTCCTCAGCATAGGCAGGGTTGCTCAGGAGGCAGAATCTGGAGCATGTTGGCATGCAGGTTTATTATGGAGAGTCCTGGGGACCACTACTGTGGAAGGAAGGGCAAGGAAGCAGAAGTGGGCAGAGAGAGAAGTCAAGCCACAGTGTGGCTCAACAATAGTCTTGACCACCTCCATGGGAGGCTCCAGAGCCAGAATAGTCCTTTAGAGCTGCCTTGTTTGGACCACAATGAACAGGTCTTTATATTCATAGATCAATAGTCACTGAAGCAGGCTGCTGAGGCTTCCTGGGCAAGGAGGCTCTCTACAGCTGAGGCAGTCCCTGGAGGGCTGGCAGGAAAGGCTCTCTGCCACAGCATCCCCTGCAGCCGACACAGCAAGCCCCTCCTTGACGGGGACCATGGTGACACATCACGGTGTCCACGGTGCTCCTTGACTCATGCCCTGGAGGACCAGGATAGTCTCACCTTCTCTGTGCCTTACTTGACTGATGGCTGTGACAGAGACTGCTCATTATCCACAGCCTATCCATTCCAGATTTGGGAGGGAGGGTAGCAAGGCACCCAGCTAGAATATTTTATTTCTCTACCTTCCTTGTGAGTTGGCGTGGCCATGTTATTTTGGCCAATGAGATATAAATAACAGTGCTGTGTAGGAGTTCTGGGAAGGCTTTCTTAGAGTTACACACTCAGCTTTCTCCTTTTCTGCTCCCTGGAATGTGGTCATGAGAGCAGAGTTCTGGCAGCAATCTTGAACCATGAAGTAACTTAAGGATGGGACCTGTGTATTTCCATAGATCAGAAAGACAGGCAGAGCCTGAGTCCCTGATGACTCGAGCTGCCATTCCGGAGCAGTTCCAGACTTCTTTTTGTAAGAGATAAACAAATGGTTATCCTGTTTAAATCACTGCTATTTTGAGATTTCTGTTTTGCAGCCAAGTTCAGGGGCCAAACTCTACTGGGGATTTATGATTAATTAAGATAGTAATTTTTGCTGATTTTGGAATCCATCATCTCTTCATTACCACTGTAGCTATAGTAGAGGTCCTTGTTTCTCCCTCTGCTCTTCACCCCCTGCAATAAATTGCCCATACTGCTGCCAGAGGGATTTTCTACTTGATAAATTTGAACATGTCCTTCCCATTGTTAAAAACCTTTCAAGAAACTCTTGAGCTCTAAATTGTCTGTCATACTTTGTCTTATGAATTGAATATTAGGACACGTCTTACTGCATATTCGTGTTTATTCAACTATGCAGTTTTTATCGTGTGTTCATGAGTATTCAAGGAACATTGCTAGAAACAACACTGGCAGTTCTGCAGGCTGGGAAGCCACCGACTGGAACAACATCCCATAATGGCCAAGGAAATAACATAATTTTATTGTTAGTAAGCTGAGAGTTGGGCAAGTCTAGACCCACCTCTGAGCCACAGTCTAGCAGCCACCCTTATTTCTAACCTTATTTCTAACTCTTCTTTAATAGAATTCCAGTGTCATCTGAGCCATTCCACTTTTCCTTCCTTTGGGTGCCCTGAGCAGGCCCAGCTCCTTTGTAATGAAATGGAAATTACAGACCACCCCTGAGGCCCAGGCACAGCCAATGGTATGTTGCATGACGATATCAATGTTTTTACCCCAAGCAGATCTCTCTGACTTAATTTTTTGTGTGTGTATACATTTTTTAAAATGATACTTTTGTTTTGACATAATTGTAGTTCACATACACTTGTAAGAAATAATAACAATACTCTTCACCTAATTTCCCCCAATGGTAATATCTTACATAATGGTAATATCATGACCAGAAAATTCATATGGATACAACCCACATCAATTAAAAAAATTTTTTTGTTTTCCTAACTTTTTTTTTTTTTTTTTGAGACGGAGTCTTCCTCTGTCGCCCAGGTTGGAGTACCATGGTGTGATCTTGGCTCACTGCATTCTCCGCCTCCTGGGTTCAAGCGATTCTCCTGCCTCAGCCTCCAGAGTAGCTGGGATTACAGGCGTACGCCACCACGCCCAGCTAATTTTTGTATTTTTTTAGTAGAGACAGGGTTTCACCATGTTGGACAGGCTGGTCTCGAACTCCTGACCTCAGGTGATCTACCCGCCTTGGCCTCCCAAATAAACTTTTGTTGGTATATGTTATATAGAGTCTGGATGCTTCTTGTGATGAAAATACACTTTTTCTTTATTAAAAAAATAAAAAGTTTTTAAGAGCTCCTCTTCCCCTTGGGATAAAGTCTGGAATTCTCTATATGGGCTTCAAACTCCTCCAAGTTCCGGCCCTAACTCCCCACACTTATCTATCACAGCTCTTACCAGGATCCCCCAGACCCAGCCTTACAGAGCTACTCCACCACCTGGAAAATCCTCCTCTTACTGGGTCTAGATAATTCCTATCTGTCTTTCAGATGAAGTGAAGTCTATAACTCTTCCTAGAAGCATTAGCCACACTCTTTCAGACTGGGTTACATGCCTTTTAATTTTCATTTGTTTTTACTTCTTGAGTGCCTGGCACACAATAGATCAGGGGTCCAATCCCGTAGGCGTGAACTGGTAGGCAGCAGTGGCCTGTTAGGAACCAGCCGCACAGCAGGAGGTGAGCACCCAGTGAGTGAGCATGACAGCTTGAGCTCCGCCTCCTGTCAGATCAGCGCTGGCTTTAGACTCTCATAGGAGCCAGCCTTATTGTGAACTCTGCATGTGAGGGATCTAGGTTGCGTGTTCCTTATGAGAATCTAACTAATGCCTGATGATCTGAGGTGGAACCGTTTCATCCCAAAACCATCCCCCAACTGCCCTATGTCTTATATGAAACTGGTCCCTGGTGCGGAAAAGGTTGGGGACCACTGCAGTAGGTAACCAAAAAATATTTGTTGAATGAACAAGTGAGTGGGTAGCTCTTACCAGTTTAAGAGTGTTGGAATAAACTGCCCACTTCTCCTTTCCCATAACCTGACTCTAGATTCCACTTTTGGATGTGGAAATCTTGTTCAATTGCTTTTCTATGGGCAGCACCCAGCCCAATGCCTTGCATATATTGGGTGCTCAATATGAGACAGTGGCTGGCTGGTGGGGAGCTGGGAATTGAGACAAGAAGAGCAGTGTGAGCACAGGCATGAGATAGTGTGTTCCAGGACAGCGAGTAGACCATTTGGCTCAGAAAAATCATTTTACAGCCCATTTAATCCATGTCAGCAGTGAGTCTGGCTTATAGTGCTGGGCATCTCAACATCAGACATTTGATGGATCCCTCCTGCTTCTGTGCTGCTAAAACACAATGTAAAAGAATCTGCAGCTTCTGCAACCTTATACTCTGTGAACATCATTAACCTCTATGGGCTCAGTTAGTGCCTATATTCATCTATCGCTATTCACAGAAACTCCTAGAATTACCAATCGAAGGGAATTAGTGTGGCAGATCTGCTCCATTCACCTTCAGGAAGGTAAAATTTTGCCCAAATTCTCAGATAGACTTGAAATGAGTTCCTGAATAGCTGTGTCACCCTTAGTAACTTAAAAGGAGCTCCCTACTCTCTCAGCACAGCATTTTATCTTAGGGTAATATGAAACTCAGGAAGCTGCAGTCCACACACAGTTTGGTAGTTGGCAGCTTCTACTGCATGCCTGCAGCAATAACACCCACTCCTGCCTGTTAGATGCTCTTTCCCATAGAGTCAGGATGCACCACCAGTGAACCAGAGGCAGGGTCACTGGGGCTGGATGTCCCCAGTTTTGAACCCTGGTTCTGCCATTCTCTTAGTGTGGATTTAGCCTCTTCAGTTTCCACATCCATAGAACATGGAAATATGATGGTCCTACCTCATAAGAATAATTGTGAGAATTCTGTGGGCTAATGCATGGCAGCTCACACCACAAGTGCAGGCACACAGCAGGTGCTCGATAAATGTTAGCTCCGATCGTCATTGCTATTATAAAAGAGTCACAATCAACCATGAAGTATGGGGGCTCAGGAACACAGAGGGGGTGTTCTTATAGGCATTTCTCTTATTTTTCATTATGCTAGGTCATTGGTGTATAGATATAATTAATATTAGCTTTACCACCGTGGTAAGCTGAATAATGGCCCTCCAAAAGACATGCATGTCCTAACCACTGAAACCTGTAAATGTTACTGTATATAGCAAAAAAGGATATTGCAAATATGGTTGAATTAAGGATCTTGAGATGGGGCATTATCCTGGATTATACAGATGGGCTCTAAATATCCTTATAGGAGGGAGGAAGAGGAACAGCTGACACACACAGAAAAGAGGAGAAGTGATGTGACCATGGTGTGATGTGGCCGCAAACAAAGGAATGCCATCAGCCATCAGCAGTTGGAAGAGACAAGGAATAGTTTCTCCCGTAGAGCAGAGAGTGTGGCTCTGCTGACACCTTGATTTCGGCCTAGTTGAACTGATTTTGGACGTTAGCCTCAAGAACTAAGAGATAATACATTTCTGCTGGTTTTTTGGGGATTGTTTTTTGAGAGACTGGGTCTTACTCTATTGCCCAGCCTGGAGTGCAGTGGCACTGTTATAGCTCACTGCAGCCTCAAACTTCTGCTCTCAGGTGATCCTCCCCCATCAGTCTCCTGAGTGGCTGGGACTACAGGTGAGCACCACTATGATTAGCTATTTTTTAATTTAATTTAATTTAATTTAATTTAATTTAATTTAATTTAATTTAATTTTTTTGGTAGAAACAGGGTCTCGCTATGTTGCTCAGGCTGGTTTCAAACTCTTAGCCTCAGACAATCCTTCTGCCTCGGCTTTCCAAAGTACTGGGATTACAGGTGTGAGACACTGCACCGGCAGTTTTACTGTTTTTAGCAACCAAGTTGTGGAAATTTGTTATAGTAGCCACAGGAAGCTAATATATCACTTAGCTGCATTTTTAATTTTTATTTTTGCTATTTGTTTTTAAGGTTATTTCCCCTATCTTTTTTGTTCTTTAGGAAAAAAGCATGCGAAATTAATGGACCCCAGATTCAAGTTATAAGTAGCAGATTTTGATGCCTTTTTATTTGCATTCCTGAGTGGTAAAGTGTTATTTTGCTCAATATTGGTCTTCTAATGGGTTCTATGGAGCTTCAGTACAATTTACATTTTAATACTTAATCTGTATTTTAATCTTTAATAAAAGAATCTGAATTTAGAGTATTGCAGACCTGAGGGTTAGGTGAGAAGTTATTGTTTTTTTCATAATAAGTGGTTTTAAAAAACCAATTACTTATTAGTGATGTTTCTAATAGAGTTTAAGTGCTGAAGACAATTAGCTTTTACTTTAGAATTCCCACAGTAAAATCATGGGCTGGAAAGCGAGAAGACAACTGGGTGCCATTTTTACTTTTCTGGGACAATCATGTGGAGTGTTTTAAACTGTACGGACTCAGGGGAGGAACATGATTTTGGGGACAACTGGACTGGCCATCTCTCTGTCTTGTTTGTTGTCTGAATGAGCCCATTTGTTCAGCATGGTCGGAGAATCCCTGTAAAGATATTCAGGCCTCTTCTCCTTGTAAAAATGCAAATACAGTTGTTTCTTATTATTTGTGGTAGTTATGTTCTATAAAGTCACCATGAACACGGAATGAACAAATACTGAGCCATTGATCCAAGGGGCAATGCAGGGTTAGACTCTTTGGAGTCTCTGGTGATAACATTTTGATCAACTAGTCAATATATAACCTTATTTTATGTGTGTTTCTGTTGAAAGATACCTTGTTTCATATACATTATTGATTCATTAACACTGAACTCATGTCCACCAGCACTAGAACTCATGACTAAGTGGAGCTTAGCTAACATGCATGTTTTCTTTGTAAGACACATTAAGCCTAGACCTAGACCACAAAAAGGACACGTGTAGAATATGGCAGCTGACACAAGAAGGCAGTGTTAGCTAACACGCGTGTTTTCTTTGTAAGACACATTAAGCCTAGACCTAGACCACAAAAAGGACACGTGTAGAATATGGCAGCTGACACAAGAAGGCAGTGTTGCCTCGTTTGACCTCACCTGGGAATGTGTGCCTCGGGCTACTCACATTTTTCACCTCTCTATGCGTGTCCATGAAGCTCTCTGTGAGTGTTGATTTTGGAGTTACAAATACATTTTAGTGAGCGCCTGTAGGTACCTTTGAAAATACACAATCCGGGCCGGGCGCGGTGGCTCACACCTGTAATCCCAGCACTTTGAGAGGCCGAGGTGGGCAGATCACCTGAGGTCAGGAGTTCAAGACCAGCCTGGCCAACATGGTGAAACCCTGTAGATACTAAAAAATACAAAAAATTAGCTGGGCATGGTGGCGGGTGCTGGTAATCCCAGCTACTCGGGAGGCTGAGGCAGGAGAATTGCTTGAACCTGGGAGGCAGAGGTTGCAGTGAGCCGAGATCGTGTCATTGCACTCCAGCCTGGGCAACAAGAGTGAAACTCCATCCCAAAAAAAGAAAAGAAAAGAAAAAAAGAAAATACACAATCCACGAATAATGAGGTTCAAATGTACTCCATAGAAAGCTAATAAAGCAGGCTTCACCAGCAGTGGGCCCTTTGATGTGAAGTGACTTATTTGAAACTATAAGCTGAGCCTGTGCTCATAGTGAGATATAGTTCTTATCATTGAGGAGCTTAGAATCTGGTAAAGGAGCTGGGCAAGGAATCAGATGCCTTATACCATGGGTGCCTTTACAAAGCTGGGTCAGAATTCTCCATGGATGGGGAGAAGCATATCTGAGAGGACTACAGAGACATTTCCTGGCAGTGGGTCTTTAAAAAGGAGAAGGGAAGAGGATGAGGATTCTAGGCTCCCAGGAGACCGAAATGGTGAGGGAAGAGAGGCGGAAAGGGAAGCCACGAAACAACAAAGGAATGTTTGCTTCCATTGCAATTTTGTCTGGAGTCTGTACTCCACGTGCTAGTAGCAATTGCAGAAAGATCTGATGACGATGTGATTATAATCTGATTAACTTTTCTTGACATAGACACAGGGGAAAGTTACATATAAAGAGGATTCAGTTTGGCAAAGACAAAATGTTTGTGGGATGACTCAAGTTCCTGAATATAGTTTTTATTATACAAGATCTAGAGCTAAAGGGGGATATGATTTTATCAAGTCCCTTTTCTTCATTTTTCAGAAATGATTAAATAATTACTCCGAGGTCTTAGAGCAGCAAGGCTAGAAGTAGGGTCTCCTGATGTCAATGTCCACCCTGCATCATCTTTTAAAAATAGACTTTATTTTATGTCTATTTTATATTTTAGATCTATTTATTTACCAGTTTTCGGTTCACTAGGACCTACAATTTTTTTAGAAGAACTGAGCAGAAGATACAGAGAGTTCCCATATATCCCCTGCCCCCACACAGGCATAGCCTCCCCCATTGTCAACATCCTCCACCATTTGTTACCATTCATGAACCTACACTGACACTGACACATCATTATCACCCAAAGTCGCTAGTTTATTTCAGGGTTTACTCTTGGTGTTGTCCCTTCTATGGGTTTAAACAAATTTATATTGACATGTATCCACCATTATAGCACCATATAGAATAGTCTCACTGCCCTAAAAATCCTCTATGCTCTGCCTATTCATCCCTCCCTCCCCCTAACCCCTGTGAACCACTGATCTTTTTATTGTCTCCATACTTTTCCAAAATTTCATGTTGGAATCATACAGTATGTAGCCTTTCACTTAGTAATAAGTAATATGTAATAGTAATTAGTAATAAGTGAAATGTAATTAGTAATTAGTAGTAAATGAAATGTAAGTGTATATTACTAAGTGAAAGAAGCCAATTACATTTATATCTCTCACTTAGTAATATGCATTTACATTTCCTCCATGTCTTTTCATGGTTTGATACCTCATTTTTCTTTAGCACTGTATAATATGCGGTTGTCTGGATGTACCACAGTTTATCCATTTACCTACTGGGGATATCTTGGTTGCTTCCAAGCTCTGGCAATTATGAATAAAGTTGCTATAAACATTTATGTGCAGGTTTTTGTGTGGACATAAGTTTCAGCTCCTTTGGGTAAATGCCAATGAGCATGATAGATGGATTGTTTGGTAAGAGTATGTTTAGTTTTGTAAGAGAGTTTCAAATTCTCCTTCAGAGTGGCTGTATCGTTTTGCATTCTCACAAGCAATGGGTGAGAGTTTCGTTGTTCCATGCCCTCACCAGCATTTGGTGTTGTCAGTGTTTTGGATTTTTGCCACTCTTATAGATGTGCAGGGATAGCTCACTGTTGTTTTAATTTGTAAGTTCCTCATGACACATGATGTTGATCGTTTTTTCATATGCTCATTTGCCATCTGTAGATCTTTGATGAGGTGTCTGTTCCTATCTTTTGCCCCTCTCATTCTCCCCTACACTAGAATGTAAGTACTTGGATGTCAGGATGGTGTTATATCCTTTGCCCACTCCCAGGGCCTAATCCAGTGTGGTCAATAAATATTATACAGCAATAATAGCTAGCATTTGTTAAGAGTTTACTACATGGCCTGGAGTGGTGGCTCACACTTGCACTTTGGGAGGCCGAGGCGAGTGGATCGCTTGAGGTCAAGAGTTCAAGACCAGCCCATGGTGAAACCCCATCTCTACCAAAATACAAAAACTAGCTGGGCATTGTGGCAGGTACCTGTAATCCCAGCTACTAGGGAGGCTGAGGCAGGAGGATTGCTTGAACCCAGGAGGCAGAGGTTGCAGTGAGACAAGAATGCACCACTGTACTCCAGCCTGGGCAACAGAGCGAGACTGTCTCAAAAAAAAAAAAAAATTGACTACATTCTCAGCCCCATACTAGACATTTTATGTGCTGTCAGGAAGCCACGATGATGAATAGAAAGGAAAGGAAGAAGATCCACACCCTCCCTCAACACCCCCTACCCCTGACAGAGAGGCCAGCAGAACAGATTCAAGCAAATCCAAGGCTAAATGTGAAGGGGGTAAGAGAGGTAAGATCTTGGTATGTCACTTAAGCTCCCTAATCTGTATTTAACCTCATTTGTAAAATGGGCATAGTATGAATACCCACCTCAAGGGGTTCTTGGGAGGATTAAAACAGATAATATAGATGTAAAGTGTTTCACGTAGGGCCAGGCACATATTAATTGTTTAATAACCATTAGCAATATTTCTGGGGAAATGGGGCAACCCCCACCCCCTGCCCAATCAGGGCTGCAAGGCAGTGATAGAAAGAGGTCAGACACATGCCATTTCTACAATGCTCACCTAATGCCAGTAAAAGAGAGCAGGATAGATTCTACCTGGCTCTTCCCAAACACAGCTAGGGCACAGGTGAACCGACCATGCTCACAAGCTGCCATTTGTTCCCTCACATTCAATGATCCTGAGCAAGATACCGAAAAACTTGGTGACTGGGGCAAGGGGGGTCTTGAACCTCCCCTTCTGGCATGGTTGCAATTGTTCCAAAACTTGGGGGAGGAAGTGGGGTGACTGATAGCCTAATCCACCCACTTTTCTCCCTGCCTAAGGGAGAGGTGGGCAGAGCAGCCAGAAGGCTGTTTGGGAGTCTTACTGGGACTAGTTGAGGAAGACAAGTGGGGAGAGGATAAGGAATGGGATACTTCACTGCTTGACTGACCAGATACTCATATCACATGGGACTTGTTCTATGCCAGTACTCAGTGCTTAACCCACGTTCACTCATTTCATCTTCCTGGCAATGAGGATGAGGCAGGTACCAGATTTCTATTGTTATTCTTTCTGGGGAAGGAGGAAACTGGGGCCCTCAGTGGCTTAATAACTTGCCCAAAGTCATCAAGCTGGTAAGTGGCATAGCCAGGATCCAAATCCAGCTAGTGCCAGAGCCCATGCTCCTCACCACCAGGCCAGAAGAGGGGGTGGGTATGTGTGAGAGACAGAGGAAGAGAGGTGTGTTTGCATAAGAGAGAAGTGTGTGTGTGTGTCTGAGAGAGAGAGAGAGAGTGAAAAGGAGGAGGAGGGAGAGGAAGAAGAGGAAGAGGAAGAAGAAGAAGGAGGAAGAGGAGGAGAGGAGGAGGGTAAGAAGAAGAAGAGGGAAAGAAGGAGGAGGAGAGGATATGGTTTGGCTGTGTCCCCACCAAATCTCATCTTGAATTGTAACTCCCACAATTCCCACGTGTCGTGGGAGGAACCCAGTGGGAGGTGATTGAATTTTGGGGTCGGGTCTTTCCTGTGCTGTTCTCATGACAGTGAATGAGTCTCAAGAGATCTGATGGTTTTAAAAAGAGGAGTTCCCCTGCAAAGCTTTCTCTTTTTGCCTGCTGCCATCCATGTAAGATGTGACTTGCTCCTCCTTGCCTTCCACCATAATTGTGAGGCTTCCCCAGCCACGTGGGACTGTAAGTCCATTATAAACCTCTTTCTTTTGTAAATTGCCCAGTCTTGGGTATGTCTTTTCAGCAGCATAAAAATGGACTACTACTGCTGCTACTACTACTCCTCCTCCTCCTCCTCCTACTACTACTACTACAGAGAGAGATGTGTTTGCATGAGAGAGATTTCTCTGTATGTGAGTGTGAGAGAGAGAGGTTTCACCTCTCAACTGTTTGGGCTTCCTCCCCACTTCCTGCAACCCTCAACTCTTTCTCATCTGCTTTGATGGTTACACTCTTCTTCTCACTCCCTCACCATTGGCTTAGGGCTGTTCTGAGACAAAAATGAGAAGAAAGCTCTTATTAGTGTAGATTTTGGGTGGTTTTCACTGTGAGATACTATTTCTTACAGGCCCCAATCACCTCAGGGCAGAAGCTAGACCTCAGAAATGGATCCCACAACCAACGAGGTGCATTTAAGACAGGACAGTAGTCCCCCTACCCCCAACAAAGGGCCCCCACAATCTTAATGCCAAAGAGTAAATCAGCTAGGCTCAGAGTGTCTTTCCCAAGTCTTGTGCTTGGGTTTGTTACCCAGTCCGTTTCGCCCAGATATAGATTTGACCTGTTTCTGGTATTAAAGTGAGGATGGTGAGGAAACCAGAGAGCAGGGTCTGATGTTCCTTTATAAGGAATGTCAGTTGGTCTGGGGATCAAATGGACAGAAGCTCAACAAATATCCTGCTGGCAGCACCCCTCCTGGGCTGTTCTGGCAGCTCCAGGGATGGTATGTTCTCATCACTGGCCCACGTTACTCTTATTTATTAGCTGCTCTAGTGGCAGCTCTTCTTGTTTCCTGTGACCCTATAATCTCTCTGCACTCTTCCTTAGAAGGAGTAGGGCTGATGGGATGGCAGATTTCAGGAGCAGACCCTGGGTTCGCATCTTATTATACAGCTCATGTCAAGAGACAAATAAAATGCCCTGCTGATTTACTATGACAACTCCCACCTTCGGCAGTTGCAGAAAGACAGGTGCATAGTACATGATGTGGAGAGGGACCATACATAACGCAATGCAGATTTTGCCCACTAGCCTCCTGAGGTGGAGTGAGTAAACTGGTTTTATTCACATACCTGATGTAAAGTCCCAAAGCCCTGGTGTTCTTTCTGGCCAGAGAAGTAACAGTTAATCTGCAATAATGCCTGCCTGAGAGCCAAAGTTGAGATCTATTTGCCCTGTTCTGCTCTTTACAGCCCCTTCTCCTGCTAGCTCCTTTATTCCCCAAAGGAGGATAAAGTTTCTTGTCCACTGTGCCCAGCACTAAAGGTAAAACATTTTCTTTCAAAGTTTTTGGCCTGGGTGCTTATTAAGGTCCACTGAGAATATGCCCAGGGAGACAGGGTAACTAGAGATACAGCAAGGATGCTAGGAATTCACATGGCACCTCTGAGCCCAGAAAGGGCACAGGAAACCCCAACTCCACTTTAATGTAAGCAGGGCACAGGAATAGGAGCCCCATAAACCCTTGTGTGACTGCTCTCGTTTTAAGTTGGATCAATCAGTCCAAATACATTTTTTAAATTTATTATAAAATAGTTCAAATATACAGAAGGCAGAGAGATTATTATCGTGAGTAACAGTTTACCAGCTCTCCGTTTTAAAAAAATAAGATATTATTAGAATGGTTAATGCCTTCTGGGTACTGTTCTCAGATCACATTAGCCTCCTTCATCCTGGAGTCAGCCACTGAACTGGCTTTGGTGTTTACCATTCCTTTAGATGTCTTTATACTTTTATAACATCTACAAGAATCCCTATACAACACATTTTGTTGTTTCACTTATTTACAATTTTATCTAAATGGAATATTGTAGTATATATCCTTCTGAGATTTGCTTTAATTATAAAACTTTAAAAAAGATGTATCATGCTAACACATGAAGTTCTGGTTTATTTGTTCATTTTTTGCTGTAATTTATTCCATATATGACTCTATTATATTATTTATTTATATGTCTGCTGATGGACAATTAGGTTACTGTGCTTTTGGTTGTTTGCTATTTCAGTCATTTCTTTGTGCTGGGCAGGGGTGCAAGAGTTTATCTAGGATGTCTACCTAGGAGTAGAATTTCTGAGTCATAGGCTTTGGCCATCTTGAGTTTCTTAAGTGTCTTAGTCCATCAGGCTGCTATGATAAATTATCATGGACTGAGTGGCTTAAAAACAATAGAAATTTATTCACAGTTCTAGGAGCTGGGAAGTCCCAGATCCAGGTGCCAGCAGATCTAGTATCTGGTGAGGGACCACTTGCTGGTTCATAGAGGGTGCCTTCTTGCTGTGTCTTCACATGGTGAAAAGGGCAAACAAGCTCTCAGGGATCTCTTTTATAAGGGCACTAATCCCATTCATGAGAGATCTGCCCTTACTACAACCTAATCACCTCCCCCAAACCCCACTTTCTAACACCATCACCTTGGGGGTTAGGACTTCAGTGTATGAATTTTAGGGGGACATAAACATTCAGTTCATTGCAATAAGATACTGCCAGATTTACCTCAAAAGTGTTTGATACCAAGTATCAATGGGCACTCTCACCAACAAGGATGAAAGTTTGCATTTTTCATATTCTGGCCAACATTTAGTATTGTCAGACATTTTAATTTTTGCCAATATGGTGGATGTAAAATATCTTATTGAAGTATTGATTTACAATTCCCTGATTACTAGTAAGTATGAGCATCTTTTTATATACTAATTGACCATTTGGAGTTTATCTTCTGTGAATTGCCTGTCCATAAACCTTGACCATTCTTTAATTTCCTTTTTTTTTTTTAAACACTTATTTGTATGGCTTCTTACGTATTGTGGATACTCATTGTAAACACTTTTTCTTCTGGGTTATCAACTGTTTTTTCACTTTTTTTTTTTTTTTTTTTTTTTTTTTTGAGATGGAGTCTCGCTCTGTCGCCCAGGCTGGAGTGCAGTGGCACAATCTCGGCTCACTGCAAGCCTCCCAGGTACATGCCATTCTCCTGCCTCAGCCTCCCGAGTAGCTGGGACTACAGGTGCCCGCCACCGTTCCCAGCTAATTTTTTTGTATTTTTAGTAGAGACGGAGTTTCACCGTGTTAGCCAGGAAGGTCTCAATCTCCTGACCTCGTGATCCGCGCGCCTCGGCCTCCCAAAGTGCTGGGATTACAGGCGTAAGCCACCGCGCCCGGCCTGTTTTTTCACTTTTTAAAAGTATTGGGTTTTTAAAGTTGTGGTAAAATATACATAGCATGAAATTTACCATTTAATCATTTATTGTATACAGTTCTGTAGCATTAAGTACATTCACATCGTTGTGCATCACCAGCATCCATATCCAGAGCTTTAGGATCTTTCTCAATTGAAACTCTGTACTCAATGGCATTTGAGATTTTAATGCAGTCAAATTTATCAATCTTTTCTCTTAAGGGTTAGAAATCCTTCAGAAAGATTCTCTCTAATACTTCCTCCCAAAAGGCTTTTTTTTTTTTTTTTGAGATGGAGTCTCACTGTGTTGCCCAGGCTGGAGTGCAGTGGCGCAATCTCAGCTCGCTACAACTTCCCCCTCCCGGGTTCAAGTGATTCTCCTGTCTCAGCCTCCTGAGTAGCTGGGATTACAGGCATGCACCACCATGCCCACCATGCTAATTTTTGTATTTTTAGTTGAGATGGGGATTCACCATGTTGGTCAGGCTGGTCTTGAACTCCTGGCCTCATGATCCGCCCGACTTGGCCTCCCAAAGTGCTGGGAATACAGGCGTGAGCTACTGCACCCAGCCTCCCAAACGTTTTAAAGATCCACTTTTCATTTTTATATCTTGATTTACCTGGAGATAATTTTAGGAAATTGAGTGAAGAGAGGATCTATTTTAATTTTTTCTACACAGATGACCAGTTGTCCTGGCATAGTTTTATTGATTAAACCATTCTTTTCTCTTTGATCTTCAATTTTAATTTTCTTATATATTATTATCATTATGCAAGGATCTATTTCTGAACTCTGTATTCTTTTGCATTGGTCTGTTTTTTTCTCCCTGCACCAAACCACACCATCTTAATTGCTGTAGGCAATTAAGGGTACCTTATTTCCTCTATACTTTCACTACCTGATTCTTTTCAGAATTGTCTTGATTATTCTTGGCCCACTACCCTTTTATCTAATGACAGTACCAGCTTGTCAAATCCACAAAAACTCTCGTCATGTTTCTTTTTAGTTTTTCTCAGGAATTCAATTAGAGTTGTATTATAAAGTATTTATATCCATGAATATGGTCTATTTCTCTGATTACTTAGATCCCTTTTAATGTCTTTTAACAAAGCTTTATAATTTTCTCCACAAGATCTTACATAGCTTTTGTTATATTTATTCATATACCTTATATTTTTATATTGCTATTATAAATAATATTTTTTAAGTTATAGTTCAAATTATTTATTGCTGATATGAAGATATACAATTTTATTTTTTATATGTTGAACTTATATCTAGGAATCTAGGTGAACTCTCTACTAATTCTAATAATTTTTGTAACAAAGAAATAGGCTCAGAGATGTTAATTAATTTGCCCCAAATCACATGCCTAATAAATGTCTTCCTTTCTGTTGGGAAGAAAAGAGAATGTCAGGTTAAGAATTTCCATATATTTAGCTCAAGATTCATTTTCTACTTCTCTGACTCATTTGCTTATAAGCCTGCAAGGATTTATTGAAAGGCTCCTGCGGACTCAGCTGCATACTAAGATGTCTGGACAGGGGAACAGGAGGATGCACAAGGAAGCATGGAATCATCTAATCCCAGAGAAATCAGGGATCTTGGAGTAAATCTACCCTAAGCCTCATAGAAATATTTTCTGAAAGTGCTCCCTACAAAGCCATTTACTCATTCAACACATATTCTTTGAGCATCTACTAAATGACAGCTTCCATGCCTGATGTTGATGAACAGGAGTGAGCAAACCCTTAAGGCAATTATAATTTAGTGAAAAACTGTAGTGAAATAATCACACAAATATATGACCATGCATGGGGATAATGCCAGAAGGTTGTAAATGAGGCTCTGAGAGTAGCAGTGTGGGGGCGGGGCAACCTGACCTTCTGTGGGAGATGTTCCTGCAAGACTTTAGGAACAGGAGGAAGTCCAATGTGGCCAGAGCTGATTGAGAGGAGGTTGTATTAGCCAAAGCTGGAGGCTGGTGTGCTGAGGCCAGACCTTGCATGATGTTGTGGGCCTTGCTAAAGATTTTGGCCTTCATCTTAAAATCAATGGAAGTCACTACAGAGTTTTGAGTCCAGGAGTGAGTGACATGATCAGATTTGCATTTTAGGAAGGTCACTCATCTCTAATATGGAGAATACATTGGACAGGGCACGAATGGATGTGGGAAGACTAATTAAGAGGATATTATAGTTCCCAGTGACAGATAACAGAGACCTGGACTAGGTGATAGCACAGGTAAAATTGAGCTGAAAACCCAATGGGTGTTTATTCTGTGCCAATGGACATCATCCATGAATCATCTCATATAACCCCCATAGCATAAGACCCATGACATAGTACCACTGTCATCCTCAGTGGGTGAATGATGAAACTGAGGCTTAGAGAGGTTAAGTTTACACTGCCAGTTAACTGTAGACCTTAAGAATCAAGCCCAGCTAGGATCATTCTTTTTGTTGTTTGTTTGTTTGTTTTTGAGATGGAGTTTCACTCTTGTTGCCTAGGCTGGAGTGCAATGGTGTGATCTGAGCTCACCGCAACCTCCGCCTCCCGGGTTCAAGCGATTCTCCTGCCTCCACCTCCCAAGTAGCTGGGATTACAGGCATGCACCATCACGCCCAGCTAATTTTGTATTTTTAGTAGAGACAGGGTTTCTCCATTTTGATCAGGCTGGTCTCAAACTCCCGACCTCAGGTGATTTGCCCACCTTGGCCTCCCAAAGCGCTGGGATTACAGGCGTGAGCCACCTTGCCCGGCCAGAATAATTCTTTACTGTGCTATACTTCTGTGGGCGAAGGTGGGAACAGAGGGGTGAAGGATGATCCTTAGGTGCTCCCAGGCAGAATTTGAAAACTCCTAGCCAAAGGAGCAGGCTGAAAGGACACGAAATGTCAGTTAGGAACACTGGACCAGGAGGCTGGGAGAGCTGATTCCAATCTCAGATCCTCACTCACTTCTTTGTCTGGATGACATCTTTCGTCCCTTCCAACACTAAGACTCTAGGATGATTATGTGACTTTGGAAAAGCCATGGATCTCACAGAATCCTGTTTTCGCATCAGTAAGATAGGGAAATGCCTCTCCACTGAGATGATACATTATGAAAGTGTTTTACAGACCTTAAAGAGACTTTAAGTAGCTGGTGATTACTTAAATCACCAGCTACTGATTACAAAGATTATCTTCTCATGGAGCAGTTCACTCCATTTGGGGCAATTCTCCGAATCAGAAAGCGTTTCTTCATCTTGATCCGAGATCAGCTTCGCTGAGTGTTCCTTCCACCCTGATCCAAGCTGCTCTTGGGTGCTAAATCTAAGAACACTGCCCCTTCTCTCTCAGGACAGGGCTCCAGCATCAGAGGCTACTGTGCTGCCTCCTGTGCGGGACTCTCCTTACCCTGCACACCAGCAGCACCTGGAGCAAACTTTAGCCAGCATAGATTCCAGCCCTCCCAGCATCTCTCAGTGTTCTCTGGGCTGCTGGTGTCTGGGTTAAAATGTGGCACTCAGAGCTGAACACACAAGATTCCTGATGCTGTCTGACAAACCTAGCTCCTCTCTCATCTGGATTCTCCACTGCAGTTCTTGAAATATGCAAAAATTCAGTTTACAGGCCCTGATAGGCTGGCAGAGGGCTCCAGCTGTGGATTTGAGGAACTATTTCATTCTTACACAACCTCCTCCTGCCTTCCCAAAAGGGCCTGTGCACCATTCATTCTTATAGGATTTTAAAAAAATTAACACGTATAAATACAGGGCTTTATAGATGATCCAAATAAATCCTAAGGAAAATATCCACATGAACCTGGTCCTCTCCCTCATTGCCAGAGTTAGGTGCCTTAATTTCATTAGTCAAAGTTTGTCATATTCTGGGAAAGAGGATTTTACTGGAAATTTGACAGATTTGAAAAGAAAGGTAAAGTTGGAGCAAGGCTCAGGAGGGAAGAACGATGGGAAACGGTTCAGCCGACTTTTATTGATAGTGGAAAAAAATTCATTAAAAAGATGTGATGCTTTTTTTCCCAATATCACCTCAAAAATGAGTTCCAAAGCTTTGAAACTTCAAATTCAATGCCAGGAGTCCTCAATAAAATGAATGTGTTGTCTAAGTAAGTTGAAAAAATAAAAAGTGAGATAACTAATTCCCTTGCCTCCATCAGAGAATTTCTTCTGTTTCAACCTGAATTTGAGAAGGGAACATTTATTAAGTCTAAGGTGGGAATACTTCAGGTGTCTTTTTGTTTTTTTTTTTTAAATCACTGATGCTTGCCACAAATCTACTAACTAGAAACCAAGATATTTGATTAAATTTTAGCCCAGTGGAGTGCTTAGGTAGTTATAGATGAGGTCTACATAAAACCAACTGTAGTAGCCAGATAGCTTTCACTGTAACATAAAACCAGATACAAGTAATGAAAAATTCCCTTTTGCTTCATTTCCCAACATGCTGTCTTCACATTCATAGATTTCGTGTGCACTGTCTCCTCTCCACTGGTAGCATTATGACTTTTTCTTTTCCACATGTTTGAGATTTAATAACTTTGAGTACAGTTAACATGCCATTGCTGAGAGCTCAGACTCCATTTTGTGTGCTTCTAACCAACTAAGTAGACATCTTGGAGGAGATGCCAAATGTGTGTGATGCTAACTCACTTGAAATAAACAAGATATTCATAAAAATGGCTTGCACATAAACCAGTCCCTCTGGCCTTAGCAATTCCAGTTTTATAGCCACTGCTTTTGGCTTTGGGCTGGGGTAGGCTGTAGGCCCTGCCTCTTCAAGGTGGTCTTCCCAGTAAATTTCCAAAATAGGAGCTTATCAGGTAGAGAAAAGTAAAGCTGGATTTCAGATGACCTCAAAGGCAGGTGACCCCATTTCACACAAGGCCATGTCTTTACCAATAAGTTAGATATTGAGGACTCCAGCTGCATTTTAACATAGAAACATCGGGGCTAAATATGTAGGCCTTTCATTAGTTAATCAATTCACTAAATATTTACTGAGAATATATGTTGGTCATCCTTTCAAAGCCTGTGACCCATAGTTCATCTCAAATAGAACTGGAAGGCTTTTCGGAAGCTGCTGTTGAGTCCACACAGCTAATAGTTGACCGGATCTCCCTAGGATGCAAGTTATAGTTGAAGAAAGTTTCCATGTTTCCCTAAATCTTCTATTTTCTAAACTAAACATACAAAAGTAGCTAATATGGCAGAGGTTTTCAGATAGCATCACACACATTTGGCATCTTCTCTAAGTAGGGGGGTCTGTCCTGAAATGTGGGGCTCAGAATTTATCATAAAACTTGAAATGCTTTGTACTAGTGCAGAGCCCCACGTGGCCATTAGCTCCCTTTCTCCTGCAACTCTGCTCTAAGAAGAACAGTCTATATATGTATTTGCTTTGGGAAGTCATATCAGATGGTGGGGTCACTTCTAGTTTGGCAATCCACACTTAGAGATTAACATGCATTAAAAGGAAGATATCTGAACTGGCCCTCAACACCCTTGATATTTACTGGTAGCAGAGAGAATCCCTAATGTGAAGATGGGGAAGGGAGGAAGGGAATACACATTTATTGGAAGTCAACTGTGTGTTGGGAATTGTGGTACATGCTTCACATACCTAACCTTCTCTGACTCTCACGAGGACCCTAGGAAGTAAGTACCATTTTAGTTCCCACGTGTGTTTGTTCTGAACGAGTTTCACTGCAAGTAACAGAGAGACTGACAACAAAGACTCGTCTCTAAAAATAAGAAGTCTGGAGGCAGGCTGCCCAGGCTTTCCCAGGAGCTCTGGGAGCCATCAGGGACCAGGCCTTTCCCATCTTTCTGCTCTACTATCCTTAGTGTGTAGGCCTTCCTCTTCATATTTTCCACCTCATGATTATGGGATGGCTGACTCCCCTCCAGGCATCGTGTCTGGGTTCCTGGGGAAGGAGAAGAAGGAAGAAAGGCAAAAGGAGAAGATCATGCCAGCCGGGCCTGCTCTTTCAAGAAACAAGCTTCCCATCCACTGTACCTAGTGATTTCTACTTATGTGTCATTGGCCAGAACTATATCAAATGGGCGATGGTAAGATGAATATTTTTATCTGGGCACAGTTAAGCTCCAAACAAAATCAGAGTTTTATTGGTAAAGAAGAATGAGGAACAGATATGGCGTAAGCAACATCGGGGTCTGCCACTCTGTTACAAATGAGAAAATAGGCCAAAAGACATAAAGTCCATGGCCATGGCCACAGCTGGAAAAAGGATGGACTGAGATTTGAAGCCAGGCCCCTGCCCAGTCCAAAGCTCTTGTTTTCTCGACTATGCCATACTGCTTTTAGGCATAGCATAAACAGCTCTCCCTTCCTAATGCCATCAGGAAGTAGGTATTCTGTTGCTCAGAGTCATTTTACGGATGGGAAATTGAGGCACAGAAAGGCTAAGTACCTCAGTAACAGAGCATTTGAACTCAATCAGTGTATTAGTCTGTTCTCACACTGCTGATAAAAACATACCTGAGACTGGGTATTATCTTAAAAAGAGGTTTAATGGACTCACAGTTCTATGTGACTGGGGAGGCCTCACAATCATGGTGGAAGGCAAAGGAGAAGCAAAGTCACATCTTACATGGTGGCAGGCAAGAGGGCTTGTTCAGGGGAACTCCCATTTATGAAACCATCAGATCTCATGAGACTTATTCATTACCAGGAGAACAGTATGAGCGAAATCACCCCATGATTCAATTATCTCCAGCTGGCCCCATTCTTGACACGTGGGGATTATTACATTTCAAGCTGAGATTTGGATGGGGACATAGCCAAACCATATCATTCAGTCACTATAAAGAGGAAGTGCCGTAGTAGAGCAGCATTAGTCTGAAAACTTCATGTCTCTCTCTCTCTCTCACACACACACACACACACACACACACACACACACACAACCACGAGTTGCTTCCAGGGACATCCTACTCTGGGGGAGATTCTGACACTCAACCTAGGACTTTTCAAGGAGGATTGTTGCAGGCTATCAATTAATATATTAAAAATAACATGTAGCCAATTACTGAGACTCTGTGGGTGATTTCAAAGTTCTTCAGAATGTACATATTAAGTTACTCAGAAGAAATCCATTTTGGCTTTAACATATTAAATGTAATGAGTCTTACAGAATTGGTTTGTATCAGAAATACCAAAAGCTCAGTGGTGCCCACTGATCAATTTGTCCTCTACAGTAGTGCTCAAGCAGAGACGGATGAACCTAATAAGGACAGGCTGTTATTTAGTGAGAGCTTAAGAAGTGCCAGACATGGTGATAAATGTTTACACTTGTCATCTTATTTCATCTTGACCCATCTTTGGGAGAGGCTTCCTGTTATCCTTACCTTTCAGGGAGGACCCGAGGCTCAGTGAAGGTGAGTGACTTGCCCCAAAACACACACCTATGTAAAGGCAGGACTGTCCTGTAATCTAGGTGGCCCACCTGACCCCACAACATCAATGTCCCTGACTGTGTGTAGGGGCTGCAGATAGCAGAAAGGAACTTGGAGTGAGGACCAGTAGACTTGCAAGTAGATAACACCCCAAATGTGCTTGGGCTGCTAAATTTCTCAGCTAACCAAGGACTATTACATTCAGCTCTTCTAATTTATATTATGTTCATACAGACCAGCGTTTTAGCCTAGTGAGATATTTTTAGACTAGAAAACCTATGCAATGCTGAGGATTAAACAACTTTAATTCTATTGCACTTACCCACATCTGGCAGGCAGGGCGTACCTTTATATAGAATTAAAAGCCAATGAAACTTGCCGTTTTTTTTTTTAAGTTTGGCAGTAAAATTGCTTTCTTCCAGTTGTTCACAGATGAAACATGCTGTGCTGGTTTCTGAAAACCAAGAAGCCTGGAGAGAAATTTATGACTTTGAAACAAAATTTAGAGGTTGAAGGATTTAGCAGTTTGCAAAGAACATGGAGCTAAGCCCTTGAAAAAGGCTGTTCAAAAAGTCCTGGCCTAAAGTGCCAAGGTCGTTTTCAGAAGTCCCCGCAGAAGCTCTTAGGAATCGGAAAGCGTAAAAATGGGGAGAGAGTATTTTGAAGACATCTTTCCCCTGAAAGCTGTTGCTTGTGAGCCTGTGCATTTTCCCACACGAATATGCTCGGCCGTTATGTTAGCCAGGCATTTCCTGCATGCGGCAGGTTTGTTATGCTTCTTTTTTTTTCCTTTTCCTTCTCAGGGAATTATCCAAGATTTGTAGCCAGCAGTCTCTGCCATATTTTCTCTCAGTCCTTAGTCACACGCCCATATATGGAAATCTTTATCACATAGTCCCTGGCTAGGACATTTTGTAGGAAGTGTTTAGTGTATTGTGGTCTTTATAATTAAGTTATTCTAAGGATAAAATGGCAGCAATAGGCATGACTATGTGTGTGTGTGTCTGTGTACGTGTCTGTGTGTGTGTTTAGCCTTTGTTAGCTGCGAAACATATTTGACAAGTTTAAAGTCAAGGGTTTATCCCCCTCAGTAGTTCTTGTATAGCAAAGTGAATTTTTGCTATTTAGAAAGGAATCTTCTTCACTTTTGCCAAAAGTAAAGTTGAAAGGCATGCTGGGATATTTTCCCCATAATAAGGGATTTCAACCCCTTCACATTTGGACATTTTCCCTGCTTAGGCAGCCACAGCACAGAGATAGAATTAGTCACAAGATTAGTCCAGCTTAAATAAGCAGAAGTCAAGTTAGTGCTTCACAGATTGGTCTTTTAGCAGATGCTCTGCCCTTTCGAGGAATGCAAGGGGCAAATGTGAGCTCTTAAGGATATTTTACATTTGCGCAATGAAGTTACGCTGTTCAAAAAACTTTCTCGTCTTTCTGCCTTTGTGCAACCTAATTTCTCTTACCAGAAACCTGAGGCTCCAAAGGTAAGTCATTTGCTTGAGAACCACAGCTAATACCACTTTGCATTCAGAAACCCCCAGCAGCTCCTACTGCATAAGTGATCAAGTCCAAACTCCTTAGGACAAAAGCGGAGGTTTGAGAAACATTTAACAACCATTTATACACATAAGTACCTGTAGTTAGGCACCATGAGGGGTGAAATCAAATAAGATGAATTCTTAGAGAGCTGTAGTAGAAAGGAAGAAGTCTGTCATCATACAAATAATTAATTGCAATAAGTGTCTTAGTCGGCTCAGGCTGCTGTAACAAAATACTATAGACTGGGTGGCTTAAAAAACTATTTATTTCTCACAGTTCTGGAGGCCGGAAGTCCAGGGTCAAGGTGACAGTGGATTCGTTTCCTGGTGAGGACCCTCTTCCTGGTTTGTACATGTAAGTGGCCACTGTCTTGCTGTCTTGCTGTTTCCTCATGTGGTTTTTTCCTGGGTGAGTGCACTGACGAGAGAGAGAGAGAGAGAGAGAGAGAATCTATTTTCCTCTTTTTATTTTTTATTTACTTATTTTTTCGAGACGGAGTCTCACTCTGTTGCCCAGGCTGGAGTGCGGTGGCGTGATCTTGGCTCACTGTAACCTCTGCCTCCCGGTTCAAGTGAGTCTCCTGCCTCAGCCTCCCAAGTAGCCTGGGATTACAGGCACCTGCCACCAAGCCCAGCTAATTTTTGTATTTTTATTAGAGACGGGGTTTCACCATGCTGGCCAGGCTGGTCTCAAACTCCTGACCTCGGGTGATCCACCCACCTTGGCTTCCCAAAGTGCTAGGATTACAAGCGTGAGCCACCGTGCCCGGCCTATTTTCCTCTTCTTATAAGGGCACTGTTTCTCTCATGAGAATTCTCACCCTCACGACCTCATCTAAACCTAATACTCCCGAAGGCTTTACCTCTAGATACTATTACATTGGGAGTTAGGGCCTCAACATATTAATTTTCAGAGGACATAAACATTCGGCCCATAGCAATAAGCAAGTGACTGGGGAAGAGTGGTCTGGGATTGAGCAGTGTTGAGGTAAAACTAGCTTTAAAAATCATGTTCTTCCCAATGGTCTCTCCCCATGGACTCGATCCAGGGTCTGTGAATAGCTTCGTCCTGCAACTAGTGATGCATCAGAGCAAAAAAAGAGGCAGGACATAATGCAGCACTTAGGAAGGAGGACGTGTGTGCGATCATCATCAGACTTCCACTTACAGGTTAAAAGAGAAGTGAGAGTTGTAGTTGTGGGTGAGGCCAGGGTAGGGGAAGGAGGAAGTTAGGGAGGGGCTGGCAGGGAAGACCAACACTATGTCATGGACAACATCCCTGGAAGGTATTTCCCAAATTTCCTTCCAAGAAGATGGTCTGTTTGTACATTATTACTGACATTTTGGACCCAGATTATGTGTCTGTTTTCAGAGATATTTGATTGCTTGAGCCCTTCTCCATAGCCAGATCATCTCCAGGGTCAGTGAGATAGTTAACATATTATAAGTGATATTGACTTCCCCCTGGACGTAATAAGAGGTCTCCTTTTGTATAAGCAGTACAGGTTCTGTGAGTTTGGCCTGTCTGCGGTTAAAGTCTAGTACAGGCCTGGGGATGAGTGTACTTGCTTTGCTAAGTAATTGACTCCAGACACATTTTGCCTGTACAGAGACCTGAAGTGGGCATATGACTGTGTTTGAGATAAAACAAACAAAGAGAACAGCCTTGGGCGACCAGTGGCATGGAGCCCAGCCAGATAAACACCCTCTGGGTATACCCAATGCCAATTTTGGTGTGGGGACCCTTTTGCCCATTGTCTTGCATGGGCTTCAAGAGTCCCAGCAACCATTGGGAAATAATTAAATCACCTTATACGATTGTTCTTGGAAGTAAAATGCTAAGAAGTGTTTGTACAGGTCAATCAAGTCAACACAGCAGGAAGCAGAGTTAGCTGCTTTCTTTTAAAGGGGCCTAGCACTATGTTCTGCCTTCCTCTCTTCTTCCCTCCTTTCGTGACTTCCTTCCACTTCAACTGAACATCTACTATGTGCTGGTACTGCCCTAAGCACAGGGAGTACATAAATGATGAAAGCATGGCCTGGCATTTGTCCTCTTTTATTCTGTGAATATTTATTGTATGTGCCAGCCACTATGCCATGTACCAGGCATGATGCATGGAACAGGAAATGCAGATTCTGCATTGTCAGGATACAGGATAGTGGTAATAGTGTTGAGTAAGTAATTAGGAGTGTCTCGAAAGTCATAGAACAGAGTTCCATGAGGATGTATAACAGAAGGGCCTAATTGAGTTTATGGAATCAAACAGCTCCTCATCTGAAAAGCACCATGGAGAAAGTGCTTAAAACATGCTTTTACCTCAGTAAGCTCTATTTTAAATTCATATTCTATCTTCCTAAAGTGAAGAAAATCATATGACTTTTTAAAATTTATTCGATTAAATTATGTTGATTACATGAGTCAAGCAACCAGTTTAATAAGTGAATTAGTTGCTCAAGATTTAGGTAGATTTAGTCTTCAGACTAAACTCAAATTCAAACTTCCTAAGTTCACATGGCAAGTTAGGCAGAATTCTAAGATGATCTCCAGTATTCCTACTCTCCTCTTCCCTGGTGTACACATTCTCCCAGTTATTTAATCAAACTCTAAGCTAGGTACCATGAAGAGATTTTGCGGAAGTAGTTAAGGTGCCAAATCAACTGACCTTAAGGTGGGAAGATTATCTGGGGAGCGGCAGGTGCTGATCTAATCAGCCAAGCCCTTAAAAAGGACTGGGCTCTTGCTGGTGAAAGAGATTCAAAGATTCGAAGTGTGAAATAAATTTGACACTGGAGCCGGGGTGGGGGATTCTCCAAAGCTGGATTTGAAGAGGAATATGAAGGGCCTTTAGGAGCTGAGAGCAGCTCCTAGCTGATAGCCAACAAAGAAATGAGGGCCTCAGTCCTACAACCTCAAGGAAGTGAATGCTGCCATGACCACATGAGCTTGGAAGATGACCCTGAGCTCTTAATGAGAAAAAAGAAAACCTTGCCAACACTTTTAGCCTTGTGAGATCCTAAGTAGAGAACACAGCCACGCTGTGCACAGCCTTCTGACCTATGGCACTGTGAACTAATAGGTGAGCATTGTTTTAAGCCTCTAAGTTTGTGGCAATTTGAGACACAGCAATAGAAAACAAATACAGCTGCTATTCTGTTTCCCTCTCAGTATGGACGTCTCTATTAATTCCATTATGACCCAAATCCTCTTGATTAAAAAGACTGGACATGTGACCAGGTTGGCAAATCATCATATCTCTCACCTCTGAGCATAATGATTGGCTCAGGTGTTGGGATTGTGACCTAAGCTGTGCCACCAGTGTCCTTACCTGTGAATTATCAAAGATGAGCTTAAGGAAGAATGCTAACTTCCCCAGGAATGAGAGCCCAGAGCTGCCCATATCCATGACTCCACTAACATGATGAAACTGATTTGAACCTTGAAACCCAAAGAGCATGGAGAGTCCTGACAGTGTTCGAGACCCTGCATCCATTGTCTTTTGGCCACCTGAACCTATGCCCTTCCAGAGACTTGGTTATATGAACCAAGGCTTCTCCTTTTGATTTGAGCCAGGTCATGCTGAGCTTCTGTTGCACGCAGCCAGAGAGGTCTGAAGAGCAAAGCTAGAGAGAAGTAAAGAACTGTGAGCTGGAAGACACCAGTTCTGCTTATCAGACATTATCAAGACATGGAAGTGTCTCCTTGCACATAACCTGAGTTTTGTATTTTGTTCTTATAAATCAGTGCTGAAGGACATCAAATGATAGCAAAAACAAACACTAGCTCAATCATATTATTAGAGCTTGCAGGAATTTTAGATGCTATCTGGTCAAGGGCCCTAATTTTCTATGTGTAGAAGCTCAGGCCCAGAGAGAAGAGCAGCTAGTTAGGTAACAAGGTGGTCATTCCAGAATTATTGGGTAAAACTGACCCAGGTTGAATGAAAAATGGTGCTCTCTATATCTAATCCATTTTCTTCTGCTTTCCATGATTACTTGGGTCTTCCATCATTCCAGTGTCTTTTTCTCAACTTTTCTAAAACTGTGTCTACTGAGCACTGTGACTCTCACGATCCCTATGATATATTTTCAACCTAGACTCTCCAGTTTCTGAAACTCTGGTGATATCTCAGTTTGTCAGAGTGATTTCTACTTGATTCTACTAAAACTGGTGTAAAACTGTGTCCTGTTGTACATACTGCAAGAAGCTATCCTGGGCACAACTTACCTTTGTGATGATTGTATAAGGATAAATTCATAAATGATTACCTCCCTTAAATACAAATGTAAGTTGTTTCCATAGATACCTGTTCACAAAGATTAATTAGATAAATGTTTTCCAATGCCTGGTTGAATTACACTTAATTACACTTCTGACATACCAAATTGTGAACATCTTACTCCATTTGAACATGGAATTACAGAGTAGAAGATCTGGAAGAGGGCCTTAGGGATCACCAGACTCAATCTCTCATGGATCAGAGAAGGACAATGGGCTCCAAAGAGCGGGAAGGCCTTGGTCAAGGTCAGAGCCTCTCTATTTTAAAAATCAATAGGCCACCTATTGTGCTTTTAAATGAGATGAACTCACAAACATCTTTTCTTAAAATTTGCCTTTTCTGCATGTATATAAACAAAAGTAGCAAAAAATATAAAATGTAAAGATTGTCCACCACCTGGATTTCGGAGCAACTAGGGAAAAATCTGTTTCCAGGATTAAGAACAATCTTACCAATGAGATAATAAAATAACCTATTTGTTATTAATTTTAAAACTTGAGTAATTGAAAGAGCAGCATTGTTTTTCTTTATAAAAATTGATATACATTTATTTTAAAATATTTGGAAAACTGTAAGCTGTAGAAAGAAGAAGAAATTGCTTATATTTGCACTACCCAACAAAACCAATTTTTAACATTTTTGGTGATTTTTCTTCAATCTTTTTCTATATGAATAGAAAGTCTGTGAGGATGGCAGTCATAAACATTTTCCCACGTTATTACATCTTCTTTATAAATATCTACTAAGCACATGTGGTATGTTTTTCTTTAGCAGCTAACTATTCTATTACAGGAATGCTGGTTTTAAAATAACCTTACAAAGATCATCTTCATGTATAAATATATTTTTCCATATTTAGGAGTATTCTCTTATTCCTTATAAATGGAATTTCTGGATCTGTTTTATAATAGGTGCATAACTCAATTGATAGACATTAAAAGAATTAAATAAGTATGTTAATCAGAATGAGCCAGGTGTGCTGTGGTAACAAGCAGCAGTATTATCTCAATGACCTAAGAAAAATAAAAATTTACTTCTTAGTTATGGGAATTCATTTGTGGGCTCAGGTTACTCTCTGAAGCTGCTGTCCTTAGCAGTCCAGACTTTTCAGTGCTTTGGTTCCACCGTCTCAACCAAGCCTCCTCTCCAATTACATCTTCACAGGAAGGTTCCTAAATACTCACTCATACCCCGTAGGCGGAACTTGTTACACAACCCTGTCTGCCTTCAAGGCAGTGGGATTGGGTGAGAAAGCGTGGTCCACCCATGCACCAGAAGGAGGTAAGCAGTTAAAGTTTCTATCACATCACAGTTCATGTTGTTGACCAATTGCTTTTCACAATTCACATGCCCATCAATTTGCATGAGAAAGTCCTTTTCACTACATGCATTTACTATACTCATTGCATATTACTCCTTTAAAAAAAAGCTTTGCTACAGTGATGGGCAAAAATATTTAATATTTATCCCTTTGATTACCTCAAGGTCAACTTTTTTAATTCATTCATTCATTCATTCATTCATTGAATCAATCATTCAACAAATACAGCTATGTGGCAATAATGAATTGGATATGTGGTGGTGGTCCCACATGATTATAAGGGAACAAACAACTTTAACCTCAGTGTGGATTAGGATGACATTGAGGAGCCTCTAGATGTGAGTCCTGAGGAACTGACAGAGTTGTGAGAGCTGGAACAGAAACTCAGAGCTTAAAGAAGAGTCAAGAGAAAAGGAAACTGCAGAAGAAAAAGAAAAAACCCTGAGCAAATTCACTGTCAAGGGTTTGGCAGAAGCCTTTGTAGACCTCAACAACTCAGAAAGTTTGAAACCATGGACCCTAACACTGAAAGGTTTTCATTAGTAGAGAGACGTGTTCATGATGCATTATCTACTTTACAAGCACATCTATGATGAATAAAAAGAAATAAACCAAGCATTCTTTTCTTTTCTGAAAAGAGTGACACCTCCTCAAGAACAGCCCCAGGCAGGTCCTTCAGGAGGTGCTCCAGAAGAAGGCATTGTTTTCATAGATGACAGCTCCATGGGTGTTATTACCCCTTCAGTCCTTCCAGTGGGACAAACTGGAGAGGTAGAAGACAGTGATACTGATGATCCTGACATTGTGTAGGCCTAGGCTAATATGTGTGATTGTGCCTTAGTTTTTAACAAAAATGTTTAAAAAGTGAAAAATAAAAAACTGTGAAAGTAGAAAAAGCTTATAGAATAAGGATATTAAAAAGAAATATTTTTGGGCCAGGTGCGGTGGCTCACGCCTGTAATCCCAGCACTTTGGGAGGCCGAGTGAGGTGGATCACGAGTTTAGGAGATCGAGACCATTCTGGCTAACACGGTGAAACCCCGTCTCTACTAAAAATACAAAAAATTAGCCGGGCTTAGTGGCGGGCACCTGTAGTCCCAGCTACTTGGGAGGCTGAGGCAGGAGAATGACGTGAACCAGGGAGGTGGAGCTTGCAGTGAGTGGAGCTCGCACCACTGGACTCTAGCCTGGACCACAGAGCGAGACTCCATCTCAAAAAAAAAAAAAAAGAATTATTTTTGTACAGCTGTACAATGTGTGTTTAAGCCAAATATCTACAAAATAATCAAAACATTAAAAAATTTAAGAGGTTTATAAAGTAAAAATGTTACAGTAAGCTAAAGTTAATTCAGTATTGAAGAAAGAAAAATATTTTTTATAAATGTAGTGCCATCTACGTGTACAGTGTTTATAAGGTGTACGGTTGTGTCCTAAGCTTTCACATTCAATCACCACTCACTCATTGACTCACCCAGAGTAACTTCCAGTCCTGCAAGCTCCATTTATGGTAAGTGACCTAAACAGGACAGGGTGTGCCATTCTTAACATTTTATATTGTATTTTTACTGTTTTCTGTTTGAATATGTTCAGATACACAAATACTTACCATTGTGTCATAATTGCCTACAGTATTCAGTAGAGTAACATGCTGTACAGTTTGTGGCCTAAGAGTGATAAAACCATACCATAGAGCCTAGGAGTGGAGTAGGCAATACCATCTAGGTTTGTATATGCACACTCTATGATATTCACACAAAGACAAAATTGCCCAAGGAAAGCATTTCCATTGTTAGGTGGCGCATGACTGTATTTACTTAACAGGTGAACCAGGCACTGACCCAGGTATTAGGTCTCTAATGGTGGACACATACACATGGCCCCTTTCCCCATGGGCTTTATGATCATTGACTAGTTATGGTGCCTCTTTTATGAATTGTCTGTAAATATCCTTGCATGTTTGCGTTTAGAGTTCTTTGCATTTTTGTTATTGAGTTACTTCAGCTCTTTATAAAGAAAAGATAGAAGCTCTTTTTTGCATTCGCTGCAAACTTTTTTTCAGTTTGCCTTTTAATCTAAATTTTGGTGATGTTTTCCCTTTTTTACAGATTTTTAAAATTATCTATTCAGATCTCTTGGTCTTTTCCCCTTAGATTTCTTTCCTTACTTTTAATCTTAGGAATACTAAAAATGGTTATTTCTGAGTTTTTTACAATTTTTCTCTTGCTAAAAATCACCTTGTGAGAAAACATACACCTACACTCACATATGTGTGTGTATGTATATAGATATTTTTAGAGAGAGAGAGAGAAGGAGAGAGAGTGTGTGTGTGTGTGAGAGAGAAGGAAATAGAGAGATGGAAAGAGAGAGGAGGGAGAGAATTCAGTGGATAATTCAATTCAAGACTCTTTATGCAGGTTTTGAACCTAAAAGCCACTTTAGCAATCCCAGTGCCTGCCTACCTCTCCTGTTTGCCCAGTCTTTTCTCCTCTTGGGGTTCCCAGATGGAAGGTGCTATGGAAGGTGCTTACAGTCCTTACAGCACTACAGAAGGTGCTGTAAGGACTAGACAAAAGAATAATGCATGGTCTATCCTTCTAGTCTATAAAATCACATGCACAACTACACAGGCACATGCACGCAGAGTTCATTAATTCAAGGCTGTGTGTGGTAAGAAACAAGTGAGTTGTGTAGACTGGATGGACTCCAAACTTTTCATTTTGCAACCCTGTTAGTTAAAAACATGTTGTGCAAGCACTTTCAATATATATTTCATAGAACTCAAGACACTATCAATTGTGCATTACATCATTACGTTATACAGCATGAAGTAAGAAAAATATCCCTGCCAAATTGTGACATAGCCTTTCTGTAGGTATTGATTGTAAAATGCATCTCAATATGAGAGATGTTAAAATGTGAAACAATGTGTGTCTCAGAACTGATAAAAAATGATCATATGCTTCTAAATGAATATATTATGTCCTCTTAAAAGCATACACAAAAATGGGAGTTTTAAAAGGTTGAAGTTTTATAAGCAAAAGTTTAATACCTTCCTGTTGCACCCGAAAGGATCACTACAGACACCCCACTCTGGAGGCCACTGGCATAGACAGAGGTCCTGTGTGGGCCCAGAAGAGTGAGGGGCTCTTAGCTGAGTCTGTGTGGCTCTAGGGAAGTGGACAAGCATTTCAGAAGAAGTGCCCAAACACAGAAACAGGGAAAGCATCTGAGTGATGTTGGGGGACAGTGAAGCCAAGGGGCCAGAAGTGACTGTGGTTCTCAGCCTCAGTGTTAGGGCGAATGACAGAAGTAGGGTAGCCAGGCGAGGAAGCTACTCTCTGGGAGAAAGATAAACAACTTAGGGAAATAGCGGCATGTAAATGGAGCTAACTTGAACTGGGTAAGCCGATGACAGCTGGGCACTGTATTTAACGTCAGCATAGACAAAGAGCAACACAAGATTTGGGTAGGTGCCACTTAAGGCTGATCTTACAAGTCAGACGTGCGGTGGCTCTAACAGAAGTCACGAGTACCTGGCTCAAGATAGCTCCCCTACTGACGGTCACAATTTCTCCTTTGAAGATTAATCCCTTTCAGTTAAAGGACTGAAGACTCCAATTAAAATGCAATTACCCCCAACAGAGGTAACCAACATATTTTTCTTGTGAGAGGACAGGTTGCTGAGAGGAAGGCACTAAAGAAATATAGTGTGAAAGCTGGAGGTGGATTCTTCTGGTATTCCAGAAGCTGGATAATTCTGGAATACTGGATTCTTCTGGAATGCCCGTCCACTTCCCCAGAGCCACACAGACTCAGCTAAGAGCCCCCTCACTTTTCTGGGCCCACACAGGACCTCCATCTATGCCTGTGGCCTCCAGGGTGGGGTGTCTGCACTGATCCTTTGGGGTGCAACAGGAAGGTATTGAACTTTTGCTTATAAAATTTCAACCTTTTCAAACTCCCATTTTTGCGTATGCTTTTAAGAGGACATAATATATTCATTTAGAAACATATGATCTTTTTTTTATCAGTTCTGAGACACACATTGTTTCACATTTTAACATCTCTCATATTGGAATACATTTTACAATCAATACCTACGAAAGCCTATGTCACAATTTGATTGGCAGGGATATTTTTCTTTCTTCATGCTGTATAATGTGATGATGTAATGCACAACTGATAGTGTCTTGAATTCTATGAAATATATATTGAAAGTGCTTGCACAACATGCTTTTAACTAATGGGGTTGCAAAATGAAAAGTTCGGAGTCCATCCAGTCTACACAACTCACTTGTTTCTTATCATACACAGCCTTGAACTAATGAACTCTGCATGTGTGTGCGCCTGTGTAGTTGTGCATGTGATATTATAAACTTGAAGGACAGACCACACATTTTTTTTCTGTCTAGTCCTTACAGCACCTTCCATAGTCTAGGCCAGCAGTTCTCAACACTATCAGACCTAACACCCCTTTTATAGCTAATAATTTATAATGTCCTTTTTACTATCTTAAAATGAAATTCACAAATAAGTTTTTTTAAAAGCCCATATTGTATTAGTTGGGTTCCCCTTATTGCTAAAACAAATGCACCCTAATATGTTTAATAGCTTAAATGCAATAAACGTTTATTTCTAGCTCTCATGATAGGACTGAGCAGATAAATAATGGGCAGGGAGTTGAAACAGACATGGAGGCATGTACCTGGGAGGTTTCCATGGGCCAGGCCTGGAAGTGGCATGTGCCACTTCTGCTCAGGGGCCATTGGCTAGGACTCAAGCACATGACCACACCTGCCTGCAAGGGTAGATGGGAAATAGAGTCTAGTTGAGGAACCAGGAGAGAGAGTGGAACATGGATTTTGGTGGGCATCTAGCAGTTTCTGCCACAAATATAATGCCTTGTTATAAAAGAGAAAATAATTTACAATAAAATAATATGATTTTCATTATGTATACCCTTAGGATAGTCACACTAGAAGACATGAGTCAAATGCTTTCACTCATAAGAGAATGATGTGAATGTGAAGGCCTTAAGTGCAGTTTAAGAGTGGCGTGTTGTATTAATGACTAACATATCCTTCCCTATTTTACTATTACTATCCAACAGTGGTATTTCTTTTTTTTTTTTTTTTTACTAGTAATGAGAGTTCCTGAAATAGTGAACAACGCTTAGTAAAATTCTGAACAAAGCACAGTCTTTCTTTAATTTATACAGCTGACACATTATGGGAAAATCTGGTGCATATTAGAACTCTGCAACAAATGCTTTGTATTTATATGTAAAATCAAATTGGGTTCTAGGCTCACATAATTATAAAGATTTTTTTTTTTTTGGCCTCCAGGAACATCAAATGGGGCACTAGTAGGCCCTGAGGGATGAGGAAGAATCCTTCGTTGTGCAAAACTTTTCTGGATATTGCAGGATGTCTAGCGACCCCAGCACCCTCTTGCTAAATGCCAGTAGTACCCTCCCCACATACACAAGTCACTGTGACAACCACATACACCACCACAATTTTCCAAAGCATCCCCATGGACTCGTACTGCTTCCACTGAGAACCACTGGTCTTAATAAATGCTTGTCCAATTCACTCTTGGGTACTTGAAGAAATGGATAAACAAACTGATTCACTAATCCTGGCATATTGCTATAAAGCAAAGAATATGAATATATTTGGAATGCCAGCCTTGCGCTATGCTAGGTGATTTTACATAACTATCTCATTTAATCCTCATAACAGTATTGCAAGATATTATAAACTTGAAGGACAGACCACACATCTTTATAGTGAATGAAATGGAGGTCTTGGAGGTGAAGTAACATGTCTGTAATTACATGGTGGGTAAGTATGTGGGAAGCTGGGATTGAAATCTGGGCATGACTCCAGAATCCATGGTAAATTTCCACCATTATTAGGATGACCATATGTTTCCATTTAAGTCTACCATCCTGCATTTAAGTCTACTGTCCTGGAGTAATGATTATTAGCACTCCCTTTCACTCTCCAAAGAGTCCCAGTCTGGAGAGTAAATTACATGGCCACCGTAAATATTATATGCTGCTATTGTCATCAGTATTTATTGCACAGGAAGGTCAAGAGAGAGGGAAAAAAGGTAATATCATTCTTTCTCAGACATCAGTGGATGACTGAGGAGGCAGAATGGGTTTTCTCTTCCCCATTTATCACCTATGCACTTCTCAAATCATCCATGGATATTTGTATCTGTTTATCTTCTGGAAAAACAATTTTTAAACAGTAGGAAAACAAACACTTTCTAGATATTCAATCTTTTACTATCAAATGGGGTGTTGTCCTTTACCTGCAAATAAGATATGCTGTCTCCTGAGAAAGACCAAGTACTCTTAAATCTGAGAAACAGTTGAAGATAGCGTAGGAAGCTGAACTGAGACACACTGAGCAAAGTGATGCATTGATGCTTGCTTGCTTGCTTTTGATGAGCTGGTCACATTCTTGAAGTTAGGAAGAAATCCTCCCTTTAGATATTTAAGTTAGAAGCCTATCTCTATCAGCTCCTGGTTCTGACAGTTTTCAAACAATTGCTTTAAACAAGTCACAGTTTTAGACATGTCACATGCACACGTTCAGTCTCAGAGTTATGGGAAAGTACCAGAAAAAATTCACAGGGTAATTTCAACACCCAAATGCTGTCTCCGCCACCTTTCCCATCTTATTCCTGTCAATAATTCTCTCCCTCCACTCTGCCCTGCCATCCCCCCACCTTTTGTTTCAGCTCCTTGTGGCATTTGGTGTTTCCCCTCCCAATCTGCAGCCAGGGTCAGCACTGGTGAGGAAAAGTGGGTCAGATTGCCCTCTGTCTCCTGGTGCTGAGCACTCCTATGTTGGTTCAAACACAGAACCAGCTGAAACTCACTCAGGCCTTCCCCAGCTGGCATCAGCCACTGCCCTAGTGGTGGTCTCAGGAATTTCTTGGAAAGGAAGTAACCTGGTGGTCAGCTGCCCCTTCTTGGTTTCCCACCAAGAGCTCTAATAGAAAGAGTCCTGGTGGAGATGCTGAGCCTGACCCCGTTGGGGGCCTATTGGAAGATGTGTCTTAGACCCAGGTGGCACAGGGCAGAGAGGGAGCTTCCGGGCTATTCCTGGTTTATCCATGCACCATTGCCAAGCTTGGGGATGATGCTTAACAAAGAGCACAGCATTCCATTGAAGGCTCATAATAAAATTATAAAATTAAAAAAATAATAATGGTTGAATTGGGCTTAAGTAATACCATCCTGTTGTAATTGTTTCCTTCAGCTTCAGTTGTATTTAGAAAAAAAGAAATCACCTCAGAAGCTGATACAAATTATTAAAATTTCCCCCTCTTCAAGTCTCTGTAGCAGAGTAGAAGGCATGGAGACTGTCAAAAGACATCTGAAACCTTAAATGATAAGTATGAAATAATCTCTCTAAGTGTGGATATTGACCGCTTTTGTTGTATAAAGACAGATTGTTCTGCTGAGACCACAGGCAATACACTCCATAAATGCTATCTTTTCTCCCTCCCATATCCATAGCAGACTGTGTTAATTGATCACCTACTCTTTCTGGCTAATTCTCAATAGAATATTTCAGGGAGAAACTGATGAAAGTTGGCAAAGGAAATGAAAGCTGTTTTCCTTTCTGACCTAGAGTAAGCCCACAATGAGGTAGACATTCCCAGAATTTATCACCCAAGGAAGTTATAGTATTTGATACAGGAATTTGGAATCTTGGAGAATGGACCTTAGACCACCATGAGAAGGATCTCTTAATTTTCTCTCACCCCATCAATCTGTCTTGAGAAGTCTAGCTATGCTGGAATACTACCAGCTGGAAAGGGATTGATGTGGAGATATGCCGGGAGGTAGGTAGGGAGGCCCTGGAGAGGAACCCAAGCTCAAGATGAGTACTTTACATTTTGGAAGCCAGATTACTTACAAGTAGCTCTTTGGGTCTGCTTTCTTTGCTGATATCCTGGAGTCTTAAGCAAAGTTGATCTATTCATTCATTCAACAAACAATTATTGGGCATCTATCCTGTGGCAGTCACTGAGCTATGATCTAGAATATGAGGATGAATGACACGGATACAATCTGAGGATGACAAACCAATTACAGCTGTTTTTAATCTTGGTGGTAAGGGCTTTGAGTGGCAAAACGTGGACAGAAATGCTGGGGTGACACAGCAGGGGAGCCCAGTGTTCTAGTTAAGTGGTATCTGTTCTCCAACTTGATTTCACTGGATGGACTGGGCACAGAGAGAAGAATTATGGGCAGGGCTTGGGCAGGAAGATTAAAGAGGTAGCTACTCCCCCAAGAGTCGGGTCCTGAGATCCAGGTACCTTATTCACATAAAGGCTCTTTTCTTCCACTGCCAACCTTGGAGTTTGATTTTTTTATAGGGTTTGATTTCTTTATAGTGGGTCATGGAAGCTAAAACCTTGGCAAAGAGCAATCTGTGATCTGCTATTGTGTTTTTCTATTCCCGTCCACAGGTGATTCCTAGCAGTCTCCATTTTGAAGTTCTCTTCTCCTTTGACCAAGCGTCCAGCACATCCTCACAACACTCCAAAGCCACCTTGAAGACTCTCTTCAAAGCAGTTCTTACTGTTGATACCACCACCATTGTTCCGACACATGAAGCAGGAGGACCCAAGGCCAGAGGTCATGGTGGAGAGATGAGCAGATAGTCCTCAAAGGCAGACAGGGCTGGGGTTGGAGAGGAATTCCCTAATAGCTGTTATAAATGGAGATATGACAGGTGTGAACAAACAACCTAGGACTGGAAGAAAGAAGAGGGAGGAGTCGGGTAGAGATAGTACTTGGAGTGGATGCCCAGGCTGTGTAGTGACATAAAGGGGCTTAAAGAGGGCTTAGGGAGCAGATCTGAGAGGAAGAGAATGAAGGAAGGTAAGGAATTCAGTCTTTGGCATTCTGATACGTTGTGAGGGCTGGGGGTGGTGACCGACTAGATTCAGGGAACCTGAGGGCTGGGTGTTGGTTTGTGTTCTTGAAATTACTTCCTCAGGATTTCACATCTAACCAAATATTAACAATCATTTACTAAATAAATATTGTTCTGTCCCTGGATGGGCAGATGGGAGTGTTATGCCTGCCCCTCCCCATCCCCCACCAAAAAAATAACAAAGGCAGTTTAATTCATGACCCCAAGGCTGTCACAATCCAGACTAAGAAGTGCCCTGAGAGCCTGGTGGGATCATCTTGGTGCACAGACCCAGTATCCAGGGGATCTGAGTGGCCAAGGAACACCCAGAACTCCTGCCTCCCATAAGTGCAAGGCTGAGCATAGCAAAGTATGAAGAGGGAAGGCTCTTCTAACACTGAAGTACGTAGGAGCAGACTTTTCAGTAAGAAGAAAAGTCCCAGAAATTCAGATTAGATTATAAACAAATTATAAAGCGATAAGCTGGCTGAAACAATAATATTCAAATTAGTTCAATTCAGCAAGTACATATGAGTGCTTCTGTGTGCCCATCCTGGGCTAGTCCACTTGAGGGAATGGACACAGGAGAAATGAACAGGGTTTAAAGGGGAGGTATTTCTTCAGGCACAAAGCTCTGCAGATGGCTGCCTCTCCACTGGGCACCCCATGACAATTCACACAAGATCTCTCCCAAGACCTCTCAAAGCAATTCTTTTAAGACCTCAGTCCCTGCCCCCAAGCAGCCAGGAGTCTGTTTCACTGGTATCAGATCAAGCAGACCCTTCCTGAAGCTTTTGTAGAGAAATGGAAGTGATTTGGTTAAAACAGGGAATTTCGGCTGGGTGCAGTGGCTCACACCTGTAATCCTAGCACTTTGGGAGACCCAGGCGGGCAGATTGTCTGGGCTCAGGAGTTTGAGACCAGCCTGGGCAACATAGCTAAACTCTGTCTGTACTAAAAATACAACAACAACAACAAAAAAGTAGCCAAGCTTGGTAGCATGTGCCTGTAATCCCAGCTACTTGGGTGGCTGAGACATGGGAATCACTTGTACCTGGGAGATGGAAGTTGCAGTGAGCCGAGATCATGTCACTGCACTCCAGCCTGGGCGATGGAGCGAGACTGTCTCCAAAAAACAAAACAAACAAACAAACAAACGAAACAGGGAATTTCAAAGATGAAAGCAAGAGCAAAGATGGAGAATGGGTTGGAGGTGGAAGAAACACAGAAGTAAGAAGTAAAGGCTAGTGAGGAGAGTATGAATACTTTAGGCTCTCTGAGTTGATGGCAGCAAGTAGAGCCAAGGGGCAGGGAGAATGAAGACATAGTCTCTACTGATTGGATGTAGAAGAAATGAAAAAGAAGAGTCTAAGATGACCTTCAGTAGGAGTGGTAGAAGGGTGAATGAGGAAAGTCAGTAGCTCAGAAGAGAAGCATTTGAAGAAGGAAGATAACAAGTTCAGTAATTTAAGACTCTATCTTTTCTTTCCTGAACTCTTCCTATAGTATCCCTGTTGGGTCCCCCTCTCCAGGATTTGTTCTCCAGTCTACCCTTTGCACTGGGTTTCTAAAAGGCAATCTTTACTGGATTATTCTCTGCATCCAGCCTCACAGTGGTTGCCACCACCTTGAGGTGAAAGGCCAAGGTCCAGAGCATGGCATACAAGCTCTTGGAGCTCTGCCTTTCCTATATCTTAGCCTTATATCCTGCCATTCTCCTTCTTGGGCTCAACATTCCTGCCATCCTGAAATATTTGCATTGAAAAAGAAAGCCAGTTTCATGTGTCAGTGCTCTTGTACTTGTTAACCTCACCGTGAAAATTTTTTCCTACCTTTCCTGGTTGAACTTCTCACCATCCTGTACCAGGTGGCTAAAAACCCAGCAAAGCACTCCCTAATGGTCCTCTCCACTCTCCCAAGGAAGGTTTGTTCCAGAAATGCAAGGTCTGATTCAATATATGAAAATTATTCAATGTAATCTTCCATATTAATGGCTAAAGGAGAAAAATCATGTGGTCTTGTCAACTGATACAGAAAAAGCATTTTAAAAAATCTAACATGTATTCATGATAAAAACTCTTAGAAAAAATGGATTAGAGGGAAACTTCCTCAACTTGATAAAGAGTGTCTACCAAAAGGCTCTAGCTAATATTGTTTTTAGTGGTGAAGGACTGAATGCTTTCTCCATAAGATCAAGAACAAGGCAACAATGTCTGCTCTCACCACTCTTATTCAACATAGTACAGGTAGTTCTGGCCAATTTCAAAAGGTACAAGAAGAAAAAAAAGCATGCAGATGAGAAAGGAAAAAATAAAACTGTCCCTATCTGCAGATGAAATGATTGTTTAGGTAGAAAATTCCATGAAATCTGCAAAACAACAACCTCCTAGAACTCATAAGTGAGTTCCTCAAGGTTGCAAGATGTAATACAAACATACAAAAGTCAATTTTATTTTGGCATCCATAACAGATGGAAGTTATAGTACTTGATACAGGAATTTGGAATCTTAGAAAATGGACCTTAGACCACCACAAGAGGGATCTCCTAATTCTCTCTCACCCCATCAGTCTTTCCTGAGAAGTCTAGCTATGCTGGAATACTACCAGCTGGGAAGGTAGTATATGGTGTCCATAACAGACACCAAAATAAAAAATAAATGCCATTTACAGTTGCTAAAAAAACCCAAGTATAAATCTAACAAAACATGTACAGGACTTCAATTGTACATGTTTTGTGGCAGAAAACTACAAAACATTGATGAAATAAACCAAAGAAGATCTAAATAAATGGAAAAACATAGTGTGTTTGTGGATTAGAAGATTCAATATAATAAAGAAGTCAATTATTTGCCAATTTACATAGAAGTTTAATGCAATTCCTATCAGAATCCCAGCAAGATTTTTGTAGATATAGACACGATTATTCTAAAATTTATATGAAAATGCAAAGGAACCAGAATAGCTAAAATAACTTTGTAAAAGAATAATAAAGTGGGAGGAATCAATCTACCTGATTTCAAGATTTATTATAGAGCTGTCGTATTTACAGAGTGATAGACACATAGATCAATGAAACAAATAGAGAACCTAGAAACAGACTCACAAAAATATGCCCAACCAAAAGGTACAAAAGCAATTCAGTGGAGGAAGGATAGCCTTTTCAATGAAGCTCAACTTAAATCTCATATATTTAAAGAATTAACTCAAAAATAGATCACAGGCTTAAAAGTTTTACACTATAAAACTTTTAGAAAACAAAACACAGGAGAAAATCATAGGTATCTAGGGCTAGGCAAAAAGTTCTTAGATTTGCCATCAAAAGTCTGACCCATAAAAGAAAATATTAATGGTTAGATTTCATCAAAATTTAAAACTCTTGCTGTGTAAAATGGCCCATTATGAGAGTGAAAAGACAAGCTTCAGAGAGCAAGAAAATATTTACAAACCACATATCTGACAAAGGGCTAGTAGCTAGATACATAAAAATCTCTCAAAACCTAACACTAAAAAATAAAACAAAAGCAATACAATCAGAAAATGTGAAAACGACATGAAGAAACACTTTACTGAAGAGGATATATGGATGGCAAATACGCATTTGAAAATATGTTCAACATCATTAGTCATTAGGAAATGTGAATTAAAATCACAATGAAATATCACTATGCAACAGAATGGCTAAAATAAGAAATAGTGACAACACCAAATGCCAGTGTCAATGTGGATAAACTGTATCTCTCCTATAACTGTATCTCTTCTGTATCTCTCCTATATTTTTGTGTAAACATGTTTCCATTTCTCTGGATAAATACTCCTAGGTGTTTATCACACAAGTGTTCATGGCTGTTTTTCTGGTAGTAGCCCAAAAACTGTAAACAACCCAGATGTCCTTCAACAGGTGATAGCTAAACACACTATGGTACATCCATGTGGTAAAAAATATCAGCAATAAAAAGAAACGAACTTCTGATGTGCACAGCAAATTGGATGAAGCTTCAGGGAATTATGCAGAGTAAAAAAAAGCCAATTCCAAAATGTTACATACTTGATTACAGCATTTATATAACATTCTTGAAATGACAAAATTATAGACATGGAGAATGGAGGAGGGGTTGCCAGGGGCTGAGACGGGTGTTGGAAGGAGGAGATGCAGTCGATAAGGTGGTGTGGCTATAATAGGGTAATAGCAGGGATATTTGTGGTGATGATATTGTTCTGTATCTTGTCAATATCCTGGTCTGATATCACACTATAGTTTTTCAAGATGTTGCCGTTGGTCGAAAATGGGTAAAGGGTACACTGGATTTCTCTGTATTGTTTCTTACAACTGCATGTGCTTCTACAGTGATCTCAAAATTAAAAGTTGAATTTAAAAAATAAAGCACAAACCACACTCATGTATTATCTCATAGTCAGAATCCCAGGCCCAGCATAACTGGGTCCTCTATTCAGGTCCCACCTGTCTGAGACCAAGGTGTCTGCCAGGGCTGTCGTCTCATCTGAGGTTTGGGGTCCTCTTTCGTGCTTAATCAGGCTGTTGGTGGAATTCAGTTCCTTGTGGCTGTAGGACAGGATTCCCCATTTTCTCACTGTCCACCACAGACCATTCCAGAGACCAGCAGCTGCTTCTTGCCATGTGGCTCTTCAATATCCCTTCTCATGCTTTGAGTCTCACTTTCTAGGAGGGCCCAGGCCCATTTATGAAGTTGCCTGATTAGGTAAGTCCCACTGGGATAATCTCCCTTTTGGTTAACAAGTCAACAGATTAGTAACCTAACCGTGGGCGGTGATACTCCACCATATTCACAGGTTTGGGAATTATGTGACGTGTGTATACCAGAGGGTGAGAATTCTTGGGGCTGCCTTAGAATTCTGCCTCCCACAGACCATCTTAGCCCCAGCATTCTCTGTGGGATAAGCAGAAGTCTTTGATGGGACTATACCACAGTGCAATTCTTCTCTCTGCCCATTCCTATTGTTACCAAACAATCAATCGGCTCATTTCCCAATGCACATAAAAGCCAATACCATGCACTGGATTTTGAGAAAAGAAAGGCTTTATTTCTAGCTAATTGTCAAGGAGACAGGAGGAAATGCTCCAATCTGTCTTCCTGAGCTGGGGACTGGGTCAGGCTTTATAGGCGTACAGTAATGAGCCATGATCTGATTGAGTCTTCCGATGAAGTGCTGCCAGGGACGCATGATCTGACTAGATCCTGCCATGAGGTGACACCAGGGCTCCATCTGATTGGATTCTGTATCTTGCCATTCAGGGTCTGCGTCTTCATTCAGTCCCTGCTCCCCAGTTTGAGACCTTAGGTTCCACCCATGGTTGAATCCTTGGTTCATCTGGGCATGCTCAGGTAATGTGACCTTCAATCTGGAGGTTCCTGGCAACTGAAAAACAACTCACAACTTTGTTACATAAAACTTGAACCAGATTGGTCTGGTGCAGTTACACCATTTTCTTTGTTCCCTACTGTTGTTGATCCCTAGAACAATTGCCCATAAACTTTCTGCACATAAATCTTGCTCTGTGAGTCTGTTTCCCAAAGAACTGGGAGTGTTACTGTTGTACCACTGAGCTACAGGGCATGGAAGACTGACTGGTAACATTTTATTTATTTTTATTTTTATTTATTTATTTATTTTTGAGACAGAGTTTCACTCTTGTTGACCAGGCTGGAGTGCAATGGCACCATTTTGGCTTGCTTCAACCTCTGCCTCCTGGGTTCAAGTGATTCTCCTGCCTCAGCCTCCTGAGTAGCTGGGATTACAGGCATCCACCACCACGCCCTGATAATTTTTTGTATTTTTAGTAGAGATTGGGTTTCACCATGTTGGCCAGGCTGGTCTCAAACTCCTGACCTCAAGTGATCTACCCACCTTGGCCTCCCAAAGTGCTGGGGTTACTGGCATGAGCTACTGCGCCTGGCCCCAACCAGTAACATTTAAAAAATCTGGGCGCAAGTTATACTTGGGACCCTACTTAAAAAAAGAAGTTGATAGAGCTGTTGGGGGGTAATCCCTAGGGCATCAAGTCAGGAGTACTACGTGGATGTTCATTGGCAACCAGGTCACTCAATGGTCTTCCTCCGGATTCTGTTTGCTGTAAAACTTGATCCTTCTTTATCATCACCATCACTGCCATCATTATCACCATGACATCATAGTTACCTTACATTGAAAGCTCACTGTGTTCCAAAGAGTGTGCAAAACATCTTATCTACCATCTGATGAGTCATTACAGCAGAGTAGTTAAGGGTACCAGGAGTTAGACTACCTCGTGTTGAATACCAGCTTCTGCATTTAATAGCAACATGGCTTCAGTTGGGTAAACTTTCTGAGCCTCAGCTTCCTCATCTATAAAATAGGGATGGTATTTGTTTGATAAAATAACCCTTCATGTATAACTCTTAATACAGTGCTTGGTACAGAACAAGCATTCCATAAATGTTAGCAATTTTGTAGTCTCATTTAATTCTTATGACAGCCCTGCAAGAGGATTTATAGCTGAGTAAGCTGAGGTTCAGAGAGGTTAAGCAACTTCCCAGAATCTAACAAACAACTAAAGAGTGCCAGAGGTAAGATTTCAACCAAGTTCCTTCTGAGCACGAAGTGTTAGCCCTTAACCATTATTCTGTCTTGTTTCACAGTCGTGGGGATCCACAGGGGTGACAATGCTGCCTTAAGCAGAACGCAGAAAGAAAAACTGAAAACATACACACAGAGTCAGAAAATCTCTGAAAAGGAAATGCTCGTGAGAGGGATTCCTACTGTTTCACCTGCAGGATGTCAGGCTTCTGAGCCCAAACCTGTGTGCTGGTTTGTGGCTTCCTAAGTGGGGTAGTGGAAGTCAAAGTCTTTCTTCTTAAAAAAGATAAGCTGGGCAATAGCCCCTCAGGAAAATGTGATTACAGGTCCATGATCCCCCATCCAGAAGTTCTGAAATTCAGACAGCTCTGGAAACCAAAAGTTTTTTCATAATTCATTTGGTGGCAAAACCTGACTTGGCCTGAATTAATGCAAGCTCATCATCGTCTTGTTGCCTTTCTTGGGATGAATTGTCATACATTGCTGCAGAAATGCTCAAGTGATGATTTGCTGGGGGGCTGGCCCAGACTCCACTGAGCTGTCAGCAACTTTGTTACCTTTCTAAACTCTGAAAAATTCTGAGTTCTAGAACACATCTGGCCCTCCAGATATTTCAGATGAGGGCTTGAGGATCTTTTTCTATTCTTTTTTTTTTTTTGAGATGGGGTCTCGCTCTGTCATCCAGGCTGGAGTAATGAGCCATGCAGTGGCACGATCACAGCTCACTGAAGCCTCGAACTCCTGGTCTCAAGTGATCCTCCCACCTCAGCCTCCTGAGTAGCTGGAACTACAGGCCATCATGTCCAGTTAATTCTTTTATTTTTTTGTGGAGACAAGTCCTTTCTATGTTGCCCAGGCTGGTCTGGAACTTCTTGGCCTCAAGGGATCCTTCTGCCTTTGCCTCCCGAAGTGCTGGGATTACAGACATGAACCACCACACCTGGCCGTTTATTATTATTTTTGACCATTTTTACTAAGTACCAGAGCCAAGTGTACAAACCCACCAGATTTTATTCAAGAGTGACCTTCATTTAAATAACCTTTATCTGAGAGCTTTTCAGAAGCTCCCTTGTTCACTGAGAAGGAAGAATAGCAAGTCCCAGGCCATCCATACCTGTCCAGCTCTAACTGAAGGCAGGCTCAGGGGTTCTTGGTGGCCACTGCCCAATCCTTTTCCTGGAATTGTGGTTTTTTTGACCCTGTGTTTTAGAACATTCCTGCCTTGTGCTCACGCCCCAGAATGCTGAGCCGTGTGTCTCTGTGTTATGGTAGCATGTAGGACTAAGAGTGTTGGGATGACAATAGGAGAGGACGTTGGGGCTGTGGCTAAAAGAGCAGTAGAGAGACAGGAATGAGGCTCTTCCAGTTCCTTTCCTGAAACCTCTGAAAACAGCAATATTTTTTGCTCACAGTATTTTCAACACAATGCAAAAGCATAAACTTTATATATTTTAAATGCATAAATTCCACATTGTCTTCTCTTCCTTCTTCCCTAGTTAAGTGAAATAAAATGCTCAATGAGATACAGACCTGGTCATATTTAAATCTACAAGTTCAGAGTTGCAAAGGAACAGCATCTCTGAATAACTGACCTGTCTCTCAATATTTCTGCAGAGTCTATTCTAACATTGAAAACCCTGTTTAGCCACTTTGATGTGGAGCCGAATAGGTGAGCATCATTTTACCACCGTTTGTTTAGCTGTACCTTGGCAAATGTCAAGTTTGAGTCTGGATATTTGGACTGTGGTGGGCAAAATGAGGTCAGCAGCCTCCCGATGGGCTTTCTGTCTGGCTGACAGCACCTTACCGACCTTCACTCAGCTCATAGAGAAGGTCGATGCATGACTCTTAGAGAAACATCGGATGAATAAGGCTTCTGGCTGCTTTCTTTTCAGGATAAATATCAGAGATCAGCTGATGCAGAAGATCCTTGTCACAACTCCAGCTCCAGAGCTTACCCTAAGAGCAAACTCAGTGAACACTTGGAGCATTTAAAGTGAAAACAGGCCAGGCATGGTGACACACACTTGTAACCCCAGAGCTTTGGGAGGCCAAGGCAGGTGGATCATTTGAGCCTGGGAGTATGAGTCCAGCCTGGGTGACGTGGCAAGACCCTGTCTCTACAAAAAAAAAAAATTACAAAAATTAGCCAGGCATGGTGGTGTGTGCCTGTAGTCCCAGCTACTTGGGAGGCTGAGGCAGGAGGATTGCCTGAGCCCAGGAGGCGAGGGTTGCATTGAGCTGAGACTGTGCCACTGCACTCCAGCCTGGGTGACAGAGGGGCACCCTGTCTCAAAAAAATAAAATAAAATAAATAAATAAATAAAGTGCAAACAAGTAAAAATATTTCTATATTTGACCCTTTCCAAATTATTCTCATCCATTCCCTCTCATCGATTATAATCTTTGGGCAAGCACACAGTTGGGCGATCCCGCTTCTGATACATTGGTGGGAAGCAGGGAGAAAGGAAAAAAACATCAGTTTCTTTTGAATTTAATTCAATTTTACAAACAAATTGAGTACCTCTTTGGCTTGGTACTAGGGATACAAGGACTAGGAATTACAGTCAAGTCAAAGGAAGAGACTGCTCACTCTCAAAACTAAGAAGTAGCACAAGATGTTACAAGAGCACATGGGAGAGACACTCAACTTAGCCTTGTTGGAGTGAGGATCAGGGAAGGCTTCCTGGAGGAGATGACAGCCTATACTTAGTCCTGAAGACTGAATAGGAGTTTTTCAGGCAAAGAGGATGAGAAGAGGATGAAGATAGTGTATGCAGAGAACAGCTTATGCAAAAGTTCCGAGGAAAGTGCGTGGTTTGAATGATACAGCACGTAATTTATTTTTAAATACTTCAGCATCAACTGAGAGATGTGTGTTCATTTTAATCAACACCTTAGGAGTGATTCGCTAACATGTGAAGTACTCTGATCAGGGATACATACTCCGGAGTGTTTCATTAGCTTTGAAAGGCTCTAATTGGAAGTCCACACTCTAGAGGTAGCTTCTGCAAGAGCTTCAGCAATCTTTATTTTCCTTCAGCACCAGAGCGTTTATTCATTTGTATAATGGGTTTAGAAATAGTTTTTCATTAATGAAATGAGTTGTTCACAAGATATATGGATGGCTAAGAATGTGGTAAGGGCCCTCCATGCTTGTGTGCACTGAGTGTAAGAAGTTTTCAAGCTCAACAGCTTACACCCTTCATAATGTCCCACCAAGCCTAAGACTCCATCTGGTCTTATGCCACAGACACTTAACAGATGATTCTACGCTGTCTGGCTTGAATCTGACTAGTAGCCCACATGAATTCTGCCACTAGAATATTTTCTCATCATGCAAGATGTGTGTCATACAGAGAGCAAAGATCTCATCAAGCTTAGAAAAATACTTATGTGTTATTATAGTGCTTGCTTATTAGTACATGTTTATATATATAGCAGAATTTGGTCTGGGTCTTGCTTTCAGTGCAACATACACATACCCCTTGGATGGGCAGCCATAGTAGAGGGGATCTCTAATCCTCCTCTTGCTTTAACTAAGGTAGGCCATAGATATCTTTCAAAAAGAACCTAAGCCAAATGAGCAGCCAAATTGGCTGCAGTCTGTTTTCCACAGCAGGTCTCCTTGGTTTTTTTTTTTTTTTTTTTTTTTTTAGCAGTGCTAGCCATCCTTTCCCGCCACTCCAGGGAGGAAGTTATCCAAGGTGGGTCAATTCAACTGGGCAGCAGGAAGGAGCAGAATCCCATGGAAAGGTGCCCAAGTTCTACCAGGAAGACAATACCAGTCCTGACAAATCTGCTGGGTAATGCAAGGACAAAAATAAGAGGACTGCTTGGTGACTGGGAGAGCTAGAGAAGGATGGAAAGGGGTGTGAGACCCTGGTTAGGATGAGTGGGTCAGGACTGAGGCTGTGACTAGCAGGTGACTGCCACAGCACACCTTCGTCATGAAGCCAGAACACAGCATGCTGGCTTCAAGGAGCCACTCTCAGCTGGACACCAGCCAGCTACCCACGGCCAAGCTTATTACCTATTGCTCCTCCAGCACCTCCCGAGATCTGCTCTGCCTCCTGTGTTTTCCGTTCAGCTAATGGCATCACCCTCCACATGGGAATCACCCTGAGAACCTCCAATGTCATCTCCCCAATTTTAATCAATCACCAAGTCTAAAAACTTCTATCAACAAAATATCTCTTGACTCCATTATAACTGGCCCACAACCAACTGCCTTGGTTCCGGCCCTATCGTCTTTCCTGTGGGCCATTGCCACAGGCCACACTACAAAAGCCTCCTTGCTGGTCTTCATACCTCTATCCCATGTCTCAGCTGCCTTTCTGAAGTACAGATTAAAACCCTGTAGAGACTCCACCATTGTCCCCAGTACATCAAATTCTAGAGCATAGATTGTTAGAACTGTTTTGATTGCAATGGAGTTAGAAACCTAACTAGGACTAGCTTGAGTGAAAAGGGGAAGTTGGTTGGTTCACTTAACTGGATTACAGGAAACACAAGTGTTGTGCCTCAGGGACTGGAATCAAGGACTCAAATATCACTGGAATGCTTCCTCTGTGTGTTGTCAATGTTGTCTTCTCCATGCACCTGGATCATAACCTGTGGCAACTTGGGCCTCACAAATGCTCAGTTGCACCCATCTTTTTAAGTTCCAATATGAAAAATCCCAGGGAGGGCCTCCTATTGGTCTGGTTGGTATAATGGACCTCTAGTCTAAGGAATATGCCTGGGATGGGGTCACCATGAATGACTCTAGATGTCTCTGGACAAGGGCCAGAGCATGATACATCATTAATATTGATGACAATGGAGGTACTTAGATAACCCACCTAAGTTCTGGCCATGAAAACATAGCTGAATAATTTTCTCCCTGGTCAACTAATCCCTAGCAATATGACACAGGAGTTAAGCCCTTAGGCTCTGGAGTTAGAAGTGTGTGGGTTCAAATCCCAGCTCTCCCAATTATTAGTTGTGTGACCTTGGACAGTGTGCATAGCCCCAATGAGCCTCAGTTTCCTGATCTGTAAAATGGGGAGGGAAGTATAATGATACTGTGTGAAAATTTAAGGAGGCAGGGCATTGAGAGCACTTAGAACACAGCCTGGCTCTCGGTGTGCGCTTGTCAGCTCTTCCTGCTCCCAGCAGCCTTGGCATGAGTGGACAGCCTTCAGAAGGCAGCAGGGCCTCAGGCTACTGCCTGCTGCCAGCAGAATGAGATCAGGGTTAATCAGAGGAACAGACTGACCTGATTCCCAGCACTCCAGTGAAGTGACCCATCTGACACCTTGGAGAAGACAGTGCCAGGAAGAGGAGTTGCTTGGCACATGACATTCTCCATAAGGAAAGGCTGAGGGGTCCTTTCAGAGTACCTTTGTCTCCCTGCCAGAGGAGAACAACATCTGGGAGGAAGTATTTCTTCAGCTTCATAGTTATAATGCCGCCAGCCTTGCGGGTCATAGCCTGGAATCATCTCTTTATTAAATAATAATTAAGAGGCCCCTGTAAAGGGAATCTGGGTCTAATTACCTGAGTCATTAAGCTACCCCATTGAAACTGGGAGGCTCTTTTGCTCCTGTGGCCCCACTCTAAAGCAATTTTCACATTTCTGGAAGCAGCAAGTGGAGTCTCACTTTTGTGGGGGGCTCAGACTCAAGGTCCTGTGTTTAAGTATACACGTCATTCAAGAAGGCTCCCACCAAGCATCCAACTCAAAGAGTGAGTCCTCCCCTTTCCCATACTGCAAGATCTAAATTGGTCTTGGAACGGAGAACACAAGGAAGGGCCAAGGGACCAGCTGGGCAAGGAATCAGCTCATTAGTAGCCTCTATGGAGGTGTTGAAATTGAGCAAGTTAAAAGCATATTAGTTTAAATGAGACTTTTCACAAATGAGGGGAAGTGTTTAGGTAGGAAGCAGATGTAATCATTTTGTGATGGGGCATAATTTGATAATTAATGGAGAAGTTGTCAGTATAATCTTGAGGGAGCCCCAGGAAATGAAGAAATCTGTCTTTATTAAGGGAAACTCAGGAGAAAAAGTTATTGGAAATGCAAGTGATTCACCAGCAAGGTCCTGGTGGCAAGTCGTTATTAGATGTGCATGTTGGGACCGTCTTTCTGCCACATCTGTGTGTTTTGTCTTGATTCACCAGGCCCACTACCTCTCCTAATGGGAATGCAGAGAATAGAGAACATTGAAGGCGGTTGTGAAGCAAACCCAGGCTTCTTTCTTCCGTGCAGACGGGCTGGCCAGCGTCTGCTATGCTTAGCAGGAAAGCAGGGAGAGACAAGCCTAACTGGCTCCCTGGGGGCCAGCCAGATTTTGACTCCCTAAAGCCTGTGCAGCCAGGGTTCAGTTTCCCAGGGAGATGCTAGGAGTGTGCTTCCATGGAATATGTGAGCCCATGGAAGAGCAAGCCCAGGGAAGCACAATCCTAGTATCCCACTGGGAAAAGAGGCTGGGTGGACTCCCACTTGGCCAGAACAGGAGTCCAGGAGAAAAACCCCACAAGGGTGCCTATGCACAGTGATTAAGGCACGGGCTCTGGAGCCAGAATGCCTAGGCTCAGCTCTCCACTTGGCCACAATTTCTCTTGACATTAAGTGTGCTATTCAAGGTCTCTGTGCTTCAATTTCCTGGTGCCTATCTCATAGGGCCAAGGATGGGAAGAGTAATTCTATGTAAAGGACCCACAGCAGTGCCTGGTGCTGAAGGTCTGCTCAACAAGTGTAGTTAGCATTTGCCGTTAACTACTAGCCATGTATGGCATTTGAGCACTGGAAATGCAGCCAGTCTTGGTTGATATGTGCTGTAGGTGTAAAATGGACATAGAATTCAGACTTTGTGCAAGAAAGAGAATATAAAATATCTCATTGATAATTTTTATATTGATTACATATTGAAATGATAGTATTTTGAATATATTGAGTTAAATAAATACATGTTATGAAAATTAGTATTGCCCGCTCTTCTTTTCTTATTATAGTAAAAAACACTAACATAAAATTTACCCTCTTAACCACTTTTAAGTGTACAGTTCAGTAGTGTTAAATATGTTCACATTGTGGTGAAACAGATCTCCAGAACTTCTTCATCCTGCAACTCTGAAACTCTATACCCATTAAAAAACTCCCCATATGCCTCTCTCTTCAGCTCTGGCAACCAACATTCCACTTCTTGTTTCTAGGAATTTAGATATTTTAGATACCTCATATAAGTGGAATCATACAGTATTTGTCTTTTTGTGACTGACTTCTTTCACTTACCATAATGTCCGCAAGCTTCAGCCATGTCATATCATGTGATAGGATTTACTTTCTTTTTAAGGCTGAGTAATATTCCATCCTTTTTTTTTTAGGGTGACTATTAGAAAATGTAAAATGTATTTGTGGTTCCTATTATATTTCTACTGGATAGTGCTAGTTTAGAACTAGCGGTTCTCAACCTCATCAGTTCCAACCCCTCCTTACCACAATGAATTTGTAACACTCTCTTCACTCTCCTGAAATAAACTGTATAGATAAAATAACTCATATGCACACATAATTTTTAAAAAAGAACAATATAATAACCTAACTGTAAGTATATAGAATAAATGAAAGGAATCTATAGAGAAAAAATATATTTTAATTTACTGTTAGACATGACCACTTAATACAAAATAATCAGATGCTTCAATGAATATGTAAAATCACCACTAATGGGATAGGTATCAATGCAGAGTAGTAACTCAAATTTTAGGAGTGATGTTGCCAGCAGAAACATGATGTCCTGAAATGAAACAGCTCAGTAAAATTCCAACAAAACAAAGTACAATTTTCTCTCTATTTATATGGTTACATTCTTACAAAAATGCATGTAAATTTAAATGAAGTAAAATATATAGGTATATATGGAAACTGTAATTAGGTTCTGGGCTAAGAGACTTCAAAATAGATTTTTCACCTAAATGAAAGCCCAATGAGATATTTACAAATCAAGAGGACCCCAGAGAAATTTTTCACTTTGCAGAGCTGCCCTGTGCATTGCAGAACATCTTGTTTCCCTGTGTCACTGTATATCTATCGAAGGCCTATACCATCCTTCAACCACTGGGACAATCAAAAGCATCCCCTCTATTTTCCAGTGCTCTCCCATGGAGGCAGCAGAGCCTCCACTGAGAAGCAGCGATACTGAATTGTGAGAAACACAGTGTGGTGATCCCAAAGGTTCACTGTTCAGGAGCTGCTCGGCTTTTCTGCCCGGTGGTCTCATCCATCCGCGGTTCCCACCATGGCTTTCAGTAACTCAACGTGAGGGGAGTCCTCTGGTCCAGCAGTAACCACTCTCCAGCACAGACCAGAAGGCTAGATGCTGAAGTTTCTCCAGAACTTCAAATACAACAGACTCAGCCCTTTTCCCTGTAAACCCATGCCTTTCCTTGACATCTTAGTTTCACTGTCACCAGTGTTTTCTCCAACCCCACCCCGACCCTTACATAAGGCAGAATCACCAAAGCCTCTTCTCTCTTTGCTCATGGCCTCCCATTTCCCCTGCTTCCAGCTTCCCTGCCTCTCCCTTGGATCTGCAGGTTTCTCAGTGGCCCCTCATTGCTCTTCCTCACTCTAGTCTGCCACCGCCACTCCATCCTGTTCATCACAGCCCATGAAAACTGGGAAGCATGAGGTCAGCATTCAGTTCTTTGCAGTCAGGCCCAATGTTCCTTTACAGTCCTCCAGAAGTCTCCACCAAGAGCTCTTCCCTTTCATCTGAGTGAGAGGCAGCATAGCCTAGTGGACAAACTCAGGCTAGGATCAGCAAGAGCTATCCTGTATTGACCTAGCCCTGCACAGTCATGAGCTGCTGAATGATGGGATATGTTCTGAGAAATGTGTCTTTAGGCGATTTTGCCATTGTGCGAAACATCATAGAGTGAATGTATACAAACTTGGGTGGTATAGCCTACTACACACCCAGGCCATGTGGAATAGCCTATGGCTCCTACGCTAAAAGCCTGTACAGCATGTTATCATACTGAATGCTATAGACAACTACAACACAATGGTAAGTGTTTGTGTATCTAAGCACACCTACACATAGAAAAGGTGCAGTAAAAATATGGGATAAAAATGTTTTAATGGTACATCTGTATAGGGCAGCTCCATTATAATCTTATGGGACCACCATTGTATATGCGGTCTGTCACGGACTGAAATATGGGTTTCTTTTTTTCTTTTCCTTTTTTTAGAGACAGGGTCTCGCCCTGTCACCCAGGCTGGAGTGGAGTGGTATGATCACAGCTCACTGTAGCCTTGAACTCCTGGGCTCAAGCCATCTTCCCACCGCAGCCTCCCCAGGTAGCTGGGACTATTAGGCATGAGCCACCATGCCCGGCTAATTTTTTTTTCTGTAGCGATGAGGTCTTGCTATATTACCCAGGCTGGTCTCAGACTCCTTGGGCTTCAAGTGATCCTCCTGCCTCCACCTCCCAAAGCTCTGTGGTTACAGGCGTGAGCCAGTGCGCCCGCCCTGAAACATGAGTTCCTATCCAAACTTCACTCCTTATTAGCTGCCTCTGGGTAAATGAGTTAGCCTCTATGTACCTCCTTCTTCCTCTATAAAATAGGCTTCACCATATGTGCTCTGTGGTGCTGTTATAGATAATTAAGAATGTGCTTGTAAGACACCAAGGACTAGGCTGGCTTGTAGGAGAAACAGCCACTGCTGGGTCCCTAGACCATGTTTTCTCTTCTTCAGCATTGTTCCTTCTCTCTACACATTGAGCCAAATATTTGCACAAATTTCCTGTCATCTCAGTCAGACAGTTATCCCATAACAGACCATAAGGGGAGCTAAGACCTCATTTCACTAGATATGGACTAAGACAAAAAAATATGTATTTACTAGAAAACAAAAACAGCACTTTCGGTGGACTGTAAAGTTCCCGAGGGCCATGAGAAGTAATAACTGATGGGCACTGAGCCAGCAGGTAACTGACTGTACAGCTCTGGTTTTGCGGGTGGGGTGGATGTGTTTGGGAACTGCAGAGGCCATAGAGACTGTCCGCCCTGGCCCCTCAGTCCTGCATGCCCTCTGCACTCAGCCTCAGTCTCTCTAGCAGGTGAAATTCAAGCAAAGATTTTTAACACATCAATTTGAAGGAGTGTCCGATGCATGCCAGCCCTGGGTGCCTAGTGTCTTCTCCTGGATATGGCTGCATCAATGCTCAGGCTGTCATTCACAACTCCAGGGCCCACCTGGTCTGGGAAGCTTTTCCCATTTTGTCACTCCCTGGCCATCCTTCCCTTCTTGGAAGTCCCGAACACTCACCAAGAGCACATCTGATGATCTTCTCAGTTGGGTTTTTGTATCTCAGTGAAATAAATGATGAACCTCTCAGGGACAAGAACAGCATCTTGCACCTCTTCCCATCCCCTATAGCCCCAGGTCACTGCTATACTAGGAGACAGGCAATGAAATGTGACATGAGTGAAGGATAGAGACAAATGTTCACAAATTCAGGAAGAAATCTCAGAGTGTGGGGGATGAAAGAAGTTAATTATTAGCTCACTTTATCTGAGCTGGCTTGGGTGTGGTCTTGCTTAGAGGACAGGTGAGGTGGCCCAGCCGATGGTTTCATGGCACTTCTCTCATCAGTGGGCTCTGTTCTTCCCAACACACATGCTGGACTCTCAGAAGGATGCATCTCCCTCTGTGCAGATTTTGCCGTGAATTACCAGATAGAGATCAATATTAAGTGTGGTCTCTGCTGACTAAAAGTTGAAGACCGTCTCAGAGTGCCTTGAGGAGATGGACTTGATTCCCTAATAGTGCCTACCATCCATTGAAGGGGGAATTCTTTTGGCATAAAAAATTCAAGCATCCAAGTGGAGGCCCCTTCCCCTCCCCTACCAAAAAACAAAACTTGAAAAAGAGCTCATTCCCAAAGTTGTTTCTTCAGAATACAGAACCTACTTGAAACAAAGTTTAACCTTTCTGGGGTTCAAGTTCATTTATCCTTTGCATATACAACTTCAGCAGCTTCTTTATTTCTAAGAACAAAGTCTTGTTAAAAGGAAAAAAGTCTCTACAGTCTCCTTGGACATCAAATAGTTCTTCAGAGAAAACGCTTTGATGAGCTAAGTGTAAATGAGTAAGAAACATACGGATTAGATTTCTCATATAATACACATGGATTTAAGAATTAAAAAGGAAAATCTTTTTGGAAAACGTGGTTTGGATTTGGATTCTGCCTACTCCACAGACACTGATTAAGTTAAAAATGTGGATTTTCCTTGTGTCTCACTCCCCATCTTCAGCCTCAGGAACTAGCACCCATTCTTTCTCAAGAGTGATGTTGGATAACCAAAGGCCAAAGAGGACTTCTAAATAAGGCACACACAGATTACTAATGTTCGAAAACCACATAGGTTTTTGCAACAGACTCTCTTCCCAGTAGATTGGGTTTTAAAGCACATTTTAGAAACACCTCTCTTTTGGCTGCGGTGGCTCACTAACCATGAGTAAGCCCCAGCCCTGTGTTTTGGTGAGCTAAATACACCACCCTCTGGTAACCAGATTCTGTGGCTGGTAATCCCATTGCAGGAGGCCCCTTGCTACCCTTGGGTAGATGATTTTACCAGCTGTGGCCTTGATATGACATTATGCATGTGCCACAAGTTGAACCCAATTGAGAATGTTTTCTTTGAGTCAGCACATGCTTTCATACAGTGTCGAGCAGAGATTAAATGGGGTTAGAAAGGTGAAAGGAGTTGACACAGTACAGGGCACATGGAAGGTGCTCACTGCATGGTGGTTCTGTCTAGAAAACATTGAAAATTGACTTTTGTTACCTCTGAGGATCAGAACTGCTCCTCTGCACAGTAAAAACCCTGCACAGTTTTACTAAGGGGGGTGCTGGCTGCAAGAACCAGGCAGCCCTGCTTCCTGGCACTGACCACGCTGGGTAAACACGTCTCTGTCCAGGAAATTGGAAATCAGGTGAGAGATTCTACTTAATGGCCACTGCAGCTGGCTGGAATGTAGAGTAAGCCACTTTTCTCCTTGGGCAGAGAGAGAGCCAGTAGAGAAAGCCCGGCTCAGACAGGAAGAAGGATGAAGCAGAAGCACAGAGAAAACAGAAATGAGAGGCCGAATCCTCCTCCAAATCAGCACCAGGTCCCCTCAGTGCTGCTCCCACGTGTGGGTCTTCTTTAAAAACCAGCTTTATCAAGACATAATTCATGTACTGTGCAATTTACCCGTGTAAAGTGCACAATTCCACACCACATGCAAAAATCAACTCACAGTGGATTAAAGACTTAAATGTAAAACCGGAAACCATAAAACTCTTAGAGGAAAACAGGGAAAGAACTTCCAGCCATTGGACTTGGCGATGATTTCTTGGATATGACACAAAAACACAGGTAACAAAAACAAAAAGAGAAACATGGGATTATATCACACTAAAAAGCTTCTATATAACAGAGGAAGCAACCAACAGAGTGAAAAAGCAAACTACAGAATGGAAGGAAGTATTGGCAAATCATTTATCTGATAAGAAGTTAATATACAAAATATATAAAGAACTCACACAACTCAATAGCAAAACAAAAACAAAAACAAAAACAAATAACCCTATGTAAAAATGGGTAAAGGACTTGAATAGATATTTCACGAGAGAAGACATACAAATGAACAACAAGTATATGAAAAGGTGTTCAACATCACTAATCATCAGGGAAATGCAAATCAAAGTCATGAGCTAGCACCTCACATCTGTTAGAATGGCTATTATCAAAAAACTCCGAAAGATATCAGTCTGTGAGTGTAAAGGTGAGGGTGTGAAGAAAAGGGAAGCTTTGTACACTGTTGGTGGAAATGTAAATTGGTGCAAACACTATGGAAAACAGTATGGAATTTCCTTGAAAAGTTAACAATAGAATGACTGTATGATCCAGCAATCTCACTTCTGAGTATACATCCAAAGGAGTTGAAGTCAGGATTCTGAAGAGATATCTGTACTCTCATAATCACTGCAACATTACTCACAATAGCCAAGATATGGAATCAACCTAAGTGTCCATTAATGGATGAATGGATTAAAAATGTGGTACATACATACAGTAGGATATTAGTCAGACTTTAAAAAAGAGGGAAGTTCTCTCATTTGCAACAACATAGACCTGGAGGAAGTTATGCTAAATGAAATGAGCCAGATACAGAAAGACAAAGGGTGCACAACCCCACTTTTATGACAACTCTATAATAGTCAAACTCATAGAATCAGAGTAGTATAGTGGTTATCAGGGGCTGGGTGGGGAAGATTGGGGGGGTATTGTTCAAAGGGTACAAAGTTTCTGATATGCAAGATGCATAAATCTGGAGATCTACTGTACAACATAGAGCCAACAGTTACAATACTGTATTGTATAATTAAAAATTTCCTCAGAAGGTAGATCTTATGTTAAGTACTCTTGCCACAAAAGAAAAAAATTTAATTAAAATAAATAAATACATAAAGGAGGCAGAAGGCAACTTTTGGAGGTGATGGATAAGTTTATGGCTTTGATTGTGGTGATGGTTTCTTGAGTGTATTCTTATCCCCATTAAATACATACAACTTTTCGTATATCAGTCATACTTCAATACAGTGGTTTAAAAAATAAGGTATACAATTCAGTGGTTTTTACTATATTCACAGATATGTGTAACCATTACCACAGTCAATTTTAGAACATTTTTATCAGTTCAGAAAGGAACTCTTGTACTTTTTAGCTATCACTCCACCTCCACTGCCCCCTCCCTGTAGTCCTAGGCAACCACTAATCTACTTTTTTTTTTTTTTTTTTTTTGAGATAGGGTCTTGCTCTGTCACCCAGGCAGGAGTGCAGGAGGACAATCATGACTCACTGCAACCTCAATCTCCTAGGCTCAAGCCATCCTCCTGCCTCAGTCTCCTCAGTGGCTGAGACTTCAGGTGCATGCCACTATGCTGGGCTAATTTTTTTGGTTGTTTTTTTTTTTTTTTTTTGTAGAGACGGGGTCTTGCTATGTTGCCCAGGCTGGTAGTGAACTTCTGAGCTCAAGCAATCTTCCTGCCTCAGTCTCCCATTAGTACTGCCCACCACTAATCCACTTACTGTCTCTACAGGTTTTCCTCTTCTGGAGTTTCATATGAATGTAATCATATAACATGTGGCCTTTTGTGACTGACTTCTTTCAAGTGGCATAGTGTTTTTAAGGTTCATCCACATTGTGGCATGTCAGTACCTTATTCCTTTTTATGGACAAACAATATTTCATTGTATGGATGTACTACAATTTGTTTATATTTGTTTACCTATTCATTAACTGATGGACACTTGGGTTGCTTCCACCTTTTGGCTGTTGTGAATAATGCCGCTGAGGTTAATAATAATGAGCCTTGAGGATGTTACGATGAGAAAAATAAGTTAGTCACACAAAAAAGATAAGTGTGATTCTACTCATACGAGGTATCTAAAGTGGTTAAATTCATAGAAACAGAAAATAGAATGACAGTTGCTGGGAACGAGGAGGGGTGGCAAGTGGGGAGTTGTTTAATGGGTAAGAGTTTAGTTTCACAAGTTTTTTTTTTTTTTTTGAGATGGAGTCTCACTCTGTCGCCAAGGCTGAAGTGCAATGGTACCGTGTCAGCTCACTGCAACCTCCGTATCCTGAGTTCAAGCAATTCTCCTGCCTCAGCCTCCTGAGTAGCTGGGATTACAGGCGCCCACCACCACCCCTGGCTAGTTTTTAAAAATATTTTTAGTAGAGACGGGGTTTCACCATGTTGGTCAGGCTGGTCTCGAACTCCTGACCTCAGGTGATCCGCCCACCTCAGCCTCCCAAAGTGCTGGGATTACAGGTGTTAGCCACCACACCCAGCCTAGTTTCACAAGTTTTACATGATGAATGAGTTCTGAAGCTCTGTTGTACAACAATATGAATATATTTAACACTACTGAACTGTATACATAAAAATGATTAAGACAGTAAAATTTATGTTATGTGTTTTTTACCATAATTACAAACTTTACAAAGCATCTGTGCTTTATTCTCCCTTACTTTCTTGTCGGCTATCTTGCAGTTCAGGCCATGGTCCATGCTGGGCTAGGCCTAACCAAGGTCAGGACCTATCTGGAGGGGCTCACAGGGCCCCCGAGGGAATGCTCATTTGGACACTTCCCCTGTTCTGCAGAGCACAACAAGAGGGTGATGGCAGGGCCAATTCTCCAGTGGCCACAGCTGGAGGCCCCCTCGGTAGCCAGCAGGGGCAGACTGCACACCAGGTACTCCCCATGAGGATGCCTCAGACCAGCTTGGGCCTTGGCATAGATTTTCTGGCTAGGCTAAAGTCATGCCCACTTCAGTCTCTCCATTTTTGCTCATTTCCAATTGGTTCCTCTTTGTGCCAATCATATACGCTGCTAGGAATGGGAGAATAGACTTAAGAAGGCTTTGGGGTATAAACAAGAACACTGTTTAGGAGAAAATGTTTTGAAACAAGTAGGTGCAGGAAGAACCCATTTGTTCCTATGCCTCTTACTGTGTAGTCAGAAAACCCCTGTATAAGTATTAAATAGATTTACATTCACTCTGGTAGCAACAACAAAAATAATTCTATCTGCCATCTACTGTATACTTACTGTTTTTCCAAGGACTTAAAACAAACTTATTTCATTTCATCTGATAAAGCTAATATTACTATCTCCATTTCATAGATGAGGACATAGAGGCCCAGACAGAAACTTGCCCAAGAAGTAGAGCCAAGATTTGAATACATGCCTGTATGAGTCCAAAGGAGTCATACAGTATGAGTTCAAATATATGCCTGTATGAGTCATTATGAGTAATGACTCACAGTCATCACTCTACGCAGACCTCTCTTATTAGTCTATTAACATTTATTAAGTGCCCACTTTGGACAAGCTCCTGAACGAGGCTGTAATGTGAACACTAATAGAGGAGAGAGAAAAACCCATACATGGGGAATGGCCAAGGAATAACTTTAAGTAAGTACATATAAGTATCACTGTACTATACATGAATGGGGAGGGTGAATATATGAGTTAACTACATACAGAAGAGAACAATAAATAGTCTGGCTGTATCTTTGAATCACAGGATTTTAGAGTTGAAAGGGATCTGGGGGGTCATCTAATCCCACCTCTCACCCCAAACAGAGATCTCTTCTACAAGTATCTGTGGAAGTTCCAGTGTCAACTTAAAGGCAGTGAGCCAGTTCTTTTGATTTCCAGGTTTTTGGTTATTATAAAGTTCCTGCCTTTCATCACCAAATCTGTCTCCCTTTGGGGAATTCTCCTATTGGTCCCAATTTTCCCCACAAATCTATAGCAAATAGTCACCCTTCTCATTGCCGTGACTGCCATTCTTCACATGGATAAAGGGAAGACAAGCATGTGTTGACCACTTACTCTGCTCCAAACACATTCCAATAGTGCCACTCAATAGGGATGATGGTTTCTCATCTAAGGACTCTGAAGAGTCATTAGAGACATTAAGAGTCATTAGAGATATTAAGAAACTTGTCTAAGTTACACAGTTGGAAGTACTGGAGCAGAGATTTGAACACAAACTCACCTCTTTTCTACTACACTACACTGCCTCTCAAAGCCAGTTGTCATCACCATGCTCCTCATCTTCTCTTATAGACCATCTAAATATCCCTGGTTTCTACAGACTTTCCTTCTCAGCATACAAGTTCTCTAGACCTCTCCTGATGTTGGTTATTCTCTGAACAGGCTCCAGTTTGTCAATGTCCCTCTTGAAATGCACCATAAGACCAGAATTCAATACCCAGTGTGGCCAGACCATCCTGCCTAGCTTGCTTGCCCTGCACGCCATTTGCATGCCCAGGATGGCTTCGCTGACTTAAGAAGCATAGTAGACCTGTCACACATTTGGCTTGGGCTGATCTTGATGTAGCTGCAACCTGGGTCTTTTTCATATGAGCTGGTTTCAAGTCACATTTCATCCATCCCTTACTTACACCATTGCTTCTAATAAGTCTCAATGGGATCCTGTTGGATTCATTTATTGGTTTTGAGAGAGTATTTCAATTTGTTAAACAGCATATTCGCTGCTTCTCTGGCTTTAGGCTATCTGAACATTTTAAAAGTAAGTCTTCAATGTTGTGATACAAGTCACTGATAAGAATGTTGAACATGCCAGGACCAAGAGCAGAGCCTTGAGACATCCACTGGACACCTCCAACAGGGTGGCAATTCATCGATTAATTAATGCTCTTTCAGTACAGTTGTCTACCCAGCTGTGATTCCAGTGAGTTATTTTTAACTCCACATTTCATTTCTCTACCTCCTCACAGTTTATGTAATAAAAAGCTTTGCAAAACACCTGCTGGAATTCATCCAAAACATCCTCTTTTTTTTCCGAGTGTGTTCTGTAGAATGCTTGATCAGTGGGATGGTATTAAATAGGTTTTTTGGTGCAGGACTTCTCAGAACCTTTAATGTGCTAATGTGTCCTGTGAATCTTCAAGAGAAACTACAGTAGCACACTGTGTTTCTCAAAGTTGAGGTAGGTCCTTTATTTTATTTTATTTTTGCTTAGGTGGGATTTGTACTCTGCTCTTTGCTCATTTGTAGTATTCCCTTGATCTACCAATCTGATAACTACGTGTAAAAGCAATACAACATTAGCTCTGCATGGCTTGTTCTTAGTGAACCTCTGCTAATGCCCAGTGATCAATGCTTGCTTCTATAAAGATGGTCACAGACCACCCTTTAATAATCTGCTCTAGAATTTTACTGTGGATTAAGACCACGCTTGTTGACCTGCAGTTTTCAAAATCTATTTTTTCTCTTCTCTCTCCTGATACAATACATTCTTGTTTCTCGGGGTTTAACCCACCACAACTATGAACTTCAGCACCATGATATTTACTGCAACAGAAGCATGATATTTACTGCACCTGACACAGTCAGCTGCCACTGTGGGCTTCAGTTCTCTTCTATCCATGTGTGCACCGCCTTTTCTAGTTTGAATGGGATTCTCTTGATGGAGAACATATAAACGAAATCTAAACAACTCAGGTTCATGGTCAAGGCAGATTCCTGACTCGTGCTCCCTCAGATTTTCACTTTACTCACAAAAGGAGGTAGATGCCATGGGGGTAACGAGCTAGCCTGCATGTCTTGCTACAGAACTGTTCTGATTGAGAATGAAAGGGTGAAGATGAGCTTCCTAGTGGCGGGGTAGGGGGAAGGGTGTGACGAAAAAGACCCTGATGAATATTCGAGCAATGGAAACAGTCCAGAATGGCCGGGGACAGAGATGAGGGGAGAAAGGGACCAGGGACATGAGGGAGGGCCAGAGCATGGCTTATGAGCCCTGATAAAGAGAAAAGAGAAATCACAGAAGGAACTGCAGCAGTGAGAGAGAAACAGTCAGATTGAACTCTATTCCCAAGGAGTGAACACCCATTCTTTTGTCTCCTACTCTTGTTCTATATGTGGAGTTTGTAAGCTGTGCCCATTTCCTTTTAAATAATAGTCGTTTGCTTTTTCTAAACACCTCAAATCACCCCAGGGTTGGCCACTCCTGATACTCTCCTTTTGCGGGTTTTTTTTGCCACTCTTGATAAGCATCCTTGGCTGGGTGCATTCTGTTTTTGTGTATACATGCCCTTTAAAGTTCTGAACTGTTAGTCAGTGACAGAAGGCTTCAGAGAGTGGAGCAGGCTTCTGAAGATGAGAAATGTGGTGTCAGGGAAGAGAAAAAGAAGTTTGGTAGAAAGGGCACATTCCCTAAGTGTATGAAGCCCCAAGGCTGCACAAGCAATGTGTGGTTCATATTTAGTGGCTCTTGGGTGGACATGGTGTATAAGGGCAAGAAGCTAGGAGGAGGAATCTGAAGGTGGCCTGAACCCTGGCTCTGCTATCACCAGCTCTGTGGCCCTGGCCAAGTCATTGCACTACTCTGGGCCTCAGTGTCTTAACCTTTGCAATGTAAGGGATTCAACCAAGGCTTGACCCTGAGCCCCCTCCTTCAAACTTCTTCGTTGCTCCTTGTCTCCCCTGTCTGCATGTGCACGTGTTTGCATGTGACAGCTATCTCATACAGGGTGTTCTGCCATCCAGGCCACAGCCTCCTTCTTGAACTGTTTGCAAGTCAGAAGCTGGACTGCAGATACAGCATCTGGGAGCAACTCTCCTTGGATCGGAAAGAAGGTGAAAATGTGCTATTCTGTTTTATTTCCCCAGTCATCTTTTAATGGAGCCCAGACTCTGGCTTCCATCAGCAGAAGAGATCAGGAGGCAGATTATGGGATTGTAATCTTACAGAACGACGAGTCCACCTCTCCCTGTGGCCAAGTGAGTGATTCACGTTTGGCTCAGTTAACACTAGGGAGAAGTCAGATTAACACAGTTACTTGCTTGGAAATGGAGGTTGTTGCACATGGGGCTGGCTTTCTTGAGAGAACACATTTTCAAAAAACACTAATGTGTTTTGTTCAGGGATAAAATGTTCTCAGTGGTCCATCATTGCCTGTCTGGAAAGCTTGCAGTAAGCGGATGCAGGAGGGATGATCATTTAATAGCTCCCCAACCTAAACTCACCATGACAGGATAGAGTTAGGAGGATGAAAGATAATTAGTTCAGTTTGGGGAGAACCGCCAATGGAAGTGCCTTTTCTTTAGACTCTTTTTTGATCAGAGCAGTAACTAAGCCTCAGAAGACACAGAAGGAAGAACATCTTCCCTAGATGCAGAGCAGATGCAGCCCCTGGCAGCCTAGACCCTGGGGCTCAGCAAAGCTCCGGAAAACCCCCGACAAACATTGCAGTCCCATCTGAAAACCAGAGGGGCGGTGGATTCCATCAGGAAGGAAGCAGCTCTGGTATGGAACTGTCAGATGCACTGAAGTGGATCCAGCCAGCTCCTTACGGGCAAGGAGCCATAAAAGTGGAACTCGGGGACCTGCTGCAGCAGAACTTTTTGTTTTGCTTTTGTGGCCCAGCGAAGCACCCACTTGCAATACTCTCCATCAGCAAGTGTTCCGGGGAAGTGACAAATCTCCAGAGGCCAACGGTTCCACCTCTTTCCTTTTGAGGTAGCCCTTATGGGGATCTCCTGGATGGATTAGGTTGATTCTGGGTGGATGCCAAGGCCACAAAGGAAGATTCCTCATGAGTCAAGGGGGTGCCTGGCTGGAAAATTGGGCTCCTCGTGGGGCAAGGGCTGGGTCTGGAGTAGACTGTGTTTGAGGCTTGAACTTCCAACCTCCCTGGCACTGTCTTGTGCTTTGGGAGTGACTTCCAGGCATAGTGCCACCCAGCCACCCAAGCTAAAACACTATCACAGTGGGGTGGAAATGGAAAACAGTATCATGCCAGAGAGGACAACCGTTCACTGCCCTGGGTTGAGCCTGTGGAGCAGAGTGCTTACCTCATAGTGCCCCCAGGTTGGTGGGACCGCCCAGTTCTCCAACCCCAGTGGGTGGAATAAATCCCTAGTGTTAAGAGAATTTGGGCCGGGCGTGGTGGCTTGCGCCTGTAATCCCAGCACTTTGGGAGGCTGAGGCGGGTGGATCACGAGGTCAGCAGTTCGAGACCAACCTGATCAACATGGTGACACCCCATCTCTACTAAAAATACAAAAATTAGCCAGGCGTGGTGGTGCATGCCTGTAATCCCAGCTACTCAGGAGGCTGAGGCAGGAGAATCGCTTGAACCTGGAAGGCGGAGGTTGCAGTGAGCCGAGATCGCACCATTGCACTCTAGCCTGGGCGACAGAGTGAGACTCTGTCTTGAAAAAAAAAAAGAGAGAATTTGGGTGTGGTGGAAGGCTTCAGCAGGGATATGCTGCACTTCCGGCTGGTAATGGCATCTCGGGATTTGAGCAGTTAATTGGAAAAATATGAGATGTGGCTTACTTAAACTCCAAGCAGGCAAAGCGAGTTATCCTGGTTATATTAGAGGTGGATTCACTGTGAAGTTAATGAAGCTATGCTCTTGAGTCCCCTCCCTTCCTTTGCATGTGCATCTTCCAAGACCCTGGGAATTAGTCTAGCAATGGAGCCACATGGCATTCATTTTTGTGAAATTTCAAGAATAAGAGCTTTTGGATATTATTTTTATTAAAGAACCTCTAGAATTGTGAACCCCAAATGGAGAGCCCCACAAAACCTGAAGTTTGAGTTATACCCATGAACTGGTATCCAAGGGAGAAAATCACAGCCTTCTTTGGGATCTGGCAAGATCAAAGCAGGTACTGGTGGAGGAGAGTGGATGCCTTGGCACCTGTCCCAGCTCAAGTACTAATGATCAGAAATTGATCCTCAGTCATTACCCCAAAGAAGGAAGTTTTAAGAAACTTGGAAAGAAGGTATTTTCTGATTAGCATGCCAAAGCAGGGGCTATCAATTTCTACAGTTGGTGGAGGTCTTACAAGAAAAAAGTAAGCAATACCAGGTGTGGGCCCTCGGACACAGCTGAATGTGCCAGCTAAAGAAGTGGAGGTGGCAGGACCCAACCACCACATGCAGGCTGAGGGGCGCATGGGCCAGAGGACACTTACAACATTTCTACATAATCAGAGGGAACCCGAACAACCCACACCGGAAGTGTCACATCCAGGGAGGGTTAGTCTGTGCCCTCTGTCCTGCAATCTCACTCTGAGAGCATTTACTGAACACCTGCTGTGTAGGTGCTGGGGATGAACACCCAAGGAGCCTGGAGTGTAGTTGAGATCCGCAACAGCACCGGTATGAAAGAGGTGAATAACAGGACAGGAGAGCACTTCCAAGTGCATAGGGGATGAGGGGAGTTTCACAGAAACAGAGTGTAGAGTATTTGCACTGAGACTTGAGGGACAAGTGGAACTTGCCAGGCAGAATGCCCGGGGCAGGCATTCCAGGCAGGAGCCTGGGAGTGTGGTGCACTTGGTGGGCTGTGCGGAGGCCCAGTGGTTCCACAGTGCTAAGTATAAGGGAGAAGCGTGGAGATGTAGGGATCAGCAGGAGCTGATGCTGGACACACAGCTGGGTGGGATCCTGGTGCTCCCTTGAGATGCCAGAGTATGGGCTTTATCCTGAATCCCTCTCATTGGGCATCAAGCCCCACTGCTTCTCTCTGTAAGGTCTCTCTGGTTTGTTTCTTCCTCTCCATCCAAAGGCTGCCCTAGTTCAGGTCCTCACCAGCTCCTGCTTAGTTTATCACAATTGCTTCTTAATGTTTCCCTGCCTCCAAAGAGGCAGTCAGTGTAACAGTGATAACAGCACATATTTATTGAACACTCATGACAGGCTGGACACTGTTATATGTGCTTGTAAAAGATGCGTTTGGGATTTCTTCTTAACAACCCTATGAGGTAGGTATTATCATTCCTGGTTCTCAGAGGATGAAACTGAGGCACAGCGATGAAATAAGTTGCCCAAAGTTAAACAGTTTGTTAGTGGTAGGGGCAGGGTCTGAACCAGAAAAATTTGGTGTGTGAGCTAGAGTTCTTACACTATCACATCTCAGGTAGAGGATCAAGATCTGCATTCTAGAAGATTACCTGAGTCACTTAACTTCTTCAAACCTCTCGTTTCTCCACCTGTAAAATGGGGCAACATCAGTGAAGATCTTGCGAGGAATAAATCAGAAAATCCACGAAAAGCACAAAGTAAGGTGCATGGCACACAGCCTAAGGAAGCATTAGCTTTGATAGAAATTATTTTGCCAAGGAGAGTAAAAACATCACGTGCCAGTCACATTAGCAACTCAACAGCACAAAGGCGATGTCAACATGTTAAATATTAAACAATTTATTTGGAAAATCTCAATATTCCTTTTCCCTCTCCCAGTCGGAGCAGCTGGACAATAAAGAATTTTTTTCAACATGATACAACCGTTTGCAATATTTAAAAATCAAGGGCTAAAACAGTATAAATGAGAAAGGTTGGCGCAGTGGATCTCACACAAGATGTAGACCCTTGTTTCTGTCCTTGGGCCAACTCTGTCATACCCATTTTGGGCGAGATTTCATGAAGCTGGCCAGCTCTGAAACAGAGCGCCAGAAGTTGTGTTTACACCATTGTTCCAAACCTAAAAGGCAATTCTGCTGCTCGCAGCAATGTCGCCTGAAAAACCCGTGACAATACAAGATAATTTACAGGCCAACAATCACATTTTGGAGCATCCGTTACTCCAGAACTCTGATTCTGTCATTTTCCTTTATAAGATTTACTTACAAAACTTACTTCAAATACAAGGCTGATGCCTCCATTTTTTTTGATCACTTCCATTTCATAATCTATTAACATAATAGTCAATCACTTGAAAGCGAAAACTGATCACAGTACAGTGGAGGCTTCCTGTTGACTGATGTGAGTGCTCATTCAGAAGGTGTTTGGTGATTCTTTCATCTGCCCTGCTCTTTCCACATTCCAGTGTGTCATCGAGTGTCCTCCAGCTGATGGGCATTCATTTAACAACACTATTTACACAAGAGGGCACCATCTGGACCAAAGGGAAGCCGCTGTTGCTTTTATTTATTTATTTATTTATTTATTTATTTATTTATTTATTATTTTTGAGATGGAGTCTCGCTGTGTCACCCGGGTTAAAGTGCGGTGGCGTGATCTCTGCTCCTGGGTTCAAGCAATTCTCCTGTCTCAGTCACTCGAGTAGCTGGGATTACGGGCACATGCCACCACACCCAGCTATTTTTTTTTTTTTGTACTTTTAGTGGACACGGGGTTTTACCACATTGGTCAGGCTGGTCTCGAAATCCTGACCTCAGGTGATCCACCTGCCTTGACCTCCCAAAGTGCTGGGATTACAGGCATGAGCCACCATGCCTGGCTGCCACTGTTGCTTTTAAGCCAGCTTTTTATTATTAATTTTTAAAAAATTTGTGTATTTAGGAGGTACAAGTACAGACTTCATACATGCATGTATGAAGGAGTGGTGAAGCCTGGGCTTTTAGTGCACCCATCACCCGAAGTGACACCGTGCACAACAGGCAATTTTTCAACCCTCTCCGACAACCTTCTGTCGTCTCCAGCATCTATTATTTCACTCTGTACGTCCATGTATACCCATTGCTTAGTGGGTATTTATTTATTTATTTATTTGAGACTGAGTCACTCTGTCACCCAGGCTGGAGTGCAGTGGTGCGATCTTGGCTCACTGCAACCTCCGCCTCCCAGGTTCAAGCAATTCTCCTGCCTCAGCCTCCCGAGTAGCTGGGGTTACAGGCACCTGCCACCATGCCTGGCTAATGTTTTGTATTTTTAGTAGAGATGGGGTTTCACCATGTTGGCCAGGATGGTCTTGAACTCCTGACCTCAAGTGATCCACCTGCCTCGGCTTCCCAAAGTGCAGGGTTTACAGGCGTGAGCCACCACGCCTGGACAAGGGTACTTATAAGTGAGAACAAGATGTGTACTTTTTTTTTTTTAAATGGATAATGGTGTTGGGCTTATCTCCTTTCTGTTGAAATTTCTTAGATGTACATAAACAAAAACTCTTTGGCAGATACGTAATATTGATGAATGGACCTGCAGCTGAGGTGATCTGGGTGGCCAAAGCATAGAAACATACGTGGATGTTACCGAGAACCATAACGGCCTCTCCTTCATGCCCTGTGTGTGGTCTGGCTAGCCTTGCACTCAAGCTGAGCCTGGCATTTTGTGACTCAAATGCAGTCCAGAGAAAGCGACGGGAAGACACAAAGGGTGAGTATGTGAGTGAATAGGTATCTGTGAGATTATGCGTTTCTGTAGGTGGATACATTTGTGATTGCACTCAAGCTGAGCCTGGGATTTTGTGACTCAAATGTAGTCCAGAGAAAGCGGCAGGAAGACACAAAGGGTGAGTGTTGAGTGAATAGGTGTTTGTGAGATTATGTGTTTCTGTGGGTGGATATGTTTGCGATTTCAGGCATCCTATTCTCATGCACACTCCTCCACCGTCAGCATACTTAACGGACCACACCAAGAAAAACACAGCTCCGTTCACTTTGTCATAGATGCTCCGGCAGGCGTGGGCTGTTAAAACAGGAGTTTGGGAACTTTGGGCCCTGGGTGTTTTTTCAGCTTTCACCCATCGTTTTGAACTGGGACGAGCGAGGGTTTAAGGGGAAAAGTGCTGAACACCAGCACAGCAATACCACACATTGGCTTCTGTGGTCTGAGAACAGCAGCAGGAATTCACCCCGTGATTGGTGGCTCTTTCCCACCTCAGCAAAGCGCAGGGCTGCTGCTGCCCAGCGTGTGAAATCTAAGCCAGGCGCTGACCCACCGCTGGAATGAAAACTCAAACCTGCACAGCCTCTCGGCTTTGTGGCTGTCTTTCCTGCTCATGGTGGCAATCAGAAGTCTGTTCCCAGTTAGGGAGCAGAACCTCAACTGATAAGAGAGATGGGAAGAGAATTTCAAAAATCTCATAGGAAAACCTCCTCCTAGAAAGTTAAAGTGGGGTGGCGGGAGGTTGCTAAGTGAGAACATTGGGGGTTATTTTGGGGTGGACAGACACCAGATCACCAGGGTGGTGAGTATGGAAATGTCACTGTCACCTACCATCCCATCCCCCTCCATGGACAGTGGCCTTTCAAAGTATTTGGCCAGTGAGTCATCAGAAAGATGCTATTTTTTCATTTTGGAAAAACACCGTATCACAGCAGGACATTTTGCTGTTATCTGTTCTCCCAAGAAATACAGTGGTGGGGGAGGACCCAACCCCTTCGAAATTAAAGCCATATGCATACCATATTAAAAAAAATAACCCACCCAGGCCATTCCATTATTGCTGACCATAGGAATTCAGTATTTATAATTTACATTCTTTCCCATACTTTGCTGTTTTTCAGACGTGAAAAGTAGAGGTTTATGGCCTCATCAGATTGTAAATCACATTCCTGAGGGCAGAGGGAGCTGCTACAGGGGAGAGAAATTGCCTTCCAACAGTTTGCAGAATGCGTCA